>NC_000007.14:131256779-131881779 GCF_000001405.40 Homo sapiens
TAGACACAGGGACTCCAAAAGGGTGGAGGGAGGGAGGAGGGCTAAAAAGGGTTGAAAAACTACCTATCAGGTACTATGTTCAACTCCTTAGGCGATGGGATCATTTGAAGCTCAAACCTCAGCATCATGCAATATATCCATGTAACAAACTTGCACATGTATCCCATGAATGTAAAATAAAAAAATACAATTAAAATAAAAGGTTAGTATAACCTTTATATAAGCTCTATACATACATACTTGCTTTATTTTCTCCTCATCTTTAAAAGACATAAAATCGTATTAAGTAATAATTATAACAATGTATTGTTGGGCTTGTAACAACACTGTAGACTAGCTAGATTTAACAAGTATCTATAAAATGCTCCAACCAACAACAGCACAATCGATACTCTTCTCAATTGAATATGGACTGTTCTCTAGGATATACTTATTCTAGATTATAGAACATGCCTTAATACATTTAAAAGATTTGAAGTTATATAAAGCATGACTTCTGACCACAATGACACAAAATCAAAATCAATAAGACAAGTGTGATAAATTAACATGTGCAGAAATTAAATGACACATTCCTAAATAAACAATAGGTCCAAGAAGAAATTACAAAATACTTTAAAATGAATGATAATGAAAGCAAAACAAACCAAAACTTATGGGAAGCCTAAATTTAAGTTGTGCCTAAAATGGAAATGTGAGCTGTCTGGTAAGCTGGCCTAGACCTCATAGCCAAGAATGAAGATTTATGGGGCATTTTTCTTTGCCCTAGTCCCCCAAACCTGAATCTTGCAATTTTATCACACTTCACAGGGTGTGAGGATAGGAGAGCAACCAAGTGCATTTGGGAGAACAGATGAGAACCAAATGGCTAAACTTTATCCCATCTCAGAGAAATGTCCTCTTAACACTGAGGCCACCTAAAAGGAGGAAGGAGAGGAGAAGGGAGGGAAGGGGAAGGGAGAGAAGGGAAAGGAAGGGGAGGAGAGGAGATCTCCTTCTCCCATGTGGGGAAAAAGTCTTGGATGCTTAGGTTGTTATTTCAGCATCAAAAAAGCAGAGACCGGGTGTGGTGGTTTATGCCTGTAATCCCAACACTTTGGGAGGCCAAGGTGGGAGGATCACTTGAGTGCAGGAGTTTGAGACCAGCCCGGGCAACATAATGAGACCCCATATCTACAAAAACATTTTAAAATCAGCTGGGCGTGGTGGAGTGTTCCTGTCGTCCCAGCTACTTGGGAGGCTGAGGCAGCAGGATTGCTTGAGCCTAGGAGGTCAAGGCTGCAGTGAGCCATGATCATGCCACTGCACTCCAGCCTGGGTGACAGAGTGAGACTCTGTCTCAAAAAAATTAAAAAAAAAAAAAGCTCCTTTTTTTTTTGAGAGGACACCACCACAGAGAAAGTTTCACATGTGTAATCTTTTAACACTCAGTGACTGTACTCACTGTAAATCTGGCCCTTTGCCTGCAATCTCCTATTTATTGTCTCCTCTTGCAGAATTGGAAAGAGTGGGTAGAGAAAAGAGTAGATGTTTCTCTCCTGAGATGCTCTGTTGCTGGAGGAAGATTCTGTTGCTGGAGGAAGATTCTGTTGCTGGAGGAAGTGTCCTAACAGAGACACAGAGATGGAAGTAGTGGAAAAGATAGGGTCAAACCAAACCTGAGTAGGATGCCTCGGTGAATAAGAACGCTTTACAGTTCCTTGCAAATCAAAGACCCATTAGAGGAAACTAGGACACTGTACATTTCAATATTTCCAAGTAAGATTTTAACCCAGGAAAGAAACTGCGGAATTATTAAAGCAATTTATGTTTTAAAGCAAGGTTACAATTGTTGGTATAAATGAAGTGCTTTGCAGATGTTATCAGATATTTTGGGTATGGGAAGCCATCCATTTACATTCCCAGAGCTTTTTCTTTATTAGTGCCTTGTGTGGTTATATTTTCCCCTTCTTTCCTTCTTTTATGAGATCAATTCTAGTCAGAATATACTAAATATCTATTCATGAAAAAGAGTAAGGATGGAGATGAATTTCATAACCATCTAGAGGAGATACAACCTGGTGGTCTGCTTTCTATTGTATTGATTTGTAAAAGGGAAATGATTTACAGGGTGCCTTTGATGAAAATAATCCCTTTTCCCTCTTTTTAGCTCCCAGAAATGCAACTGTCTGGCCTTTCAGTGTGATTAAGCAGCTTAAACTTCTAGGGAGAATGTGAGGGTAACAGGGGAGCCAGTTCTAGCTGGATGCAATGATTCGCTGTACAGACTGCCTACACTTTGGCTTTGGGTTGAAACTTCTTCTCCACTCTTTTGAACTTTCTTTTTGGATTTTTTAAAAAAATATATATATATAAAACACCTTCATCAGATTTACATAGCTATGACCACTCATCCTGTGAACCCCTCTTCTTACCATTAGAAAGTCTGGCCTTCCAGAGTGCATCACCTCTGGGAAACTCATGTGGCCAGTTAAGAATTCCATTCACAGGGTGGATTGTATAGAGGGATTTATTCACAGTTCCCTCTTTCTTGCATAAGCCCAGTGTACTCAGAAATGGAGACAGAATAGAATAGTATAATGGATACCCAATATCTGTCTCCTAGATCAAACAGTTGCTAAAATTTTGCCACATATTCTTCATCTTTCCTTTTCCTTTTTATTTTTCTGAGGTAAAGTAGTATGTGTATACATATCTATCTATCTGTAGATATGTATACTTATATTAATATATCACCCCTAAATACTTTAACATTCACCTCTAAAACATAAGCACATTTTTGTTAGCTAAACAATTTCATTATCAAACTTTAATAAGGTTCACATAATTCAAGAGAATCAAATACTCATCTACATTAAAAATTTCCCCTTTTGTCCCCCAAATGGTTTTTTATTGTAGTAAAATATATATAATGTAAAATTTATCATTTTAATCATTTTTAAGTGTACAATTTAATGGCATTAAGTACATTCACAATATTGTGAAAGCATCACCACTATTTCCAGAACTTTTTTATTATTCCAAACAGAAACTCTACACTCATTAAGAATAACTCCTGGAAGTCCTAGCCAGAGCAGTCAGGCAAGAGAAAGAAATAAAAGGCATCCAAATAGGAAAAGAGGAAGTCAAATTATTGCTCTTTGTAGACAATATAATTCTATATCTATAAAACCCCATAGTGTCTGCCCAAAAGCTCCTAGATCTCTAGATCTGATAAATAACCTCAGCAAAGTTTCAGGATACAAAACAATGTACAGAAATCAGCAGCATTTTTTTTTTTTTAAGAGACGGGGTCTTACTGTGTCGCCCAGGCTGGAGTACAGTGGCACGATCTCAGCTCACTGCAACCTCTGCCTCCCGAGCTCAAGCAATTCTGCCCCAGCCTCCCAAGTAGCTGAGACTACAGGCACACGCCACCATGCCTGGCTAATTTTTTTTGTATTTTAGTAGAGATGGGGTTTCACTGTGTTGCCCAGGCTGGTCTTGAACTCCTGAGCTCAAGCAATCCATCCACCTCAGCCTCCCAAAGAAAAATCAGCAGCATTTTTATATTCCAACATCCAAGCTGAGAGCCAAATCAAGAATGCAATCCCATTCACAATAGCCACAAAAAGAATAAAATACCTAGGAATACAGCTAGCCAGGGAGATGACTACAATGAGAATTATAAAACACTGATCAAAGAAGTCAGAGATGACACAAATGAAAAAACATTCCATGCTCATGGATAGAAAAAATCAATACCATTAAAATGGCCACACTGCCCAGAGCAATTTACAGAGTCCATGCTATTCCTATCATTCTTCACAGAATTAGAAAAAGCTTTTAAAATTCATATGGAACCAAAAAAGAGCTTGAATAGCCAGGGCAATCCTATGCAAAAAGAACAAAGCTGGAGGCATCACGTTACCTGTAACCAAAACAGCATGGTACTGGTACAAAAACAGACACATGAGGAGTGAAACAGAATAGAGAGGGCTACAATAACCAAAACAGCATGATACTGGTACAAAAACAGACACATAGACCAATGGAACAGAATAGATAGCCTAGAAAGCTGCACACCTACAACCATCTGATGTTTGACAAAGTCAACAAAAACATGCAATGGGGAAAGGATTCCCTGTTCAATAAATAGTGCTGGGATAACTGGCTAGCCACATGCAGAAGATTGAAGCTGGACTCCTTCTTTATATTGTATACAAAAATCAACTCAAGATGGATTAAAGATTTAAATGTAAAACATAAAACTATAAAAACCCTGGAAGATAACCTAGGAAATACCATTTTGGACATAGGCCCTGGCAAAAATTTTGTGACAAAGATGCCAAAAGCAATTGCAACAAAAACAAAAATTGACAAATGGGATCTAATTAAGCTAAACAGTTTCTGCACAGCAAAAGAAACTATCAACCAAGTAAACAGACAACCTACAGAATGAGAGAAAGTATTTGCAAACTATGCATCCGGCAAAGGTCTAATATCCAGAAGCTGTAAGAGACTTAAACAAATTAACAAGCAAAAAACAACCAGCCCCATAAAAAAGTGGGCAAAGGAAATGAACAGACACTTTTCAAAAGAAGACACACATGTAGCCAATAAGCATATGAAAAAATGCTCAGCGTCACTAACTATTAGAGAAACGCAAATTAAAACCACAATGAGACCCCATCTCACACCAGTCACAATGGCTACTATTAAAAAGTCAAAAAATAACATGGTGGTGAGGTTGTAGAGAAAAGGCAACACTTATACATTGGTGGTGGGAATGTAAATTAGTTCACCCATTGTGGAAAGCAGTGTGGTGATTTCTCAAAGAACTGAAAACAGAAGTACCATTCCACCCAGCAATTCCATTATTGGGTGTATACTCAAAGGAATATAAATCATTCTGCCATAATGACACATGCATGCATATGTTCACTGAAGCACTATTCACAATAGCAGCAAAGTCATGGAATCAAGCTAAATGCCCATCAGTGGTAGACTGAATAAAGAAAATGTGGTACATCTACACTATGGAATACTATGCAGCCATAAAAACAAAAGATCATGTCCTTTGCAGCAATGTGGATGGAGCTAGAGGCCATAGTACTAAGCGAACTATTAATAACATAGGAACAGAAAACTAAATACCACATGTTCTCACTTATAAGTATGAGTACATATAGACACAAAAAAGAGAACAGCAGACATGAGGACCTACTGGAGTGTGGAGGGTGGGAGAAGGGAGGTAACAGAAGAACTACCTATTGGGTACTATGCGTATTATCTGGGTGATGAAATAATTTGTACAACAAACCCTACAACATGCAATTTACCTATATAACAAATCCTGGAACCTAAAAAAAGATTTTTTTTTAAAGAATAACTCGGCTGGGCACAGTGGCTCACGCCTGTAATCCCAGCACTTTGGGAGGCTGAGGTGGGCAAATCACGAGGTCAAGAGATCGAGACCATCCTGGCCAACATGGTGAAACCCTGTCTCTACTAAAAAATACAAAAAAATTAGCTGGTCGTGGTGGCGTGCGACTGTAGTACCAGCTACTTGGGAGGCTGAGGCAGGAGAATGGCTTGAACCCGGGAGGCAGAGGATGCAGTGAGCCGAGATTGTGCCACTGCACTCCAGCCTGGGCGACAGAGCGAGACTCCGTCTCAAAAATAAAAGAAAAGAATAACTCCCCACTACCCCCTCCTCCAAAATGTCTTTAATTCTGGTTAATTCAAACAAGATCCACTATTTCATTTTGTTATTATGTTTTTTTTTCTTTTCTTTTCTTTTCTTTTTTGAGATAGAGTCCCGCTCTGTGGCCCAGGCTGGAATGCAGTGGTGCGATCTCCGCTCACTGCAACCTCCACCTCCTGGGTTCAAGCGATTCTCCTCCCTCAGCCTCCCAAGTAGCTGGGACTGCAGGCATGCACCACCACACCTAGCTAATTTTTGTATTTTTAGTAGAGACGGGGTTTCACCACGTTGGCCAGGATGGTCTCCATCTGACCTCGTGATCCGCCCACCTCGGCCTCCCAAAGTGCTGGGATTACAGGCATGAGCCACCACCCCCAGCCTGGTTATTATGTTTCTTAAGGCTCTTTATTTAGAACTGTCTCCTTTCTCCACACTCACATACATTTTTTTTTCATGACATTGATGTCTTGATGATTCTGGGGCAGTTGTTCTACAGAATGTTCTACTTTGTCTGATTGCTTCTTTATCATGTTCTTAAACTTGTACTTCTGTTCTCTGCGTTTCTTATAAAAAGAAAGTTAGACCTAAAGGCTTGATAAGAGTGAAACGTTTTGGTAAGAATTCTTCACAGGTAATGCTGTGGACTTCCTACTGCCTCATATTAGGCTGTACATAATGTCTGGTTGTCCTGGTATTGATGAGGCCAATACCGATTACTGGGTTAAGGTGACAATATGCCTGTTGAAAGTAAGTTTTTAAGACCGGGCATGGTGGCTCATGCCTGTACTCCCAGCACTTTGGGAGGCCGAGACAGGATTACTTTAGCCCAGAAGTTCAAGACCAGCCTGGACAATATAGTGAGACCTCATCTCTACAATTATTAATAATAATAATAATAATAATAATAAAATTAGCTGGGTGTGGTGGCATATGCCTGTAGTCCCAGCTACTTGGGAGGCTGAGGTGGGAAGACTGCTCGAGCCTGGGAGATTGAGGCTGCAGTGACCCATGATTATGCCAGTGCACTCCAGCCTGGGCAATAGAGCTAGACCCTGTCTCAAAATATACATATATAATAAGTTTCTTAAAATGAAGAACTGATGATTGCACTTTTTTTTTTTTTTGAGACTGAGTCTCACTTTGTAGCCCAGGCTGGAGTGCAGTGGCACGATCTCGGCTCACTGCAACCTCTGCCTCCCGGGTTCAAGCGATTCTCCTACCTCAGCCCCAAGTACTGGGGACTACAGGTGTGTGCCACCATGCCCAGCTAATTTTTGTATTTTTAGTAGAGACAGGGTTTCACCATGTTGGCCAGGCTGGTCTCAAACTCCTGACCTCACGTGATCCACCTGCCTTGGCCTCTCAAAGTGCTGGGATTACAGGTGTGAGCCACCACGCCCAGCCTGATTGCACTTTCAAGAAATGGTTGTCCCCACTTTACCTGTTCAGATAAAGGGACTCTGAGGAGTTGCCTGGCACCCAGGATATAGCCTTTATCCTGTATAAAGGATAAGAAGATAAAGACAGAGGCTTTTCCTTCTGTATGGAGTAGACACAGGAGTTCAAGTTTATCTCCCAGAGTGTTCCATCAGGGCAAAAATTTCTGGAATATGAGGTCTAGCAGAGACTGTTCTTTCTCTGGGCCCAGTAAGAAGGTACTCTGAAATTGGTAGTGAGCCAGAATTTAGCCATAGACAAATAGATCTTTTTGCTAACACTTACTAAAGACAGAACACTTTGGGAATTCAGATACAGGAGAATCTTTTATGGCATTTTAAAATAGCCCTGCCCTCCACTCCTCCCCTAACTTCAGACAAATCACTTTAGATTACCGAATAAAAAATTAAGGAAGAGCATCTATTTCAGATGCAGAACAAACAAATCTTAAGATGTTTCTTGAATATCATTTAAATTTAGAGTAAGGAAAAACTATGCATCTGTCCTCTATGTTTGATGCTTACCTCTTGTCTTTTAGCTACTATACACTGAATAAGTGACCCAGGGAAATATAAGGAACTAATTTTGAATAGTTTCATTTTCAAAAGTAAGAATTTGGGTTTCTAAGGAAAATGAGTTATTTTTAATATCCATATATACACTTTTGTTTTATAGCAATTAAATACCCACATCAGGTAAACTCTGCCCAAGGTTGCCCTATATTTTTGGGTCCCCGGAGGGTTTTTGGGTTTTTTTTCTTTTTAGTTATTATTGCTTATTCGTGTTTGTTTTTTGTTTTTGCAGTTCTGTTGTTCAGCTAGAGAAGTTGTGAATTTTCTGCCTTAGCAGGACAGACTCTAACCTTAGGATACTAGACTAACACTTTTTGTTTTGCAACTGGAATTAGTAAAATACATTTTCTCCACTTATTCGGTAATTTTTTTTGTTTTTTTTGAGACAGAGTCTTACTCTGTCACCCAGGCTGTAGTGCAGTGGTGCAATCTCGGCTCACTGCAACCTCCGTCTCCCGGGTTCAAGCAATTCTCCTGCCTCAGCCTCCCGAGTAGCTGGGATTACAGGTACCCACCACCATGTCTGGCTAATTTTTTTGTATTTTTAGTAGAGACGGGGTTTCACCATGTGGCCAGGCTGGCCTTGAACTCCTGACCTCAGGTAATCCACCTGCTTCAGCCTCCCAAAGTGCTGGGATTACAGGCGTGAGCCACCGCGCCTGTCCTGTTCTGTAATTTTTAAAGATTCTGACTTCACTTGGGTAAGGAGGGGGCAAAAGTACCTTTGACGAAATAATGCTTCAACAATAGCCCTCCCAGGGGACTTAGGCACACATGTCTCTCACCACCACTGGGAATTACTTTATGTTTGGTGACAAAGACCCCATGGTAGTTTGCAAGGCCAAACAGTATAGTCATCCATCCTGTTCTCTTTTCTTCCTCTTTATGCACAGCCCCCTTCTTTCTTTCTTCTCTCTTACGTCTTTCTTCTTCTGCCTTGCTCCTTCGGCCTCTTTCTCCCCACCCACTCTTCTTTCATTTCCTCCTTTTGCCACTCCACAGCCTAGGCTGGCATGCTTCCCTGATTCCCCGATGCCTACCAAATGCTATGTTCCAGAAAAATTCTCCTGCTTCACATCAGCCCAGGGTTTGTTACTGAACACTCAATAGAATCAAAGGAGTGTAAGAATCCCAGCGGAGGAGGGGCTGTGGCTGGGTCTATGTGAATTCCCTCCTACCCAGCTTCCGTTCCAGGTTCTCCAGGCTCTCCTAGTTCTACAGGATAGTAATGGCATTGCTTCAACTATGTCTAGTACTTCAAAAAAAGCCTGGAAGATATTGTATATTTACCCTCAATAAAGCCTGACCAAGTTAACTAAAATAATGGAAAGTTTCTTTCCTTTTTGGGGAGAGTGGGGGCCTGAGAGGTAGGGGAGGTCATGCAGCACCAACTCATTGTGAAGACTTCATCTCATATTCAGAAGTTCTGTGGCTCATGCCTGTAATCCCAACATTTTGGGAGGCCAAGGCCAGTGGATCACATGAGGCCAGGAGTCTGAGACCAGCCTGATCAACATGGCGAAACCCTATCTCTACTAACAACACAAAAATTAGCCAGACATGGTGGTGTGCACCTGTAGTCCCAGCTGCTTGGGAGGCTGAGGCACGAGAATCGCTTGAACCTGGGAGGCAGAGTTTGCAGTGAGCCGAGGTCATGCCACTACACTCCAGCCTGGGCAACAGAGCAAGACTGCATCTCAAAAAAAAAAAAAAAAAAAAAAATCAAATTGGTTGTGTGTGTTGTCTATAGAATAAAGAGAGTATACTGGAAAGAATATGGTAGAGAGGTGAGGCTGTCTACCACAACCAGAATTTTGTTTCTTGCAATAGTTGTGGGCAATTTACTTAACATCTCTCAACCAATGTACTCATTTGTAAAATGGGACAATAATTACTATTTTGCAGCCTACTGTGAGAATTCTAGATAATATGTGTAAGACACTCATTCATACAATACCTAATACACAATAAATACTTACTATGTTTTCTTTGTAAATGTAATTTATTTGGTAGATAAAAGTTTTTTCAAAGCATACAGCTCTTGGGGGAACAACGAATCTGATCACTGAGAGAAGAGGTTGGGAAGCACTCACGTAACATAGTTCTACATGGCCACACAGGTCTCCCTCAAGAACTGTCTAGTCTAAGGGCTCTGACTAGGGGATGTACAAGGAAGTCCCACATCCTTTGTGTTGATGAACAGACCCTGTCTTGAGGGAGACACTCAGTTCCCTGACTCAGTTTCCATAGTTTCCCATGGGAACTAATGCCTTACCTCCATTTTCTTAAGCTTGCCTATTCCTCTGCTTGATTCCTAGGTGATTGTCTCAGAAGTACCAGGTCTGCAAGTTTATGGAAACTTAGCATTTTAGGTGGAAAGAAAAAGGACTAGAGTGTCTTGGGGAAAAAGGATAGAAGGAAAGTTTGTGGAAAGTTGGAAGATCACACAAGCTTAGTTTAAGCCCCTTGAAAATGAGGCAATAGAATTTTTTTTTTCCCAAAGAGAAAAGTACTATCCTAAGTCAACCTCTCTCATCTCAGCCTCACAGGGACTCTTCTAAGAAATGAGACTTTCCGGCTGGGCGTGGTAGCTCACGCCTGTAATCCTAGCACTTTGGGAGGCCGAGGCAGGCAGATCACTTGAGGTCAGGAGTTTGAGACCAGCTTGGCCAACATGGTGAAACCCCATCTCTACTAAAATTACAAAAATTAGCCAGGCATAGTGGTGCACACCTGTAGTCCCAGCTACTTGGGAGGCTACAGCAGGAGAATTGCTTGAACCCTAAGGATGGAGGTTGCGTGAGCCAAGATCCCACCACTGCACTCTAGCCTGGGCAACAAGCAAGACTCCATCTCAAAAATAAATAAATAAATAAATAAATATACATATAAATAAATGAGACTTTCTTCAACATCTCTTACCTCTTCCCTCCACCAGGGTCCTGACTATTTCCAAGTTCTTCTCTCTCTGTAAACACCCCCAGGATAGGAAGATAAGGTTGTTGCCCTTCCATAAGTGGGCTCAGGTTTACAATGAACAGCCAGAAGCTATCTAGCATTTACTAGAACTGTGGTCCCAGGCCCCTGCTAAACTTCATTTGGTGGGACATCTTTAGAGAGTTGACCAGTAGATTCCAGCTTTTTAATCTTGGTGTTCTGTTGGGCAGGTCAGATGAATTTGGAATATTCTGTTTTAAGCTGAATTTATCCCTTATTATTTTAAGGGCTGTAACAAGTTGTTTTTTAAATGTTTTCAGTCAGCATATCTTTATTTATTGTCCTTAATACCCAGAGGCTACTTGAAGAAAGACTTAATTTTCAAAGTCTGGTAAGTAAACAATAGTTTCCCAATAACATCTTCAGGCAAACACCCAAAGACTTCATTTTCACCACAGCATTTGGGTTCTCCATAATTGCCTATTAGTATTGTGCTCAACCACAACATTTTATAATAATTTAAAAAATATTACGTACCTCTAAACACAAAGTTTCTTACCAGTTTTTTTTCTTCTTTTTAATTACCATGTTTAACAAAAGACAAAAACAAGACAGGTTTAAGTGTGGTATTGACTAGACTCCAAACATATTAAATAAATCACATAGGCTGGGTTGGGTTTCACACGAGAACTAGTTTGGAGATGGTTATTCACTGTTCTCCCAAGAATATAAAAATGTCCAGAGGAGACAGTGAGATAAGGAGATACATGGCTTCAGCTCTGTGGGAATTTCTAAGGCTTTAAAATTCACTCCAGAATCCTGCAAAATTCCTTGATGTTGAGCTTGGCTGCTGATGCCTTCTTTTGTCTAGATCCTCTGAAGCCATGCACTGAGACTCCAGAAATTTACTCTAGTCTTTCTTTCTACTTGTGACCAAGAGGAAAGTTGGGCAAAGGGGTTGTATTGGTCAGATAGGCTAATTGTTATAAGAAATGACCTCCAAATTTCAATGGTTTGACCCCATGCAAATATTGTTCTTGTCAAGGTCCAATACGGATTGGTAGAGGTGGAGGTGTGTGGAATGTGGTGATTTGATTCTATGCAGTAATTCAAGCATATAACCTTCTTCCATCTTGGGGCTCTGTCTTCCGTGGGGTTCCCAGAGTCCTTTCCATCCAGCCAGTGGAAAAGAGAGCCTGCAGATAACTGCACAGGAGGACTGTTATGGGCCAGATCTGGAACTGGCACCCATCACTTTCACATGCCTTTGACTGAGCTCAGTCAATGGCCCTACATGTTGAGAGAGGCTAGGAAGTACAGTCTAGCTCCATGCTCAGCTCACAGCAGTTTCTGCCACATGGAAAAACAGAGAGCTCCTTAGAGCAGGCAGACAGTGCTGTTCTTGTATGTCGTCAAAGATGTGGAAAATAAATATGCTAACTTATTTTCAGTTTATTTAATGACCAAACCTACCATTAATGTCTCGGTCAGTTTCTGGAAAAAGTCCATCCCTCAAGCTCACTATTACCACAAATCAGTCCAAACTGGAACTTAACTTGTTCACACATAGGACTTTCCAGAGTTCCAAGATACCTGGACCAAGCCCATGCAGACATGCTGATTGTAAGTTGCGAACACACTTGCATGTTGCTCTTCTCATCAGATGGTTCTCATTACAAAATCTGGCAAGTCATCTGCCCAAAGCCATGTGGCATATCTAAACCAAACTTTCTCACATGGGACCTATGAAAAGAATAAATGTGTTATAAACATTTGAAAAACTGTCTTCATATCTGTTTTAGTCAGTTTGTGTTGCTATCCCAAAAAACTATAAACTGGGTAACTCGTAAACAACAGAAATGTATTGCCCACAGTTCTAGAGGCTGTAAAGTCCAAGATCAGGTCATCAGCAGATTTGACATCTGGTGAGGGCCTGCCTTCTAGTTCATAGAGGGCGTCTTCTTGTTGTGTCCTCACATGGTGGAACGGGCAAGCTAGCTCTCTGGGGTCTCTTTTATGAGGGCATGCATTTATCCCATTCCTGGGGGTTCTGCCCTCATGACCTAATCACTTCTCAAAGGCTCCACTGCATAATTTCATCACCTTAGGGGTTAAGTTTTAACATATAAATGTGGGGGAGACATAAACATTTAGCTCATTGCAATATGTCTTCATAAAATATTTTTAAATGTTTTCGTCTTTTCTCGATCAATGTATTTTTCACGGTTGTCATGACTCCGTTACTGTTTGCACTCTTTCTTCCTGTTTCTCTCATTAACCAATTTACAAAGGCTATTTCATAGTTCAGCTATTTTAGAGACATCCATTTGTCCTCATTTACTCACAGGCTAGCATTCCCATTGAGATTTTAGCTTCCTCAAATAATGTTTGTTATCATCTCATATAAAGAGGATGATGTACAAGGGAACACTGGTAAGGTTCTGACATGCACTTTGTGCCATTTTTCTAGTTATGGAGGTAACTTTTCTTTTCTTTTTCTTTTTATTTTATTTTATTTTATTTATTTTTTGAGATGGAGTCTTGCTCTGTCATCCAGGCTGGAGTGCAGTGGCATGATCCGAGCTCACTGCAACCTCCGCTTCCCAGGTTCAAGCAATTCTCCTGCCTCAGCCTCCCGAGTAGCTGGGACTACAGGCATTGCCACCACACCCAGCTAATTTTTTGTATTTTTAGTAGAGACAGGGTATCACCATGTTAGCCAGGATGGTCTCGATCTCCCGACTTCATGATCCACCCGCCTCGGCCTCTCAAAGTGCTGGGATTACAGGCATGAGCCATGCACCCGGCCTATTTTTATTTTTATTTTTTGAGACAAGATCTCACTTTGTTGCCCAGGCTGGAGTGCAGTGGCACAATCTTGGCTCACTGTAACCTCTGCCTCCCAGTTTCAAGCAATTCTCCTGCCTCAGCCTCCCAAGTAGCTGGGATTACAGATGTGCTACCATGCCCAGCTAAGTTTTGTGTTTTTAGTAGAGACAGGGTTTCACCATGTTGGCCAGGCTTGTCTCGAACTCCTGACCTCAGGTCATCCACCCGGCTTGGCCTCCCAAAATACTGGGATTATAGGCCTGAGCCACCGTGCCCAGCCTATGGTGGTAACTTTTCACTGGTCCATCTATGCTTTCCTATTATAATCCAAGTTATGCACTTAGGATGTGAATTATTGGGTTAAGGGTGCAATCTTCATTCATCTATTTATTCATTTCTTTTCCATTTGTTCATTCCAAAATAATTGTTGAGTACCTAATATGAGCCAGACAGTGTGCTAAATGCTGGAGTCAGAGCAAAGAATAATAGATATAAGGTCCCTACCTTCATGGAGCTTATGGGAGAGAAAGGTTCTAAATAAATGTTAATGCAAAATGTTAATTATAATAGTAATATTTATATAAATAGCTTATTTTAAAAAATGGATAACCTTGAATCACCTTTTTTTTTTCTTTTAACTGGGGTCTTTCCTCCTCTGTAAAAACCAGCTTCTTTTTAGGATAATCATTCATTGATTCTTTCATTTGCTCACTATTTAATTCAATTATTTATTTATTTATATTCATTCATTTGTTCAATATCATTGTAAAACTACTCCTTGCTATTCACTATGCTAAACTGTCAGAACACAGAAATAAAAATATAAGATTCGTGATCGCAGGGATCACAGTCCAGTTGAGGAGACTAGCATGTAAACTACACAGTACAACGTGATGAATGTCATCATGGAGAAAAGTGCAAAGTGCAGTGGGACCAGGAAAAGGAGGGGGCCTACATCTGCCTACCTAGGTCAGGGAAGGCTTCACACAGGAGGTAGCACTTCACAAAGGAGGTAGCACTGAGGTCTGAAGGGTGAATAAACCTTTGCCACGTTGAGGAAAGGCATGAGATGGCTACTTAACAATCAAAGATTTGAGGCCTGGCACGGTGGCTCATGCCTGTAATCCCAGCACTTTGGGAGGCCGAGACAGGCAGATCATGAGGTCAGGAGATCGAGACCATCCTCGCTAACACGGTGAAACCGTGTCTCTACTAAAAATACAAAAATTAGCTGGGCATGGTGGCAGGCACCTGTAGTCCCAGCTACTCGGGAGGCTGAGGCAGGAGAATGGCGTGAACCCGGGAGGCGGAGCTTGCAGTGAGCCGAGATCATGCCACTGCATTCCAGCCTGGGCGACAGAGTGAGACTCCGTCTCCTAAAAAAAAAAAAAAAAAAATTTGGCCGGGCATGGTTGCTCACGCCTGTAATCCCAGCACTTTGGGAGGCTGACGCAGGTCAGGAGTTTGAGACCAGCTTGGTCAACATGGTGAAACCCCATCTCTACTAAAAATACAAAAATTAGCCAGGTGTGGTGGTGCGCACCTGCTGTTCCAGCTACTCAGGAGGCTGAGGCAGGAGAATCACTTGAACCCAGGAGGCAGAGGTTGCAGTGAACTGAGATTGTGCCACTGCACTCCAGCTTAGGCAACAAAAGCGAAACTCTGTCTCAAAAAAAAAAAAAAATCAAAGATTTGTGCTGTCCTTGCACAGTATTACGTTTATGGAACTGGCCCAAACAACTTCCAATTCCCCGTACATCTCCATGGGGGCAGGTGACCAGTTCTCGTTAGTGGAATGTGAGCAGAAGTGATGTTGGTCATTGCTGGGACAGACAAAGACGTAAGTTTGCCTTTGCTTCCTTCTCCTTCCTGGCTGCCAGCTCTGGAAGCGAAGGCCTCTGAAGCTGAGAGGCTGGCAGAGCTTCAAAATAGAAGGACCCTGGGTGGAAGGCTACATGCAGCTGTTACATGGATAAGAAATAACCTTCTGTTGTGTTAATCTACTGACATTTCATAGCTTGCTTGTTACAGCAGCAAGCTCTACCATAATTAACCCAAGGCATATCAGGCAAAGCAAACAGTATGTGCAAAGGTTTATAAATGTTTCTAACATACAGTACATGCTCAATAAATATTTAATATTGCAGTCAGGGTATTAGGAGGAAGTACAAGTAGTCCAATATTGCCAAAGAATAAAATATGTGACTGGTAGGGGTGAGAGGAGGTTGGCTGGATTGAGAGGCATGGGCCAATCAAAAGAATTTTGGCTTACCCTCATGGGAAAAGGGAAGCCAATGAAGAATATGAAGAGGAGAGAGGCATGATCACTGGAGTAGCAGTGTATTAGTCCATTTTTATGCTGCTGATAAAGACATACTTGAGACTGGGAAGAAAAAGAGGTTTAATTGGACTTACAGTTCCACATGGCTGGGGAGGCCTCAGAATCATGGTGGGAGGTGAAAGGCACTTCTTACATGGTGGTAGCAAGAGAAAAATGAGGAAGAAGCAAAAGTGGAAACCCCTGATAAACCCATCAGATCTTGTGAGACTTATTCACTATCACGAGAATAGTACGGGAAAGACCAGCCCCCATGGTTCAATTACCCCTCCCCGGGTCCCTCCCACAACACATGGGAATTCTGGGAGATACAATTCAAGTTGAGATTGGTGGGGGACACAGCCAAACCATATCAAGCAGGGTCTCTGCAAAACATAGCAGCCAAGAATTTCCCTTAATTGTCTTCAAATGTAAAATGCTAATCCAAAGAGGAAAGAGAAAGGATGTTAGAACCAGAAGATATCACAGTCTGGTCAAACCTTGTTCAACAAGTGAGGAGAGTGAGTCCCAGAGAAGTTAAGTACCTTTGCCAAGATCACCCAGCTAGAACTTGGCAGGGCTGGGTACTAGAAGGCTCATCCCTGGTGCCAGTCCTACAGCCTTGCTCTTTCCACTGTGCCACTGTGCTTCAAAGCAGCTGAGACCAGCTGGTGTGCCTGTGTTTTCAGTTCCCTAATGAAGACACTGGGGATTCAGAGGCAGGGTATTTTCCATGGGCGGCTGTCCTTTCTGTAATTCCTCATCTGGCTTGAGCCTATTTTGGAAAAGGTCCATTTTTTTAGCATCAGATTTCCCTGGAGGACCACTGGGAATGTGCTTAGTGGCCTGTGGGGTGCCCCTGCACTTTCTGAGTTTTTGTGGAGAAGATAAGAAGAAAGTAGCAGTGGTTTGAGCTCCTGGAAACTCTGCCAGGTCCCTTGGCATTTGGGGAGTTTGTTGGCTCGCAAAGAGGGACTGTGGTTCAGCCGGCCAGTTGACTGTCCTTCAGGGGTCAGAGCAAAGCTTTGTCTGTCTAAAGGATCAGATACCTATGGCTGACTTTTTTTTTCCTTTTTTTTTTTTTTGTGACAGGGTCTCACTCTGTCACCCAGGCTGGAGTGCAGTGGCATAATCATAGCTCATTGCAGCTTTGACTTCCTAGGCTCAAGTGATCCCCCCACCTCAGGCTCCCAAGTAGCTGGAGCTACAGCGTGTGCCACCATGTCTTGCTAATTTTTTATGGGCAACATAGCGAGATCCCATCTCTAGAAAAACCCCTGGCTTCAAGTGATCCTGCCTCGGCCTCTCAAAGTGCTGGGATTATAGGTGTGAGCCACCGCGCCCAGCCTGACACTTTAATATCACTATCTTGTTCATCAATTCACTACTTCTGGTTTTCATATATTGTTAAGCTCATTCAATATTCATTATAATTGTTTTCACTCCATGTACCACCCAAGACAATAGATCATACATTTGTTTTTCAATAGCAAGTAGGAGTATAGGGACAACTGTGCTGAGGTCAGGCTCAGAGAAACATGACATGTCCTCTGACTTAAGTAGGAATGGGTATTATTAAGTTATTTTACAACTAGGGGTGCTGAAACATAAGTTGGGGACGGGGGAGGTCGTTTGTTCAAAGTCTCCAAGATAACTGGCAAAAATAGATTCCTTGATGATTTTTGGCCAAGAATTTTATAATCATCTTACTTCTTGTCCTTTGATTGTATCATCTTTGCCTTCCTTGTGTGTTGCCCAATTGCCAGCTCAGTTAGTTATGATAAGGTATTCAGATAAGATTGCTGCCGGGAGTGGTGGCTCACGCCTGTAATCCCAGCACTTTGGGAGGGTGAGGCGGGCAGGTGATCTGAGCCCAGGAGTTTGAGACCAGCTTGGGCAACATGGCGAAACCCCATCTCTACAAAAAATACAAAAATTAGCTGAGTGTGGTGTCATGTAACTGAGGTCCCAGCTACTGGGTAGGCTGAGGGGGGAGGATCACCTGAGTCCAAGCAGGTCAAGGCTGCAGTGAACCATGATTGCATCACTGCACTCCAGCCTGGGCAACAGAGCAAGACCCTGTCTCAAAAAAAAAAAAAAAAAAAAAGATGAGAGATGAGATTGCTGCCTCAGTCCCTGATGAGTGTCTTGGTGTCACTCAAAGACAAGCTCTTAAGCAGTGGCTTTGAAATTAGAGAGACATCTGACACTCACTACGAGAACTTAGGCAAGTTTCTTAACTTTGAGCCTCAGTTTCCTGCTATGTGATATGGGGCAATAATAAACACTAATCCCCTGTAGGGATTAAATAAACTAACATTTGTAAAGCTCCTTTCTTAGTGCTGAGACACACAGTTGTCTTTTAAATTATTTCCCTTCTTGGCCTCTGAGAAGATCTCATTAGTAACATTCTGTTACCCACTTTCCATCTCTGGTCAAGATGAGAAATGAGACCAAAGAATGAGCAGATGGAGACCGAAATATCACCTTTGTCTTAGTCAGTTTAGGCTGCTATAATAAAGTACCATTGGCTGGTTGGCTTATAAACAACAGAAATTTATTTCTCACAGTTCTGGAGACTGGAAATCCTAGATCAGGGTGCCAGCATGGTCAAGTTCTGGTAAGGGCATCTTCCAGGTTGCAGTCAATTCTTGCTGTATCCTTGCTTGCATTGCAGAAAGACAGCAAGAGAGCTCTCTGAAGGCACTAATCTCATTCATAAGGACTCTACCCTCATGACCTGATCACCTCCCAAAGGCCCCACCTCCTAATACCATCACCTAGTTTTTTTGTTGTCGTTGTTGTTGGTTTTTTTTTTTTTTTTTTTTTGAGACGGAGTCTTACTCTGTCTCCCAGGCTGGAGTGCAGTGCCATGATCTCGGCTCACTGCAACCTCCACCTTCCGGGTTCAGGTGATTCTCCTGCCTCAGCCTCCCGAGCAGCTGCGACTACAGGCATGCACTACAACGCCCAGCTGATATATATATATATATATATATATATATATATATTTTTTTTTTTTTTTTTTTTTTTTTGGTACTTTTTTGTATTTTTAGTAGAGACGGCTTTCACCATATTGGCCAGGCTGGTCTCAAACTCCTGGCCTCAAGTGATCCGCCTGCCTTGGTCTCTCAAAGTGCTGGGATTATAGGCCTGAGCCACTGCGCCCTGCCCATCACCTTGTATTGGTTAGGATATCAACATATCAATTTGAGAGGTTGTTATTCAGTCCATAACCACCTTGATTACTGATAAAGGCTGTTTATTGTGAAAGCTAATGGTACAGCTGAAGGTAGACAGCTGAAGGTGATGTAGACTTACTCACCCCGTCACAAGTAACAGCGTTTGACCAAGGCAGGCCTTCCCATGCTGGGATAGGGAGGTTGGGTCAGAAAGAAGACCCGGCCCACTGGAGGAGCAGGGCGCAATGATATCCTCACTCTGCGCAGGCAGATACATAGGGGAAGAAGGGAGGTGCTAGACTGTGTCGTCTTCACACATTCATCAATCAGATTAAGTCACTCCTCTAAGGAGGAAGAACGAGACAGGCAGGACAGGGAGCTAGGAGTGTCAAACTCCACAGGGAAGGAAACCACAGAAGCATTTCCTCCAGTGTCCCCCTCTCCTTTATTCTGGGCCTGTTGCTTTGGAAGATTCAGGTGCTGGTGGGAAGGTAAAGGCAGCTTCCGAGCACAAAAGGTTGGGAGAAAAATGTTGGGGAGAGAGGGAGAGCTAGGGTGGAGTCATCTGTAGAGGAAGAGCGATGTGCACTTGAATCCAGAAAGAAAAGTCTAGTTCAGAGTCAGGGGTTAGAGGTCTGAAGGGAGGTCAAAGTTCAGAGATCTGTTCTAGATGGGAAAGCACAGCAAGTGCATAACCAGAATTTCCAGGCATGGGAGAACATCCTAGGGCCAAATCCCGAGAGGATGGGGACAGCAGCGTTCCAATGGCACATGAAAGGTGGGTGAAAGTGATGTGTGTGTTGATTTGGGGCACAGTGTGGTTCACCATTTTTCTTTTCCCTCTTCACGACAACCAGTGATGTTTCAGATAATAGTGGCTGCATCAGTCTGGGTCTCTGAGGAAGATAAACTGGAGCAGAGTCACAGCTGACTTAACGTGGACAAGCAGCATGAATGGGATAAAAACTGTTGTTGTTGTAAGCCACTGAGATTTGGGGGTCATTTGTTCTCGTAGCATAATCATAACTTTCCTGATGGATATGCCACTATAACATATCATTTCCTTCACAAAAGACAGTGAAGGAGAACTTTCAGTGACTCTGTCTGACTTTTGAGGAGGAGTATTACAAATGTGACAAGCCTAGATGTGGTTGCTGATCAGTAGGTACAAGTCAGTCCCTGGCTGCATGACCTGCTTCCACACAGCAGCCTCACTCCCCACGTGGTTCAGATTTATGCTTTGATGACTTCATGACATGGATCTTTTAAGTCACCAAGGAAGAGCCAGATATATCAAGTGGCTTGATATATTTGTACTCAATGAAAGCTCACTAAATTCTTGTACAAGTATCTGTACTCAATGAAAGCTCACTAAATTCTTGTGTAATATTTAATAAGTGGATAAGAAGTTAATGGAAGGGGAAGGGAACGGTGAACAGAGGTTGATTAATGTACAAATATACAGTTAGAAGAAAGAAAACCTAATGTTTGATAGATCAGTAGGATGATCTGTATTGTAAACTATAGTTTACAACAATCAATTGTGCATTTTTTTTTTTTTGAGTTGGAGTTTTGCTCTTGTTGCCCAGGCTGGAGTTCAATGGCACAATCTTGGCTCATTGCAACCTCCGCCTCCTGGGTTCAAGCGATTCTCCTGCCTCAGCCTCCTGAGTAGCTAGGATTACCAGCGCCCACCACCATGCCCTGCTAATTTTTGTATTTTTAGTAGAGACGGGGTTTCACCATGTTGGCCAAGCTGGTCTCAAACTCCTGACCTCAGGTGATCCACCTGCCTCGGCCTCCCAAAGTACTAGGATTACAGGTGTGAGCCACCACACCCGGCCTTTTTGTATTTTTAGTAGAGACAGGTTTCACCGTGTTGGCCAGGCTGGTCTCAAACTCTTGACCTCAAGCGATCCACCCACCTCAGCCTCCCAAAGTGCTGGGACTACAGGCGTGAGCCATGGTGCCTAGCCAATTGTGCATTTCAAAACGGCTAGAAGAGGATAATTTAAATGTCTCTAGCATTTAAATATTTGTCTTTTCTTCTTTAAAAGACAAATATTTAAGGTGATGGATATCCCAGTTACACTGATTTGATCTTTACAAATTATATGAATGTATTATCACATGTACCCTCCCAATATGTACACCTTTTATATATCAACAAAAGTAAAGGAAAAAAGTTAATGGATTATGATCAATAGATGTAAGATCTGCCCATTCTCTCCTTTTCTCTTCTTTTTAGGGCAATTTTCTTTAGTCTTTCTCTCTTTTCCCCTCCTTTTCCTCCTTTATTTTATTTTATTTATTTTATTTTTGAGACAAGGTCTGGCTCTATTGAGCAAACTGGCATACAGTGGCGTGATCTCAGCTCACTGCAACCTCTGCCTCCTGGACTCAAGCCAATCTCCCACCTCAGCCCCCTGAATAGCTGGGACTACAGGCACACCACGCCTGGCTAATTTTTGTATTTTTTGTAGAGACAGGGTTTTGCCATGTTGCCCAGGCTGGTCTGGAACTCATGAGCTCAAGCGATCTGCCCACCTCGGCCTTCCAAAATGCTGGGATTACAGGTATGAGCCACTGTGCCTGGCCACCTTATTTATTTTTTATTGTTTTCTCTTCTTTATAATCCAGGTGATCCAATAATAACTATAACTATTATTATTTAGTTTAAGGAGGGGCCATATTCTAAGGCCCTTGAATGCAAAGCTTGTCCAGCTTTGAAGATGGGACCCAGGCATTCTTTTTCCATTGATAATACTTAGTTTAGGTGCTCATTATCCTCATCTGGAGCATTTTAACTAGAGAGTAGTAGTTGTGGTATTAATAGTAACAATAATTATTATTAACATTTATTGAATGTCTACTATGAACTTTTTTTTTTTAAGAGACAGGGTGTCATTCTGTTGAGATCATAGCTCACTGCAGCCTCGAACTCCTGGCCTCAAGCAGTCCTCCCAGCTCAGCCTCCCCAGTAGCTAGGACTACAGGCATGCACCAACCATGCCCAGCTAATTTTTAAAATTTAGTTTTTTGTAGAGACAGGGTCTTACTACGTTGCCCAGGCTGGTCTCGAACTCCTGGCCTCAAGAGATCCTCCCACCTCAGCCTCCCAAAGTGCTGAATTACAGGCCTGAGCCATTGTGCCTGGCCTATGAGGTATGTTTTTGCATGCACTGTTATTCAATTCTTAAACCAATCCTCTGGACTAAATGTAATTTTTATTATAATGCCACTTTGTAGCTAGGAAATGAAGATTGAGAGAGATTAAGTGAAACTTGGAGGTTAGCCACCTTTCATTCATCCAACATCCAACATATATTACTGAGTGTTTACTGTGTGCCAGACACTGTTTCAGACATGAGGCTAGAGCTGTGACTAAGACTATTCTCATGAAGCTTTTATTCTAGTGGGAGAGGCAGATAGGAAACTAGTAAATTAAGAAACAAGAGGATTTCAGTAATGATTAAAGCTATGAGAAAACTAAAATAGGGTAATTGACATGACTGACAGGAGTAGGGGGAGATTGTGCAACACTGGATAAGAGATTCAGAAGACCTAAATTATGTGAAGCCAGTAGTGCAACGTTTTGAGGTAATGATCTCATGACATGCATCTTTGCAAATGCAAAGATCCTGAGAGAGAATGAGCTTGGTATGATCAGCAACAGTAATTGAACTAGAATTCAAAACTGGGTCATATTTTTATTTCTTTTACAGCTTTAGTGAGATCTATTTCACATACCATAAAAAAAGTTGCCCATTTAAAGTGTAAAGTTTGGTCCAGGTGTGGTGGCTAACACTGGTAATCCCAACACTTTGGGAGGCTGAGTCAGGAGGATCACTTGAGGCCAGGACTTCAAGACCAGCCTGGGCAACAAAGAGAAACCCAATCTTTACAAAAAATAAAAAAGTTAGCTGTGTGGTGGTGCACACCTGTTGTCCCAGCTACTCGGGAGGTGGAGGTGGGAAGATCACCTGAGCCTGGCAAGGTGGAGACTGCAGTGAACCATGATTGCACCTCTGCATTCCAGCCTAGGTGACAGAGCAAGACCCTGTCTCAAAAATAATAATAACAAAAATAAAGTATATAGTTCAATGGTTTTTTTACTGTATTAATACTATTGTGCAACCATCACAACTATCTAATTTTACAGCCTTTTCAACATCCCCCAAAAGACCCCTATACCCATCAGCAGCCATTCCTTGTTCCCATTCCCCACCCTCAAGCCCACTCCAACCCCAGGCAACCACTAATCTACTTGCTGTCTCTATGGATTTGCCTATTCTGGACATTTGGTATAAATGGATTCATACAATATATAGTCTTTTGAGACAGGGTTCCTTCACTTGTTTTCCAGGTTCATCCATGTTGTAGCATCTATCATCAGTAATTATTACTTTTTTCTGGCTGAAAAGATTCCATTGTATGGCTATACCACATTTTGTTTACCCATTCCTCAGTTCATGGACATGGATTGTTTTCACGTTAGGCCACTATAAATAATGCTGCTATGAGCATTCACGTACAGGTTTCCATGTGGACATACGTTTTCATTTCTCTTGGTATATATATGGCTAGGAGTAGAATTCCTGAGTAATTTGGTAACCGTATGTTCAGCATTTTGAGGAACTGCCAAACTGTTTTCCAAAGTGGTGCCACCATTTCACATGCTCACAAGCAATAGATGAGGGTTCCAGTTTCTCCAGATCCTTACCAACACTTGTTCTTGTTATTATAGCCATCCTTGTGGTGTGAAGAGATGTCTCACTGTGATTTTGACTTGCATTTCCTGAATGACGAATAATGTTAAGTATCTTTTCATGTGCATAATGGCCATTGGTATATATTCTGTGGCAGAATGTTTATTTAAATTATTCATCCATGTTTTTTTTTTCTTTTAATTTTTTTTTTCTTTTTTGGGAAAGAGTCTCACCCTGTCACCCAGGCTGGAGTGCAGTGGCACAATCTTGGCTCACAGCAACCTCCACCTTCCGGGTTAATGCAATTCTTGTGCCTCAGCCTCCAGAGTAGCTGGGATTATGGGCTAACACCACCACACCCAGCTAATTTTTTGTATTTTTAGTAGAGACAGGGTTTCACTATGTTGACCAGGCTGTCTTTGTCCATGTTTTAATTGAGTCATTTGTCTTTTTATTCTTGAGTAGTAGTAGGGTTTTAAAAATATTCTGGATATGAGTCCCTTGTCAGATACATGATTTGCAAAGATTTTTTCCTGTCCTGTGGACTGTCTTTTCACTTTCTTGATGGTGTTACTTGAAGAACAAAAGATTTTACTTTTGAAGTTCAATTTATCTATTTTTTTCTTTTGTTACTTCTGCTTTGGCGACATCCAAGAAACTATTGCCAAATCCAAGGTCATGAACATTTACTCTTGTTTTCTGATAGGAGTTTTATAGTTTTAATTCATGCATTTAGGCCTATGATCCATTTTGAGTTATTCTTTTTTTTTTTTGTATAGTGTTGAGAGTTCAACTTCATTTTTTTACAGGTATCCAGTTGTCCCAGCAACATTTGTTGAAAAAACGGTTCTTTCCCTATCGAATTGTCTTGGCACTCTTCAGAAATTCAATTCAATACCAATGTGAGGGTTTATTTTTAGTCTCTCAAGTCTATTCCATTCATCTATATGTGTATCCTTATGCCTTATGTCGTGATTACTGTAGTTTTCTGGTAGGTTTTGAAATCAGGAACTATGCCTCTTCCAACTTTGTTCTTCCTCTTCAAGATTGTTTTGGCTATTTTGGGTTGTATTTCCATGTGAATAGCATGATCAGCTTGTCAATTTCTGTAAAATAAAAAAAAAGTTGGGATTTTGATGGAGATTGCATTGGATTTCATTTTTCAGGATTATTCATTGCTAGTGTATAGAAATACAATTGATTTTTGTTTATTGATCTTGTATCCTGCCATATTTCTTTTCTTTTTTTTTTTGTTTACAGTCTTGCTCTGTCACCCAGGGTGGAGCGCAGTGGCATGATCATAGCTCACTGCAACCTCCAACTTGTGAGCTCAGCAATCATCCCATCT
The DNA here is from genome assembly GCF_000001405.40 of Homo sapiens. Taxonomy (NCBI): domain Eukaryota; kingdom Metazoa; phylum Chordata; class Mammalia; order Primates; family Hominidae; genus Homo; species Homo sapiens. The sequence goes on from NC_000007.14 coordinate 131,281,797, forward strand.
CAGTCTTGTGAGTGGCTAGGACTACACATGCACACTCAGCTAATTTCTAAATTTTTTGCAAAGATGGGGGTCTCACTATGTTGCCCAGGCTGGCCTTGAACTCCTGGCCTCAAGCGTCCTCCCACCTCAGCCTCCCAGAGTGCTGGGATTACAGCCACCATGCCCAGCCACTGCCACATTTCTGAGCCTGTTTTATCTTATACTCTTATCATGGTGCTTTACTGCTTACTCTGTGGGAGGCATCATGTTAGACACTAGAAATAAAAAGATGGGCTGGGCATGGTGGCTCATGCCTGTAATCCCAGCACTTTGGGAGGCCAAGGCGGGTGGATTACCTGAGTTTGGGAGTTTGAGACCAGCCTGACCAACATGGAGAAACTTCATCTCTACTAAAAATACAAAATTAGCTGGGCATGGTGGCGCATGCCTGTAATCCCAGCTACTTGGGAGGCTGAGGCAGGAGAATCGCTTGAACCCGGGAGGCGGAGGTTGTGGTGAGCCGAGATAGTGCCATTGCACTCCAGCCTGGGCAACAAGAGTGAAACTCCGTCTCAAAAAAAAAAAAAAAAAAAAGAAAGATGAAGAAAACATGGTCTTTGTCCTGAAGAAGCTTATAGCCTAATTCAAAAAGTAAGACATAAACTTATTGATTAAACAGTAGCCCTTGACAGCAACATACAGGGAAGTACATAATTGCCAAATGAATGTTACCAGATGATTAGAGATCTAGCAAGTTCAGGGGATGAGGAGGGACGTGGAGGCTATAGAGGTCTAGGAGAAATAGAGGAGGAGGGATCTGAGCTGGGTTCGAAGGCTCACCTCCTTCCCTTCCTTCTTTCTCCCCTTCCTTCTTTAATTTTCTTATTTCCTTTTCTCCCTTTTCTCTTCCTACCCATCTTCTTTGAAAACATTAATAGAATATAACCATGGTTGGTTATCATTTCTCAAACCTGGCGATCATCAGAATCTCTTGGCAAGCCTTTTAAATATACAGATTCCAGAGTCTCATGTCAGACCTATTGTATCATATTCTCAGATGGTGGGGCATGGACAACTGCATTAAAAGTTTTATCTGATTTTCAGCCAGGTTTGGAAATTTCTGGATATGACTATAGTCATGATTTCCACACGTGGACCAATCCTCATCTTCATTCCACTGCAGCTCTGACTCTGTTTAGGATGCTCACAAGGCCAGCAGGTCACACGGGCACCTAGTAAGGGAGGGGAATTGGGCCTGTGCAACAGCTCCTCCGTTCATGAACAGCATCTCAATCTGCATACGTTACTGAGAGGGCTCTTCAGTGTCATTTATGTTTATGGGGATGGCTCATTATACAGATCAAACTTTTATTTTCTGTAACTGAGAATCTAAGAATCTCAAAAGATCCTTCCGCTGTCGATGGCCATGACCCTCAGAGTTACCTGTGGGATATGGACTCATTATCCAGATTTAATAAATAATAACGGCTTGCCATGATAAAACCTTCTAGTTACAAGAGAAGGCCCTTCCCTCCCTCCCTCCCTCCCTCCCTCCTTCCCTTCCCTTCCCCTCCTTCCTTCCTTCCTTCCTTCCTTCCTTCCTTCCTTCCTTCCTTCCTTCCTTCCTCTCTCTCTCTTTACTGCTTTCTTTCTTCTCTTTTTTTTTTTTTTTGAGACAGCATCTCACTCTGTTGCCCAAAACAGGCTGGAGTACACTGGTGCACTCACAGCTCACTGCAGCCTTGACCTCCTGGGCTCAGGTGATCCTCCCACCTCAGCCTCCCGAGTAGCTGGGACTACAGGCATGCACCACCACAGCTGGCTAATTTTTGTATTTTTTGTAGAAACAGGGTTTCATGATGTTGCTCAGGCTGGTCTAGAACTCCTGGGCTGAAGCTGTCTGCGCATCTTGGCCTCCCAAAAATGCTGGGATAACAGGCGTGTGCCATTGTGCCCGGCCGAGAAGGCCCTTTCATTTCAACTCTCTCCAGAGGTAACCAATCTGTTGAAGACTGTGAGTGTCCTTCCCACATGTTTTTATAGTTTTACTACACAATAGGCAAGTTTTGCATGTTTAAACCTGTATGTAAATAGTGTACATATTTTTTTCTGTAGCTTTTTTTCTCAACATTGTGATTTGGAGATTTATCTGTGGTACTTGTAGAGCTAATCCATTCTATATAACATAACATTATATTATATAATACTGCAATGTAGTGCTCCATTGTGTAAATGTTCTAGAATCTATTCTCCTGTGGGTGGATATTTGTTATGGCCAGTTTTTTGCTATTCCAAATCATGATGTAAATCATGCCCTGGTGTACGTCTCCTTGAACACATGTGTGAGAGTTCTAGGGAATATATCTAGAACAAAAATTGCTAGGGAATAGGATATGCGCACTTCCGACTTGACTAGATTGCCTTCCAGCTTACTGTCCACAGCAGCTGAACCAATTGTTATATATCTCATCAATGATATACAAGAATTTGTCTTGTCCCACATTCTAACCAACGCTGTCAAGTTTTTTAAAAATACACATATCTAAGCCCTATTTTCATAGATTCTGATAGGTTCACTCTGGAGTGTGGTTTGAAATAGGCTACAGGTGGTTCTAAAACACAAATAAAGTTAAGTCTGCTCCAAGTATGCATGTGTATATGATCTAATATATTGATATGTGGATTGTCACGCTGAGGTTACTCTGGTGCTCTGTTGGTAGCATCTATGTTGGCTGGATTTAGATGTTTGAGGAAAGGGTGGGGAAGTACCACTGTCCAACATACAGATACACTTTGAATAAAAAAGCGGTCTGTGATTTACCAGTGCACTGGGCTGTAGTTGATCTAAAGCCCTACCTTTGCCAGCTACGTGAATAGGGTGGGCCCTTTCTAAGTGCTGCCTTCCCTCTCACCAGGTGTGTGGCTGGGTATCAGCTGTCAGGGCTTGCATACGTGCGGTCGCTTAGGGCAAGGTGCCTGTCAGCTATGTCTGCCAGCCCGCTGGGTGGTGTCACTGTGTGGAGCATTTGTGGCTTTTTCAAAGCCCTGAGGAATCTGAGAAGCAAGTGAGGGGAATGATGCATGAAAACAAAAGGCAGTGGAAAGAGTGACCAGCCAGCAGGCTCCAGCAGGCTAGAACGCTCTGTCCTTGTTATTACTGCTTCAGGAAAATGCTGCCAGCTTCCTGGCAGGGCCTGGAAGGTAGAGGCTTCTTGAGAAAACAAGGATAAGTGATGCGTACTCTGAGGCTGAGATTCCGGTTCCCCAGCCTCCCCGCTTTTCCAGCAGAAGCTGCAGGGTGAGGATGGGGAACCGTTTGCTCCTTGGTGGGTTTGGCCAGTCTTTCATTCTCTCCTGGCTGCTGTCCTAAGAGTTTTTTCTCCTTTCTTCCACTCATAAGCAGCACGGCTCTGGTCTCAGAGGCCTAGCAGGGCTGGCCTGGGAGGGAAGCTGGGCGGTGCCCTAGGCAGAGTTGTTCCCTGAGGAGTGATGTGAAGGTCAGCCTAGGGGAGGAAAAAGGGCCTCAGCCATAATTCCCATTCAAGGAGTGTTTGCCAAAGATGAACCTCCTGGTGTGGGGCAATGAGACACGGGATGCGCTCATACCTTGTCCACTTTCCCCCTGGTACTGCATTCACAGGATAGCCTAACCCAATTTTCCGAAATGAGGTAGAAGCTCAGCAAAGGTAAGCGTTTCCATGTTAACTTATTATCAGATGGATGTGAGGACCTGTCGTAATTGGACTTGCCGAAAGTCAACTTCTATTTTCCCTCCTGACAATCACCTTTCTTTGGCATATAAAATACATGGATGCAAATTAGGGAAGAAGTCAGCATTCTTTTCTTCTCTTAAAAAGTAGCGATGAGGATAAAGAATAAAAATAGGCCTCTGTAGATACAATAGGGCTGAGCTGAGGGTGTGGTTTGCTTGGCAACAGCTCAGGCAAAGCTGTTTCTCTTGGTCCTGGAATGCCCTTGACTTCACCTCTGCCTGATGCAGTCTTAAGAGACCAGCTTGATTGTGAGTTTTTTTGGTGAAACTCCCATCAATAGTTAGTCATTCCCTTTTTTCTGGCCCCATAGCATTTTGCTCTTATAAAAACCATTCATCATATTGCGTGACAATTACTGACTTGGGATCATGCCTTATTCTCTGCGTGTGTTTCCTCAGCATCTATGGACTTTTTTTTTTTTTTTTGAGACACAGTTTCACTCTGTCGCCCAGGCTGGAGTGCAGTGGCGCCGTCTCACTGCAACCTTCGTCTCCCGGGTTCAAGCGATTCTCGTGCCTCCACCTCCCAAGGAGCTGGGATTACAGGCATGCGTTATCACGCCGGACTAATTTTGTATTTTTAGTAGAGACAGGGTTTCACCATGTTGGCCAGGCTGGTCTCGAACTCCTGATCTCAAGTGATCTGTCTGCCTTGGCCTCTCAAAGTGCTGGGATTACAGGTGTGAGCCACTGCGCCTGGCCAATGGACTATATTTTAACATAGTAGTTCTTTGATAAATGTTTATTGAATGAATCAAAGTTCCTAAGAAGATATCAGTCCTCAGCTCTTATATTTTCTTAATTATCCCCTGCCTTTTCCTTTGTGGGGTGATCTGCAAGCAGTTTCATCTGCACGTGGAATGGAGGACATGCTAAAAGTAAATGTAGCTTTGTTTTTTTTTCCTCCCCCAAGGAATTGCCTCAGTAGGAATGGGTGTTTCAGATATATCATTCTGTTACAGGTACAAAAAATTGTTTCCAGGAAGCACTGCCATCATTATCTCTGAGAGGCAAGTCAGTAGAAATTGTTATTTTCCATTTACAGATGGACAAATGGAAGGTTTCTTTCTCATTTACCAATTACAGAATGTCCACTCTGTTTAAAGTACTGTGCTAAGATTTTTATGGGCTACAAAGATGTACAAGACAAGGTTCTTGTTTCGAATAAGAATGTCATAATCTTATTTGGATAAAACAATATTTATATAACAAAAGAACTACAACTCAGGAGCATATAGTTTGAGGCATATGAGTGGTCCCAAAAGGAGCCCCAATGGGCCAGGCACGGTGGCTCACACCTGTAATCCCAGCACTTTGGAAGGCCAAGATGGGTGGATGGCTTGAGGCCAGGAGTTTGAGACCAGCCTGGGAAACATAACAAGGCCCCATATATACTTTTAAAAAAATTAGCTGGAAGTAGTGGTGCACACCTGTGGCCCAGCTTCTTGGGAGGCTGAGATGGGAGGATCGATTGAGCCCTAAAGATTGAGGCTGCAGTGAGCCACAATCGTGCCATTGCACTCCAATCTGGGTAACAGAGTGAAATGAAACCCTGTCTCAAAACAAAACAAAAAGTACCAAAGGGAATATAAAAGGCAGGCAAAAGAATGTCCAGCTAAAGTGATCAGGTATATCCTCCTGTCCCATCTGAGATGAACAGGTTTTGTGCTGGTTATTCTCCATCTGGCTCCTGTCCTGGTTTTCTGTGACTGCCGTAACAAATTACTACAAACTGGATAGGTTAAAACAACAGAATTTTATTTTCTCACAGTTCCGGAGGACAGAAGTCTGAAATCAAGTGTTGGCAAGGCCACACTCCTGAAAGCTCTGGGGGAGAATCTTCTCCTTGCTTCTTCCAGCGTCTGGGGGCCCCAGGCCTTCCTTGGCTTGTGGCCACTCCTCTGAGGTCACATTGCCTCCTCCTTTTATCTCTTAAAGTTTCTGCTTCTCTCTTATAAGGATACATGTGATTGCATTTAGGGCCTACCACAGTGATCTAGGATAAGGTCCTCCTCTCAGGATAAGGTCCTCCTGAACTTAATCACATATTTTGCCATGTAATGTAATATTCCCAGGTTCCAGAGATTCGGCTGTGGGCATGTTTTGTTGGCGGGGGAGGGGGAGGAGAATATCATTCAACCCATTATAGCCCTGATATGGTTAGGCTTTGTGTCCCCACCCAAATCTCATCTTGAATTTTAATCCCCATAATCCCCACATGTTTAGGGAAAGACCAGTGGGAGGTGATTGGATCATGGGGGAGGTTCCCCCCATGCTGTTCTCGTGATAGTGAGTGAGTTCTCATGAGATCTGATGGTTTTATAAGGGGCTCTTCCCCCTTTGCTTCTTACTTTTCTCTCTCCTGACGCCATGTGAAGAAGGTCCTTGTTTCCCCTTTGCCTTCTGCCATGATTGTAAGTTTCCTGAGGCCTCCCCAGCCATGTGGAACGGTGAGTCAATTAAACCTCTTTCCTTTATAAATTGCCCAGGTTCCAGTAGTATCTTTAAATTATAGCAGTGTGACAGTGGATTAATACAAGCCCCATGTCCTTCTCTGCCACACTCTGTTCCCGACAAGGATGTTACCCCACAGATTTCGTCCCCTGGGAGCCAGTGCCCTCTGGCTTACTGTTGGGTTTGTCCAATGGCAGGCATCAGCAAGTATCAGAGGGTAGGAGGCAAAAGAGGTTGAGATATTTCTTCTCCTTTCCTCCCTGCTTTAGCGCCATGGGTTTGGCATTAGGTATGCCCCTTCACAGTTCTAGCTCTTTCTGGACTCTGATAAACTGTTTCTCTTCAGGCCTGGACTTCTACTGCTACTCGACCTTGGGTGCCTCAGTATCCGCTTAAGTTCCCACCACCCTCCCTACATCCTTGTAAATATCAATTTCATCAAATGATTTTCAAAATCCCAGCGCAATGTGCCTTCAGTTTTGTGCCATGATCTTGAGTGATAGAGATTCCAAGAAGCAAAAATTTAATTTTCAGAACGGAGAGATATACTCAGGTTACCTCAGTCTAAGCTTAAGACTAATACAAGCCCCATGTCCTTCTCTGCCACACTCTGGCAACGAGGAGTGGGAAGGTGATTCAGCACACAGTGCCGCCCTAGCAACTGGGTTATCTTGTGGGCCCTTCAGTAGTCAGTATCTGTTGCTTTGCACTCTAATTATCTGCTAGTATTGTGACTCTCCACTGCCCTTGCTGTTCAGTACTTTCTATTCTTTTCTCATCTCACAGCTTCTATTGCTGCATGCTTTTTGCTGCCACATGACCTCAGCTTTCTTCCTTCTCTCTGTGTATCTTTTAGTTTCTGCCCATTTCTAACTGCTGACTCTCTCTTTGTATTTCATATTCAACTCAACAAAAGAATCTGCCTAGTTTGGCTGTTCACCATCAAGTGCAGGTGGTTAGGCAGAGCCTTCTTTTAAAAAAAAAAATTATTTTTTTAAAGTAGAAGTAAATGGGGGTCTCACTGTGTTGCCCAGGCTAGTCTTGAACTCCTGGGCTCAGGCAATCCTTCCACCTCAGCCTCCCAAAGTGCTGGTATTACAGGCATGTCCATCATGCCCGGCTATCAAAGCCTTCTTGACAAACCATCTCATGAGCATAGGTCTGATGCCCTAGATCAGGTGTCCCCACCCCTGGCCTAAATGGCTTTGTTTGGAATGGCAGAATAAATTGTTACGTAATTTGGTGTCCTGTCTATTAGAAACCTAGAAGGGGGTTTATGGGTGTGGCAGACATGATGACACTTGCAGGAAGTGGGGAAGGATGGTTATTAAAACCTACAAGTAGCCAGGTGTGGTGGCTCACGCCTGTGGTCCCAGCACTTTGGGAGACCAAGGCGGGAGGATCCCTTGAGGCCAGGAGTTTGAGACCAGCCTGGCCAACATAGCGAGACCTCATCTCTACAAAAAATGAAAAAACAACCCCAACCGCAAATCCTTACCAATGGACTTTAATAAGCTACAGGATCTAGTACCCACTTGTTTCTTATCTCTTACTACCAGGAAGCAGCACAGCATACTTTAGTGTTTAACAGCATGCATCACTAGAGACAGACCACCTGAGTTCCAATCCTAGCTCTATCACTTGATTGCTGTGTCATTTGGGGGCAGTTATTTAACTTTCCTGTACCTCAGTTTCCTCATCTGGAAAAGGTAAAATCAGTATCTACTTCATAGACTTGCTGGGAGAATTAGTTAATATCTTTCATGTGCTTCAAATAATGCTACTAGTAAGGGCTATTTAAGTGTTTGTTAGGTAAATAAAATATTTCCCCCCATTCACTACATTCCAGCCACATTGGCCTCATTGCTGCACCTCCAGCAGGCCAAGCACACTTCTGACCAAGGGCCTTTTTGTTTGTTGTTCTTCTAGGGGAACACATGACCAATTTCCTTACCTCTTTCTATTCTTTGCCCAAATATTGTCTTTTAAATGATGACAATGCTATTTAAAATTGCAATTCTTGGCCAGGTGCGGTGGGTTGCACCTGTAATTCCAGCACTTTGGGAGGCCAAGGCAGGTGGATTACTTGAGGTCAGGAGTTCAAGACCAGCCTGACCAACATGGTGAAACCTCATCTCTACTAAAAATACAAAATTAGCCAGATATGGTGGCAGGTGCCTGTAATCCCAGCTACTTGGGAGGCTGAGGCAGGAGACTCTCTTGAATCCGGGAGGTAGAGGTTGCAGTGAGCCGAGATCGCACCATTGCACTCCAAGCCTGGGCAACAAGAGTGAAATTCCGTCTCAAACAGTAAATAAATAAAAATGAAATTGCAATCCTCTGTACAACCCTGCTTTATTTTTCTCATTATCACTTACCTACTTCTAATACTCTATGTAAATTTGCAAATTTGTTTTTCACCTATCTCTCCCAACTAAAGGGTAAGCAAGGGCAGGGCTGTTGTTTCATTCTCTGATGTATCCCAGGTGCCTAGAACATTGCATGGAACATAATGGGCACTCATGCTCTTTGTGGAATGAATTAACAAGCTGTATTCAGGTAAACAAACTTGGAATCTATTTTGAAGATTGATTTCTAAATGAGCTTCCTATGGTGCATGTGCAATGCCAAAGATCTTCCCAAAAGTTGTTCTTTTAAGTTGAATAGAGATGATCTCCCTTCCACAATATCATTTATTTTAATAAACTGATTAGCCAACTGTCTTTTCTCCCCAAAGATATTTAAAGGTAAACTTTAGCTGAAACTTAGGTCAACTTCTCTTTAATTCCTAATGAACATACTTTGAATTAATGAGATAGACCAACTCCTAATTAATTGCTGGTAGACTCTGTAGCACTGCGATTTATCCAACATGAGCTAAAAGCTATAGCTTATCATCAGGATATGGAAAGACAAGAAGTAATAACACTGACTCTAGGTCAGATAAGTTGCTAGGCTTAAATCTGTGAGGCAAATATCATCATCACCATGGTACAGATAAACAAACCAAGGCCCCAAATCACATACCTAATAGGTAATAGAGCCAGGATGCAAACCATCAGTTTCCAAAATCCATGCTTTTCCTTTTATCTCATTTTATTTTATTTATTTATTTATTTATTTATTTATTTATTTATTTATTTATTTGAGACAGAGTCTCACTCTGTCACCCAGGCTGGAGTTCAGTGGCGTGATCTTGGCTCACTGCAACCTCCGCCTCCCAGGTTCAAGCAATTATCCTGCCTCAGCCTTCCAAGTAGCTGGGATTACAGGCATGTGTCACCACACCCGGCTAATTTTTGTATTTTTAGTAGAGATGGGGTTTCATCATGTTGGCCAGGCTGGTCTCGAACTCCTGACCTCAGGTGATCCACCCGCCTCAGCCTCCCAAAGTGCTGGGATTATGGGCATAGGCCACTGCACCCAGCCCATCCCATATGTTATTTTAAGCTTCAAATTTCTCATTTGTGATATGTAGTAAGAGTACTTATGTACAGAGTTGTGACAATTAAAAATAATATATATATAATGCAGAATACATATGTAATATATATAACACAGAATACAGCTTTCATTTATTATATATATATATATATATATAATACAGCTTTCTTTTATTTAACATATATAATGCAGAATGCAGTTTTCATTATGGCTGTACTTAGGAATGATGATGCGACTTTTCCCATGGGGAATAATCACAGCTGCTCCAGTTGGATGACAGCAATAAGTTCTACAGAGGTGAGTTAGTTGGAGTAGTCACATTAAAAAAAAAAAAGAAAAAAAAGACATTTAAATTTAAAAAAAAAAGTTTGAAAATAGGCCAGGCATGGCAGCTCACACCTGTAATAACGGCACTTTGGGAGGACAAGGCGGGAGGATATCTTGAGACCAGGAGTTCGAGACCAGTCTGGGCCACATAGTGAGACCCTGCCTCTACAAAAGAAATTTAAAAATTAGCCAGGTGTGGTGGCGTGCGCCTTAAGTCCTAGCTATTCAGGGGGCCGAGGTGGGAGGATGGCTTGAGCATAGGAGTTTGAGGCAGTAGTGAGCTATGACCATGACACTGCACTCCAGCCTGGACAACAGAGCCAGGCCCTGTCTCTAAAATAAGAATAATATAGAGTTGACCTTACGAACCCTCACTAGTCAAATTTGAGGCAAGTTGATCATGAAAATGTTGTTTGTATGGTTGTATAAAAATGATAGTTTTTTTTGCAAAGCAAAAGCCATGCTTTCAAAGTGATTTAAAAAGTTGGGGAAGGGAAGAAAGGAGGCGAGAATGCCAGCTAATAAATGTTGAGAAAATGATGATGCTTAAGAAAAACACTGTTGTGCAATCCCCAAGGGTCATCTGTAGATGATAAAGCCATTATGTGAAAGGTTAATGGATATTAGGGCTCGAATCATGTCCCCCCAAAAAGATATGTTGAAGTCCTAATCCCTAGCACCCCAGAATGTGCCCTTATTTGGAAACAGCATTGGGGCACAAATAATTAGTCAAGATACTGGAGTAGGGTGGGCTCCTAATCCAATCTGACTGCTGTCCTTATAAGAAGACCAGGGAGAACCTCATGTGAAGATCAAGGCTGGATTGAGGCGTTGTAGCTGCAAGCCAAGGAATGCCTAGGGCTACCAGAGGCTGGAATAGGCAAGGATTTTCCCCTGCAGGTTTCAGAGGGAGCATGGCCCTGCCAACACATTCTTTTCCTACTTCCAGCTTCCAGACAATACATTTCTGTTTTTTAAGCCACCCAATTTGTGAGTACTTTGTTACCATAGCTCCAGGAAACTAATGGGGAACAGGACTGACACAGTGCACCAAAGCATCATCCCACATATATAAAAGATAGAGCTCTCCAAACGAGGGATTTGTTAGTTACCACTTAATCAAGTTTCAAGCTTAACAGCACTAATAGTGGGACAACCCGACATTGTATATCTCCTGATATGATGCAGTAAGAGGTACACAATATCACTTTGATAGACTGATTGCAATAGGAGGTTGAGTTTATTTCGCTACCACTTACCTCTGGGCTGGCTTTGTCACTTGCTTTTGCCAACATAATGCAGTTGAAGTGACAGAGTGCCAGCTGTAAACCTAGGCCTCAACAGAGGCTTCTACACTCTTTCAGACCCTGCCTTTTCCATGAGAACATGCCAGGGCTAGCTTGCTAAGTGTGAGAGGCTAATGGAACTGAGCCCAGCCATCCCAGCTGAGATCATCCCAGACTGACCAGCTCCTAGTCAACTTACCAAATGACTTGGATGAATGAATCAGTCCAGCCAAAATCAGCTGAGCCCAGTCCAGAGCAGCAGAACTACCTAGCCAATGGTTCTTAATATTATGCCACTGAATTTTGGGATAGTTTGTTATGCAGTAATAGCTAATGGTTATAGTCATCTATGTTGTAATTTTTGCATTAGTTTAAATGCAAACTGATCATGAGGAAACAATCAGAAAAATGTATAGTGAGAGACATTCTGCAAAACAACTGGACTAGATGCTACAAAAGAGTAAGTGCCTGGCAGGGCACCGTGGCTCACACCTATGTCCAACACTTTGGAAGACTGAGGTGGAAGGATCACCTGAGGCCAGGAATTCCAGACCAGCCTGGGCAACATGGTGAGACCATCTCTACAAAAAATAAAAAATTAGCTGGGTGTAGTGGTGTGCACCTGTAGTACCAGCTACTCCAGAGGCTGAAGCAAGAGGATCACTTGAGACCAGGAGTTTGAGGCTGCAGTGAACTATGATCACGCCACTGCTCTCTAGCCTGGGCAATAGAGTGAGACCCTGTCTCTAAGTTCATTAATTAATAATAATAAAAGTCAGTGTCATGAAAAGCAAATAAAGTAGGGAAATGGTTCTTGATAGTCTAGAACAGGGTTTTTCAATTTAGGTATTAAATGACATTTGGGACTAGGTCATTCTTTGTTGTAGGGGGCTGTCCTGTGAATTCAGGCTCTTTAGCAGGCATCCCTGGTCTCTAGATACTAGATACCAGTAGCACACCCAGTCATGACAATCAAAAATGTCTCCAAGCGTTGCTAAAAGTCTGTCTTGGGGCACTGGACTAGAGAAACGGAATCAAATGCAATGTATGGACCTTGTTAATATCTTGGATCAAAGGCTATGTAAAAGACATTTGGTACGAATGAAGAAATCTGAATCTGAACTTAAAGATGTTATTATTGAATCACTGTTAATTTTCCCAGGCCTGAAAATGGAACTGTAGTAATGGAGGAAAATGCCCTTATTCTTAGGAGATGTATGCTGAATTATTTTAAGTGAATAACTGTAAAGTATTCAACTTACTTTCTAATGCTTCAACGGTTAAAAATGTATATTTACAGAAAGAGATAAAGCAAAAGTGAAAAAAGTGTTAATAATTGGTGAATCTAGGTGAAGCATATAGGCACATTCCTTGTACTATTCTTCCATCTTTGTGGGTCTGAAAATTTTCAAAATAAAAAATTGGGGAAAGAACGAGTTTATTGCATCTCTACTGCCTGGCTCTTCATTAATCTAACGTGATAGAAGGAGGAGGCTTGTTTTAAATGAATCTGAGTGCTCATTTTGTGTTGCCTGGGAAATGAGCTAGCTCAAACCAGGTGTGGAGAGCTAGGGCTGAGGAAGGGGGCTTCTCTCAGCCTGAGAAACTGTACACAAGCTCATCTTCCCAAGGGACCACTGTCTTCCTTTCCCTTGTGTAACATTCCACAGGAACCAAAGTCTAGATGCTGGGCAGCTTGTGTGCGTTTCCCAGATATCTCTGGTAAACAGCTGACAATAAATTCCAGGCTGCCTGGTGCCAAGATAATCTGATTATTCCTTTCATGATAAGGCTGCTCTCACACTTGCTACATACAAAAAAGAGACCCAAAGAAGGACAGAGTTCCCTTCCTTGGAACGCAAACCATCTCGTGAGGCTAGCAGGTCACCCAGAGGACGACGGGAGGATGGGGTCCTTGTGCCTTCCCTTCTCTTAATGACTTTCCCTTTGTAAGTTTTCTCTTTCCACAGAAAAACCTAATTTCTTAACCTCTACCGTGTGACAGGGGAATTCAAATCAAGCTCTGGTGCATTAAAATGGCAACTGCAAAGAGACCTATTTTGCAAGAGAGCTAAGGTTTATTTTTTTTAATTTTAATTTTTGCTCTTATTTTTATTTTATTTTATTTTGTAAAGACAGAGTGTCACTATGTTGCCCAGGCTGGTCTCAAACTCCTGGGCTCAAGCAATCCTCCCACCTTGGTCTCTCAAAGTGCTGGGATTATGGGCATGAGCCACCATGCCCAGCCAAGAGCTAACATTTAAAACACAGGCAGAACTCAGAAACCAAAAAGATAAATGCTGATAAACACATTGTGTAAAACATTTAAAACCTTTATATGGTAAGAATAAAAATGACAACAACAACAAGAACACACCATGAATAGAGCCAAAGACAAATGACACAGTAGAAAAAGTTGCAATCCAACAGAAAAAGTGCTTATTTCTTTATTTTACTAAAAGATCTTACAGTTTTATGAGGGAAAAAAGAAAAAAAAAGGCATAAAGAATAGGAACAAATATTTCATACAAATAGAGTGGCAAAAAGCCAGGTGTGGTAGTTCACGCCTATAATCCCAACACTTTGGGGCCAAGGTGGGAAGATCACTTGAGCTTAGGAGTCTGATACCAGCCTGGGCAACACAGCAAGACCTCGTCTCTACTAAAAATAAAATAAATTAACTGGACATGGTGTTACTTGCCTGTAGTGCCAGCTTCAAGGGAGGCTGAGGCAGGAGAACTGCTTGAGCTTGGGAGATGGAGGCTGCAGTGAGTAATGATTCCACTACTGCACTCCAGCCTGGGTAACAGAGCAACGTCCTATCCAAAAAAAAAAAAAAAGGAAAAAACACTTGAAAAAATACTTAGCTTCATTAGTGCTTAGAAAAATGCAGGTCACAACAGTGTGATACCATTTTTACCTATGAGTGACAAAAATTTTTAAATTCAATAAAACTTAGTTTTGGCAAAGTTACAGTGAAACTTACACTGTCGATGAATATAAAGGAACAACTTTTTTGGCGGTTACAATTTAGGAACATTAACCCAATCTTAAATGTACATATATTTTGATCCAGCAATTTCATTGAAAGGAATTTATCCTACAGAGAGTCATACAAGTCCCCAATGACATGTGTATAAGGATATTGATGGAAATGTTGTTTATAATAATAGTGTAAGTAGAAATGATTTAAAGTTCATCAGTTAGGCAACAAATAAATTTATGGCCCATCCAATGATTAAAACATCTACATGTGCTATTATGGAAATATTTCTGCTATATTACTAAATGAACAAAGCAAGGTATAGGATGATATATATTATTTGCTCTGTGTAAAAATGGAGTCTATTTTATATATCTTAATATAGAAAAAATACACCAGAAATAATTAACAGTGCTTGCCTTGTGATAAGAGTGGGAACGAGATTTTTCCCTTCCATTTTAAATCAGTTTGAAGTTTCAATTTACAGTTGCCCCTTGAAGAACATGGGTTTGAATTGCATGGGTCCACTTGTATCTGGATTTTTTAAAACCAAACTCAGATAAAAAAATACAGTAGTTGGCTCACACCTGTAATCCTAATTACTCGGGAAGCTAAAGTGTGAGGATTGCTTGATGCCAGGAGTTTGAGACCGGCATAAGCAACATAGCAAGACCCCATCTCTTTATTTTCATTTTTATGTATTTATTTATTTTGAGATGAAGTCTCACTCTGTCACCCAGGCTGGAGTGTAGTAGCATGATTTCAGCTCACTGCAGCCTCAACCTCCCAGGATCAAGCGATCCTTCCACCTCAGCCTCCCAAGAAGCTGGGACCACAGATGGGTGCCACCATGCCCAGCTAATGTTTTTGTATTTTTGGTAGAGATGGAGTTTCACTGTGTTGCCCAGGCTGATCTGGAACTCATGGACTCAAGTCATCCACCTGCCTCAGCCTCCCAAAGTGCTGGGATTACAGGCATGAGCCACTGCACCTGGCCAAGACCTCATCTCTTAAAAAGATATATATACAGGCTGGGCGTGGTGGCTCACGCCTGTAATCCCAGCACTTTGGGAGGCCAAGGAGGGCAGATCACGAGGAGATTGAGAACAGGAGATTGAGAACAGCCTAGCTAACACGGTGAAACCCTGTCTCTACTAAAAATATAAAAAATTAGCCACGTGTGGTGGCGTGCGCCTGTAGTTCCCGCTACTTGGGAGGCTGAGGCAGGAGAATCGCTTGAACCCGGGAGGTGGAAGTTGCAGTGAGCCGAGATAGCGCCACTGCACTCCAGTCTGGTGACAGAGCGAGACTCCGTCTCAAAAAACAAAATATATATATATATGTGTGTGTGTATATATATACACAAATACTCTGTGTGTGTGTGTGTACATACACACACACACACAGACAGTATTTGCAGATACAAAGCCCAAATATCTTGAGGGCTGACTTTTTGTATCTGCCCGTTCTGTACGGACAACTGCAGGCCTTGAGTATGTGTAGATTTTAGTATATATAGGGGCCTTAGAACCACTCCCCCGAAGTCTACTGAGGGATGATACAATTTTTATTATGGTCATGTATTACTTTTACAATGGAAAAAAATGCACAGATTGTGCCTTGGAACAACTTTCAAAATGTCAATCAGTGCTCCTTATGATACTTTTGAAATAGGACAAGGTTGTGTGCAGGGTAAATTGTTTTTAGCTGGAGATGCGAATATGCAAATGGTACTCATCCATTGCAACTAGAAGTGTGAATTTTAGAACCTAGGAAGATTTGATCAGAGCAGTTACCAAGTTCATCCTTGAAGCAGCTCAGGTTCAGCCTTTAGCCAGACTCCTATTGGAAAGCCCAGCAAGGGAAAAATAATGTAATAGGAAATTTTCTTTCTCCTTCTCTTTCTTTGCCTCTTTGTGGAATTTCTTCAGGAACATGCAAGTTAAGATATACACATGACGGCCGGGCGCGGTGGCTCACGCCTGTAATCTCACCACTTTGGGAGGCTGAGGCGGATGGATCACGAGGTCAGGAGATCGAGACCACGGTGAAACCCCGTCTCTACTAAAAATACAAAAAATTAGCCGGGCGCGGTGGCAGGCGCCTGTAGTCCCAGATACTCGGGAGGCTGAGGCAGAAGAATGGCGTGAACCCAGGAGGTGGAGCTTGCAGTGAGCCGAGATGACGCCACTGCACTCCAGCCTGGGCGACAGAGCAAGACTCGGTCTCAGAAAAAAAAAAAAGATATGCACATGACTCAGAGGTACTGAGATATGAAAAAAATTTGCCAAGGTGCTTGGATGATTCTTCCTCTTTACAAATGCATCATATTTGTGCCTGGCTGGTCCTCTTTAAAGCACCCAAGGTATTAATCTGAGAGGACAGCCTCTATCTGGGGAACATTTTTTTGTTCTCAGTGAAGTGGCACATTCAGTTCCTGGTGCAGGCTCACTCAATTTCCATTAGTCATTTCACAGCTGTATCTTGGGAAGAGAAAATTTCAAATACTTTTGGCTGATTTCACAAGTAAACAAAAAACAAGGCCTTCCCTCTTTTCTCACAGATCTTGTTTGTTTACAGTTTTCAAGTCAATAAAACACGCCTGTCTTTGTAGATGTTTCTCCTAAGTGTGTTAGTTGTCTGCTGACCTATCTGCCTGGCTTCCACTCTACTCTTGTACCTAGATTTGTTGCCCTCATGTTGCAGGTGAATGCTGGACTACCCACTCTAGTTTGTTATTAAATCGATGGAGCAATTTTTGTTTGGTAGTTTAGTATTCTAAGGCTGTTCATGGACACCATTTAGAAACGAGGGTCAACTATCAAGCGAAATACTGAATCTGATCATAGGTTTGTTATTTTTTCAGTTGTTTAAGGGCATCAGATTAGCACTTTGGGAGGCCGAGGTAGGAGGAGCGCTTCATGCCAGGAGTTTGAGACCAGCTTGGGCAACAACAGCGAGATTCTGTCTCTATTGTTTATAAAATTAAAACTTTTGAAAGAGGATATTAGATGAGTGCACAAATTTGTTATTATGGGGTCACTATGAATACTGAAGATGCACACACAGGGATCATTATTGTAGGGTGGTTTGTGACAGCTGGCCCTGTTTTAGTTATTTCCTCAAGAAGACACTTGAACAATTATTGCAATGCCTCCTCTCTGTAATTACAATAATAATCATGATGATTTTGCAACTGAATATTCAATTCAGGGTGTATACACTCAACTACTGTTTTTAGCTTGTTTCTCTTTTTACATTGATGTCAGCTGCTGTTGTCAGAATTGAACAGAGAACCATTTTTCTGGTGAAGGTCAATGAACTACATGAAAAAAGGAATCTGGGGCCAATACAGGAAATTATAAGAAAAATAATTACAGTTAGGATTTAAGGAGTGCTAACTATGAGCTAGATTTTTTTCTCCTTGGAGAGAGAAATATAATATTTTCAGCACTTACCTGCTTTTAAAACTAATAGAATATCTCATTTAACCCTTTTCCCATTTAGAAAAAAAGTGTAGCTCGCCGCCAGCACTCATTTAATTTTACATAAACATGCTCTTTGAGGCTGAAGCAAATCTGACTGATTTTCAATGTGAAAATAAAATATAAAAACTGTTCTTAGAGTTAATTCTAAACAGAACTAACATCAGAATCATCTGAATCATCAGAATTGTCTATTTCAGAGAAATGGGATTCATCAAATGAATCTTTGGCCAACTGTTCGTTAACGATGTTAACGTCGCACATAGGAATGCTATGTTTTCTAGGATTTGACATTTTCAGCAATCGAGAATTACTGTATTTTGTAAATGGAAATACCACCTCTAAAAATAGAATGCTATAAACAGAATGATGTCTTTTGTTTCCAAAGTCAATATACTAGAGCGATGTGAAAATAATAATAAAAGCAAGATATTTTGTGGCAAAGTTATCTCGGGGTAAACTCTGCAGCCACAAGCGCTGCTGGTGAGTATTCTTGGGGCAAACGAGAAAAGGGTTAATAATTATAACTATCTGACAATGCTTTTGCTTCATATTATAGTCAATTAAGGAGCTGGGAGTGGGAAAGATGATGAAGCAGAGAAGAGAGGTGTGTAATTGTGGGTAAGGGGGAGAGAATAGAGACTAAAGGAAAATAAGACACAGAAGGAATAGTGAGGTGCAGAGGCTAAGAAAGAAATACAAGAAATAGGTGCAATAAGAATGACAATGACGAGGTTGGAGAGCAGGTGAAGGAGATGGCAGGCAGGAAGGGAGAGGAAGGGGAAGAGAAAAATGGCTGGAGAGTGGGGAGAGAGACAAGTTTGGAGGGTGGGAAAAAAAAGCATTTGTGTTTGTTTTTAAGATCAATGTGGGGCTGGGGGTGGTGGCTTATGCCTGTAATCCCAGCACTTTTGGAGGCCGAGGCAGGTGGATCACTTGAGGCCAGGAGTTCAAGACCAGCCTGGCCAAGATGGCAAAACACTGTCTCTAGTTAAAAAAAAAAAAAAAATCGCCAGGTGTGGTGGGGCACACCTGTAATAATCCCAGCTACTCCAGAGGCTAAGGCAGGAGAATCGCTTGAACTCCAGAGAAAGAGATTGCAGTGAGTTGAGATCACGCCACTGCACTCCAGTGTGAGGTGACACAGTGAGACCCTGTCTCAAAAAAAAAAAAACAACCAAAAAGAAAAAAAAAGAATGTGGAATCTCTAGAGCGTGGCATTCATACCACCATCACCTGTTGCTGGTTCTCTCTTTGAAATACTGATTAGCCACTGTTCATAACTCTGTAGGTATTCAAATCATTTTAATTGTAGACCTGATGGATACGGTGGGAAGGCAGAAATGGAAATCTTACAAGGTGGATGTTTATGCTGGCTGCCATTGCAGTATTTGGTTTCTTCATGCTGGCTTTTCGGGAGAAATTCCAAAGGGAGGAGGTGAGCTCAGCTGTCAGTTACTAGCAGCTTCCTGCCTTTTCTTATCCTAAGACTTAACGTGAGAAAGTCTCAATCTTGGCTGTACATAGACATCTTTTGAGGAACGTACAAAAATGTTGATACCTATGGTAGATAAAAGAAAAGTTGATCCCTAGGCCCCACCCCTAATATGTAATTGGTTTGGGATGTGGGGTGAGGATTTTTAAAAGTTCCCCATGTGAAGCCAAGGGAGAGAACTGCTGCTCAGAGGCTTCACTATAAATATGTTCACCAGAGAATCCCATTATAACACTGATTATTTTGGGGGCTATGACATCAGTGAACTAAACATTCAGTTGGATGAAACTCAGCCAAAGGCCAGAGGTTCTCGACCTTTGTGCTATACATGTAGTAACTGGCATAGCTGTGAATTGCATGTGGAGCTGTGGGAAGAAAGAGATCCTCTTGAGGCTTATTTGGAACTCTGCAGGAAGAAAAGAAGTCATCAACATAAGAAAGGTCTCTATTAAAAAATTATGTTCGAGAAATACTGAACTTGATTTTAACATTATGAGGGCATCTAGTGTCTCTTGGAAGGCAAACGTCAATTGTCCTTTTCAGACTAATCTGAAATCAGTCCAGGGAACCTGGAGAAATGGTTTGCTTCTTTTCTGCTTGTTTGTTATGGTCTATAGCTCAGTTCATTCCTTGTCACGTAGGACAGCCCTGTGTTTTCTTGCCCTCTGACCTGCTCTCCAAACTTCCAGAATATGGTTCTTTTCAGGAGTGAAGTTATCTAGGATTTGCTATCACCAGGCTCTCCTACCTCTGTCATTCCCCAGTTCTCTCTATTGCAGTAACACTGAAACTTATTTAACCTGCCCATCACCTGTGCTGATATTTTCAAGGGGAAGAGGTGGAGATAGAAGCTATCCCACCAGCCCCATCCTTTGATGCCAGGTAACATGTGCAATATTTCCATTTAGAGTGGCCTTCCGGAACCAAAACTCCCAATCTGGGAAGGGATTCTGATATGACAACTTTCATGTGAAATAGGAAAAGTTTAATTGACAATGCCACAGGGGCCAATACCTGTAGGAGGATGGGATTCTTTCTAGATGATTGTGCTACAGGGATAGCGTTCATTAGGAAGTGTGGTATTTGGCCTGTGGCCTTATGGAGATAATACTATTTCTATCGCCTCTATTATATTTTACATTCCAACCCTTTCTGAATGCTCCATGTATATTAATTCATTTAGCATCTGACTACTCCATTGTGAGCTCCTCAATAACCAGGTGTACGCCCAGCCCCTGACTCATGGGAGGTGACCTATAGATGTTCACTAAATAAATGGATGAAAGTTTAACCAATCCAAGTGGAAGCAGGGGGAAAATGAAAGGAACTACTTCCGTCTCCTTCACAAAGACCAGGCTGACGATCTGACTTGTGGTGATGGGAGAAAAGTGTGGAAGATCTTGACTTAACATTTCTACCTGGAGCGCTGGGGTACTCTTTTTCTGAGCCAATTTCACTCTTCCCAAAAGGCTGTTTGGTTCCAAATACACTAGGCATCAGTGTTAATTGCTTTTCTGAAATATCATTTTGTCAGCTTCGTTTAGATGTGGTAATTTGCAAAGCAACCCCCAGCAGTTGACAGTTCATCCATAGCTGAGTGGTGTTCAGACATTTCCTGGGATTCCTGCCCGCCTTCTATGCAGCTGGCAGTGTTTGCCAAACCAGGATATGTGCTCAACCGGGATTAACTTGGAACCAGTAGTGCTTTGTTGTGTCTGAGATTTTTTAAAATTCTGAAAGGGTGAAGGCCAACCATTAGTCCAGAAAATAAAAGTGCAGTAACTTATAATTTAAGAATTAGCAGGTGCTTCAAGATGACCTAGTCCACACTGGGTGGATGAGGAAATTATGGTTTGACAGGTTCAATGAGAAGGTCAGCTGGCTGGTCGCTGAGAGGCCAGGTCTACAATCTGTATCGTTTGTGTGGTACCAAACTGTGCGCTGGGGTCTCTAGATTTATGCTTGTGTGGATGTGTTTCAGCTACTGTTTCTTTCTGAAGCTCTTTTTCCCTGGCCAGAGACTTCCTGAACCTCCTTCATACATGTTTCAAGGTCACAGCCCAGACCAAAGTGTTTACAAAAAAAACTAAGCACTTATAAAGAGGAATTATTGCCAGCTCCTGAACTCCCAATGCCCCAGCTCCAACTAAGCTCTGCAAACCAAGGAAGGGATGAAGTGGTCTTTGGAACCAGGAGTTTCTTGGTTTGGATGCCAATAGGAAAACGGATGAATTCTGTCTGATTTCTGCAGCAGGCGGAGGCTGCAGCTGCTGTTGCTGCCACCTCCTGGGAGAAGACAGACCTTAGCTTCATACCTGAAGCCAGCCTCAGTGTTCACCTGTGTCTTGGGCAAAGGGCCCATTGGGGCAGGACTGAAATTACTTTCTCCTGGAAAATAAAAGGGATATCCCCTTACTCAACAAACAGAACCCTGGTATTCTTTGCTTTTTGTTTGTTCGTTTTGGCAAGGTTATGCTTGAAGAAATAATCTCAAACAATGACAAAGTTGTAATGAGTTAATACCGGAACCATGAGAGAGCAGAAATAAGATTGAGGCAGAACCATTTGTTTTAGGAAAGTATCAGAGATTCCATCTCTTGGACTTCTGAATCCTGGGGTGATGTTAGGAATGCACGCACTTGAGAATTGTATGATATAAAGGATGCATGAATTTGGTGAGTCTCAACCTCTAAGAGTCTCAGTTTACTTGTGGGGCTGTTATGAAAATTAATTGAGATAATGCATGTAACTTCCTCATATGAGAAGTGTTCAATGTGAATTATTTTGAGGCAAGTTCACTCTTATATCCCCATTGTGATTTTCTATATTTACGGACCAAAAAAACTGGCCAACAGCCCCATGCCTTTAATTCTTTCTAGTCTTCTGATTTATAGATGATCCCTAAGCAAACTCCTTTTATTTATTTAAACATAATAATACACTAGTGAGAAGAAATTCAGGAGGAACTAGGAGATTCAATTTAAAAAATATTTCTTGAGTGCCTACTATGTGCTGTATGTGTACAATATAGGTATAGGCCTCAAAAATGTCCCCTGAAGTACATTAGGAAGACCAGGCACAGTGACTCATGCCAGTAATCCTAGCACTTTGGAAGGCTGAGGCGGGAGGATCTCTTGAGGCCAGGAGTTTGAGACCAGCCTGGGCAACATAGGAAGACCCTGACTCTACAAAAAAATAAATTAGCTGGAGGAAGTGGCCCATGCCTGTAGTCCTAGCTACTCAGGAGGCTGAAGAGATAGGATCACCTGAGCCTAGGAATTCAAGGTTGCAGTGAGTTATGATCATGCCACTGCTGTACTCCAGTCTTGGCAACAGAGTGAGACTCTGTCTCTAAAAACAAAATAAAACAAAAAATTACATTTGGAAAGTGGTTGAGAATTGGGGACTTGGGTTCTAGATTGAGATGTGTAAACAGCCTGGTTGTATAAATGACCTTAGGCATGGCAGCTAACATATTTGGATATTAGTTTCTTCATCTGTTGCATAATAATATCATAAAAGGAAATGCTTTTATTTACAGCAGAGCTTGCCTATGGGATAGCGCATTGAATTCTGTGTTGTGCTTCAACTGCCCTTTAACAGTTAGCACTGTTAAAGAAAACATGAATTTTGAGTGATCCTGGTAAGCTGAAGGAAAACCCTTATAGGACCTATCTGAAGAATTTTTTCCCATGAAATATAGGTCTTGTTTTAACCAATCACATAGAGAGCTATGGATTTACTCTGGCCTATTTGGAGTGTTTGTTTTTCATCCTTTGCTGTGGTTTGAATGTTTGTGTCCCCTCCAAAATTGATCTTGAAAAATTCCCAATGCAACAGCGTTAGGAGTTGAGGCCTTTAGGAGGTGGTTAGGGAATGATGCTCTGTCCTCATGAATGGGATTAGTAACCTTATAAAAGGGCTGGAAGGAGCTAGGCAGGCCCCCTTTTTGCCCTTCCATCCTTTCCACCATATGAGGACACAGCCATCCGTCCCCTCTGGAGGATGCAGCAACAAGGCGTCATCTTGGAAGCAGGGAGACTGGGCCCTCACCAGACACTGAACCTGCGGGCGCCTTGATTGTGGACTTCCAACCACCAGAACTGTGAGAAATGAATCTCTATTCTTTATGTGTTACCCAGTCTCAGTTACTTTGTTATAGAAGCATGAACAGACTCAACCTTAAATAGCATAGCAACCATGAAACCCCTTCCTAACAATTAAAAACACATGCTTTTTGCCCTCAGCCAACTGGTGTGTTCCTTTGCCTGAAAAATAAACTCAGCTGTGTTTGTTTTGCTTTGTTAACTTTGGTGGCCTTTAGTAATATTATTATTTGACAATTTGAACAGTACTATAGAGTTTACTTAGTTCCCATATAGCAACTTATTTGGGAAGAAATGTGATGCAATCCAACAGGATGGGCTTTTGAACCAAAAATATTCTGGGTCTGTCACTGATTAGCTCTATTTCCTTGGATAAGTCATTGTATCAGTCAAGGTCCCAGTCTCTGCCTAGAATTCTTTCTGTTCAGGCTTTGTGGGGGTGACTCTTCATCACTGTACTAGTTTAAGTATTACCTTCTTAGAGAAGCTTTCTTTACCATCCAATCTAAAAATTACCCTGGTTTAGTCTCTACATAGCACAGACTAAAATTATCTGGTGGACTTATTTGTTATATTTTATTTTGCCCCACCAGAATATTAGCTGTATGAAGTAGGGCGCTTGTATGGC
The DNA here is from genome assembly GCF_000001405.40 of Homo sapiens. NCBI lineage: Eukaryota > Metazoa > Chordata > Mammalia > Primates > Hominidae > Homo > Homo sapiens. The sequence continues at coordinate 131,305,756 of NC_000007.14, forward strand.
CTGTCTGCTTACCCCTGGCACATCACAGCCTTTCCATAAATATATGTTGCAAGGAAAAGAGAGTGGATAGCGACAAACCAAACACAATGAGTTATTCTCTCTCTCAGGGAAATATTTAATATGGAGACGCATACTGAAAGGCATTGGAGAGTGATATGGTTTGGCTCTGTGTCCCCACCCAGATCTCATCTCAAATTATAATCCCCACGTGTCAGGGAAAGGACCTGGTGGGAGGTAACTGGATCATGAGGGTGGATTTCCCCTATTCTGTTCACATGATAGTGAGTTCTCAGGAGAGCTGATGGTTTAAAAGTGTGGCACATCCCCCCTTGCTCTCTCCCTCCTGCCACCTTGTGAAGAAGGTGCTTGCTTCTCCTTCACCTTCCACCATGATTACGTTTCCTGAGGCCTCCCCAGCCATGTGAAACTGTGAGTCAATTAAACCTCCTTTCTTCATAAATTACTCAGTCTCAGGTAGTTCTTTATAGCAGTGTGAGAATGGAGTAATACAGATAATTGGTACCAGGAGTGGGGCACTGCTATAAAGATACCTAAAAATGTGGAAGTGACTTTGGAACTGGATTATGGGCAAAGGTTGGAACGGTTTGGACGGCTCAGAAGAATACAGGAAGATGTGGGAAAATTTGGAACTTCTGAGAGACTTGTTGAATGGTTTTGACCAAAATGCTGATAGTGATATGGACCATGAAGTCCAGGCTGAGGTGGTCTCAGATAGAGATAAGGAACTCACTGGGAACTGGAGCAAAAGTCACTCTTGCTATGCTTTAGCAAACAGACTGGTGGCATTTTGCCCCTGCCCTAGAGAGCTGTGAAGCTATAAACCTGAGAAAGATTATTTAAGGTATCTAGCAGAAGAAATTTCTAAGCAGCAAAGCACTGAAGATGTGATCTGACTGTTTATGAAAGTTTACAGTCATATGCATTCACAAAGAGATGATCTGAAATTGCAACTTATGTTTAAAAGGAAAGCAGAGCATAAAAGTTTGGAAAATTTGCAGCCTGACCATGTGGAAGAATAGAAAAACTCATCTCCTGGGGAGAAATTCAAGCTGCCAGCTGCAAAAATTGGGTAAGTAAAGAAGAACCAAATGTTAATTGCCAAGACAATGCAGAAAATGTCTCCAGGGCAATTCAGAGACCTTCATGGCAGCCCCTCCCATCACAGGCCCAGAGGCCTAGGAGGGAAAAATGGTTTCATGGGCTGGTACCAGGGCCCCACTACTCTGCAGGCTTGGGACATGGCACCCTGCATCCCAGCCACAGTTGGGGGATGCAGGATGCCATGCCCATTTTAGCCACAACTACAGCTCCAGTTGTGGCTAAAAGGGGCCAAGGTACAGCTTGGGCTGTTGCTCCAGAGTGTGCTGCCCCATATCTTGGTGGCTTCTATGTGGTATTGGGCCTGTAGGTGTGCAGAAGGCAACAGTTAAAGTTTGAGAATCCTCCGCCTAGATTTCAGAGGATGTGTGGAAACACCTGGATATCCAGGCAGAAGTCTGCTGCAGGGGTAGTGCCCTCATGGAAAACCTCTACTAGGGCAGTGCAGAGGGGAAATGTGGAATGCGAGCTCCCACATGGAGTCCCCACTGGGGCACTGCCTAGTGGACCTGTGAGAAGAGGACAACCATCCTCCAGGCCCCAGAATGGCAGATCCACCAAGAGGTTGTACTGTGCACCTGGAAAAGCTGCAGGAACTCAAGGGCAGCCCATGAAAGCAGCTGCAGGGGCTGTACCCCGCAGAGTCACAGGAGCGGAGTTACCTAAGGCCTTGGGAGCCTACCTCTTGCATCAGCATGCTCTGGATGTGAGACATGGAGTCAAAGGAGATTATTTTGGAGCTTGAAGATTTAATGACTGCCAAGTTTCAGACTGGCAGTGGGGCCTGTAACCCCTCTGTTTTGGCCAGTTTCTCCATTTGGAATGGAAGCATTTACCCAATACCTGAACCCCTATTGTATCTTGGAAGTAACTAACTTGTTTTTTTATTTTACAGGCTCCTAGGCAGAAGGGACTTACCTTGTCTCAGAAGAGACTTTGGACTGTGACCTTTTGAGTTAATGCTGGAATAGGACTTTCGGTGGCTGTTGAGGAGGAATAATTGTATTTTGCAATCTGAAAAGGACATGAAATTGGGGAGGGGCCAGGGGCAGAATGATATGGTTTGGCCCTGTGCCCCCACCCAAATCTTTTCTCAAGTTGTAATCCCCATGAGTCAAGGGAGGGACCTGCTGGGAGGTGAATGGATCATAGGGGCAGATTTCCCCCATGCTCTTCTCATGATGTGAGTGAATTCTCATGAGATCTGATGGTTTAAGTGTTTGAGACTTCCCTCACTGGATCTCTCTCTCCTCCTGCCTTGTGAAAAAGGTACTTGCTTCTCCTTTGCCTTCTATCATGATTGTAAGTTTTCTGAGGCCTCCCCAGCCATATGGAACTGTGAGTCAATTACACCTCTTTTCTTCTTAAATTACCCAGTCTCACGTAGTTTTTTTTTTTTTTTTTTGAGATGGTATCTTGCTCTGTCAGCCAGGCTGGAATGCAATGGCATGATTTTGGCTCACTGCAACCTCCACCTCCCAGGTTCAAGTGATTCTCCTCTCTCAGCCTCCCAAGTGGCTGGGATTACAGGCATGCATCACTACGCCCAGCTAATTTCTGTATTTTTGGTAGAGACAGGGTTTCACCATGTTGGTCAGGCTGGTCTTGAATCCTGACCTCAGGTGATCCACCTGCCTTGGCCTCCCAAAGTGCTGGGATTACAGGCATGGGCTACCGCGCCTGGCCTCAGGTAGGTTTTTTTTGTTTTGTTTTTTCTTTTTTTTTTTTGAGACAGAGTTTCACTCCTTTTGCCCAGGCTGTAGTGCAATGGCATGATCTCAGCTCACCGCAACGTCCATCTCCCAGGTTCAAGTGATTCTCCTGCCTCAGCCTCCTGAGTAGCTGGGATTATAGGCATGTGCCACCACGCCTGGCTAATTTTGTATTTTTAGTAGAGACAGGGTTTCTCCATGTTAGTCAAGCTGGCTGCCAACTCCCAACCTCAGGTGATCCACCCACCTTGGCCTCCCAAAGTGCTGGGATTACAGGCGTGAGCCACCATGCCCAACCTAGGTAGTTCCTTATAGCAATGTGAGAATGGACGAATACAGATTTTACTCTCTGTAAAGATGGTAGCTTGTGGGGGATGATAAGACAACTGGGTCACTAGAGCTGGTGTGTCACCATAGCTGCTGTTATGCCTAAAAAAATGATGATCCATTGTCCAGTTTTCTATAAGGTTCAATATGTCTCAATCTTCGAATTGCAAGGGAACTAGACAGATTATAATTTCCAGGCTTTCCCTGTGTATCTTACAATAAACCCCATCACTTAAAATCATGTCCTGTAGACAAAGGAGAGTTAAGATGTACCGAGGAGTTCTGAGGGTCTAACTACTAGGAGCCTCCTGCAGATTTTGAAATTTCTCTTGTCTTCTATTTTATCTTACCATTGTTGACCTAAAAGGAAGAAGCTGAGGCAAAATTAATATAAGTAGAGAGTTTATTTGGGACAAGCTTGAGGATTGCAACTTAGTAACATAGATTCTAGTTGCCGTGAATATACATTCTGAGTAGCAGCAGTTACAAGTGGATTTTTTTTTTTGGAGGCAGTTTCACTCTTGTCACCCATGCTGGAGTGCAATGGTGTGATCTTGGCTCACTGCAACCTCCGCCTCCTGGGTTCAAGACATTCTTGAAGTCTTGAGTCTGCCTCAGACTCCCAAGTAGCTGGGATTACAGGCACCCACCATCACAGCTGGCTAATTGTTGTATTTTTAGTAGAGACAGGGTTTCGCCACATTGGTTAAGCTGGTCTCGAACTCCTGACATCAGGTGATCCACCCACCTCAGCCTCCCAAAGTGCTGGGATTACAGGTGTGAACCACCACACTCAGCCACAAGTGGATTTTTTTTTTTTTTTTTTTTTTGAGACAGGGCCTCGCACTGTTGCCCGGGCTGGAGTGCAGTGGTGCCATGTCAGCTCACTGCAAGCTCTGCTTCCTGGGTTCACGCCTTTCTCCTGCCTCAGCCTCCCGAGTAGCTGGGACTACAGGTGCCCGCCACCACGCCCGGCTAATTTTTTGTATTTTTAGTAGAGACAGGGTTTCACTGTGTTATCCAGGATGGTCTTGATCTCCTCACCTTGTGATCCGCCCACCTTGGCCTCCCAAAATGCTGGGATTACAGGCGTGAGCCACCACGCCCGGCCCACAAGTGGGTTTTTAAAAGGAAAGAAGAGGCAGTTCCTGAGTTATTTACCAATAATTTACATTAACATAACATAAGCTGTTGATTGGCTATCCATTATTAAGCTATAGGATATGGGTTATAATGTCTGGTGCAGCACCAGTAGGCTAATTTTCAGCTACTTGTGGCAATAGTAAGCAGTATAAAAAGATGAGTACATGCCTCAAAAGGGGGTGTGTGTAGGACAGGATTGCCGTCTCATTTTAATACCTCTCTGGATCTGATAATTGGAAAGGACTTGCATTCTTCAGATAAAAGTTCTTTTTCTCATTTCTTCCTTTTGATCAAAAATCTTTCCTTTTGAAAGCACTGATGATCAAAATCTGAGTGTCAAGGTATCCCTCATTGCCAGAAAGGCTCATGCCCAGGTAGTCCTACCAGTCATTGATTTATAGCTGCCATCACTTGTGGAATCACCTCTTCAGTGTACCATGAATTTAGTTTTCTCAGAAGAAATAAAACAATGAGAGATACACAGCGGAAATATTTTGAGGTTCCCAGGCCTGTCAGAAAGTGACATTCTTTACTTAACACAGGACAGAAATCTTGAAAGGGAACTACGTAGACAAGGGACCAGGCCAGTCTTTCCAAGAGGCTTTCTAATTGCCTCTATAGAGTCAACCTCCATTCTTCAAAGCAGTCTGGTCATATCTGAAAATATGTCATTCCAGTCAAATCCTTAGTAAAATAACAAGTGTCTCCAATTATATCCTGTTACAGAAAAAAGATTCTTATTAAATGTATGCAAATAACTAGATTGCCATAAAATAAGAGTACTCATGAATAGTTTCCAAATTTTGGAGTAATCAGGTAGAGAGAAAGGCAGATGTTTCAATGTTGTTCACAAAGGTATTTTTACCCAATTGTTATAAAGTATAAATAAATAGCTCAAGGAAAAAAAGTTTTCTTGACTCTGGAAGACAAAATAAAAAAAAAAACCAGCAATGTTTTAAATAAAAAGTCAGCAAATCTTTTCAGTCTTCTGTCAGTTCAGTCACATGTAATTAATTCGTGTTCTGCTTGATGTTGAGTTAGCAATCTAAGGAACACATCAGTTTATTACATACCTGAAAGTTGTTACTTAGTCCAATGATATGATCTCCAAAGTTATCAGAAACCTGTATTCAAGAGTACTTGTCAGGGTCCTATTCTATGAATTTCCTTGAAGAAAAAGCAAATTTTGAATTATAGACAATTGTAACTGCTTTATGAGAAGAGAAATAAAACTAATTGTTTTAGATAGCAAAAGACTTAGAATAGCCATGGTTAAAGATGCAATTGACAAGGAAATTTGGTTATTCCTGTGGTTTACAACAGTTTAACATAATAATCATAATTATGACTGATAACATATACCAAGACACATTAAAATTTTAGGAATCTCATACAAAACACATTCATCCTAATATAACTCAAAGAAAGTTAAACACCATTATTTCTTTGACAATGCTTTCCATATGATTTTAACATGCTAAATATGCCTAATATTCCTCTCTTGGACTTCCAGAGGTTCCTTTTGGAAAATACTTAATTTTAGAATTTGAAATTTGATTTTAGGAAGTATGTCCAATTTAAAAGTTTAAAATATTTGACCAAATAGGATCATAAGTCACTGTAAAATAGTATTCATTCATTTAGCCAAAGTGATAATTCAAAGATTGCAAAAAGCAAAACCCTTTACTCTTTGATAGAGAGTAAACTCGGTTTTCCAAACAATCCAAAGACCTTATAAAGACGGCATGAGACCAACAGAATCTCTCTTTCCCATTTTTTTTTTTTACTTAAAAGGTGAACTTTTTTTTACTGTTTCTTAAAAATACTTAAAAATCTTATTCAAAAGAGAAAACCAAATTTTACTTTTGCATCAGTATATTATTAATCCTAAGGCTAATTTCATTAAATCCTTATAAACAAATCTATCAAATCTCAGGCAGGTATTTTTTTTTGTTTTTTGTTTGTTTGTTTGTTTGTTTGTTTTAGATGGAGTCTCACTCTTGTTACCCAGGCTGGAGTGCAATGACCTGATCTCAGCTCACTGCAACCTCTGCCTCCCGGGTTCAAGTGATTCTCCTGCCTCAGCCTCCCAAGTAGCTGGGATTACAGGCACCTATCACCATACCCAGCTAATTTTTGTATTTTTAGTAGAGATGGTGTTTCACCATGTTGGCCAGGCTGGTCTCAAACTCCTGACCTCAGGTGATCTGCCCACCTCACCCTTCCAAAGTGCTGGGATTACAGGTGTGAGCCACCGCATCTAGCCCTCAGTTTTAACTGCATAAAATTTCTATAACCTTTAAAAATTTTTCTATTAAAGAGCAGATTAATGCTCCAAGAAAGCCCTGTTATTCTGAAACAGGGGTCCCACATCAGTGTGCTTTAAATATCAATGCATAATTTTTAGAAAAGTTAATAATCTCCTTCTAATTTTAGCCAACTTTATCACATACAAAATTCTTTTCATGAGATTAATCTTATACAAACCTTTTACAACTTGCTTACACCTTCAGTTTTGTCCTATACTTCATTTTTCTTATATTGGTATTCTACTTAGGACAAAGATTTACTATCCCCCTTATCATTTTGACCAAAGTCCCCTCTTACGTAAAGGAAAAAAATTACCCTTTTCAACTTTCTTTACATCTTCTTTATATGCTCTCTATGTAAATTTCTGGCCTAGTAGTTTTAGTTACATATATTAACCACAATGTTAACTCTTAGTAACCCTAATTTTCAGTGAAAAACCTAAGAAGTAAGCAACTTTATGTACCGTATGCAGAGCTCAGGACAAATGACAGTGCTATGGAGACAATGCCTGGAGGATCCAACTCCTTGCAGTAAAGCCAAGAGGCACAGCTCAACTAGGGATGATGGGGCCCAGGCACTGTCCCCAGGGCCACTTGTCTAGTCCTCAGAATCTAAAGGCTCAAATCCAAAGACATAAGCTCATAGACAAATTAAGCAAATACCAAAAAATACCATAAAAGCAATGGCCTTATGACCTTAAGACATTTAGCAGAGACAGTATAAACCAGTCTAACCAATAGATCTAGGCAAACATGTCTAAATTAAAATTTGAAGACGTTTCTATTTTACTTTACCAATAATTTAAAAACTATCTTAATTTAAACCCAAGATTACTAAAGTCAAGTGACCATGGAAAGCATTTGGGTTGGTTATATTATTTATGAGCACGTTTTCTATAAGTCAGTGGTACCATGTAGACAATATATAAACAGACATGTATACATGGTACACATAAATCAGACAGACACAGATAATGACTTCATAGCTTTAATTAAAAAATTTTAGCCACATTGAAACTGCTGGTGAACTGAGGTAAGAAAAACAAAACAAAACCAAGCAGAGAAAAAAATTTTAGTCATGAGACTGGTAAAACTCACTAGTTTTACAAGGACAGTTGGATTCAAACTGTACCTTTGTAAATGGAAAAGTTTAAAGTTTATCTGTTCCACATGGCTGAAGCTCGTACTGAGTTTTAGAGAAAATGCAGTAGTAACTTTATATCTCAAAGTACAAGGAGAAAGAATTTAAGCCTTTTCAAGGAGGAGTTTGGGTGTGTTGGAAGAAAATTAAAAATGGATGCCAAGGTAATACAAAATCACAGGAATCTATCATTGGATTTTATAAGGAGACCTATTTCACTTAGATAAGTAGCTTTTAATTTAGTCTGTTTTCCAGTTGGATCACTGAGCTCAGGGCAGAGCCCATTAAGGAGCAGGGCCATCAAAGCATTTACAGTTTTTAGAGCCTAATAATTTAAATATGTGAAAAGCAGATGCAATTGAAGGCAGAGCATCTAGAGCTTTATAAATTAAGGATTCCATTTTTAGGCTGAATCCTGGGTCCCCAAAAAGAGGGAAACTCCATGGGACTGGGCTATGCAACACTTTCATGGTGTACTTCAATACAAAAACATTTCTCTAAGTATTTAAACCGTGCCTTTCTTATCTTAACCAGCAAAGAAACCAGTAACTCCCTGTAGTAATAATAATAACCATTCACTGTAAACAACTGCTGTCAGCCACCTCCAGTAACTTGCCAGCCATCACATACACAAAGGTTAAGTGTTCTCTCACAGAACAAAGTAATATCCAGTACTCCTAAAAGTCAAAGGGATCAGGCGACACGATACAAAAGAGAGCAGAGTTTTGTGCTGGAAACTGTCATGAAATCTCTCCATGACTCTTCACACTCCACAGGAAGACAGAAGACCCCAGAAAGGGAGTGAGAGGCAGCTTTTTCTGTCTTCCTTTAGGGGTCTGAGTCATTAGAAGTCTCCTCTAGATCTTTTCATGTGGTACTGAAGACAGCAGAGAGATGGGAGGAGGTTGAATCTCATTTTTGTTTGTTTGTTTTTGAGATGGAGTCTCGCTCTGTCACCCAGGCTGGAATGCAGTGGTACGATCTCGGCTCACTGCAAGCTCCGCGTCCCAGGTTCACACCATTCTCCTGCCTCAGCCTCCCGAGTAGCTGGGACTACAGGCACCTGCCACCACGCCTAGCTAATTTTTTGTATTTTTAGTAGAGACGGGGTTTCACCGTATTAGCCAGGACAGTGTCGATCTCCTGACCTCGTGATCTGCTTGCCTTGGCCACCCAAAGTGCTGGGATTACAGGCTTGAGCCACCGCGCCCAGCCCTTGTTTGTTGTTTTGAGAGAGAGGGTCTCTCTGTTCTGCGGTACTGAAAGAAAAATAAAAAAATAGAAACAGGGTGTTGCTCTGTCACACAAGCGGGAGTGCGGTGTGACATGATTACAGTTCATCTAGCCTTGACACATTCTGGGCTTAAATGATCCTCGACCTCAGCTTCCTAAGCAGCTGGGACTACAGGCACACACCACCATGCCAAGATAAGTTTTGCTTTTACTTTTTGTAGAGACAGGGACTCATTACATTGACCAGGCCGGACTCAAGCAATCCTCCCACTGTGGCCTCCCGAAGTGGGCTGGGATTACAGACATCAGCCACCATGCCTGCGTGAATCTGTTTTTAATGAAGCTGGCTTTTGACTATGGAGTTCTTAAACACTTTTCGAGAAGGGGCCAAGATGGCCGAATAGAAACAGCTCCAGTCTGCAGCTCCCAGCGAGACCAATGCAGAAGGCAGGTGATTTCTTCATTTCCAACTAAGGTACCCAGTTCATTCCATTGGGACTGGTTAGACAGTGGGTGCAACCCATGGAGAGCAAGCAGAAGGGTGGGGCATTGCTTCACCACGGAAGTGCAAGGAGCTGGGGGACCTCCCTCCCCTAGCCAAGGGAAGCCGTGAGGGACTGTGCTACCCAGCCTGGATACTATGCTTTTCCCACGGTATTTGCAAGCCGGAGATCAGGAGAGTCCTTCGTGAGCCTACACCACCAGGGCCCTGGGTTTCAAGCACAAAACCAGGAGGCTGTTTGGGCAGGCACTGAGCTAGCTACAGTTTTTTCATACCCCAGTGGCGCCTGGAACCCCAGTGAGACAGAACTGTTCACTCCCCTGGAAAGGAGGCTGAAGCCAGGGAGTCAAGTGGTCTTGCTAAGTGGGTCCCACTCCCACGGAGCCCAGAAAGCTAAGAACCACTGGCTTGAAATTCTCACTGCCAGCACACCAGTCTGAAGTCAACCTGGGACAATTGAGCTTGGTGGGGGGAGGGGCATCTGCCATTACTGAGGCTTTAGTAGGCAGTTTTCCCCTGATAGTGATAAGGAGACTGGGAGGTTTGGACTGGGCAGAATTCACCACAGTGTGGCAAAGCGGCTGTGGCCAGACTGCTTCTCTAGATTCCTCCTCACTGGGCAGGGCATCTCTGAAGCAAAGGTAACAGCCCCAGTCAGGGGCTTACAGATAAAACTCTCACCTCCCTGGGACAGAGCACTGGATTGTCCCCAGAGCACTGCGGAGGGGCTGCTGTGGGCACAGCTTCAGCAGCCTTAATCTTTCCTGCCTGCTGGCTCTGAAGAGAGCAGCTGATCCTGACAAAGGGTATTCTCCCAACACAGGGTACCAGCTCTGCAAAGGGATGAAGTGCCTCCTTAAGTGGGTCCCTGACCCCCATGCCTCCTGACTGGGAGAAACCTCCCAACAGGGCTTGACAGAAACCTCCCAACAGGGGTTGACAGACACCTCATATAGGAGAGCTCCGGCTGGCATCAGGCTGGTGCCCCTCTGGGACAAAGCTTACAGAGGAAGGAGCAGGCAGCAATCTTTGCTGTTCTGCAACCTCCACTGGTGATACCCAGGCAAATAGGGTCTAGAGAGGATGTTTAGCAAACTGCAGCAGACTTGCAGAAGAGGGGCCTGACTGTTAGAAGAAAAACTAACAAACAGAAAGCAACAACAACATCATCAACAAAAAAGACTCCCACACAAAAACTCCCATCCAAATGTCATCAGCCTCAAATATCAAAGGTAGATAAATCCACGAAGATGAGGAAAAGCCAGCACAAAAACACTGAAAATTCCAAAAACCAGAATGCCTCCTCTCCTCCAAATGATCGCAACTCCTCTCCAGCAAGGACACAAAACTGGACAAATAATGAGATTAACGAATTGACAGAAGTAGGCTTCAGAAGGTAGGTAATAACAAACTCCTTTGAGCTAAAGGAACATGTTCTAACCCAATGCAAGGAAGCTAAGAACCTTGATAAAAGGTTACAGGAACTGCTAACTAGAATAACCAGTTTAGAGAGGAACATAAATGACCTGATGGAGCTGAAAAACACAGCACAAGAACTTCCTGAAGCATACACAAGTATCAATAGCTGAAACAATCAAGTGGAAGAAAGGATATCAGAGATTGAAGATCACCTTGCTGAAATAAGGTGTGAAGACAAGATTAGAGAAAAAAGAATGAAAAGGAATGAACAAAGCCTCCAAGAAATATGGGGCTATGTGAAAAGACTAAACCTACGATTGATTGGTGTATCTGAAAGTGATGGGGAGAATGGAACCAAGTTGGAAAACACACTTCAGGATATTATCCAGAACTTCCCCAACCTAGCAAGACAGACCAACATTCAAATTCAGGAAATACAGAGAACACCACTAAGATATTCCTTGAGAAGATCAACCCCAAGACACATAATCATCAGATTCCCAAACATTGAAACGAAGGAAAAAATGTTAAGGGCAGACACAGAGAAAGTTCAGGTAACCTACAAAGGGAAGCCCGTCAGACTAACAGCAGATCTCTCTGCAGAAACCCTACAAGCCAGAAGAGAGTGAGGGCCAATATTCAACATTCTTAAAGAAAAGAATTTTCAACCCAGAATTTCATACCCAACCAAACTAAGCTTCTTAAGCAAAGGAGAAATAAAATCCTTCCCAAACAGGCAAATGCTGAGGGATTTTGTCACCACCAGGCTGGTCTTACAAAAGCTCCTGAAGGAAGCACTAAATATGGAAAGGAAAAACCAGTACCAGCCACTGCAAAAACATACCAAAATATAAAGACCAGTGACACTATGAAGAAACTGCATCAACTAATGTGTAAAATAACCAGCTAGCATCATGATGACAGGATCAAATTCACATATAATAATATTAACATTAAATGTAAATAGGCTGAACGCCCTAATTAAAAGACACAGACTGGCAAATTGGATAGAGTCAAGACCCATCAGTGTGCTGTATTTAGGAGACCCATCTCACATGCAAAGACATACATAGGCTCAAAATAAAGGGACGAGCAAATGGAAAGCAAAAAAAAAAAAAAAAAAAAAGCAGGGGTTGCAATCCTAGTCTCTGATAAAACAAACTTTAAACCCAAAAAGTTCAAAAAAGACAAGGGCATTACAGAATGGTAAAGGGATCAATGCAACTAACAATAGTTAGAGAAGAGCTAACTATCCTAAATATATATGCACCCAATACAGGAGCACCCAGATTCATAAAACAAGTTCTTAGAGACCTATAAAGAGACTTAGACTCCCACACAATAATAGTGGGAGACTTTAACACCACACTGTCAATATTAGACAGATCAACAAGACAGAACATTAACAAAGATATTCAGGACTTGTACTCAGCTCTGGATCAAGTGGACTTAATAGATATCTATAGAACTCTCCACCCCAGATCAACAGAATATACATTCTTCTCAGTACCTCATGGCAGTTATTCTAAAATTGACCACATAATAGGAAGTAAAACACTCCTTAGCAAATGCAAAAGAATGGAAATCATAACAGTCTCTCAGACCACAGTGCAATTAAATTAGAACTCAGGATTAAGAAACTCACTCAAAACTGCACAATTACATGGAAATTGAACAACCTGCTCCTGAATGACTCCTGGATAAATATCGAAATTAAGGCAGATAAAGAAGTTCTTCGAAACCAATGAGAACAAAAAGACAATGTACCAGAATCTCTGGGACACAGCTAAAGCAGTGTTAAGATGGAAATTTATAGCACTGAATGCCCATATCAGAAAGCTGGAAAGATCTGAAATCGTCACCCTAACATCACAATTAAAAGAACTAGAGAAGCAAGAGCAAACAAATTCAAAAGCTAGCAGAAGACAAGAAATAACTAAGATCAAAGCAGAACTGAAGGAGATAGAGACACAAAAAACCCTTCAAAAAATCAATGAATCCAGAGGTAGTTTTTTTAAAAAATTAACAAAATAGACCACTAGCTAGACTAACAAAGAAGAGACAAGAATCAAATAGACACAATAAAAAATGATAAAGGGGATATCACCACTGATCCCACAGAAATACAAACTACCATCAGAGAATACTATAAACACCTCTATGCAAATAAACTAGAAGATCTAGAAGAAATGGATAAATTCCTGGACACATACACCCTCCCAAGACTAAACCAGGAAGAAGTCGAATCCCTGAATAGACCAATAACAGGCTCTGAAATTGAGGCAGTAGTTAATAGCCTACCAACCAAAAAAAGCCCAGGACCAGAGAGACTGACAGCCGAATTCTACCAGAGGTACAAAGAGGAGCTGGTACCATTCCTTCTGAAACTATTCCAAACAACAGAAAAAGAGGGACTCCTCCCTAACTCATTTTATGAGGCCAGCGTCCTCCTGATACCAAAACCTGGCAAAGACACAACAAAAAAAGAAAATTTCAGGCCAATATCCCTGATGAACATCGATGTGAAAATCCTCAATAAAATATTGGCAAACCGAATCCAGCAGCACATCAAAAAGCTTATCCACCACAATCAAGTTGGCTTCATCATTGGGGTGCAAGGCTGGTTCAACATATGCAAATCAACAAACGTAATCTATCACGTAAACAGAACCAATGACAAAAACCACGATTATCTCAATAGATACAGAAAAGGCCTTCGATGAAATTCAACATCTCTTCATGTTAAAAACTCTCAATAAACTAGGTATTGATAGAACATATCTCAAAATATTAAGAGCTATTTATGACAAACCCATAGCCAAGATCATACTGAATGGGCAAAAGCTGGAGGCATTCCCTTTGAAAACTGGCACAAGACAAGGATGCCCTCTCTCACCACTCCTATTCAACATAGTATTGGAAGTTCTGGCCCAGGGCACTCAGGCAAGAGAAAGAAATAAAGGGTATTCAAATAGAAAGAGAGGAAGTCAACTTGTCTCTGTTTGCAGACGACATGATTATATATTTAGAAAACCCATTGTCTGAGCCCCAAAATCTCCTTAAGCTGACAGGCAACTTCAGCAAAGTCTCAGGATCAAAAATCGCAAGCATTCCTGTACACCAATCATAGAGAACAGAGAGCCAAATCACGAGTGAACTCCCATTCACAATTGCTACAAAGAGAATAAAATACCTAGGAATACAGTTTTCAAGGGACGTGAAGGATCTTTTCAAGGAGAACTACAAACCACTGCTCAAGGAAATGAGAGGACTCAAACAAATGGAAAAAAATTCCATGCTCATGGATAGGAAGAATCAATATCATGAAAATGGCCATACTGCCCAAAGTAATTTATAGATTCAATGCTACTCCCATTAAGCTACCATTGAGTTTCTTTGCAGAATTATAAAAAACTACTTTAAATTTAATATGGAACCAAGAAAGAGCCTGCATAGCCAAGACAATCATAAGCAAAAATAACAAAGTTGGAGGCAGCACGCTACCTGACCTCAAACTATACTGCAAGGCTACAGTAACCAAAACAGCATGATACTGGTACCAAAACAGATACATAGACCAATGGAACAGAACAGAGACCTCAGAAATAACACCACACATCTACAACCATCTGATCTTTGACAAACCTGACAAAAACAAGCAATGGGGAAAGAATTCCCTATTTAATAAATGGTGCTGGGAAAACTAGCTAGCCATATGCAGAAAACAGAAACTGGACCCCCTCCTTACACCTTATACAAAAATTAACTCAAGATAGATTAAAGACTTAAATGTAAAACCCCAAGCCATAAAAACCCTAGAAGAAAACCTAGGCAATACCATTCAGGACATAGGCATGGGCAAAGACTTCATGACTAAAACACCAAAAGCAATTGCAACAAAAGCAAAAATTGACAAATGGGATCTAATTAAACTAAAGAGTTTCTGCACAGCAAAAGAAACTATCACCAGAGTGAAAAGGCAACCTACAGAATGAGAGAAAAATTTTGCAATCTACCCATGTGTCAAAGGTCTAATATCCAGAATCTACAAGGAACTTAAACAAATTTTCAAGAAAAAAAACAAACAACCCCAACAAAAAGTGGGCAAAGAATATGAACAGACACTTCCAGAAGAAGAGATTGATGTGGCCAACAAACATATGAAAAATAGCTCATCATCAGTGGTCATTAGAGAAATGCAACTCAAAACCACAGTGAGATACTATCTAATACCAGTTAGAATGGCAATTATTAAAAAGTCAGGAAACAACAGATGCTGGCAATGCTGTGGAGAAACAGGAATGCTTTTACACTTGTTGGTGAGAGTGTAAATTAATCCAACCATTGTGGAAGACAGTGTGGTGATTCCTCAAGCATCTAGAACCAGAAACACCATTTGACCCAGCAATCCCATTACTGGATATACACCAAAAGGGTTATAAATCATTCTGGTATAAAGACACATGCACATGTGTGTTTGCCGCAGCACTTTACAATAGCAAAGACTTGGAACCAACCCAAATGCCCATCAATGACAAGCTGGAAAAAGAAAATGTGGCACATAAACACCATGGAATACTATGCAGCTATAAAAAAAGAGTTCATGTCCTTTCCAGGGACATGGATGACGCTGGAAGCCATCATTCTCAGCAAATTAACACAGGAACAGAAAACCAAACACCACATGTTCTCACTAATAAGTGGGAGATGAACAATGAGAATAGATGGACACAAGAAGAACATTAAACACCGGGGCCAGTCGGGGTGGGGCCAAGGGAAGGGAGAACATTAGGACAAATACCTAATGCACGTGGGGCTTAAAACCTAGATGACAGTTGGTAAGTGTAGCACACCACCATGGCACAAGTATATCTATGTAACAAACCTGTACATTCTGCACATGTATCGCAGAATTTAAAGTAAAATTTAAAAAAAATAAAAACTTTTCAAATCTCTCATTATCAAGTATTAGCCAGCACAAATAGCTGTTATTCCTGGCTTTTGAACTTTAAAAAACAAACAAACAAACAAAAAACAAAGGTACCCTTCCAAATGACTCACCAAAACCAATAAGCCTTTATCAAGGTTATGACTTAACCAAGGATGCATGGGGCATCTCCAAAGGAGGTGCAACACAGTCCTCACAAGATCAAGAATCATCCCAAAGACAGCTCAAAGAAAGGGAAGTTTCACTAGCCACAAGTAAAGTACAACTCACATTTCTATCTGATCTCAGCTTCTCAGCTGGTTACTCATGAAGGCCCAAATGGTCTGTATGTCCCACAAATGGAAAAAGACAGGAAATCAAAAGTTGTCCATGGAAGAGATAAGGATCAATAACAATTGGTATCCCAAAAGGTTAAGAATCATACAATACTTTAAAACAAATGAGATTAGCTCCCTGGCTAGGAATTGAACTCAGGCTACAGTGGTGAAAGCACCAAATCCTAGCCATTATACCACTGGATGGGGTGTTTTCTTTGTTTTTGTTTTCATTTTTTTGTTTGTGTGTTTGTTTTTTGGTAAATTTTGCAGGGAATCCAAAGCAGGCAGTTTAAGCATTTAAGGATTTTATCTTGTCTTAGATCTGATCTCATCTGGAATGCTGCTTAGCTAATTCCCTGAATGTTAGCATTTTAAAGACATGATAAGATTTAAAGGGTACTGTCTCACAGTGGGTCAATAAATCAGTGTGTATTAGTTCATTCTCACACTGCTATAAAGAACTACCTGAGACCGGATAATTTATAAATAAAATTGGTTTAATTGACTCACAGTTCTACATGGCTGGGGAGGCCTCAGGAAACTTAAAATCAGGGTGGAAGGTGAAGGAGAAGCAAGCACCTTCTTCACAAGGCAGTAGGAGAGAGAAAGCCAGAAAGGGAACTGCCAAACACTTTTTTTTTTTTTTTTTTTTTTTTGAGACGGAGTCTCGCTCTGTCGCCCAGGCCGGACTGCGGACTGCAGTGGCGCAATCTCGGCTCACTGCAAGCTCCGCTTCCCGGGTTCACGCCATTCTCCTGCCTCAGCCTCCCGAGTAGCTGGGACTACAGGCGCCCGCCACCGCGCCCGGCTAATTTTTTGTATTTTTAGTAGAGACGGGGTTTCACCTTGTTAGCCAGGATGGTCTCGATCTCCTGACCTCATGATCCACCCGCCTCGGCCTCCCAAAGTGCTGGGATTACAGGCGTGAGCCACCGCGCCCGGCCACTGCCAAACACTTTTAAACCATCACATCTCGTAAGAACTCCCTCCCTATCATGAAAACAGCATGGGGGAAACTGCCTCCATGATCCAATCATCTCCCACCAGGCTTCTCCCCCGACACGTGGGGATTACAATTCGAGATGACATTTTGTTGGGAACACAGAGCCAGACCATATCACAGTGTCATTCACTAGACCTGGTGAGAAAAAATTTTGTTGGATCTGCATTTTTATAGTCTCAGCAGTCTTATTCCCATTCTGTTGTTGTTCTGCTTGTTCCTTCTGCTCTAAATTTAAATTCATTTCCCCTGAGAGAAGGAAATGTGTACATTGTGAAATTTTAAAACATCTCTGCCTAAGAGATGTATGGAAGCCAAGAGAAGCGGCAGAAAGGGATGAGTTCAGATCACAGGGCTGGAAGGAAAAGGAGGGTCTGGAGGTGAAAGGGAGAAAGCCTCTGAAGTCTTTTAACATAGTTTCAAATATCCCTTTGTTTACCTCTTGAATGAAGGTGACTTTTTCTTTCAGGATTTCTTTTAGAAGTTTTTAGGTGCCAGTGGAAGTCAGTCTCTTATTTACATGTCTGGTTCTAAAACCAGCTCTTTCCAATGGTGTGCACAAATAAATTACTTTAGGTATATCAAAAGATCCCCATTTTTGGTCATTGTTGCCTATGATCATTCCAGGTTAGATGGGTCTACTTTCCCAGATACTACAAGACAGTACCCCATAAATCATATATGTAGTTCCAGCAGGTATTTCTAAAAAGAGTGTTCAGGTTTTGAACACTCTTATTATTGATTTCTCATAACTCAGGAACTTTTCAAAAGTGACCAAAGCCAGGAATGTGTTTAGGATCAAAGTGTGGCATGTTTTGGACTGTCTCTAATTGTCAGATGGCAGCAGAGTCCTCAAGGATGAGGACAATTGGATTGTCTGTAATTGTCAGATGGCAGCGGAGTCCTCAAGGTATGGGGGACCAGACCCTCGTATTACGTCCACCTGGAAGAGCAAAAGGGGTACACATTTCAGTTAGGAACTAACAGGAATTAGTTAAAATTAAAGACTAATTCAGAATTTTCAAGTGATAGTAAACAACTGCTATCTCAAACACATACGATATAAAATGAAACCACTGGTGCCTAACTGCCAGTTCTTTCACTCAAACCTCTGCTGTGAGACAGAGGTGAAAAAAACTTGACCCAAACCCCTGGTTCTGAGGCAGAGGCAGAAAAACCATGACCTGCACCTCTGCTGTAAGACAGAGAGGGAAAAAAGGCAGTTCCCTGCAGAGCTCTATACCCGAATCTTCTGTCCAAAGACAGAGACCGAAGCCCTCACACTTAAAGAAAGGGTTTGAAAAACAGCCCAAATAAAGTCTAGACCTTCAACCCAAGAGTAGGAGGTCCAAATTCCGGAGAACTCATCTGAAACACCTGATGAGACTTCTGAAGGAAGAGAGTTCACACTGGTACCAAGCGCTGCTTTCAGAGAGAAACACCACCAGCTGGTTGGGGGGAGTCACTGTGAATCCTGCTGACTTACTCCAGATGTTTTACCTAAAAGGAAGAAGCGGAGGCAAAATTAATATAAGTTGGGAGTTTATTTGGGCCAAGCTTGATGACTGCAACCTGGGAACATAGATTCAGGTTGCCTTGAATATACACTCTGAGTAGCAGCAGTTACAAGTGGATTTTTAAAGGGAAAGATGAGGCAGTGCCTGAGTTATTTACCAAGAATTTACATTAAAATAAATCAAGCTACTGATTGGCTATACATTATGAAACTATAGGATGAGGGTTATAATGTCTGGTGCAGCATTAATTAGTAGGTTAATGTTTAGCTTCTGTGGCAATAGTAAGCAGTTTCAAGAGACAAATACACAGTTCAAAAGTGGGGGAGAAGGACAGGATTGCTGTTTCACTTTAATGCCTCTCTGGGCCTCATAATTTAAAAGGATTTGCATTCCTCAGATAAAGTTCTTTTCTTAACATTTAAACAAATTTTCGTCTTGGTATCATAATATAGCTGTCTGTATGTTAACATAGGAATGCTTTAAATTATTTTACCATTTATAAAATTTGTGATGCAGGAAAGCCATGCTATCCTGGGTCTTTACCTTCTGAGTAGCAATTATACCTCAGGGATACACGTTTGTAGTCTGAGAAGTGCTGGCATTTTTTTTTTCCTTTGCAACTCAGAAGTCTCTAATTAAAGTTCTCTTTTAGCATTATTCATTCACTCTTTGATAAATATTTACTGAACATCTTTATTTGCTAGACACATCAACAGGACTGAGGATACAACTGTGAACAAGATATGTATGACTCTTATCTTCATGGGAGCTATCATTTAGAGAGAAAGAAAGGGGAAAAAAGAGAAAATTAAAATATATTGTGATGTGTGCTAAGATAAAGAGGGAAACTTAGAGTGCTAAGAGAAATGTAAAAAATGTTACCTATCCTGTGTTAGCTTGCATAGGAAAAAAAAAATGAAGAAAACTGTCACCTAATCCCAGAGCAGGTGTTGAAGAAAGATTTTCGGCCAGACGCAGTGGCTCATACCTGTAATCCCAGCACTTTGGGAGGCCAGGCCGAGGCAGGAGGATCGCTTGAGCCCAGGAGTTCAAGACCAGCCTGGGCAACAGAGTGAAACCCTGTGTCTACAAAAAAATTTAAAAAGTAGCTTGGTGTGGTGATGTCTGCCTGTGGTCCCACCTACATGGGAGGCTGAGGCAGCATGATCCTTTAAACCCAGGAGGTCAAGGCTGCAGTGAGTCATGTTCATGTGACTGCACTCCATCCTGGGTGACAGAGTCAGAGTGAGATTCTGTCTCAAAAAAAAAAAACCAAAAAAATTTCCAGGACCAAACAGTCTACAGGATGAGCTGGAGTTAGCCAGGTAAAGAATGGGAAAGAATATTCCATGCCTGGCTTAGAGCAAGCTCCGGAGGCTAGAGAGAACAAGGACTCTATGGGAACAAATTCAGTGTGCTAGTTAGTGGGCAGATGTCAAAAGCGCAAAGGAGAAAAGTGGGGGGGGGGTGGTGGTGAGGAAGCTGGAGAGAAAAATCAAGGCAGGTTATGAAGGGCCTCTGTTAAACAGTTTAGAAGGGTATTGAAAGTCACCAAAAGGATTTAAGCTTAAGAAGAACTAATTAACATGTGTTTTTAAAAAAGATTGCTCAGGAACTATGTCTGGAAAAGAACAAGGACTTGACTTACATTAAGGTAAGAAGTGGAATTATAAAATCTGGGGCCCAAAGGAATTGGAGTGAGTTAATTCCTCCCCTTTAAAGTGTCTATTTTCTTCAAAGATAACCACTATATCATCTCTGGGGCTAACATTCTCTGGCCCTTTCCCACTGTCTCTGGCAGCTCCCGACCCAAGTCACTACAGTTACAGCATTCCCTTAAGGAACACATGCTTTTCCAACCTGCTGCAACACAGAAAGCACATGTAATTTTTTATTTTATTGTATTTTATTTGTTTTTCTGAGACAGAATTTCACTCTGTTGCCCAGGCTGGAGTGCAGTGGTGTGATCTTGGCTCACTGCAACCTCTGCCTCCTGGGTTCAAGTGATTCTTGTGCCTCGGCCTCCCAAGTAGCTGAGATTATAGGTGTATGTCACCACACGCAGCTAACTTTTGTATTTTTAGTAGAGACGGGGTTTCACCATGTTGGCCACGCTGGTTTCGAACTCCTGACCTCAGGTGATCCACCCACCTCAGCCTCCCAACGTGCTGGGATTACAGGTGTGAGCCACCGTGCCGGGCCTGGCCTTTCTATCTGGCTTTTTTGATTTGATATCCTAGTAGAGCCCACTATTAAAATTTCCATCTATAGAAACAGGAAGTCAGGAAAGGACTGGAGGGAATTTCGGCAGGTTAATGATTACAACGGGAAGAGAATACAATTATTGAGGTGTTTTGACTCACTTGGTCATTTCCTGAGAAACTCTTTGCTTGAATTTTTCCACTCTTCAGGTGAAGATGATGACACTGTCCAGGCTTTCAGGAGTCCAACCTCTTAGACAATAAGCGACATACTCTTTGGTAACTGCAGTGGCTAAGCCAAGGAATAAATATGCATAACTACAACAAACAGGTACTTGATGAGAACGTTATCTAGAGCTGCCAGATAATTTAGACCAAGTGCACCTTTTGTTGTAAGAAGCTGGTATGATGTCCACATAGTTTTCAGGGCTGCTGTTCCCTCTAAGAAGAAGGAATAGTCTTTTTCCTGAACTACTCTCTCTCTGAACTTTTAGGCTACAATTATGTCAGTTCAAAGTGGGCAGATTTGCCAACTGAAAAAATGATGACACGCAGCTTCCCAACTCTGTAAGGACTTTTCAGGTCTGTGGGTGAACGTCATTCCCGAGCAAACCAATGCCACAAGATTAGTAGGATGCGGCTCACAAGAAATGTTTACAATGAAGGGCATCACAGACTGCAAACCAAACAGGGTAGGAGGACACGGGACCATTTCCTTTTCCTGTCTCCATCTGACTCTGGAAGGCGGGGACAAGACATTTAAAACCAGGACCACTCCAGGAGGACAGCACATTAGCTACTGCCCTCCAGCTCCCTTCAGTGTTGTTTCCGTAAAGGACTTATAAACTGGCGAGGGCGGTGGCTTCCAAAAGCGCACAGGCGTCCCTTTTCCAACTTGGTCTTCTTATTTTCCCTTCCTGCTCCATAACTACAACGTGTTTCTGTTCGTAATCATCTCGGCTTTTCCTTACCTCTGCTTGTAAGAAAAGTCCTTTGCGCCATTCCCCTCCAAGCCCCAGGGAAGGGCCTGGAAAGCGCTTACACCTCAGACCCAGTGTCGGTCAGCCGTCAAGGAGCGAGCGACGTGGGAAACCCTGAGATAGGACATTGGCCCGGCGCTGGGCTCGGGTAACGATGCGGGGCGGGGAGCGCGGGCGGCCGGGGAGGGCGGCGGCCCCTTTAAGAGCAGGCCACGCCCCCTCCCCTCCTCCCGTTCGCTGCCAGCGGTCGGTGGCGGCCGCTACGGTGCTGACAAGATGGCGGCTGGCGGAGCTGTCGCTGCGGCGCCCGAGTGCCGGCTTCTCCCCTACGCGCTACACAAGTGGAGCTCCTTTTCCTCCACCTACCTTCCCGAGTAAGTGCCGGGCCTTGAGCTCGTGCTGCCCCACCCTTCCGCGTCAGCACGGTTGGGCCAGGGGTGCAATGGAGGGCAGCCGAGCCGAGAGGCCCAGGCGGGGCCTGCTGAGGGGGACGTGCGGCCTCCGGAGTCTTAGTTCAGCTGCTGAGAGCGTTGCTCGGCCTCGCTCGGGAAGGGGTTAGGGTCCGGAGAGCGAGCCCAGGGAGAAGGGGCGAGGTGTGTGGCGGATCCGGGGCGCGCACAGGAGAACCGGAAGCCCAGCGGTTCTGCGCTTGGGATTTGGGGGTTGAGGTTGAGGAGGGCTTGGGGGGCGGACGGCTCTGGGGCAGGAATCGGAGTTGGCGGGGCCCTGCCCGCGGGCAAACTACCCCGAATGTCTGAGGTCGTCCGAGGTGGTCGGCGTCGGGGGACAGTTCAGTCGATTGCTGCCGGGACAAAGTGTAAAGCCGAGGAGTGTCTATTCCAGAGTGGGGTCATTAAAAGTGATTAGCTCTAGAGTAGTGTTAAAAGTCACGGAAGGCTGAAAAGTTGTGGAATCCATCTGAATCCTAGCAGGCGGGGAGAACTTGTAGGATTGGCAGACGTTGTCTTTAATGCCTGGAAGTTCTGAAAAAGATAGGGAGTGGGAAGGAGGGACGTTACCGAAGAATTTCAGTATTACGGCTCATTAGAAGATGGGTTTGTATGGACACAGACACGTTTCCCAGTCCGGAAACTCAAACATAGAAACATCTGGCTTTAATGAATTTGATTTTCAACACCGGCTTTGTCTTGATCCCTGATTTAGGTGTTAAAAAAATTCAGTTGCATTGTTAGGTTTTTGTTGGTGGTGTTTTTTTCTCTAGCAAATTCCTTCTGAAATGCTGAAAATACTCTTACATAGTATCTTATTTATCTTTGGCTTATCTTTGAAAGGAGGAGCAGATCTAACTCCAATTTTACATGCTAGTGGAGGAACTGGCTTAGTAAAGGGTTAAGATCTGTGCAGATCCTGAAGAAAAGTGCTAGTTGTCCCTCTAACCATCTCACAGGACCGAAACGATTTTATGAACGAAACAAATTAATGAATAATATATTTTACTGAGTATTTTACTAAACAAAAAAGTGACTAGATCTGTGAAGCATACTCAAGTAAGTTTTCCATCTGTATTTGAGAAATTCTTCACATTTATCCAAATTTGATTTCACTGGTTATATCAATGAAGAATCTCAAAATGGAGCTGCAACTGGAAGAATCTGTCATGACTGCCAGCCTCCCATTTTATTCACCAGGTCAAGGGTTGGCATTCAGTAGGATCTGGCCCAATGAAGGGTGCCAAGTGACCTGTGGTTTGATCTGGCCTGCGTAGCCTATTCATGGCCATATCCCTGATTGATGCTGAAACCCAACTTTGAATTTGAGAGTGAGCCAGATAAACAGTCCAGCCATGTAGTTGGAGTTGAAATGTGGCCCTATGTACTTGACCTCTGATATTCTGGGCTATCTTGTTCTTGGATCTGAAGTTATTCAGCTTTTTTCTATACCCAGGCTAGGATTATGGACAGTTGGGAATTGGTGTGGCATTGTTTGATCTAACTGTAGAGACATTTTTCTGGTCTTGAATTAGCGTATTTCCAGGACGTCACTCCTTAAATTTTTGATGTAGGCCTGAGGCTTGGATAACACAAGTACCATCCGCGTTATCTGTTGTATAGACATTTTAAGAAAGTACATTTCAAGCAGGAAATGATTTAGTGGGATGGCAACTTTAATCTTTTGTGTCTTGTTACTCTGGCCCCTGGTTTGCAGTGGGCAGAACACTAGTTTTGGAGTTAGAAAGCAACAATTTGAGATTGGAGAAATACATTGCTGCAATTTTCTCAAGTACATACATAAAATAGTATTTAATACATACGTAACTTTCATACACTTCCACTTACTATATCTTGTTTAATCCTTATGACATTCTATTGACAAATGCAGTATAATTTGTATTTAAAGTAAAGTATTAGAAGAGTAATCTAAGCTTTTTTCTTTGAAGGAGTATAGTTGAGTATTATGGAGCTGGAGTTGGAGAATATTGTGTCTGCTGGGTTGGTGTGTGCCATGCCTAAATTATAAAACTCTTGGCTCTGAACTTCTATAAGCAAGCAAGGATATTACTTCTCTGTGTGACAGAAGATGTAGGAAAGGGGTTGACTTTACTTACCTTTGCCCTAAAATCCCCTCTAGCAGCAATTGTTGTATCTTTACTGGCAGTGGAAACCATATTAAGGTACTTCTTAAACAGGTCTCATTTTAGGTTAAAGACATTTGTTGAAATTGTCCACAAAGTGGCAAATATTTGTTGGCATAGATCTAAGCATTTCGAGGTGGCAGTAATAAATCAGTAACAAAAATGGTAAACATTTATGATGTGCCGTCCATTTGCTAGGCTCTCTTATGAACATTTTTAAGTGTATCAACTCATTTAATCCTTACCGCAATCCCAAGAGGAATCTCCGTTTGCCAGATGTTGGAAGCAGGTAGGGAGAAGTTTAAACTTGCCTAAGGTCACACAGCTAGATGGAACCAGAATTTGAATCAAGGTAGTCAGGCTCCACAGTCTGTGGTCTTTAACTATAGTGTTTTACTGCTTCTGCACAAAGGTATATATAGTACAGGAAATCAGAACTTTAAAAGAGCTCTTGTATTAAAGGCACTTACATTTTAGTTGTGTAAAGAAATGTGAAGTCATTAAAAAAAATTGAACAATTTTATCTCTATTTTCTTTCTAAGGACTTAGAATTCTTTTCCCCTTCTTCCAGAGGCAGAAAAAACAAATATTTCCCCTTTCAACTCTTTTTAATTTATTTGGACTTTAAAAATGTTAAAGCAGATTCAGTTATAGGGAACACATTTTTACTTTGAGACTAAAAAAAGGCCTTTTATTTTTGTGTGCTTAGAGATTGCCTGTATTTTACTTTTTTTCTGAAATTTACACCTAATTTAATAATTAAATACACTTATTTAAATAATTCATAAAATTACATATACTCTTATACATAAAAATATTTTGTAAACTGCTAATCCCTGTACTCAAATGTTTATTTTTGTATCTAATAATGATGCTAGTTACAATTTAGTGAGCACCTAATATATGCAAGATGCTTTTTGTATACAGTTTTGTTTAATTCTTGGTACATACCTGTAAGATAGGTATTTTATATATGTTTTGTGGAGGATGAAACTGAGGTCCATACAGGGTAAGTAGCTTGCCCAGGGTCATATAGTTTTCCAGAGGCTTGCCAGGTTTTCTGACTTAAAAACTATTGCATTGTGACTTTAATAACAGTCACCACTTATTGAGTACTTTCTATTCTTCAGGCACTGTACTGAGCATTTAGCATGTGTTCTTTGATATAATAGTCTTCACAAAAACCCTATGAGATAAATATTATTATTCTATTTTAGAGCTAGGAAAAGTGAGATTTAGGGAGGTAAGTTAACTTGCCCAGGTCTAAGAGTTGAAAATGTAAGAGGGGCAGGGCAGGGTGGCTCACACCTGTAATCCCTGCACTTTGGGAGGCCAAGGCAGGAGGATCACTTGTGCCCAGGAGTTTGAGACCAGCATGGGCAACACAATGAGACCCCATCTGCAATAATAATAATGATGAGGAGGAAGAAAATGTAGGTGATAAGGTTCTCATATTGGGCCTTTTGACTTCTGTTACGAAAGCTGTTCATTATTATACATGGCTATTGTATATGTCTAATTGAGATTACAGATAAGCGCTCTAAGGTTAGAACAGCAAGAGAGGGAAAAATAGATTTTATCTTGATGTTTAAGATTTTAGTATACTCATATGAGAACTGGGAGAAACTTTGAAAGTATTTTTTACATATTAGGTAATTTCATTGGTATAGAATGATTCTTATCTTGTTTACATATTATTGAATGACTTAGATAATTTAGATGATAAAATCTGATAGATTTTTAAGTGTGTTTACCTTTTTCCTGTTAGTCTTATTACTTAAAATCAAATAGTACTTAAAATAGTACCTTGTGTCAACATGTGATTGATTCATGGTTCAGAGTACAAGTGTTATGATTTGACAACTAGAATAGAAGGTGAATTTATTTCAACTCTTTTCAAAACTAATTTTAAAATTTCACATTTAAAAATGAATATAGGCTAGGCACGGTGGCTCATGCCTGTAATCCTAGCACTTTGGGAGGCTGAGGCAGGACCATCACTTGAGACCAGGAGTTTGAGACCAGCCTGGGAAACATACCCCATCTCTACAAAAGAAAAAAAATATATAAATATTTATATATTTTTATTACATAAAATATATGTGCATAGTTATATATTATTATGTTAAAAATATGTAAATATATATATATTCTTTTCTTCTTTGTCTCTACAAAAGAAAAAGACAGCATCTCGTCAATACCCCATGTCTAAGAAAAAAATAGACACTTTTTATATCATATATATTAAAATATATTTTATATATCTTTTAATATATATTTTGATGTAAAAAATGCTCTATGTTTATTATCGAATATTTGTAAAATATGGACCCACAGAAACAAAATTTAAATTACCCTTGATATCACTACCTAAAGATTACTAGTCACCCTTTAAATACTGTTTATTATCATTCCAGATCTTTTACTGTAGATGTATGTATTTTTCAATTTACTGTTGTCCTGTTTGCTGTTCTGTATTTGCTTTTTCCTCCTTAACATATAGTAAATACTTCCTTATGTTATTAAATATTCTTCTATATTGTATTTTTTTTCTTTTTTTTTAAAGGGACAGGGTCTTGCTCTGTCACCCATGCTGGAGTACAGTGGCATGATCATAGTTCACTGCAGCCTCGACCTCCTGGGCTCAAGCGATCCTCCAGCCCCAGTTTCTCAAGTAGCTGGGACTACAGGCACATGCCATCACGCCTGGCTAATTTTTTTTTTTTAGATGGAGTCTCGCTGTGTCACCCAGACTGGAATTTAGTGGCACCATCTTGGCTCACTGCAAACTCTGCCTCCTGGCTTCAAGCAATTCTTGTGCCTCAGCCTCCTAAGTAGCTGGTATTACAGGCGTGCACCACCACGTCTGGTTAATTTTTGTATTTTTGGTAGAGACACTGTTTCACCATGTTGGCCAGGCTGGTCTTGAATTCCTGACCTCAAATGATCCACTTGCTTTGGCCTCCCTAAGTGCTGGGATTACAGGCATGAGCCACCATGCCCAGCCAACCATGCCTGGCTAATTTTTTAAATTTTTTTGTAGAGATGGGGTCCCACTATGTTGCCCAGGCTGGTCTCCAGCTCCTGGGCTCAAGTGATCCTCTCACCTCAGTGCCCCAAAGTGCTGCGATTGTAGGTGTGAGCCACTGTGCCCAGCCAAAATTTATTATGGATACATTATATTCCATGTAATGACTTTATGTCATTTTGTTTAATTGGTCCCGTGTTATTAGACATTTAGGCTTTGTGGTTTTATTTTATTTTCATTTGTGTTTCTTGTTATTTGACTATTATGAGTCATGAGGTAGTTTTGCTTTACAGAAATTTTTTTTTTTTTGAAACGGAGTTTCGCTCTTATTGCCCAGGCTGGAGTGCAATGGCGCAGTCTCGGCTCACCGCAACCTCTGCCTCCCGGGTCCAAGCGATTCTCCTACCTCAGCCTCCCAAGTAGCTGGGATTACAGGCATGTGCCACCATACCCAGCTAATTTTTTGTATTTTTAGTAGAGACGGGGTTTCTCCGTGTTGGTCAGGCTGGTCCCGAACTCCTGACCTCAGGTGATCCGCCCACCTCGGCCTTCCAAAGTGTTGGGATTACAGCCACCACACCCAGCCTGGAAAAAAATTTTGAACTCATTGGTGATAAATTCCTAGATGTTGAGTTGCTGGATTAAAGGTATCAGTTTATTTTCCTTCTATCTGTGTAGACTACTCTGAGTTCATTTTGGCATTATCCTTGGTAATTTGGAAGAAAACATATTTAAATCAGAGACAGGTCCGTAGAGATGTCTAGAGGATGCTTATATAATTCAAAAGTGATAATGCTCCCAATAACTTTTTTGTTTCTTCCTTCTCTATCCCTTTACTTTAGCTTTTAAGTGAATTTTGATTTTATTAATCACATATAGTTGAAAAATAGAATATATTTATTGTATTTGGTGTACAGATAATGGTGGTTATGAAAATGGATTTGAGGTCTTGTTACAATAATTCTGTAGGCTCCTGCAACCCAGAATTTGTGAACCACTAGTTTGGAGGCATGCAACTCCCAGGAGACCGGATACTATTATGCCCTTCCTTTTCTCCCTTTTCTCCCTATCTTAAACTGAGATTTAAGGACACTGGCCCTGTTTGGGAACCTTACTGGCCACTGAAAGTTCTGTGTTTTTCAGTCTGGGACTCTTAGAACTTCAGAAAAATAAAAACACTCAAGATGGAAGAAATGTACTCAGGATGAGAATTTGAGTCTACAGAGCTGATTCCTAGAATTAGATATTTGTGACTTTTGGCAAGTTATGATTCTTTTCTGAGCGTCAGTTTCTTGTGTAGAAATACTTTTTATCTTGATCAAATGTTGAGAGGTTTATGTACAATTTTTTGGGCACATGGGTAAATGGTTCTATTATTTGCGTTAACTTTTAGGTAAATATTTAAATAGATTTTTAATAAATGATTTTTGGCCTGATACAAAGACTTTGTGATGTTTTACGTGTAGATAAGATACATTTCAGCCACTTGTGGCAATGAGTTTGCTGTATTTCAGTCATTCAAAAATCGTTTTTGGAAATATGAAAGATTTTCTAGACTTTAATTTTAGAGATACAGCTATTTATAGACATTTTAATATGTATAAAATGTTTCAAAGAATGTACAGTTGAGAATTTAGAGATCCCTAATTACTGTTTGTTTATAATACCATTTGTCAGAAATCTCTGATAAGAGACAATAGAAAATTTATAAAATTTCTAGGTCTTTATAGGTTCAATCTTAGGATAGTTGATCCGGGTATCTTCTCTGCTACCGGATTTCCCAGGGCTTGTTTTGTGAATGGCTGGTTCTGTAGATTGTTGCTTATTAAGGGGTGGTCAGATAAAGCTCTGAGAAGTCCAGCAGTATTAAAATCTATTAATATGGGGGACTTTTGAAGAAAATATTTTTTAACATCTTTGCACATTGGGAAGATGTTTCAGTTAGAAAATTTTTTTGTTGTTGTTTAATGAGAACTTCAGGACTTGGTTACGAATATTTCTAAAAATCTGTGAAGTCAAAGTAACATTCTGTAGAATACTGTGTATGTATATTTATGCTGTAGATAAACAAAGATATTGTTTGTTTAATGGGTTTTGCTTATGATGAAATTTTACTGATTAAGATTAATCCATGTTTAAAAAAGTATACAAAGAGAAAGGAAATATCATAGTCATTATCTAGGAATAATTTAAGTAGTCTAATATAAATCTGTCCCTAAAAAAGTTGTTGAATGGCAGCTAACTAGATTGAAGTACCCTAACATAACTTATATTTTGAATTGGTTGTTAATAATAATTGGAAAACTAGGCTATGTTTAGTCCTAAGACTATAGGGTTTCCTCTCAACACATTTTAGCTGTATCCCACAAATTGTGGTATGTTACATGTTCATTATCATTTATGCAAAAATGTTTTTCAGATTTTATTTTGGCTTATTCTTTGACCTGTAGGTTTTTTTTTTTTTTTAACAAATGTATTGCTTACTTTTTGAACGTTTGGGGATTTGCTAGTTATCTTTCTGTTACTAATTTCTTAATTTCACTATGATTAGAGAACACACTCTGAATAGTTTCAGACCTTTATTGATACTTATTTTATGGCTCAGCATTTTTATAAATGTTTATGTACCCTTGAAAAGACTATGCATTCTGCTGTTAACTACTGTCTTCTATGTACTTTGTTAAGTTCAAGTTTGTAAATTGTGTTATTGTGTTGTACAAATCTTCTCTATCCTTACTGAATTTTTTTTTTTTTGCCTTTTTTTCTATTCATTACAGAGAGAGGTGTCTTGAGGTTAAGTGTCAAATGTGTCTTACTGTGATTGTGGATTTGTATATTTCTCCTTTTAGTTCTATAAAGAACTAAACTGTATGCTTTATGTATTTTGAAGTCATATTACTAGGCACATACAAACTTATCTTTCTAGTACATTGGCTCTTTATCATTATAACATGTCCCTTTTTATCTCTAGTAACACTTGTCTCTCGCCTCAAAGTCTTCTTAGCTACACCTGCTTTATTTTGGCTGCTGTTTGCTTGCATGGTAAAACTTTCTCTCTCCTTTTTGCTTTTAATGCTCCTGTAGCTTTATATTTGGGGTCTGTTTCTTGTTAAGAATAAACAGATTTTTGTTTGCCTGTTTTTAATTAAATCTGAAATATATTTAGCTCATTAATGGTAAATATAATTATTGATAAATTTGGGTTTATGTCTGTCATTTTATTGTTTTCTGTTTGTCCTACTTGTTCTATATTCTATTTTCTCTCCATTGTTGCCTTCTTTTGGATTAATCAAGTGTTTTAAAAATATTATTTTATTCCTCCCTTTGTTAGCTTGTTAGTTATATATTCTGTTACTGTTCTTTTGGTGGTTACGCTAGATCACCACAAGCTTTCTTGTGGTACATTAGAGTTGCATATTCATTAGGATTTTGAAAAACAACATCTCAGACATTGTTAGGACCCTAGAAAACTTTAATAGCATTTATCACTCTCCTGCTTTTATGTTGTCATTGTCATGCATTTCACGTCTACATTTAAATCCAGAGACTGTTGTTTTGTACAGTTAATATTTACCCTTTCCATTGTTCTTTATTTCCTTTTGTATTTACATGCTTCCATCTGAGATTAATTTTCCTCTGTCTGAAGAACTCCTTTTAGGGAGTTTGGTGGTACTGAATTCTCAGTTTTTGCTTGTTTGAAATTTATTTATTTTCATCTTTGAAGAATATATTAAATGACTGTACAGTTCTACATTATTAGCTGTTATTTTCTTGAAGCACTTTAAAGATCTCAGTTCATTGTCTTCTAGCTTCCATTGTTTCTGTTGCAAAATCAGCCGTCAGACTTACTGTTGCTTCTTGGAAGGTAGTATGACTTTCTTGTTCAGCTGCCTTTCTTTTTGTCATTCTCTTTTTCTTTAAGTTTAAACAGCTTTCAGTGATGCACCTAAGAATGGTTTTGTTTGTACCCTGTTTGGCGTTTCTGGCACCTCTTGAATTTGTAGTATGACTGATCAGCTGTGAAAAAATTTTGACTTTTTAAAAATATTGTTTCTGCCCCATTTTTGTCTCCTTTGCTCTGTGACTCCAATTAAATCTTTATTATACTTTTTATCCCCCATATGTCTCCTGCTCTCTTCTGTTATTTTTATGATTTTTTTCCTCCTCTTATCCGTTCTGGATAGTTTTTACTTGACTGTATTTCAGTTCACTTATTCTGAATTTAACTATGTCCAATCTGCTTTTTAACCCCATCTATTCTTAATTTTAGTTATAGTATTTTTTAGTTTTAGAATTATTTCATCCTCTCTTTTTAAGATAGATTCTAATTATGTGAAAATCTCTTGTCATGTATTTTTTGAGCATATTAATCAAATTGCTTTAAAGTCTGTGTCTGAAAACTTCAATATCTGTATCACCTATAGGCCTATTTCCATCATCTCTTTCCTTTTGATTTTGCATCTTGTTAGGCCAAATAATAATAATAGTTAATATATTTGTATATTAATGTATGTTAATTATATATTCTATTGTATATTATATAAATTATTACATGTGGATAATAACATAATAGTAATAATTATTATTAGGCAATTTTTTGATGGAGTGCCAGACATTATATGCAGAATTTTAGATACAAATTTTGTATCTATAATGATACATTTCCCCAGATAGGATTCACATGTCTTCAGATTCACCCATCTTCTTGCAGGC
Source organism: Homo sapiens (assembly GCF_000001405.40). NCBI lineage: Eukaryota > Metazoa > Chordata > Mammalia > Primates > Hominidae > Homo > Homo sapiens. Next base: position 131,337,958 of record NC_000007.14, read on the forward strand.
AGATAGAGATCACTGCAACTGTCAAGGACTGAGCTGACTTGAGGTTGGGTTTTCAGCCTTATAAACCTTGTTCTACCTGTAGTTTGCTTCCAACTTGGTAGCCCCCTAGAGATCTCAATTAAGAGATTGGGTATTTTTAGGGCTTCTCTGGCTTTTTTTCTTTCCAGACCCATGAGAGTTTTAAAAGCTCCTTCTTCCTTTTTAATTGCTTTCTGCTGGCTTTTTAGCCTTTTGCTATGTGCAGTTTAAAAGCTGATAAATCCCTTAAGAGGAAAATCAGTACTGAGTGTCACATTTGTTCTTCTGTGCCTTCTTTCACTAGGGGATCTTGACTCCTCAAGACTTAGCTACCAAGTTTTGTCCCCCTACTCCCATGAAATTGCCAAAAGCTTTGCTGACTTCTCTGCCTCCTAGTGGCTGTCCTTTTTTGGCTTCTTAGCCCCTTGGCCTGTGCCATTAAAGAAATAGGTGACATGTCTTGAAAGGGAAAGCTGCACAGAATGTCAGATACCCTTCAGTGAGTTTCTTGCCACCTCAAGTCTTAGCTACCTCAGAAAGTCTGATATTTTAAGAACTTTCTCCCTATTTAATACAGTTTTTCTAGTTTAAGAGGGAGTGTTGATCTGCTACAGACTATTCCGTCATATTCAAAAGCAGAAATCTTTCTGTGTTTAGTTCTTTTGGAATAGAGTGTTATATCTTGTAGGCCTGTGAGTTTCTCATGGTTATATTAATGTAAAAACGTACGACTTGATCCCCAGAGTTCTTTGGTCTCTTGCTAAGTGTTTTCCTTCATTAACTGCTTATTCTTGCTATCTGATGGGAAAGAATTGTGGAACTTAAATACAGTTGACCCTTGAACAACATGGATTTGAATTTGCAGATCTACTTACACGTGATTTTCTTCTGCTTCTGCCACCTTGAGACAGAAAGGTCGATCCCTTCTCTTTCTCCTTCTCAGCCTACTCAACGTGAAGATGACAACAATGAAGACCTTTGTGATGATCCACTTCCATTTAATGAATAGTAAATATTTTTTCTCTTCCTTATAGTTTTCTTAATAACATTTTCCTTTCTCTAGCTTATTGTAAGAATATAGTATGTCATACACGTAACACATGAAATATGTGTTAATTGTCTATTCATGTTATTGATAAGGCTTCTAGTCAACAGTAAGCTATTAGCAGTTAAGTTTTATGGGAGTCAAAAGTCATACATGGCTTTTTCAACTGCATGGGAGTTGGCGCCCCTAGGCCCCACATTGTTCAAGGGTCAACTGACTGTAACATGATTTGTTAGCAGTTGTTTTATTCTTGTTCTTAGCCAAAAAACTGAGAAGTTATTGTTAAGCAGTTGTTTTAAATGCTTATTAAGAGTTAAAATGAGATTTTATTTTTGGTTTCATTGGTGATTTGCACATTTCTTTTGAGACTTACTTGTTTATAAGGTTAAGAAATTGAGAGTTGGTCGGGTGCACTGGCTCGTGCCTGTAATCCCAGCACTTTGGGAGGCCGAGGTGGGTGGATCACTTGAGGTCAGGAATTCAGCCTGGCCAACATAGTGAAACCCCGTCTCTACTAAAAATACAAAAATTAGCAGGATGTGTTGGTGCATGCCTGTGCTCCCAGCTGTTTGGGAGGCTGAGGCACGAGAATTGCTTGAATCCAGGAGGTGGAGGTTGCAGCGAGCTGAGATCGTGCCACTGTACTCCAGACTGGGTGACAGAGGGAGACTCAGTCTCCAAAAAAAAAAAAATTGAGAGTTTAATCTTTCTATAAGTATAGTATTTCCCTTCATATAATAGGATTTTTAAATTATTTACCTTTTTGTTAGGACTTTTATGGAATCTTATATTTATGTGAAGATGTAGGTTTAGAAGGAAGATAATTGGGTTTGGTGTAAACTTTGGTTTTGTAAATGTTAGTATTTAATACTTTAAAAATATTCCTACTTTTTTTTTTAGTATGACTAATATTTATTATGGCCAGTATCACCTATGTATTTTTTGTTAAAGAAGTTGTCTTATATACATAGAAATGGTATAATAAGCTACTTTAAACAACCCTGGATATGTTTCTTTTCCCTTCCTGTCACTGTCCTCTTTCTTCCCTTTTCCCTTTTGATTAAGAAGTTCCATCAGAAAAGTCATAAAATCTAACTCCTGTTTATTCTCGAGCTATCAGCTAAAATGTCACTTTCTCAGGAAATCCTGCCTGACCCCCCTTTCCCCTTTGTTCTGGCACCCATTCCCCTGGCCTTTAAATGCTTTCATAGCAGTGTGTACCTATCTATCATTTTTTACAGTTTGTAATTACGGCTTTTTTTTTTTTTTTTTTTTTGAGATGGAGTCTCGCTTTGTCGCCCAGGCTGGAGTGCGTGGTGCGATCTTGGCTTACTACAACCTCTGCCTCCCAGGTTCAAGCAATTTTCCTGCCTCAGCCCCCCCAAGTAGCTGGGACTACAGGTGCGCACCACCACGCCTGGCTAATTTTTGTATTTTTAGTAGAGGCGGAGTTTCATCATGTTGGCCAGGCTGGTCTCAAACTCCTGACCTCAGGTGACCCACCTGCCTTGGCCTCCCAAAGTGCTGGGATTACAGGCGTGAGCCACCGTGCCCGGCTTCCTGTAATTATGTATTAAAATGTATAATTACTTGATTAATAGCTATCTTCCCAACTAGACCAAAAACTCCATAGAATGTATGGAATTTTCCTCCATCATCCTTGTAGTCCAAGCATAATATTTATTAAATGAGTAAATGAGTGAATTAACTAGCCATTTTGATTAATTTTCTCTTTTTAGTGCAGTTTTGGTTTAGGACTGTAAGGAGTCATACTGGCCATATTCAGAATGTCACATTAGTGTTTTAAGTCCATTCTGTATTTTTTTCAATGAGTTTCAGCAAAATCTGAGAGTGTCTTAAGTGAAATTGGTTATATCTAGGGTGGAGGTATTATATTTGGAAAGACTTGTAACAGTAGAAAGCTTTTTATTTAAATCTTTGAGTTTTAAAATATTTTTATTATGAAGTTATTTATGATTTTATAGGTAATATTTTTAATGAGACCTTGAAAAATTTATAGAGTGCAGTTTATTACAGAATCTGAGTTGCCTAATAGTTTTTAATAGTTTTTGAGTATCAGTATTTTGATTAATTTTAAGTTAGGGATCATTTCCTCTAATTCTTTGAACATAATTATTTGTTGGTTGATTTTTTTTTTTAATGTAACAGTGTTTTTGAGATGTAATTTATGTACCATACGGTTCTTCTACTTTAGGGTATTAGATTCATGGATTTTTTGTACATTCACAGATGTGACCGTCATTGCAGTCAATTTTAGAACATTTTCATAATCTCAAAAGGAAAACTGTAGCCTTTGGCTATTATCCACTTATTCTTCCATCCCTGAGCAACCACTAAACTACTTTTGGTGTGTATAGATTTGCCTATTTAAGACATTTTCTATAAATGGAATCATATAATTTATGGCCTTTTGTGATTGGCTTCCATTTAGGATGTTGTTTTCAAAGTTTATATTGTATCATGTATCAGTACTACATCCTTCTTATTGCTGGTAAGTATTCTGTTGTATCGATATACCACATTATGTTTAGCCGTTTATTAGTACAGTGGTCCCCAACCTTTTTGGCACCAAGGACTGACTTTGTGCAAGGCAGTTTTTCCATGGATGGGGTGTGATGGGGGAGGATGGTTTCAGAATGAAATTGTTCCATTTCAGATCATCAGGCATTAGATTCTTATAAGGAACAAAACCAAAACAGCAACAACAACAGTGATTCTCATAAGGAGCACCCAACCTAGATCCCTTGCATGTGCAGTTCATAGTAGGTTGGTGCTCCTATGAGAGTCTAATGCCTATGCTGATCTGACAGGAGGCAGAGCTCAGGCAGTAATGCTTGCTAACCCACCGCCACTCACCTCCTGCTGTGCATCTCAGTTCCTTACAGGAACCAGTACTGGTCTGTGGCCTGGGGGTTTGGGATCCCTGCATTAGTTGATAGACATTTGGATTATATCCACTTATTGGCTATTATGAATAATGCTGCTATAATAAACATTCATACAAGTTTTTTGTGGACATGGTTTCATTTCTTGGGTATATGTCCAGCAGTGGAATTTCTGGGTCATTTGCTAACTATGATTTCGTTATTGGAGAAACTGCCAGATTTTTTGTTGATTTTTTTTTTTTTCTGTTATTATGTAGTGTCAAGAAACCGTTTAATGCATATGAATTGAAGCCCTGTAAGGAAAGTGATCATTTGGGATTAGATCGCAAATTGCTTGACTTCAAATGTATTACTTTGAGAATTTTCTGTGACAGTTTAGCTAGTCCTTTATCTTCCTTATTTTTCTTGAGAATACATGAATTAGCTCCCTGCCTTCATATTTGAAGATACATACCTATCAGTGTACAGACATGTACACACATAGGTACACATATAATACTTTGCTAAGCAGTTTGTGCTGGGGACAATAGTTGAAACTCGGTGTTTTTTCCTAAAATTTATATCGTTTGTTTATATATGAAATATCAAATGGGAGATATTTTTGGAAGCAGTGAAACTTGTTTATGAATTCTTTCCTTACACAAAAGAAGACAGGTTTTTTAAAAACAAATTAATCTTTTTCTCTTTGTTTCTTTCAGCATTGATGACTGGGAAGTGAGAGACATAGATTTTTGAAAAGCTGAAAATAACTTCTAGTTTAACAAAATAGTTTCTTCCAGAGCTTAGAATTTCAGATGATTGGAAAATTCATACATCTAGGTCTGAAAGTTTAAGTCTTTCGCATCTATGGAGATCTCTATTTTCTACAACCTAAAATGCTATGATGGGTGACAGGTTAAAGACAAACCTTTTTAAAAAATGTATATTTTTATTGCTATATAGTGGTATTATGGCTTTTGAAATTCCTATTTTTACCATAAACAGATTATTAGGTGCTTACTGATTCCAGATAATAGCCTAATCTATTAGAAGGTAGAAGAGAGAATCTCTGGTGATACACTGTCCATACATGGTTCAATAGGAGGTAGCAAAGGCTAAGTATGAGTAAGTGACAAAAGCAGTAAATGCTGCAGAACTGAAATTCAGAGAATTGCGCTTCCACTGTTGGGTAAGGCTTAAGGGGAGACTTTGAAAGAGGAAGATGAGCTATGCCTTCCTTTGGGTACTGATTTAATTTCTTTTGCCATTTTTTTGCATTTCTTGAATGTAGGAATTTATCCTTACCCATGTGCATATTCATCAGCTCCAATTTAGGAGATTGACTAGTGTAGCACGTCATAACCAGAAAGATACTTGGAGGTAGACTTTTCCCTAAAGTTTATACAAGACACTTAATGGGCTGGGTCCTTGATCATGTACTTCTTTCTTAGACTTTGTGTATATGAAGTGGTGTTCTTATCCTTATTTCTTTCCACATTCACCCTTTTTAATGCTTTTAGTAAGTCTTTTCAGTTTTTGTTAAGATTTATTTTATAGTTACACTATTGTATTTATTGAAGGTAGCTTGGCTGATACTGTTCCAAAGTCACTTGCCACTTTCCTCTCTGCATAATTAACATTTATTCTCCTCATTATTTGTCAATGAATTCCCTTCTGTTTATTTATAGTTTCTTTATGATTCTGCATATCAGAAGATAACAAGCACTTATCACAAATGCATTTAGGGGATGTACTACTCTGTAAAAAATTTAAATATATTGAAAATAGAACTCTTTGAATTTTATTTTACTCTTTTGAGGAAATGAAGATATCTTGATTTTTTTTATGGTATTCTAACCTGCTTTTCCGGGGCATACAGGGCAGCACTTATTTTTATATAAATCTGAGAATGTGTGAATTGCAAATTAATCTTCTGGCAGATATCTAATGCTGTTGATAGAGATGTGTTGCCCTAAGATTTATTGGATTTAATGAGACAGTCTTTTGATATATCCTTGAATTATGATGGGATATTGGGTTGCCACATGTAAGTTTTAGAATATTTTTTAATGATATAGAGAAAATGCTTCAGATACAATGGCATGTAAAAGAGAAAACAGCAAAAAAACCCTGATTTTAAAACGGTTTGATTCAATTTATATTTTAAAAACACAGACACATGATTTGTATGCCTGTGTATATAGAAAAGATTGCAAGGATATTTACCAAAATATTAAGTGATTATCTCTGGGTTGTAGTAATTGGGGTGATTTTTATTTTTTAAGTGCCTTTTCTTTGGGTATTGCCTGAAATGTTAAATATTATCTCATTTTAGCAAATAATAAATACTACTTTTAACTAAGAAAAAATAGAGAATTGTTGTGTTTGTGTGAATTGCTTTGATTATAAACACAAATTATATAGGATCCTATGTCCCATGTTAGTGAGTTTCTTTTTGTTTTTTTAAAGTGAGGAGCTATCAAAGGATTTTTTAATAGAAAAGTGATGTGAATAAAGTTAAGTCTATGGTTTAAAATTAAAAATTTTAAGTACTCTTATGACCCAGCAATTTCAGTTTTTAGTAGCTAATTTTGAGTATCATCAAATTCAGGCATGCTTATCCCTGGGATTACACGTAGACCTTCCACTGGGTATGCGGGCAAAAATAGTTTTAAAATACTCAGTTTCCTAAGCCTTACTGTTCTTGTGTATTCTTTCCTAAAATTGATCTGCCTAAGAACTTGCCTGTGGCTTATGCCCTTGCTCCTCAAAAGTGTGGTCTATTCACCAGCAGTATTGTTATTGCTGGTTGTTTGTTAAATGCAAAAAACGTGGTTCTCAATTCTTTTAAACAAAATAAAAGGAGGACCTAATCAATTTGTCAGTTGATGGATCATAAATAATTTTTTTTTTTTGAGCTGGATCTTGCTCTGTTGCCCAGGCTGGAGTGCAGTGGCGCCATCTTGGCTCACTGCAGCCTCCACCTCCTGGGTTCAAGCGATTCTCCTGCCTCGGCCTCCCGAGTAGCTGGGATTACAGGCACGCACCACTGCGCCTGGCTAATTTTTTTTTGTATTTTTAGTAAAGACGGGGTTTCACCATGTTGGCCAGGCTGGTCTCGAACTCCTGACCTCAGGCGATCCACCCGCCTTGGCCTCCCAAAGTGCTGGGATTACAGGCATGAGCCACCGCACCTGGACTGATAGATCATAAATATTTTTAATGATAGCTCGTTATGCGATTTTTGGCATGTAATTTGGAAGGTGGTAAAAAAAATTAGTAGTACAGGAACAGTCCAGGTTGAGTATCCCTTACTTGAAATGCTTAAGACCGGAAGTGTTTTGGATTTTGGAATTTTTACGATTTTGGAATATTTGCATTATGTTAATATATACTTAGCAGTTGAGCATCCCTAATCTGAAATTTGAAGTCTGAAATGCTCCCATGAGCATTTCCTTGCAGTGTCATGTCAGAACTCAAAAAGTTTTCAGATTTTGGAACATTTCTGATTTTGGGTTTTCAGATTCTCAAACTGTAGTAACAGAAATTCCTTCAGCTCCCTTGTATTTATTTATGTGAGCAAGGGAGGATCATAGAGTCCAGAAGTTGGAGAATAGCTTGGGTAACATAGCGAGACCTCTTCTCTACAAAACGTTAAATTAGTCGGGTGTGGTGTTGTGCTCCTGTAGTTCTAGCTACTTGAGAGGCTGAGGCTTGAGGATCACTTGAGCCCAGGAATTCGAGGCTGCAGTGAGCTATGTTCATGCCACTGCACTCCAGCCTGGGCAATGGAACGAGACTGTGTCTCAAAAAAAAAATTTAAAAATAAGTACAGAGTTGATGTTGAATCCCATTTTATTCTAGCAGTGATATTTATTCATATATACATGAGACAATTGTTTTGAAAGTACACGTGTCTTTGAGAATCGTATCTAATACCTTTACTGTATATTTAATCATCATCTGTCAAAGTTTTTAATATATTGTTTTGGTCAATAATATACTTATGAAATTGATAATAACATCCAGAAGAAATTTTAAAAATCACTCGGAATCTCATGATCAAAAACCAAAAAAGTTTAATCTTAATTCACGTGGCATTTTCTCAGAGAAGTCATAGGAGTGAAAAATGAAAGACCTTCCAGCCTATAAGTAAAATTACATTTACATTTTGTAAAATTCTTTGGGGGAAGTTTAAGGAGAAACCAAGATAATATAAACTTTTGACTGTATAAGAAGAGGCTGTTCACTTAAAAAATAGATGATGGTATTTTTCTTCTATTGATACTTTTAAAAGAACACATATAACAACTTTATTAAAAATTAACAATATTAGGGCGGGTGTGGTGGCTCATGCCTGTAATCCCAGCACTTTGGGAGGCCAAGGCAGGTGGATCACTTGAGGCTAGGAGTTCGAGACCAGCCTGGCCAACATGGTGAAACCTGTCTCTGCTAAAAATATAAAAGTTAGCTGGGCGTGATGGTGCACACCTGTAATCCCAGCTAGTCGGGAGGCTGAGGCAGGAGAATTCCTTGAACCCGGGAGGCGGAGGTTGCAGTGAGCTGAGATTGCACCACTGCACTCCAGCCTAGTGACAGAGCGAGACTCAGTCTCAAAAAAAAAAAAAACCCAAAAAACAATATTTAAAGTACACTGGAAATCACAACCTTTGCAACAATTATAAGGTATGAAACATTTTACAACTTAAAAATGTTGAGGATGTGCATAGATTTTCAAAATTAATTTAGAGGGTACTTGAGCAGAAAAGCTTGTGCACCATTAACTGACAGCAGTTTGCACTTTCGAATTACTTGTGAATCTTTTAAAAATGCTGATGCTCCTAGGTTATAAAATAATCTATTATTTTGGGCCTAGGCCCAAAGTACTAGACTATGATGAAGATCCCACAAAAGTGATTGTTTTTCTATAATTACATATACACATATATTTATTCTGTAGTTACATGCATAGATAGAAAAAAGACTTGGAATCTAAAACAAAAGCAAAAAGATAAGGAAAATATTAATGAAAAATTGAAATGGAGGCTAGCCTTGATCCAGAAGGTCCACCTTCTCACCTTCAGGACACATGGCTTAATGAGCAGATGATGCTCTTTGACTGGGATACAGGACTTGATGGGTGGGACACAGGCTGAATTTCAGCTTTCACTCTTCAGTGGGATCTTCTAGTGCATGGTGCAACCTGCATAATTATATATAGCAGCCCTGCACCTTCTACATAATAATAGGCCTAGAAAGAGATTAGAAACAAAATAGAAACGAAAGGAAAAAATAGAGGAAAATTTATCTGAGCTAAAGAAAGGCTCAGTTGAAGTCATTAGTTTGAACAGCCTTGCTGATTGTCAAGAGAGTAAGTGCAAAAGTATCCATAATTAGTCTGCATTCAGATGCAGGAACCTGGTGCTAGAGAAGCTGCTCAGGCACAGGAACTGGGCATTGAAGCTGTATATGCTGCTGGAGCCTGATGCTGGAGAAACCTGTATGGCAGGAATGAAGAGCTAGAGAAGCTGTGTATGCTGCAAGAGCATGCACGGCAAGCATACCTGAACCAAGAAGCCAAACAAAAACAAAAAAAACCCAAAGACAAAAAACCCTTACTTGCTGCGATGACTCCTGCCCCCTCTTACTGACACAGCTTAACATTGCACCAGCTGGTAAAGGAAAAATAAAGGGCCCAAATCCATTTTCAAAGAGGAGACAAAAAGAGTGAATTTAGAGGTGAGAGTCAATAAATCCATAATTGGCTCGTTTACTTTTACCTTTTGATGTGATTTTAAAATCTGTTTTCTCAGCATTTCATTTATACTTAAACTGGTTAAATCTAGTATCTGAAGTTTTCTTTTGGTTAATCTGATGCCTATTATTGTTTCAAGTGGATTAATATTACTAGTAAGCTTTTGTGTTTCTATTTTCCATTCATACAGTGCAATAACATTTTTTAAATTGCAAAAATGGATACCGAATTATAAAGACAGTAGTGCTTTTGAAACAAATGTTGGCTGGCATGTGAGGTAATCATAGTATAGTAACAAACTAATGGTTTGTGACCTGATGAACATTCTGTATTTAACAAAGGAAAGGCTGAGAGCTCTAAGATACATAAGTGTGAGTTGTCTGACAGTTGAGTGAGGAGAGTTATTACCTGTAATAAACTTGATTTCAGTTATATCACTAAACTGCTCATGTTCCATATATTATTTTAAACAGAAAAGCACTCCAAAGTTGTATTCTGTGCTACAGCTATCTATATTGTGATTTGCCATATGACATATCTCTTATTAATATATGAAGAGAGCATTAAAACAGCCTTGCCTATTTATCAGATATGTTCTAGGTGTTAATTTATTTGTGAATTTTATGCGAACAGATATATATATGGAAATGAGTTTTTGAAAGTCCAGCATACAACTACAGCCATTAATCAAGGACACATGTAGAAAATAATTCATATATATGCAGAGATGTTGGGAGAAGTTTTATTCCAAAGCTAACACAAAACAAGGTACACAAGTTTTTATAGAGGATATTATCCATTGCGGTAATATTTGATGTATAATACTTCTGAATTTTTTAATAGTTTTAAGAGTTAACTATAGTCGTTGGGTTTTTTTTTTTTAAAGACAGGGTCCCACAAATGTAATTTAAAAATATTTGTAGATCCTCTGGAGTATCTCTGAGGAAGAGAGTTTGAAAAATGCTTTACCATGGGACTTAGGGCATTGGTCAAAGATACCTATTATGGGTATGAGAGGAGAGTTCTTATTAAGTAAGCAGATTTGGATTAGTTAATATTGGTTTGACCTGTCATCCTTAGTACAGTTTAAATTATTGTATTATACTGTGGCAAAAGCTGGATCTGATGCAAAGGAAAACATGAAAGAATTGAGACAGTATGGTATAGAGAGAACACTGACCTAGGACTGGGACTTGAGTTCTAATCCCAGTTCTACCACCGATTAATTGGTAGTTTTAGATCGGTCATTTAATTTCTCTAGCCTTTTATTTTTTTCTCATACAAAATGAGGGATTTAGATTCTGAAGGTATTTTTTTGATGCAAAATAGCAAACAGTTGATATTACAGAGTAATTTTTTAAAGACATGCACCCTCCCCCACATCCACATGTTATAGTTCATATTAAGCTACATTGTTGCCCAACAAAGATATTTTAAGAACTTGATATAATTAGATGATAATGATTATTTTAGTAAAATTAATTACATATAAATGAAGCCTTTGAGAGTGCTTAGAAGCAGTTTGATCTCTTAAATCTATCTTTTTTTTTTTTGAGACAGAGTCTTGCTCTGTTGCCCAGGCTGGAGTACAGTGGCACGATCTCGGCTCACTGCAACCTCTACCTCCCAGGTTCAAGCAGTCCTCTTGCCTCAGCCTCCTGAGTAGCTGGGACTACAGGTGCGTGCCACCACGCCCAGCTAATTTTTTGTATTTTTAGTAGAGACGGGGTTTCACCATGTTGACCAGGATGGTCTCTATCTGTTGACCTTGTGATCCACCTGCCTCAGCCTCCCAAAGTGCTGGGATTTAGGCATGAGCCGCCGCACCCGGCCTTAAATCTTTCTAATCCCTCTGTGAATATATTGTTATATTGTCTGAGGTTTGAAGAATGTGTGTACTAAGCAGTAAATCATTGCCAGATCATGTCCAAATTTAATGATCTTTGCATTAGGTAGAAAAGGGATAGTTCTTTGTTTTGAAATATATTCTGAAGGGTCATTTAATTTCTGAAAAGATTGATAATTCAAGCCTTCTGAGATATTCAGCAATTGAGGACTATTTTTATATGAGTGTCTCAGCAGATAGATTTTTTTGTTTTGGGGAGACACCAAATCATGTTAGCGAGCTTTTTAGTTTCATTTTTGTCTAGTGAGAATTTCCTATTTTATCAAACTTCTGTATAGGAATGTTTGTTTTATTTTGTTGCCATTCTTTTTTCCTAGTGGTCGCTCCATTCATTCTTGTGGAGTATGTTGTAGGTATGTGTTCCCAAAGTGTTTTGAATCCTTAGAGATAATTACTACATGCTTATTTTCAGTTGCTTGGTAGTGATAAGTTGACTTGAGTTTTGCTTTGAGTGATGGTAACTAACGATACTACAATGGTCTGCTATTTGCTAGGCCATTGACATTCTGTAATTTTCAACCTGTATTTGTACCCACCTCTCTTTCTTCTGGTATATTTTAAAGTAAATATAAGTTATGTTATTTTATTTCTAAATACTTCAGTATACATGAAGAAGAGGACATTTTATTAGTTATTTTTTATTTCATTTTATTTAAAATCTTTTTTTTTTTTTTGGTAGAGTTGGGGTCTCGCTATGTTGCCCAAGCTAGTCTCAAACTCCTGGGCTCAAGCACTCCTTCACCTCAGCCTCCCAGAGTTCTGGAATTACAGGCATGAGCCGCTGCACCTGGCCTTCGTTATCTATTAATCCATAACAAATTGCTACAAACTTAGCAGCTTAAAACAATACACAATTTATTTTCTCAATGAGGGTCCAGTGTTTAGACATAGATTTGAGAGGTCTTCTGCTCCAGGTCTCTAAGGCTACAGTCAAGATGTTGGCTGGGGCTGTGGTTTCACCTAAAGGCTTGAGTGGGGAAAGATCTGCCTCTAAGCTTATTTGATTGTTGGCAGGATTCAGTTTCTTGCAAGTTGTTGCCCAGAGGTTGTCCTCAGTTTATTGCCACGTGGGCATCTCTAATGTGGTGTTTTGCTTCATCAATGCCAACAAGGGAAAGTCTGCTAGTGAAGTGGAAGTCACAGTTTTATGTAGCCTAGGCCCTGAAATGATGTCCCATCACCTTTGCCATATTCTCTTCATTAAAAACAAGTCACTAGGCCAACCTACACTCAATGAGATGAAATTACAATGAGATGGAATTACTCAATGGTGTGAATTCTCAGTGGTGGGGATCATTTGAGGCCATCTTTGAACTGCCCTGCCAGAGACATTTTCTTTTATGGCCACAATGTCATTATTTTACTTAACAGATTTAGCAGTAATTCTTTAATTACAATTAATACCTAGTCCATATTTAATTTTCAGTTTTCTAAAAAATGTCTTTTTATAGTGTGTTCGAATCAGGATCCAAACGCTTATTGCATTTGTTGTTATGTCCCTTTTACAATTCTTTTTATCAAGAGTTCTTCCATTAGCCAGGTGTGGTGGTGTGCACCTGTAGTCCCAACTACTTTGGAGGCTGAGGCAAGAGGATTGCTTGAGTCCAGGAGGTCGAGGCTGCAGTGAGCTATGATTGTGCCACCGCACTCCAGCCTGGGCAACAGAGCAAGACCCTGTCTCTTTTAAAAAAACAAAAAGAAGAAGAAGAGTCTTCCCATCCTCTTGCTGTTTTCTTTTTATCCATTGATTTGTTGAAGAAATCAGGTCATTTGTCCTGAAGAAGCTCCCCTATTCTAGATATGTTCAGTTGTTTCTATGGTGGCATTTGACTAATTCCTCTATTTGTCATGCTTTATATATACTGGGAGTTAAACAGAAAGCCTTATTTAGATTTTGGATCAGATTTTTTTTGAGACAGGGTCTTGCTCTGTTGCCCAGGCTGGAGTGCAGTGGCACAATCATGGCTCACTGTAGCCTTGAACCTCCTGGGCTCAAGTGGTCCTCCCACCTCAGCCTCCCAAGTAACTGGAACTACAGGTGTGTGCCACCATGCCTGGCTCATTTTTAAATTTTTTTTTTAGAGTCAAGGTCTCATTGTGTTGCCTAGGCTGGTCTTAAACTCCTGGCCTCAAGCAATCCTCCCACATTGGCCTCCATCAGTTTTTTAGAAAGACCACTCCCTAGGTGGTGCCATATACTTTGTATTTTATCACTTCAGGAGGCACAAAATGTGGTGGTGACAACTTTTTTGTAAAGCCATCCACTTTTCATTAATAGTGTTAATATCCAAAGATAACTCATTGTTAGAATAAACTATTTCAGTAGAAGTATCAAAATTGGATTTCTCTCATCTTACCATTCCTTTCACATTTACTAGCTGTAATTTTCCTGGATAAAATTTTCCCTTGTCTATTTGAGCTTTTTGGTTACTCTGAAATACAGTTCTACTGGAAAAGCAAGACAAATGCTTAATTCTTTCCTTTTAATCACTAGTTTTCAGCATAGTGAGTTGTTATATACCTCCAGGTGTCTAATTAATTTTTTCTTTTTTAAAAACGAAAAGCATTTATGAACATTAGTCTCTTTATTCATTGTGTTTTAAATGACTTCAGTAGTCATTATTTGTGATGCCAGATGGTTCCATCTTAGGCCAGTGGGAGTCCCTTCAGGCTCTCTCCTGTGTTCCTTTGACATGACCCCATTCTTTATTTTCTTGCTTTTTGGCATAGGAAAATGACTTTATATAACATGCTTTAGTCGAAGAATGATGTTCAGAGTGCATAATTGGAAAATGGAGATACTTAATGTTACCAGATTGTCATTTCTTTTAGATCCTTCTAGGTGATAGAGCTAGGAAATAAATTTTTTTAAGAGAAAAAATATCTTGAATTTATACTGCTATTTCCAGTTCAAATTTGATTTGTGAGGTTGTAACTTCTTTCATTTTACACTTTTTTTTTTAAGTTGAAAATGTTTCCCAGTATTAACATTAATATAATTGCTTTGGGCCCTATCTATGTGTGTGTGGTGCACATAAATATGTTTAAAACATAAATTTAAAGTAATATCAGTGTTATTACTGGGTGAAGTTTAACATTTCTTTGTAGATTCTTTTTGCCGTTAGACTGTTTTCTACTGAAGATAGTAAAAATGCTGTGTCCTAAGGTCAGTTGGAATAATTCTTTTTATTATTTTCTGTGGGTTATGTCACCAACTTGATACACAGGTTCATTTGTTTTAGTTTATTTTCAGCTTTTAGTGATTCCTGTTTTTGTTTCTGCATGTAAAACATTTGCATGGTTTCAGATTTTAAACTATGCAGCTTCCACCTCTGTCCCTTCAACACTTTTTATTCCCTTTACAATGGGCTAGTTCTTCCGCTGCAAATACAAACATCTACATGTGTATCCATTCATTTAGATGTGCCACAATTTGTTGAACCATTCAGCAGTTGATGAACATCTAGATTGTTTCCATTTTGGGGTTATTAGAAATGAAGCTACTATAAACATTGGAGTACAGGTTTTTGTTTGAACATAGGTTTTTGTTTCCCTAGGAAAAATGCCGAAGAGTCCAATTGCTGGATTGTAGTGGTTAGTTTTGTAAGAAACCTTCATACCCTTTTCTAAAATGGGTTACCATTTTACATTCCCATCAACAATGTATGAGGGATCCAGTTTCTCTGAATCCTTGTGAGCATTTGGTGTCATCACTGTTTTATCTTTTAGCTATTATGATAGGCATATAGTGATATCTGATTTTTTTTTATTCCTCTAATGGCTAGTAATGTTGCACATCTCGTGTTTATTTGCTATCTGTATAACTGCTTACTGGAATGTATTCATGTCTTACCTATTTTCTGATTGGATTGTTTGCCTTTTACCTGATGGATGTCAAGAGTACTTTGTATGTTTTAGGTGTATGTTTTAGGTGTGTGTTTAGGTGTATGTTTTAGGTCTTTTGTTGCGTATGTAGTTCGGAAATACGTTCTCCCAGTCTTTAGCTTACCTTTTCAACCACTTAAAAGTCTTTCTCAAAATAAAAGTTTTTAATTTTGCTGAAGTCCAGTTTTTCAATTTTTCCTTTTATACATTTTGCTTTTTGTATAAGATCTCCTTGCCTAGTCCTAGACCGTGAAGATTTTGTCTTATGTTTATATTTTTTTAAAGTTTCATAGTTTTATATTTTACATTTTCATTCATGATTCATTAATTTTTTTAATGAAGTATGAGTTTTAGGTCAATTTTTTTTTTTTGGCTTATAGTTGTCCAGTTGCTCTAGCACTGTTTGTTGAAAAGGCTATTCTTCCTTTGTTGAATTGCTTTTGTACCTTTGTAAAAAAAAAAAAAAAAAAAAACCAGTTGGGCATATATGTGTGGGTCTTTTGGGGGCCTTTTATTCTGTCCTAATGATATGTGTCTGTCCATCTGCTAGTATTATACTTTATTGATTATGCAGTTTTATAATGGAGCAAGCTTTAATATTGTATAGAGTGATCGCTCTCATTTTATTCTCATTTAAATAATTATTTTGGCTATTCTAGGTCTTGTGTTTTATGTGTAAATTTCAGAGTAAACTTGTCTATGTCTAAAAGAAATCTTGCTGGGATTTTGATAGGAATTACATTAAATTTGTAGGTCATTTTGGGAGAATTGCCATCATTGCTATGTCGAGTCTTCCAGTCCACGAGCACAATATGTCTTCCATTTATTTAGGTCTTCTTCAATTTCTTTTATCAGCATTTTGTAGTTTTCAGGATACAGAGCATCCTGTACATGTTTTGTTAAAAATATTCTTCCTTCATTTCCTTTAAAGCAACTGTAAATTGTTTTGTGCTTTTAATCTTGGGTTTCACATGTTTAGTGTTAGTATATAGAAATGCATTTGATTGTTGATCTTATATCCTGCAACGTTGCTGAACTCATTAGTCCTAGGATTTTTTTTTGTGGGGGGGGGCGTAAATCTTGTGGGATTTTTCACGTAGGCAAATTATGTCATCTGAAAATAGGGATGGTTTCATTTCTTCCCTTCTGAAGGTTGCATCATTGTTTAGTTGAATGTGTCAAGTTTTATTTTTTTCTGGATTTTTGAATTAGGGAGTGTCTTCTCAGTGACAGGATGTAAAGGATTTAACTGTGTTTTCTTCTGTTACTTGTATGTTTTTATATTTAGTTTTCTGATTCATTTGGAATTTAACCTGGTGGATGATGTGAGGCACAAATCTAATTTTATTTCTAAATGGCTGTACATCATTTATATCTATCGAAACATTTAAATACATCATTTATTATAAAGCTCATATTTCCCCCAACCCCAATGATTTATGATGCTATCTTGATCATTTATTAAATTTTATGTGCTTTGTTCTATTTATTTTTATTTTTAAATTTTTTGGTAGAGACAGGGTCTCACTATCTTGACCAGGCTTGTCTTGAACTCCTGGCCTTAAGTAATCCTACTGCGTGGCCTCCCAAAGTGCTGGGATTACAAGTGCGAACCACTGCAGTCAGCCCACTCTTTTATTTCACTGTTTTGTATTCTGTTCCTGATTGTGTATTCATGTATAAATATCTTGCTGCTTTAATTACAGAGACTTCATAATATGCTTTAACATCTGACAGGGTCTAGTCTTCTCTCCTTGCTCTTCTACTCTTTTTCAGGGTTTCTTTGGCTGTTTTTATCCTTTTAATTTTTAATGTGAAATTTATTATTTGTGTGAACTGTATCAGCCTTATTTGTTGTATGGTCATAGGGAAACCTGTTTTTATTTTTGGGTCTAATTAAATTTATAAGTTAACATAGAATTGTATTTTTATGATGAGTCTTTTTATGCAGGAACATGGCATGTCTTTGCATTTTTTCCAGGTTTACTTATACATACATATATATATGTATATATCAGGACTGTTTAAAACAATTTTCTCATAGGTTTTGCACATTTTTCTAAGCTTATGGCTAATACTGTATTTTATTGTTGTAATTAGAGGTCTTCTCTTGCATTATATCTTCTAACTGCTTTTCGCTTTTATGTTTGAAGGCTCTGATTTCTTTAACTTGATACTATATATATATATATATATATGCTTTAAGTTCTGGGGTTTTTTGTTTTTTTTTTTTAAACAGGTCTCTTTGGTCCAGGCTGGAGTATAGTGGTGTGATCATAGCTCACTGGAACCTCAAACTCCTGGGCTCAAGTGATCCTCCTGTCTCAGCCTCCCAAAGTGCTGGAATTATAGGTGTGAGCCACCACACCCAGCCTTGATATTTTTTTCTAACTAAATTCTTCTATTCTAAATAGTATTTTTCCCATTGATTCTTTTGGCATCTTCTAGTTGTATAATTTTTTCATCTACAAACACTCTAATTTGTATGCTTTGTAATTACTTTTTCTATCTCTTAAATTTTAGACTTTATCCTTTAGAACAGTTTTAGATTTACTAAAATATCGAGCATGTAATACAGAGAGTTTGTATATACCTCCCAATAGTTCCCCTATTTTTTTTTTTTTTTTTTTTGAGGAAGGGAAGAAAAGGAAAGGAGCAAAGTACAACTTGGAAGAGGGCCAAGCAAGCGACTTGAGAAACCGGCAGCTTGACCTCTTGACTTGGGATTTTATACGCTGGCATACTTTGGGATCTTGCATTACTTCTCCTCACTCCTGAGATCTTATTGAGAAGCTGCTGATGAGTTTCAGGTGTTTTATATCTATTAGCCTGCCTTTCCCTAGCTCCGGCTGCAACCAGTTATTACTTTAGAGAAACAGTTAACTGCCTGACCATCACCTGATGGTCGCCTAACACTCCTGGTGTGCATGTGGGGTGGAGCCCCCTACTGCCCTGCTCATACCTGACTAGCTACCCACTGTAACATTTCCCCCCCCAAGAGTCCAAGACCCCAAATCTTTGGGGTTAAATGGACGAAGGTCAGTCTTCTGTAACTGCTTCCTGCTGACAGAGGGGCAGTGGTGGTTCTATGGGTCTTGGCCTCTTGCTAGCTGTCATTGCTGAGTTGGCTCCATGAGTTGTTGAAAGCGATATCCGGCCAGGCCCAAGGGAGACAGGGGCAGGATTTCGCCTCTGTCGTGTCCCACTGATGGGCAGTCTAGAGGTCCCCTGTAGAAGGGTGATTCTTGAATATTGAAAGGACAGTATTCTTCATCGAGGATTACCTGGAGCTTAATGGCCACTAGGGAATGTATCCAAATCGTGTGCGCCAAATATGTTGCCGGTGGCAGATACCCAAGTTACCCCGATTCCGTATGGGTCTGCCACAACTTCAGTTCTTGCCTCCTCAGGAGAATTCGAATGAGGGGCATAAGGCAGAAGGAGGGAGAGACTGAGGCAGGTTTCAGAGCAGGAGTGCAAGTTTGTTAAAAAGCTTTAGAACAGTAAGGAAAGGAAGGAAAGGAAAGAAGGAAAGTACACCTTGGAAGAGGACCAAGTGAGTGACTTGAGAAACCAAGTGCCAGTTACCCTATTCTTACTGTATTACATTCATATGCTCTGTTTCTTAGAATTAATGAACCAATATTTATAGTTCATTACTAACTATAATCCATAGTTTATTTAAATTTCCTAAGTTTTTCTCGAATGTCCTTTTTCTGTTCCAAGTTCCTATTGAGGATACCACATCAAGTTTGTCATGTCTCAGGCTCATCTTGACTGTGACAGTTTTCTCGAACTTCCTTTGTTTTGGACTGACAGTTTCGAGGAGTACTGGACAGGTGTATTGTAGGATGCCCCTCTACTGGAGTTTGGGTTGATTGGGAAGGAATATATTGTAAGCATGCCCTTGATCACCTCCCTGAGGTGGTGTTTGTCAGGTTTCTCCACTGTAATATTTTCCCTTTTGCATACTGTACTTTGGAAAGAAGCCATTATACACAGCCAATACTGAGGGAGTACTCTCAGTTCTTAGAGTGGAGTATTACATAATTTCTTAGGAATTCTTCTTTATGGGAGATTTGTCTCTTCCGCCATACTAATTTATCCAATAATTTATTTGTATCATGTGGACTCAGATACTTATTTTATACTTTATTATAATCCAGTACTACTTTATTTATTTTGTTGCTCAAAATGTTCCGGCTTTGGCTGTTGGAAGCTCTTTCAGTTGACTCATGTGCGCCTTTGACATAACTTCCATCATTTTTGTTTTGTTTTGTTTTTCATTTTAGTGCTTTCTTAATTTCTGGTATTACAGGATGCTCCAGGCTCATCTTGTTTATTTTCTGCCCCATTTCTCCATAGAACTGTTGTTCCTTTTATTGGAGAAAGGCATAAAAAAACAAAATCTGGGTGCTAGATGTCCTGCTTCGGGGGTTTTGTTTCTTTTAGTCCCTCTCATTAACCTTATATCCTGAAACCTTGCTGTAATCATTCATTATTTCCAGGAGTTCATCAGTTCTTTGGGATTTTCTGTATAGGCAGTCCTGTCATCTGTGAATGATGACAGTATTATTTCCTTCTCAATGTGTAGACTGTTTTTTTCCCCCGCTTATCTTATTGGATTTAGCTAGCATTTCCAGGATAGTATTGAATAGAATTGCCTTATTCCCAGTCTTGGGGTAAAACATCTAGTTTCTCACCATTAAATATGATGTTAGTTGTAGGTGTTTTGTAGGTACTCTTTATCAAATTGAAGAGGGCTGCCTGAATTCCTAGTTAGCTAAGATTTTTAATCATGAATATGTGTTGGATTCTGTGAAATGCTTTCTCTGCATCTGTTGATATGATCATATGACTTTCTTCTTTAGCCTATTGATGTGTAATACATTAATTGATTTTGGGATATTGAAATAGCCCTGTAATAAGTACGTTTTATTGTGGTGTGTAATTATTTGTATACATTTTTAAATTTGATTTGCTAATATTTTTTGAGATTATTTTTGCATCCATATTCATAAGAGATTGGCTGGAGGTTTTCTTTTAGTGATGTCTTTATCTGGTTTTTGTATTAGGTTAATGCTGGTCTCGTAGAAAGCATTAGGAAGTGTTTCCTCTGCTATTCTTTTCTGAAAGACATTCTAGAGCATTGGTATCATTGTTTTCTTTAAATGTTTGGTAGAATTCACCAGTGAAACCATCTGGGCCTGGAGATTTTCTTTTTGGAAGATTATTAATTACTAATTCAGTTTCATTAATAGTTACTGGCATATTCAGAAGGTCGCTTTCTCGACTTTTGGTAGTTTGTATCTTTTAAGGAATTGGTCCATTTCATTTATGTTATCAGTTTTATGGGAATAGAGTTGTTCATTTTATTATCTGTTTAATATCCAAGTGATCAATAGTGATCACTCATTTTCATTTCTAATATTGGTAATTTGTGTCTTCTCTGTTTTTTTCTTTGTTAGCCTAGCTAGAGTTTTGTCAGTTTTATTGGTCTTTTCAGGTAGCCAGCTTTTGGTTTCTTGCTTTATTCTACGCATTTCCTGTTTTCAGTTTCATTGATTTTTGCCCTAAGATTTATTTATTTATTTATTTTTTCTGCTTTGTTTATGCTTCAGTTGCTTTTCTCTAGTTTCCTAGGGTGGAAGCTTAAGTGATTGACTTTAAGTTGTTTTGACTTAATAAAATGCTTTCAATGCCGTAAATTTCCTTCTAAGCATTCCTTTCACTGTATCCCACAAGTTTTGATGTTTTGTTCTTAGTTTCACTTTGTTCAGAATATTTTTAAATTTATCTGGAGACTGCTTTGACCCATGTATCATTTGGAAGTATGTTTACACCAAATATTTTGGGATTTTCCAGCTATCTGTGAATGACTTCTAGTTTAATTCCATTGTGGTCTGAGAGCATACTTTGTGTAATCTTCAACTCTTTTACATTACTAACATATATTTTATCATCTTCCTTGGTGAATATCCTTGTGTGAGCTTGAGAAGAATACGTATTCTGCTGTTATTGGGTGAAATACTCTGCAAAGTCAGTTAGATCTAGTTGATTGATGATGCTCTTCAGTTCAAGGGTATTCTGAGCTTCTGCCTGCTGAGTCTGTCTATTACTGACAGGGATATTGATGTGTCCAATTATAATAATGCTTCTTGAACTTCTGTCAGTTTCTCTCTCAAGTATTTTGACACGCTTTTGTTTGGTACAGACACCTTAAGGATTGTTATGTCTTCTTGGAGAATTGACAGTTTTTATTATTATTTAATGCCTCTTTTATTTTTTTTTTTATTTTTTGAGACAGGGTTTCACTCTGTCACCCAGACTGGAGTGCAGTGTTGTGATCTCAGTTCACTGCAACCTCTACCTCCCAGGCTCAAGCAATTCTCCTGCCTCAGCCTCCTGAGTAGCTGGGATTACAGGCCTGCACCACCACGCCTAGCTAATTTTTGTATTTTTAGTAGAGGTAAAATTAAAACATGTACTTTTTTACCATGTTGGCGAGGCTGGTCTTGAACTCCTGACTTCAAATGATCCACCCGCCTCGGCCTCCCAAAGTGCTGGGATTACAGGCATGAGCCACTGCTTCTGGCCAATGGCTCTCTTTTTTGCTGATGATTTTCCTTGATCTTATGTTTGCTTTGTCTGATATTAATTAATATAGCTATTCCAGTTTTCTATTTAAAGAATGGTATGTCTTTTTCCATTTCTTTATATTCACCTATTTGTATCTTTATGGGGGTTTCTGGTAGACAACATATTTGGACTTTGTTTTTTTTATCTACTCTAACAGCCTGTCTTCTAATTAGTTTCTTTAGACCATTCACATACAAATTGATTGTTGATATAATTGGATTGATATCTACCATATTTGTAACTGTTTTCTATTTACTGTACTTGTTCTTTGTTTCTTCTCTTCCCCTTTTTCCATCTTCTCTGATTTAAAATGGACATTGATTGTGATTTTGTTTTCTCATCTCTTAGCATATCAGTTACACTTCTTTTTAACTTGTTTTTAGTGGTTGTCCTAGAATTTGTAATATTTATGTGCATCTAAACTAAGTCCAGCTTTAAATAACAGTGTACTATTTCATGTGCCATGTACCTAATATCAGAGTATTTCCTACTCTTCTCTTGTATCCCTTATAATGTTGTTCTTACTCATTTATCTACATGCCATAATCACTCAATATATTGTTAACATTGTTACTTTGAACAGTTATTTGTTAGATCAGTTTAAGAGTAAAAAATACATGTTTTAATTTTATCTTCATTTAATCCTTCTCTGACCCTCTTTCTTTATGTACATCAATGTTGTAACCTATATAGCTGTTCTTGCTGAAGAACTGCTTTTAACATTTCTGCAAGGCATGTCTACTGGTAACAAATTCCTTTAGTTTTTGTTTTAGGAAGTATTTATTTCTCCTTCACTTTTAAAGGATAATTTCACTGGATATAGATGTCTAGGTTAGTGTTTTTGTTTTTATTTTTTTCCCTGGCACTTCAAGTATTTCGTTCCCACTCTTTTCTTGCTTGCATAGTTTCTGATGAGAAATCCAATGTAATTCTTCTCCTTGTTTCTCTATAAATGAGGAGTTTTTTTTCCCTTGTCTTTGGTTTTCTGCAGTTTGAATATGATACTCCAACTTATAAATTTTTTTGATATTTCCTGCTTGGTTTTCTCTGAGCTTCCTGCTGGGTTTTCTCTGGTCAGTGGTTTGGTGCCTATCATTAATTTTGGAAAATTCCAGCCATTATTACTTCAAATATTTCTTCTGCTCCTTTCTTTCCCTTCTCATATTGCAGTTATGCATCTGTTATAGCTTTTTTATTTTAAAAAATAGTTTTTGGATATTGTTTCTTTTTTTTCTTTATTTTCTTTTTTCAGTTTGGGAACTTTCAGCTGTCATATCTTTAAGCTCACTGATTCTTTCCATGGTACATTACCCATCTATCTTGCATGTTGTCTACATTTTCCATTAGTGGCCTTAAAATGTTAATTGTAGTTATTTTACATTCACTATCTGCTCGTATCAAAATCTAGATCATATCTGAGTCTGGCTTGCTTTGTCTTTTCACACTGTTTTTTCTTGCCTTATTTAGCATGCATTCCAGTTTTTTGTTTCTTTTTTCTGGCTTTCTTTTTTTTTTTTTGGTTCCCTTCAATCCAGTTCCTTTAACACTTAAATCTCTCTGAGGAAGTTAACTAAGAACTTTTTCTAACTTTCTTTCCTCACTCTCCCAACATCTGATCTTAAGTGATGATCTTTTCCTTTCATTTTATACTTGTGAGGCAGTCAGTAAGTATATTCCAAATTCCACTTATTCTCCATTCTTCTCTCATTTTTTTTTGGTTAGCTCTATCTTTTCTACATTGTTGCACCACACATTTATATTCTGTTATGTATGACATTCTTATCTTCATGGTTAGTTTTAGTTCGGTGGTTAAATATTTTTATTTCATGTAACCAGATTTTATGCTGAAGCTTCTCAAATCATTTCTTCAGTATGTATAGTTTATTCATTAGTAGTTTTCTCAGAAAGAATGGCTCAAGGAACGCTTTGTTAACTATGCCTTTAAACTTGAAAGATAGTTTGATTATATATACAGTCCTAGGCTCACATTTTTTGTACTTGATTTTCTTAAAATTTTTTATTTTATTTTGAGTATAAAATACCTGTTTATTGTATTTGGGTATGAAATACAGTCACGTGTTGCTTAACGACTGGGATGTGTTCTGAGAAGTGTCTCTTTAGGTGGTTTCGTCATTAGTGAACTATGGAGTGTACTTACACAAACTTAAATAGTATAGCGTACTCCATTATATAGCTCTATTATAATCTCATGGGGCCAGCATCTTACATGTGGTCTGTTATTGACAGAAACATAATGCGGTTCATGACTGTTGTAGCTGTTGTAAGGTTTTTTTGACAATAAACTTTTCTTAATTTTATGAGTGACTTGATATTTCTATCTGGAAGCTCAAGGAAGTTTTTAAAAAAAGTCTTCAAAGTCTGCATAGTTTGTACTAGGAATATTGAGTTGAATTTCCCTAGCATACCGTGTATTCTTTGAGTGTGTAGATTCAACTTTTATTTTAGAAAGATTTGCTTGAAGCACAGTTTGATGTATCTGTCTAGTTCCAATTATATATTTTTTTGTCGAGTCCAATTATGTTACGTTATAGACAGTTGCTGTCTTTTGTATCTGTTTCATTATTTTCATCACTTTCCAACCTCTTTTCCCTTACTGGGCTATTTTAGCGGTATCTTTTTTGGGAGGAACTTTTAAAATTTAGTCTGTGTTTTTGAAAGATACTCTAGACAGATATTTCAAACTGTGTATTTTTTGGGGGAGGATTTTTAAAAATTTAGTCCTTGTTTCTGAAAAAAAAACTCTTCTCACTTATATGTAAGTCTTATCAGCTCTTCCTGTCATTCTGGCCATACTATTTTTGAGCTGTTTTAATTTTGAATTATTGCTTCTTAATAAAAGTAATGATA
Organism: Homo sapiens; assembly: GCF_000001405.40. Classification (NCBI taxonomy): domain Eukaryota; kingdom Metazoa; phylum Chordata; class Mammalia; order Primates; family Hominidae; genus Homo; species Homo sapiens. Next base: position 131,362,959 of record NC_000007.14, read on the forward strand.
ATAAAAATATAAACTATTTTCTTAATTTCATTTAGGTCATTTTGAAATAATTAACAATTTTCATCTTCGTGGCCACATTTTTCTCAAGTATTTTTATCTATTACAACATCTTAGAGTGGATTTTTATTTTATTTTCTATTGTTTAAACAAGTTGGTTTTCCTGTAGTTTTAGAAGGAAGAACTTCTGTAGGAGGAGGGGATAGACCAGTGCAGTTTTTGAGCTGTGTGGCTCCAGGCCGCATTTGTGAATTTTTTTTTTAATTGCACTTTTGAGATGTAGTAAAGCTTTTCACCTTTATGTTTTCCAGGTATTTTGCTTTCTGAATAGACCCCTTTAAATGTATTTTACTGTTGTGGAACTTTCTGAGATCTGTGTCACTTGGACCTCCTGCCCACCTAGAATGTGAATCTTATCTCTCCTGGAGGGTTCTCATTCTTTTTGCTTTGCTTAGGTCTATTTCTGTTTCTTGCAATTTCTCCAGAATGGGTCTCTGTTTTCATGAAAGTAAGAGAGTATTTGTTGGTAGGATACTTCTACAGTCCTCTTAGAGTGTAGAATCTGCCTCTCTCAGTTTTCCAGTTATCTCTGCATTTACCTATATCTTGGAGCCTGAGAAGGATGTGTTATCTAACTTTACTTAGTTCTCAGATTTTCTTTCCCATCACCAGCATTTGAACTTGTTTGTTCCTTTGTGAAGAATAGACTTTTTCTTTATTTTTACATGAGTGGTTCCTTCTGATTAGCATAATTAAAATATTTTCAGAGAGGTGATTTTTTTCTTTTTTTGTACCATCCCTGGGAAAAAAAAAAAACTGTCCTGCCGTGTCACCACCCCGTTTATTTCTTTTGTAGCACTTATCACAGTCTGTAATTACCATGTTTACAATTCTACTTGTTTATTTTCTGCTGCTTGTCATTTGAATGTTAGCCTCACAACTGGAGATCCTATCTCATATACCATGGTGTTCCCAGAGCCTATCACATTGTCTAGCACAAGACTAGGACTCAGTAAATATTTGTTTGATAAGTAACTCCAACAAATAGTAAAATCCCCTTCTTACTATGCTGTTGTCTTAAAATTGGGAAATACTTGTGAGTCTAAACCTCTGCAGTATATGTAAGTCTAAGTGATTTGGGAGAAAGCTATCATTTTTATAGTATACTCTTTATAGCTGGAGATATTAAAAATTGATTTAAGAGTTGATCCTTACTGCATTTTGAATTATAGTCTTTTAAGAAAAAAACGTTTGTTTATTTATTTACATGTACTTATCCTTTCAAAATACAATGTTCTTAGATTTTAAATCAGAAAGCCTTGAAAAATTATCAGCATTCCCCCTTCCCACACATTTGTAGCTATAATCAAAAACTTTCTAGACTTCCTGTGTGTGTAGATAAAGATATTTCTCGAATATTGGGAGAGAATGCCCCAAGTTTTTACCAAACTGATTAATCTTGGGTATTTAAATGTGTTCCGTATCAGAATTTCCTAATGTATAAGGACTTTGGTTTTTTTTTTTTTAAACATTTATTTTAGGTTCAGGGCATACGTGAAGGTTTTTACATAGTTGTGTTATGGGGGCTTGTTGTACAGATTGTTTCATCACCCAGGTATTAAGCCTAGTACCCAGTAGTGATCTTTTCTCTTTTCTGCTCTTCTCATTCCTCCCACCCTCCACCCTCAAGTAGTCCCAAGTGTCTGTTGTTTGCTTCTTTGTGTTCATAAGTTCTCATGATTTAGCTCCCACTTATAAATGAGAACATACGGTAGTTGTGCTGAGGATAATAGTCTCCAGATGCATCCATGTTCCCACAAAAGAAATGATCTCGTTTTTTTTATGGTTGCATAGTATTCCATGGTGCATATGTACCACATTTTCTTTATCTAATCTGTCACTGGTGGACATTTAGGTTGACTCCATGTCTTTACTGTTGTTCATAGTGCTGCAGTGAACATTTGTGTGCATGTGTCTTTACGGTACTTTACGGTAAAATGATTTCTATTCCTCTGGGTACCTCCCCAATAATGGGATTGCTGGGTTGAATGGCAGTTCTACTTTTAGCTATTTGAGGAATTGCCATACTGCTTTCCACAATGGTTGAACTAATTTACACTCCCACTAACAGTGTGTTCCCTTTTCTCTGTAACCTTAACCCCATCTGTCATTTTTGACTTTAGTAATAGCCATTCTGACTGGTGTGAGATGGTATCTCATTGTGGTTTTGATTTGCATTTCTCTAATGATCGGTGATACTGAGATTTTTCTCATATGCTTGTTGGTTGTCATGTATGTTTTCTTTCAAAAGTGTCTGTTCATATCCTTTGCCTACTTTTTAACTGGGTTTTCTCTTGTAAATTTAAGTTCCTTATAGATGCTGTATATTAGACCTTTGTCAGATACATAGTTTGCAAATATTTTCTCCCATTCTGTAGGTTGTCTGTTTACTCTGTTGATAGTTTCTTTTGCTGTGCAGAAGCTCTTAAGTTTAATTAGATCCCACTTGTCAATTTTTGTTTTTGTTGCAATTGTTTTTTATTTGTCTTGAAATCTTTGCCTGTTCTTACGTCCAGGGTGGTATTGCCTAGGTTATCTTCCAGCGTTTTTATAGCTTTGGGTTTTACATTTAAGTCTTTAATCTATCTCGAGTTGATTTTTGTATATGATGTGAGGAAGGGAGTCCAGCCTCGATCTTTTGCATATGGCTAGCCAGTTACCCCAACATCATTTATGGGAAGGGGAGTCTTTTCCCCATTGCTTGTTTTCATCAGCTTTGTTGAAGATCAGATGATCGTAGGTATGTGGCCTTTATTGTATACTTTTTTTGTCTGTCTCTTAAATTTTATGTGTGTTTTTTTTTATGTTTAAAAAATACTTTGTGATCCCCTTGGCCACAGATAACCATTCTTGTTCTGATACGGTATTACCCCAGCAGAGTGTTCACATGTAGTGGAAGCTCTATTATAATGGTTTGATTGATTGTTATTACTGACTTTTGTGTAGGAGCAAGAGTATACATGATACTTCGAATGAAGGGTGTGAAAGCTCTTCATAGAAATGCAGAATGTTAACTTGGCCTTCGTGAGTAGTGTTTCCTAGAATTGTGCAATTCAACTCCCCTGATTACAGCTGAAAGAAATTTGAGACTAAAGAATTAAACCTTTCCCTTTATACTGCAGATAAAATAATTCAAGTCCTGAGAGATTATGTAATGGATTATCTAACCAATTAGTGACCAAGCTCCAAAATCTCAAGATTTCTAGTTGAAGTTGATTTTTTTTCAGATCCATTTTATCATATGATTCAACAAAAAGGCAGGCTTTAGAAGGATGTTTTTAAACTACCAAAGGAAAAACATCCTTTTATACTTTTTAAAATACTCTGCTTGACTGACTTTTCTTCATATAAAAATTAGAGGTGGCTTTAAAGTATCTAAAACTTCCAATTTAAAGTTGGCGGGGCTTACTGATAAGCATCCTGACCAGCCCTTATCAGAAAAAATGTTAAATGCTCAATTTTTTGCCCAATTGCTGCTGTTATATTTAAGTATTCTTAAGAGTAGTAATTTAGGGCTGGGTGTGGTGGCTCATGCCTGTAATCCCAGCACTTTGGGAGGCTGAGGCGGCAAGATCACTTGAGGTCAGGAGTTCGAGACTAGCCTGGCCAACATGGTGAAATCCCCGTCTCTACTAAAAATACAAAAACTAGCCGGGCATGGTGGCAGGCACCTGTAATCCCAGCTACTCTGGAGGCTGAGGCAGGAGAATTGCATGAACCTGGGAGGTGGATGTTGCAGTGAGCTAAGATTGCACCACTGCACTCCAGCCTGGGCGACAGAGTGAAACTCCATCTCAAAACAAAACAAGAGTAGTAATTTGAAAGGTATATTGCTAAGCAAGCTTAGGGTTTAAGCATATGTAATCAAGAAAGGTTTTTAATTTGCTGACTTGAATTAAAACCTAAAATGTCAAATAAATTATCTTCTCATGGTGAATTGTAATCGTTTGTTACTGACATTTAATTGGTAGTATATACAGATATAGTAGATTTTAAAATATGCAAAAATAAAGACATATAACTTGGGAAAAATTAAAACTGTATCCCATTTTTCAGTTACCCATTTGTGTTTCATTATAAATTTTTAAAGTTCTCATAGAAGAATTTAATTACTCATAGTCTTGCTTTTGTTTTGTAGTCTTTGTATGAGAAACTTAAAATGTTATTCATTTTTATTGCTTTCAGTTTTCATCCAGCATTGGTAAGAATGAAAATGTACATTTTAATATTAAACTAACCTGATGGAAATAGGTAGCCATTTTAGTCTTCAGCCCAACTCTATTTTCAATTCTTCTTAACCAGTTCTCAGTTATTATTTGCATTTTAAATATTTTTAAATGGCAGATATTTAATTTAACTCTAGTTGGCAAATCTTTATTATTTGACTCATATAGTTGATACCGAATTGTGTCTTATAAAATGTATTTTCTATTTTTCTAGATGTTAGTATAAATGAAAGTCATGGGTATCTAGAAGAGTGTTGTGGTCACAATCGCTTTGGTTGCCAGATCAGTGACTCCTGGCAAGTGGAACTAAAAAGCCAGTTTCTATTCTTTCTTATTCCCTCTAGTGCATGGTCTCTCAAGATACCCCTCCTTCTGTTCTACATCTGCTTCATTTTTATTATGCTACTGACTGCCTTATTTCTCTTTTATTATTCTTACCTGGTATCTCTGTTCTCTGTTTCATTAGTTCTGTTTACTTATATATTCTTTGTCTTAGAATTTTATTTCTATACTGGCCCATCCCATCTCCTGTCACAGGAGATAGCCAGCCAAGATTAGCAGTCATTGAAATACTCATAAGTAAAAATCACATGTACAAAGCATATTGCCTATGATTGCTCCTTCAGTAGAGGCTGTGGATGGGGTATTCCGCTTTTAAAAACAAGGGATGTTGAATTGATATCATGATTGACATATGTAGTATAAGAGGTTAACATCTCTCACTTAGTCCTGAAAATTAAAGGAGGATAGGCTATATATACCACTAGTGATGGTAGATTGTATAAGTCTTTGGAAAGTAATACAAGGGAGGATAATAATGAATATGTTTTATAGAATACTACTATGGCAATAGGCTCTATTACCACTGCTGAGGGGCTGATGTTAGCAGTCACTACCCTAAACTGGATTCTCCTTTGCCTTGCAGGAGAGTGGAAATGGGTGGAGGGGAGCAACATCATAGGAGGAAGAATTAAAAACAGTCTAGATCTTACTTTATGTTTTGAAATAAGATCCATTATTTAAAAATTTTAAAAGACAATGAGCTTTTATTAGTTTCTTTGCTGTCTTTTTCTATGTCTTTAAAATGATGGAAAAGTAGAGCCTGATTTGATTTTCTGATGGTGTGTTAGTACGTTCTCACACTGTTATAAAGAACTACCTGAGGCTGGGTGATTTATGAAGAAAAGAAGTTTAACTGACTCACAGGTCTGTAGGCTTGATAGGAAGCATGACTGGGAGGCCTCAGGAAACTTACAGTCATGGCAGAAGGCAAAGGGGAAGCAAACACCTTCTTCTCATGGCAGCAGGAGAGAAAGAGAATGAGTGGGGAAGTGCCACACACTTTTAAAACATCAGATCTTGTGAGAAGTCACTCACTTTGACAAGAACAGCATGGGGGAAATTCGCCCCCCCATGATCCAATCACCTCCTAACAAGTACCTCCTCCAACATTTGGAATTAAAATTCAACATGAGATTTGGGCGGGGACACAGAGTCAAACCATATCAGATTGCAAGTCAGTTTGCTATAAATGCAGAAAGTTTGCTGTCATGTCAACTATTATTTTCAACAATAACTTTTTACTGTTTTGATAAATAATATATGCTTATATATTATTTTATGTATGAATAATATGACAAATAACAAGAAAATAAGTAAAATCTCTTAATGGTATTTATGCCTCATTTTTGGCTACCATTTGTACTTACTTTATATAATTTGATGTAAATTGGATCATATACCTGCTTATCTGTATAATCACACACACACACACACACACACATATCTGTATATAACAGGTTTTTAAAATAAGAATAGAATCATACATGCTTCTTTGTATCTTGCATAGTAGAAATCCCTTTAAGTGTTTTATAATGATAGTATAAAGTTCCATGATGTATGTTCTATAATTTATTTGATCATTTCCTTGCTACTTCAAAAAATGCGGCATCAAACATCTCTATCATATGTCCTTACGTACTGGAGATTTTATTTCTGTGGGATGGATTTTGAAATGAGAGTTCTAGGTGAAAGAATATGTACATTTTAGATTTTAATAAATTTTACATGTTTACTTTCCATAAAGGCTAGGATAATGCACATGTTCATCTTTTCTCCCTAATTTTCTGATAATTAGGAATTAATTTCATCAATTTGATGGGTAAAAAGGGATATCTTACTATTTTAATTTCTTTTTCCATGACACAGACAATACACAGGGATTTTGAGAAATTTTTTTTGGTCATAGTTTATTGGCTATTTGAATGACTCTTCAGTGACTTGCATTCTGCTCATTTTCAGTTCTGTTGTTCATCTTATTCTTATCAAGTGTAACAGCATTTTGCATACTCTAGATATGAATTCTTTATTAGTCATATGAGTTGCAGAGAATTTTGTCCAAACTATTGTTTGTCTCCTGTTTTTCTTCATGGCACTTTTTATAACACAAAATTTGAAAGTTTTAATATAATCAAATAGTTACTTTTTGTTTTACAGATTATGTGTTTCTTGGCAAAAAGATACATATTGGCCCCTACATTTTTCCCCTAGGGTTTTTATGTATATGTGTATGTTTAGATCTTTAATTGAGATTACTTTTTGTTGTTGTTGTTGAGACAGAGTTTTGGTCTTGCTGCCCAAGCTGGAGTGCGATTGTGTGATCTCGGCTCACTGCAACCTCTGCCTCCCGGGTTCAAGCAATTCTCCTGCCTCAGCCTCCCAGGTAGCTGGGATTACGGGCACGTGCCACCATGCCTGGCTAATTTTTTGTATTTTTAGTATTAACGGGGTTTCACCATGTTAGCCAGGCTGGTCTCAAACTCCTGACCTCAGGTGATCCGCCGGCTTCGGCCTTCCAAAGTGTTGGGATTACAGGCGTGAGCCACGGTGCCCAGCCATGAGATTACTTTTGTATGATATTAGACAGGAGTTAACTTTCTTCTGATGGATATTCAGTTGTGCATCATTTAATAAATGAATTATCATTTCCTGCTGAATTAAAATATCACCTTTATCTGATACTAAATTTCCATCTACACTGGACTCAGTTTCTGGGTTTGTGTTTCTCTGAGCTATTGTTTTTTTCCTATTCCAGTCCTTTCTGTTTATAATTATGGCGGATTTAAAGTGTTTTTTTTTTTTTTAAGGAATCTTTTTTAAAGTCTTTAATTCTTACTTTTAAAAAGTGTTTTAAAAGTGATAAGATGATTTCCTGTCACTATTCTTTTTTTTTTTTTTAGTAAGTTTTCTTAACCCTTTTTGTATGTTTATTTTTTCCATACAAACTTTTTACATTGTATACTCCTTGGGTAAAATTTCGCATACCTCAAATAGTTGGCAGTCAGCAATGCTTGTCTTATGGGTTTTGGTATACCACTTCCTGTGTTAGGTTTCTGTGGGTCACCAGGAGACACCCCTCAGCAATTAGATGGCTTCAACTGACAGGGCAAGTTCTTCTCACCTTTAGGGCAGGTTACTTCTCTTGAAGGTCTTAGTGGGGTAGGGAGATAGCAGATTGTCACAGCAATACTTATGCAGTTGATGCCTGACTCTTAGGGAGAGAAGTATTCAAGGAATTTATGGTTCTTCTGCTAGGGCCAAGCTTTTGTAAGATTCTTAAAGATCTGAGCCTGGCCTCTGTAACCTGGTGGGCTCAGGAGAGTTACTTAGTTGGCTTAGTGCTGGGACTGGAGATCAGCAGGAGTATCTTCAAGCTTCTATCTTTCCAAACCCCCTAGGCTAACCTCACTCCGTTTCTGGTCTGTATTTTATTTCTTTTTAATTTTCCTTTCAATTTAGTATGAGCTTTAAGTTACAGGTAATCAGTGGGATTAATGTACTGTATCCTTTGGTGGGTCTACTTTAATTTTTTTCTTTTTTGTGTTATTTATTTGTTCATATCATTATCAGATATTTATTAAGTACCTTGTATATGGCAACATTTAGGCCTATGAAGATGTATCACCCAGTCCTTGTCTTCTGAGCAGCATTTTGCAAAATTTTTCTTTTCTTTCTTCTTAAAATACTGTCTTCACTTAGTATTTACACTTTCTAGGTTTTCATTTTCTTTATCTTTGGCATTCTTCGGTTTCTTTTGCTTGATTCTTTTCTTCTGGACCTCCTAAATGATGGACTCCCAGAGCATAATCAGTCCTTAAGCTTTTCTTCTGCTCTATTTCATTCCCTAAGTCATCTCACTTAATGTTGCGGATTTAAATAGCATTGATACATTGACATCTCTGAAGAGTATATTTTATTCAGCACTGGTATTTTCCTTGAATTTCAGCCCCAGATAGCCAATTGCCATATCTAATAGGCATGTGAAAATTCACAAGACCAAAACATATTGCAACTGTTTGGCCCCCTTGATTTTGCATTTAGTGGTCCATCTGCTCATTTTTCAGGTTATGACACGGCTCTCTTCCTCATGTTATTGAGGCCTGTTTCTCCTATACTTTTCTTCATAGTAACATTATTCTTTACCACTACTTACCAATACTTTACATTATACTTGACATATATAACATATATATATATATATACACTTAATTTTCCAGATGCTGAGAGCTGTTAATCTCCTATTTTTAGAATCAATTTCTTCTCATATTTACTGTGGTTTTTGCTTTATTTGATTCATTACAGCTGACAAATTATGTTACCATCGAATTTCTTTTTTAGAGACAGGGTCTCTCCCTGTTGCCTTCTTGATTTTCTGTCTCAAATAATTTAGAAGATATGTGGTACGTTTTTATTTCTATCTTTGTTTAATTTTAAACTTTAAATAGTATTAATTTTTTTTCTTTTTATCAACTTCAGAAACATTATTCTTTCCTAGGAACTGTGAAAGATGAAGGAACTACCTCACTTCCATGACATCTAACATTCCCCTCCCCATATTTATTATACTTCATGATTTTTGTGGTTCCAATGTATCATAGTTATAATGTATTAGGTTTTCCTTCATGCTTTATAACATGTATATCAGTGTGATTTTTAAAAATTCTAGTTCTTTAGCTTTTAATTGTCCTGTAGTCTTTTCAAACTCAGTTCATATCTTCAATCTTCTGTGTTTTCTAATTCATTTTTGGGAAAAAGCTTTTTTTGTGATATGAAAGGAATTTGTGTTAATTTTAGAAAATTTGAAAAAACACAAAAAAGCACAAAGAAAAAAATTACTTGTAATCTCCCTTTGAGAATTATATTAATAACTTAGTATACGTTCTTTGTCTTTTCTCCCTGTTTATGAATGTTATTACTTTGCAACACTTGATTCTTTACATACACAGTTAACTACTTTTCCCCTTCACTTACTATGTATTGAACATTTTCCTATGACATTAAAGTCAAGCTGTAGAATACATAATAATTTACATGGTATTCTGTACAGACATGTTATAATTTAATCCTCCATTGTTAGTTTATTTACAGCTTGCTCTTCTAAAGTGTGCTTTGATGAATGTGGATTAGTTATATCCCCTAGGTTTTTTTTTTTTTTTTTTTAGATAAAGTTCTAAGAAGTGAAAGAATTCTGAGGCTTTAGCATATGGTGATTAAGAGCATGGACTTTGTAGACTGACTGCCTTGGGTTCAAATCCTTACTTAGCTGTATACGTTTAGGCAATTAATCTTTTCTTTTTCTTTTTCTTTCTTTTCTTTCTTTGCTCCCTTCCCTACCTTCTTTCTTTTCTTTTTTCTTTTACCTTTTTCCTGCAGTATGTTTCAATTTCTTAAATTTGTATACTTCCAAGATAATGGTTTATACATAGAAAACATTTAGAAGAGTGTCTGGGACTCAAACACAGTCATTGTCGTGGTTGTCATCATTTTTATTTAAAGGATGTACATATTTGAAATATTTTTGCTATCGATTAAATTTTTCTCCTGAAAAGTTACATTAATTTGCATTCCTATCAGCAAAATATAAGAGTAACATTTTACCAGCCCTGGCCAACAACTGCTGTTATAATTGTAAAATGTAGTTATTTTTGAGGGTGTGGGACTAATTTTATAGGGACAATATATATGTTTATCTTAATCTCCAATTTTTGAATATTGATTTTGGATTTTTTTTGTCCGTTTTCATATGGGGTATTTATATTTAAGTGCTCTTTAAATATTCAAATTTTAATTAGCCCAATGTATTTTATTTGCCTTTATTTTTTCTAGTTGGCTGTTTGCCTGTTAATTTGATTTTTAGTTGTTTTATGTGTTTATGTTTTGCCTTTGTGGAACATGTGTGTAAAGGCAGTTCTTTTCCATACACTGTGCTTTTTAAAAAAATTCATTAATCTATTTTTGATAATAAGTCTCTTTATTTGTGTTGGTATAAATAAGTCTATAATTATTAAGTACCTTCTGTTTGCCAGTATAGATCTAACTTTTAAAAATAGAATTTTTATTGCAGAATAATTTTAGGTTTATGGAAAAGTTGCAAAGATGGCATAGTTACTATATATGTTCTTTACGCAGTTTTCCCTTGTTGCTGACATCCTGCATTATTACCATGGTACGTTTGTCACAACTAAGATGTCAACATTGGTACACTACTATTAACTAAATGCCACATTTTATTTGGATTTCACTAGTTTTCCCACAAGTATTCTTTCTCTGATCCAAGATCCCACATTACATTTAGTTGTCATGTTTATTACTCTCCTCTGGTCTGTGAGTTTCTCAGTCTTTCCTTGTTTTTTATTATATTGAGAGTTTGGAGGAGTACTATTCATTTGTTTCATTGACCTTTCCTCTGATGTTTTCCTGCTGGTTAGGCTGGGGTTATTTGTATCAATATAGACTCATGGGTATTTTACCACTTAAATTTTTTTAGCATTGGCCTGTCATTCTCTGTGACCCTTTGACATGATCCATACTGCTCCCTTCTTCTGCCTTTTTTAAAAAACACTTTTTTTCTTGTGTAAGATGCTCTAGGTTAATCTTCTGTATTCCCTTACCTGGCTCTGGAATCAGCCATTTCTCCAGCTACTCCTGTTTTCTTTTATTGGAGAGTGGTATGTGGAAACATACCATTGTGGAAATACCAGGGTGCGGTGCTGGGTGTGTTTTTGGGTACTGGTGTGTCACTGCTTCTAGTCCCCCTCAGTGGACAGAATTAGAAAATACTGTTTGTGCACACACACCCCTATAATTATTTATATTATATTACGGTAAACACAAGTTTGCACTGATGTCACTGATTCTAATCCAGTATCACAGGGTTCCTTCTGCCCTCCGTCCCCTTGCCTAACTGTAACATCCCCCTACAAAAGTGAGAAACCTGGCTCCCACATTTACCAGCCATTTACTTATTTGTTCAACCCCAGTATGTATGTAACATAGGAATTAACCCATATTCCTTGTGAAAAACAACTTTACCAAATCAAGCAGTGTTTATGTATATAGCTCTGCTTGCCTTTAGCCTTACAGTTTCCAGTGAAAAAGCGGTCTTCTAAAGTTACTTATATCAGTTCCTTTTCCACTCACAGTTCTGCTTTTGATGGTATGCCTAAAAGTGCATCTTACTCCAAAGATGGACTTTATATATGTATAAAAAATATATATATTCTATACGATGCATGTTTGATATATGTAATATATAATGTAACAATATGATTGCATGCAATATAATGCATGCTACATGTAATATGTATATATGGTATTTTATTTTTAGGTATTTTATTGCTTTATTTTTACCCTGAAGTCTTTTTTTTTTTTTTTAAAGACAGAGTCTTGCTATGTTGCCCAAGCTGGAGTTGCTATTCACAGACATGATCCATCATAGCACACTGTGGCCTTGAACTCTGGGCCTCAAGTCTTCCTCCAAGTAGCTGAGGTTACAGACGTGTGCCACTGCACCCAGCTATTTTTACCTTAAATTCTTAAATATGTATGTCTAAGGTTCATTTTGTCACTTAGTGTAAAGTATTAATATAACTTTTTATTTTAAACAAAAGTGCCTTATGAAAAGTCTTGATTTTTCTCTGTTGTTGAAAATACCACCTTTGTCATATTTTAAAATCTTATATCTACTAGAAGCTTTCTGTGCTTTTCTTACTCTGTTTTGTTTTCTATTCTTATTCAAGTTCCAAACATTACATAACTTTATGATAATTTCAGCATCTGGTAGATTATTCCTGTTTTTGCCTATTCATGTTCTCTTAATTTTTTAATACTTTCTTTATTCCAGGAACATTTTAGTGGACAAACCAAATGACCAATCTTCAAGATGGTCTTCAGAGAGCAACTATCCTCCCCAGGTAAGATTACATGTATCCCTTAATGCTGTTTAGAAGTCACCATTTAAATAAACACTCAATTGATACTAGTTATCTGGAATCTACTAATAGTTTATTCTCTTTTTGAGATTGTGAGGTAAATTTTTATTCTCTCTATTTTTGCTTGTTTATTAAATTTTGGAAGAATTTTTATCTCATAGGCAAATGCAGTGTGAGATTTGATGAAACATGGACTTTTACTTCTGTCTACCAGAACAGTTACGCTCAAGTTATTCTGTAAATGTTTAAGGAAATGTTAGTAAATTGAACTCTGACTCAATGACTATCTTATGGGGAAAATAAACTTAAATAGTTTATTTTATTATAATATTATTATACTTAATATTAAAATAATATTTAAATGGCATCAGGACCATGTGCTAAATTTCTTTTCCCTGGCAAGTAGTGTCTGGGGTTGACTGAATTTAAAATCAGTCTTTCAGTTATATGCGTTCAGCATTAATATTTATAATGTATTAGGCACACGTATGTCCATATCCTTGAAGAAATTAATGCTCTGCTAGGTAAAGCAAATGGGTAAATAATACTTACTTTATTTTTTAATTGTAGTATAATTCATGGAAATATATATATATATATATATATATATATATATATATATATGTATGATGTATGTATTTTTTTTTCTCTTTGCCTACCTATTTGGATCCCCTGGTGTTTACATGTTTTATTGCAAAAGACATGTCTAAAGAATATATATTTATAATTTTTGGGAGCCGCAGTGGCTCAGGCCTGTTGTCTGGTGCATAAGGAGGCGAGGCTAGGCGTTCGAGGCTAGCCTGGGCAACACAGAAACCTTTGATCTATGTTAAAAAAAAAAAAAAAAAATGGCTGGGCGCGGTGGCTCATGCGTGTAATCCCAGCACTTTGGGAGGCCGAGGAGGGCAGATCACAAGGTCAGGAGATTGAGACCATCCTGGCCAACATGGTAAAACCTTGTCTCCACTAAAAATACAAAAATTAGCTGGGTGTGGTGGCACACGCCTATAGTCCCAGCTACTCGGGAGGCTGAGGCAGGAGAATCGTTTGAACCCAGGAGGCAGAGGTTTCAGTGAGCCAAAATTGCACAACTGCACTCTAGCCTGGTGACAGAGTGAGACTCTGTCTCAAAAAAAAAAAAAAAGAATATATATTTATAATTTTTATATATAATGTAAAGAATAAGACAAATAACCTGTTTATTCATCAGCCATGTTTAGAAATGGAAAGTGACTGCTATCTTTTGAAGCCTCCTTTGAGCCCCCTCTTATATCTTTCCTCTAACCCCTCCCCAGTAACTATAATTGATGTTTTATTAAGCATTTTAAAATAATATTCCATAGATATAGCATATAAATATTTTATGATTTAATTTTTTTGGCTTTGACTTTATAAAAATAAAATATAAATTGATTCAGTCATTTATAAATTTTCTGTGACTAGCTGTTTTTTAACATGATGTTTATTAATATCGTTATATGTAATTGTAGTTTGTTCATTTTCACTACCATATAGTATTCCTGTGTATAAATATGCCAAAATGTATTTATCCATTTTGCTGATGATAGGCATTTAGGCTTTTTACAGTTCTTCGCTATTATGATACAAGCTGCTGTGAACATTCTTATATGTTGTCTCCTGGTACACATGTGTAAGAGTTTCTTTAAGGTATACATACCTTGGAGTAGAATTGTTGAATTATAGGGTAGGTATATGTGTATTGAACTTTATCAGGTAACAGAAGACTGTTTTACAAAGTAGTTGTAGAATTTATCCTCTTAATGGTTGTTTATGGAAGTTGCTGTTGGATCATGTTCTCCTCATCACTTCTATGGGTGGATTTTATATTTTGCCAGTCTAGTGGATTTTTCATTTTAACTCATTGTGGTTATAATTTGCTTTTTCCTATTTACATTAAAATCTCTTTGCATATGTTAATGGACTTACATTGTGTTTTTAATCACGCTTTTCTTGATTCACTTTTTCATTTTACTTAATTTTAGTGCTCAAATTTTGGTATGTTAGTGTTTTTCATTTGATTATTTTTATTTCTTATTAATGATCTTTTCTGAAAAAAGGAAAATTCAGTGATCATAACTGAAACTATGATAACCTTATTATTTTGAAATTGTCTTTATTTGTTATTGGACTATATTTTGAAGGCAGTAGAATTTAATACTTTTCTTAACTTTTTTGTTTGCTTATTCATTCATTAAAAAATTATTTAGTAAGCATCTATGGAGTGCCAAACTTTAGGTATTTGAATACTGTAGGGAATTAAATATTGTCTCCTCTTGATGAGCGACGGGTATTACATCAGATACCCTGAAACATTTCAATATGATAAGTCCTATAGTAGAAGTTATCTGAAGTTTTTGTAATGAAGAAGGACTAATTTGTCATGAAAATAAATACCATGCAATCTAGTTTTCTTCATTGTAGTTATTACTCAAATATAACTGGGGTTTTCTGTGGCCAGTCTCAAGGGACAACATTTTTGCCAGAAAAGAAAAAATAAAATTGAAAGCAATTTCAATGTTTACTTAGTTGTATGAGAGACTGCCATGTTGGATGGAATGGGTATAGTTTTATTTTTTATTTGTTTATTTATTTTTTTGAGACCGAATTTTGCTCTTGTCATCCAGGCTGGAGTGCAGTGGCGTAATCTTGGCTCACTGCAGCCTCCACCTCCTGGGCTCAAGTGATTCTCCTGCCTCAGCCTCCCGAGTAGCTGGGATTATAGGCGTGCACCACCACGCCCAGCTAATTTTTGTATTTTTAGTAGATACTGGGTTTCACCATGTTGGTCAGGCTGGCCTTGAATTCCTGACCTCAGGTGATCCGCCCACCTTGGCCACCCAAAGTGCTGGGCTTACAGGCGTGAACCATCATGCCTGGCCAGCATGGGTATAGTTTTCATGTATAGTTATGTAGCAAAGAGTCTTGCACTTCTAGTGGTTGTAAGCTATAATATTTCTTTCCCACTCTTGATCTGAAAGTTCCCAAATGCACTGGATAAAAAATAGATATATCCACGGCCGGACGTGGTGGCTCATGCCTGTAATCCTACCACTTTGGGAGGCCAAGACGGGTGGATCACTTGTGCTCAGGAGTTTGAGATCAGTCTGGGCAACATGGTGAAACCCTGTCTGTACAAAAAATACAAAAAGTAGTCGGGCATGGTAGCGTGTGCCTGTAGTCCGAGATACTCAGGAGGCTGAGTTGGGAGGATTGCTTGAACCCAGGAGGTCAAGGCTGCAGTGAGTCGAGATCATGCCACTGCACTCCAGCCTGGGTGACAGAGTGAGAGACTGTCTCAAAAAAGAAAAAATACACGCACGTGTGCACACACACGCACGCAAAGCTGGGACTTTTTTTTTTTTTTTTTGGAAGCTGGAACCTTAAAGCAATTCATTCTCAGGATAAGAATGAAACAGAAGAAGTCCCCACCTCCTAGGGACCGTGGAAAGAATTGCATTGACACTCAGTAGAGGAAGGGAAAATGAGGAAGAAAACTCGTCTCTGAGAGGTTATAGCTTATGTATTGGTTTTTGTTCACATTTGGTAGTCAGATTCTCATTACTTGACTATCCATGAAACCTTGTGGTATGATTTTAGTTTAAAGTGATTGTGGATGAATAGTACATTTAAGGTTCTCAGCAGAAGCAAATGCAGATCTTCTCTGAAAATAGTTACCTTTATTCTAGGCCTCAGGCATTCTCCACAAATCATTATTAGAGGAAAATTGAGCAGTACACACTCAAAGATAACTAAGTATATAGCAGAAAGTAAGATACTTTAAGAACTAGCAGAACAAATGGCAGAACCCCTTCCAGAATTTTAGATATTAGAATTAAAATTACTGAAAGATACTGGAGTTAAGTCAACTACTTATATTTAAAGAAATAAAAGAAATTGGACACTAAAAAGTGATGTGGCAGATTTGAAAAAGAACCAAATAAAACTTCTATAAATGAAAAATATAATAATAAAAGTCAGTTTTGACAAGATTTTCCACTAAGCACAGATAGAAAAGATGAAATAGAAGTCAAATTTTAAAAAATATTTTTGAAGGTAGTATATTGAAAATAAGGTAGTAAAGAGTGATGGGAATGAATAAGACCTACTATTTGATAGCACAATAGGCTGACTGTAGTCAATAATAACTATATATTTTTAAGTAACGTAAGGAATGTAGTTGGATTGTTTGTAACTTGAAGGATAAATGTTTGAGGTTAGGGGTACCCCATTCTCCACGATGTGCGTATTTCACATTGCATCCCTGTATCAAAACATCTCATGTACCCTGTAAATATATACACCTACTGTGTGCCCACAAAATTTTTTTTCAAAAGTGATGGGGCCAAGATTCAGAAGACTATGGGAATCTAAAAAGAACTACTTTGGGGCCACTTTTCTACTGAGTAGCCTAAAGAAGTTCTAAGAGATTAAGAAGCTGAAATAGCACCTTTGACAAACCCCTGGAGCCAGGGAGTTATAGATTAGAAGCTAGAATCTGGGGTGTGGTAGGGTGGTAGACTCCTCTTGCTCTGGGCTGAAGACCCTGAAGCTATGTCTGAAGAGTGAGCGTGAACCAGAAATAATCTGGCCCTCACAGGGAGTGAAGTCCAGTTTCATATCATCCCGGTACTTGAAACTGGATTAAAATAATCAGGAATTGGTAGTATCCCTAGCAATAGACCTACAGTAGAAGATATACTTTTTTAGGAAGCTGATACCCTAGGCATGTAGTTACTTTTAGTTTTTCATATTTGGTGTCTATCAAAATAGAGGGATTTACAGATAATAGGAGTTTCAGATACAAGTCTTAAAATAAGTGCCCTTGCTATGTGAAAGGAAAAAAGGAGATGAAAATTAATATTGAAAATTTTGGCAAAGAACTGAAAACTGTATTAAAAAATACCAACAAAAAATGAAAAATACAATACCCAAAATGCAAATTGCACTTATGAGAATAAAATAAGAATGTATGCAAAAGCATTTTCTGAAATTTAGTATACTTTATGTAAAGTAGCAGTATTATTATAGGCAGGTATTGCTAAGAAAATAATTGTTGCCAGTAATATAATATTGCAGATGCAAAAAGTTATTCACTTTTTAGTTTATTCTAATAAGCTGTTATGTGACCTGCTTGTTTCAAATCACTTAAGAGGATACTCATGCTGTATAAATTAGTTTTATTTAGTTTTGAATAAGGAGAAACCTTATTTCACTAAATGTTGATGTGTTTTTGAATTCTTCCCATAATCATACGGTAATTGCAAGGATTAGGATACATGTAGTAGCTACTTTGCTGCCCTTAAACTATGGCAAGTATTTTGGTTTCATATACAGTTGATTCTGGTTATTCACAGTAGTTATGTCCTATAAAGTAGTCATGAACAGTGATTTAGCAAATACTGAACCATTGCTCCTAGAAAAATACAGGGTTAGGTTCCTGTGAGTCTTTGGTTAAATATTTTCATCAGCTAATCAATGTATAATCTTGTCTTATGTATGTTTCTGTTTAAAGAAACCTTAATATAAGTATTTTTGATTCATTAACATTGAATTCACAGCCAACAGTACTATAACTCATATCATAATGAGTTTATCTAACACATGTATTTTCTCCATAAGGCATATCATTTACTTAAACTACTTTGGAAGAAGCTTATAATTGCAGTAAAGGAGTTATGATCTAACCCTTATTATGTCAATTAAAAAGACATTTGTAACTGCCTGTACATTTTAACCAACCCTAGAGAGTTTTCACCAGTCATCTTGAAAGACATGTTTTCCATGACAGTATCAGTAACTACTGTAACCACATATATGATGACAGGGAAGGGTGATATTATATCTTTAAAGCATTTATGGGATTTTCATTCATGCTACATTTACTCTACCAGCACAGATGATCCAGAATTAACAGCAATGTTTTCTCATTAAGGTCTCAAAATATTGCCCCCATCACTGTGAAAATGACTTTAATGTTTTTGTTTATACAAATTACAAATACTAAAAGTGAGAATCAAAAAGGAGATAAAAGCATAAGAAATCTAAAATAAATTAGAAATCAGCTGAATTCCATCATCCTGACCTCATCACTACCACCACCACCACCACCACTGCCATCATTTTGAAGATGATTCAGCTTAACTCTGTGCATACACTCACACAGACACATAATTTACGTAACATGTTGGTTTTATAAATGGGAATAACTTTTTAAAAGAAAATAATTGTTTTCTTTTTTTTGTCCTCTCATCTCCTTCTCTCTAGTAACCAATGCTAACAATCAGGTTTGTGCCCATTCATATCTTTATATGGGTTCATTGCATCAAATACTAATTTAAACATGTACATGCATACATCTGTATGTACTCACAAACATACTGGCAAGCGCAAGTGTCATTATTCAGGTAATAATAGTAGGATCTTGTTACCTACTTGATTTCTGTTGTATGAATATCTCACAGTTTGTTTATCCATATACCTGTTAATGAACATTGAATCGTTTTCCAATTTTTGGCTATTACAAAGATGTGCTAAAAATTAATACAGAAGTGCCTGGGTATGGTGGCTCGTGCCTGTAATCCCAGCACTTTGGGAGGTCGAGGCAGGCAGATCACTTGAGGCCAGGAGTTCGAGACCAGCCTGGCCAACATGGCGAAACCCCATATCCATAAAATTACAAAAAATTAGCCAGGCGTGGTGGCTCATGCCTGTAATCTCAGCTATTTGGGAGGCTGAGGCACAAGAATCACTTGAACCTGGGAGGCGGAGGTTGCAGTGAGCCAGGATCTTGCCACTGCACTCCAGCCAGGGCGACAGACAAGGCGAGAATCTTTCTCCCAAAAAAAAAACAAAATTAATATACAAGTCTTTGTGGTTTTAATTTGCATTTTTAAAATGATTAATGATGTTACCATTTTTTGTATGCTTGTTGCCTTCTTGACTGTTTTCTGGTGAAGTGTCTGTTCAAAAGGTTTGTCGTTTTAAAATTTGTTGTTATTGTTCAGTTTTGAGAGTTCTGTGTATGTTTTGTATTTAAGTTCTTTATCAGATTTATATATGATTTGCAAATATTTTCTTTGCATCTGTGGTTTCCCCTTCCTGTTCTCCCCACTCACTGCCCCAGCCTTCCTTCTGTTCCAATATTAGAGGGAATCATCATTAAGCATGATGCTTAGCTATAGATATTTTATTTTATTTTATTTTATTTTAGAGACAGGGTCTTACTGTGTCTCCCAGGCTGGAGTGCAGTGGTGCGATCTTGGCTCACTGCAAGCTCCGCCCCATAGGTTCATGCCATTCTCCTGTCTCAGCCTCCCGAGTAGCTGGGACTACAGGTGCCCACCACCACGCCCGGCTAATTTTTTGTATTTTTAGTAGAGACAGGGTTTCACCGTGTTAGCTAGGATGGTCTCGATCTCTTGACCTCGTGATCGACCCTCCTTGGCCTCCCAAAGTTCTGGGATTACAGGCATGAGCCACCACACCCGGCCAGCTACGGATATTTTATATATGTCCTGTGTTTCTTTGAGAAAATTTCCTCCTGTTTGAAGTTTTCTGAGAATTTCTAATCCTGAATGGATATTGAATTTTGTTGCTATTGTTCCACACCTTAAAACCTTTTTATGTTTCTCTACTTGTCCTAGAACAGAGTCCAAATTTCTTAATATGGTCACAAATTACACCTCCTTCCAGCAGAAGGTGCAGTCTCTTCTACCTCATGAGTCTTGGTTGGTCTTGTGATTTTCTTTGACCAACAGAAAAGTCTAAGAAAGTGATATTGCAACTTCTAAGCAAGGCCTGTAGAAGCTTAGAGATAAATGTGCTTGAGGAAAGCCTATTTAGCTTCTTTGAGGTTGAAAGCCCAATCCCAATTAACCCCAGCCTTCCCATTCCCCACTCCAGTTAAGCCCAGTCCCCTAGCCAATCCATCAGCTTAATACAACTACATGAATGAATCCAGCAGCTACCAATGGAAAAGCTGTCTAGCAAACCCACAGAATCATGAGAAATCATGAACCACTGTTGTTTTAAGACACTGGAGTGATTTATTACATAACCTCAGATATACATAGATATAAAATCTGGACTTTTCTAGTCTCATTTTTGTACTTCCTGTTTCTTTGCCAGTTCTTTCCATCACAGTAAATGATATCACCACTTACCCTGTTATTGAAGTCAGAAACTATGTCATCATCCTTAATGCCTCCCTCTTTTTCCCCTGCATCCAATCTGTCACCAAATCCCATCAATTGTTTCTCCAAAATGTGTGTCAAAACTGTCTACTGTTGTCCATCTCCACGCTATTTTAGTCCAAGTCTCCTTCATCTCACCTCTTTCCTGAGTTTATTGTGACAGCATCCTAACTGGTGTGCCAGTTCTTTTAATCCGCTCTCTGTAATGCACATTGTGTGCATATGTGTGTGTAATGTTAATCAGATCATAGCTTTTTGTTGTGCTTAATAGATCCCATTGAATTTATAATTCAAACTTCATGTAATTGCACAAACTGCATGATCTGGTGACTGCCTCCTCTTCATTTTCAACACATACCATTTTCTGCCCTGCCTATTAGGCTGCAACCACACTGGCATTTTAACAGCAGTACCTAGAACTAATTTTCATAAGCATTCACTACTTTTTTTTTTTTTGCCTGGCTGGCTCTGTGTAGTAGATTGAATGGTCCCTCCCCCCACCCCCACCCCTACCAAGATATGTGACATCTCAGAATGTGACCTTATTTGGAATAAAGTGTTAGTAAATGTAATTAAGGTAGGGATCTCGAGGTGAGAGCATCTTTGATTAGGGTGGCCTATAAATCCAATGACAAGTGTCCTTACTAGACACAGAAAAGACACAGATACAGGGAAGAAAGCCATGTGAAGATGGGTGGCAGAGATAGGAGTTACACTGTCACAAGCCAGAAAAAAAATCAAGAGCCACCAGATACTGGAAGAGGCAAAGAAGGATCCTTTCTGAGGTCCTTTGAAGGGAGCATGGTACTGCTGACACTGTAGTTTAAGACTTCAGGCCTCCAGAACTATGAGAAAATAAATTTCTGTTGTTTTAAAGCCATCGATTTGTTATAATTTGTTATGGAAACCCAAGGAAACTAATACACCCTATAGTACACCTATAGTTAGCTGTGTAACTATATTTCTTCATCTGTAAATTGAGGATGAAGAGAGTAACCTGTGTTCATATATTCCTCCCACTACTGCTACTACTGTGAATGAGCTAATGCATGTAAAAGTCTCAGCAATGTGCCAAATAAGAAGTTAGTGCTCACAAAATGTTAGCGTTATTTTCATTGCCATTCTTAACACCACCAGCTTAATTCTTTTTTTATTGAGGTAAAATCACACATAATATAAAGTTAGCCATTTTAAAGTATATAATTCAGTGACATTTAGTGCATTTACAGAATTGAGCAACTATCACCTCCATCTAGTTCCAAAATATTTTCATTGTCCACAAAGAAACTTCATATACCCAGTAAGGAGTATCTCCTTTTCGATCTCAGCCCAGTTTTTGACAACCACTAATCTGCTTTATGCCTCTATGCATTTACTTGTTCTGGGTAAGTCAGACTGGCTTTTGTATCTGACTTTTTTCACTTAGTATGTTTTTGAGGTTAATCCAGGTTGTAGTGTGTGTCAGTGTGCATTCCTTCATATGGCGGAATACTACATTGCACAGAAATACTGTAATTTGGCCATTCATCAGTCGACGGACATTTGGGTTGTTTCCACCTTTTGGCTATTGTGAACAGTACCCCTGTGAACATTCATGTACGACTGTTTGTTTGTATACCTTTTTTTTTTTTCCTCATTTCATTTGGGTTTATACCTAGGAGTGGACATTCTTGGTCGTGTAGTAATTCTGTTTAACTTTTTGAGGCACTGCCAAATGATTTTCCACAGTATGTGTACCGTTTTACATTCCTGCCAGCAATGCATGAGAGTTCCAGTTTCTTTACATCTTTGTCAACACTTACGGTTTTGCATTTTAAAATTATTATTATTATTGCCATCTTAGTGGATGTGAAATGGTATTTTGTGATTTGGATTTACATTTTCCTGATGACTAATGATGTTAAGCATCTTTTCATGTGCCTGTTGGCCATTTGTTTACTTTCTTTGGAGAAAGGGCTATTCAGGTCCTTTATCTGTTTTTAAATTGGGTTGTTTGTCTTTTTGTTGTTAAATTGTAGGGGCATTTTTAATATATTCCAGATACCAGACTCTTATCAGATATATGATTTGCAAATATTTTCTCCCATTCTATAGGGTGTCTTTTCACTTTCTTGATAGTATCCTTTGATACTAAAATTTTAGTTTTGATGAAATCCAATTTATTTTATTTTGTTTGTACTTTTGCTGTCATATCTAAGAATCCGGTGCCAAATCCAGAGTCATGAAGATTTGCCCGTAGTTTTTGTCTAAGATGTTTAAAGTTTTAGCTCTTACATTTAGGTCTTCAGTCTTTTTTTTTTTTTTTTTGAGCTAGAGTCTTACTCTGTTACTCAAGCTAGAGTGCAATGGCGTGATCTTGGCTCACTGCAACCTCCATCTCTAGGGTTCAAGCAATTCTCCTGCCTCAGCCTCCTGAGTAGCTAGGATTACAGGCGACCGCCACCATGCCTGGCTAATTTTTGTATTTTTAGTAAAAACGGGGTTTCACCATGTTGGCCAGGCCGGTCTCAAACCCCTGACCTTGTGATCCGCCCACCTCGGCCTCCCAAAGTGCTGGGATTACAGGTGTGAGCCACCGCACCCGGCCAGGTCTTCAGTCCTAAAGGATTGATGTTGGATCAGTTTTTATCCATTTTGAGTTGATTTTTGTGTGTGATAAGAGGCAGGACCAGCAAGTTTATTCTTAACCGTCTTTATCACCTATATTATCCAATATCGTGAAGCATGACGTCTCTCCAACAAAACATCTGATTGGTTTTTCTAAATAGCTTTTCCAACATGTGTTCAAGGAGTGGTAATTTTCTTCTTAATTTTTATAATAGAGAACAGTCTGCGTGATGTTCTCTATTTAATTGATCCCGTTTTATCCAATGTGTAATAGGAAAATGAGCTACATTAGACGTATCTAGAGTAGATTTGGGTTTCAAATTTGTAAACTTGGCAGGGTTGATTAGTAAATCTTTGCTTCTACATCTAAAAATTTTAGTGCCGCTTTCAAACATTGGTTTAGTTATTGAAGTAGAGTCCATAGAAATATGTAATTGTTATTTTTGTATTCTAATCTTGTTTTATTTGGTTTTGCATAGTTTGGTTATATCTTTTATTGAATACTGTTCTTTGATTAGAAGTTATCTCACTAGTTCTTTTTTTCCTCCCTTCACCTACAGTGTTGGGGATAATGTAGTTTTTGGGATCTACTGGCGTGAAAAGTGGTTCTGGTGGGATAACCTTTATAAGGCTGTTATGTACTATTCTATAGCTTTAAAAAAATCTGCTAGTACAGGATGGACAAGGATGGACCTTATACATTCTTCTGTTAACTGGCAATAGTTTTAAAGTTGTCTAACATTTGTTTTAAACAGAAGAGGATATAATTTGGTCGTTTCTTTTTTTAGTACTTGATTCTAAAGCTCGAAAGGCCTGCTATAGTTCAGAATATCACATTTGGAAAATATGAGAAAACTCATGTTTGCAATTTGAAGAAATTTAAAGTCTTTGGTGGAATGAATGAAGAAAATATGACAGAGCTGTTGTCCAGGTGAGTTATGGTTATGTTGAAGAGAGCTGTCTTCTAAACAAAACGTAGTCTTAGTCTTTTTGTAGCTAATCTGCATGGTTTGATTTTTCTTTCAAAGGAGAAAAGAGTATTCCTTCTATTCTATCCCTAATGCCTTAGTTTAATACTGTGGCTTGAGTTAGCTTTCTTTTTTATTTTTATTTTTTAACCAACAGACCCTAGTTAATATTTTTACCAAAGAAGAAACAAACTTTTTTGTTTCATCCTTTTTTAACTGTATTTTTGAGCTGTTAATGACTTCAGAAATATTTTCAGCTTTAATGAAATTTTTTGCTATAATCTTTGCTGTAAAAAAAAATACAGGCTCTATCCAAAACACTAAGATTAATTGCCCTAATCCAGAAGCAATATTCTAGTGGTTTACTGTAAGTTGGAGACTAGAAAGAGGAATGTTTTATAAATTGAAAGATGCGTGACTACGCCAAGCACAGTGCCTGTCACTTGGAAGGAGCTCAGTAAATTTGAGTTTTAATAATATTTGACCACCGGGAATGAAGGTGTTAATTTGCTGCCCAGCAAATGAAAAATCAGATAGCTAATGGAATGGACAAATGAAACCATGGAGATTTAGAATATATTTGTGATGGCTGGGTGTGGTGGCTCATGCCTGTAATCCCAGAACTTTGGGAGGCTGAGGCAGGTGGATCACGAGGTCAGGAGTTCAAGACCAGCCTGGCCAGCACAGTGAAACCCTGTCTCTAATAAAAATGCAAAGATTAGCTGGACATGGTAGCGGACGACTGTAGTCCCATCTACTTGGGAGGCTGAGGCAGGAGAATCACTTGAACCTGGGAGTCAGAGGTTGCAGTGAGCCAAGATCGCACCACTGCACTCCAGCTGGGGTGAAACAGTGAGACTCTGTCTCAAAAACAAAAACAAAAACAAAAACAATATATTTGTGACATGGTATGGCCCATTAACATAATATTTTATATAAGCAAATACTCTATACTGTATTTAAGTCATGAAAGTATTTCAGGAAATGTAAAGCAACCTGAGGGTGAGTGACTTTCCCATAAATCATTGTGTCAGTCCTAGTTGTTTAAGTAGAGAGGTGATATCCATTTATTTTTATTTAGGATAAAGCAGATGCTATTAAGCCAACAGAGTAAGGTTGGCTTTGAAAATTTGTTGAACTATAAAAGAAACATTGGCATCTCAGTCAGAATTAAATAACTAAATTCTTTGGCGTATTCTAATATGTGGTTTTAAATTGTCAGATTTGACTGTGAATTATTTTTGAATTTCATTCTTACCGTTGAAAATTTTATGTTATATTCAGTTATCCATTCAGGACACTAGGCCCTGTCACACATTTTTAAACACCGTAGCTACATTCTTTATAATACTGAACATTTTTCATTAATCCTCGTATAATTAAGAGAATCCAGTTATAATGCTGTTGATTTGAATGTACCGGTTTTGACCTATATGCCCATGTTCAACTACTTGTTTATATTGTCTTGGTCATAATATTTTGAGCATGAGTTTAAACTTAAAACCTGAGTGTGCATTAATTCGTGTTCTAGTGCATTTACTAAATTATGAAGTCAGATTTAATAGCCTTATTTTTTTCCCACAGTGGCTTAAAGAATGATTATAACAAAGAAACATTCACCTTGAAGCATAAAATTGATGAACAGATGTTCCCTTGTCGATTCATTAAAATAGGTAAGATTTTAGCATTCTGAAATAGAAACAAATTCTTGATATCATCAGTCAGCAAACTATAGCCCATAGACCAAATCCTGCAGGCCTCTTGTTTTTTTAAATACAATTTTATGGGAATATTGCTGCGCTGGTTTGTTTACATATTGTCTGTATCTGCTTTTGTGCTACAAAAGTAGACTTGAGTAGTTGCAAGAGACCACAGAGCCCCTTAAATTTACTCTTTGGTCCTTTACAGGAGAAGTTTGCTGACTTCTGCTTTATATAAATTCATTACTAAGTGGCAGTTATTTCAAGTGGAATCTTTTCCAAATGTTTTCTCATTTGAAAGTTTTCTTAGATTTTATGGGATCTAGTGATTTGATTGCCTTAATTTTATGGAAGGTTTATCACTTATACTAAAACAATAATATTCTAAAACCAAATACTGATAAAATCCTTAAGGCAGTATATTATGGTTATTATCAGTTGTGTTCTTTTATTTTATTTATTTATTTTTTTTAGTTAAATGCTGGTCAAACCCATTAAATTGATTTAATGACCCATCGATAGGTTGCAAATCACTGTTTGAAAAATATTACCTTAAGGCATGTATTTATTTAGCAAGTATTTTAGCTTAAGAAAGTATTTATAATGCATCCTCAAAATTAGTATTTTTCAGGTGATTTTGTTTCCTATAGGATTTATTATTTAGAAGGTAGGGAAATTGAGCAATTAAATCCTGGCTAACATGGTGAAACCCCATCTCTACTAAAAATACAAAAAAAAATTTAGCTGGGCGTGGTGGTAGGCGCCTGTAGTCCCAGTTACTCGGGAAGCTGAGGTGGGAGAATGCTGTGAACCCAGGAGGCAGAGTTTGCAGTGAGCCAAGATCATGCCACTGCACTCCAGCCTGGGAGACAGAGCGAGACTCCATCTCCAAAAAAAAAACCAAAAAAAAAATACTTCTAATTTATAACCATGTTGCATACTTTTGAAAATATTATATTGATATGGGGATTAAAGTGAATTAGATACTTTGAAGAATAATAATAAAAGCCAGAGTCCACATTTTGATTTGGGAGAATAATTACTCTTTTGGAGCAAACATAGTCATTGTTTGCCAATCTATCAAGAGTTGCTGCCATTTTGTTTTGTGACTCAAACAGTTCTGTAGGGCAAAAGAATATTTGAGGTCTTAAGAAAAACTGCTTATATACAGAAACTGTTTTTGGAACAATTGGATTCCAGTATGTCACTTTGTAGTAATTATAGTTTCTGTTGTTATAATAAATACTTATAAATTAAAACCTATATTCTGTTTTCTTATAAGAATTTATGAGCAAGCAAATTTTAAAAATAAATTTAACTTTCGGTTATTTACTTCTTTTGCACTGGGTAATGTTTTCATCAGTATTTAGAGTTATCAGTTCCTAAAGACCTTTGCATAGCTTTAACAATTTTATGATTTTATGTTGCAAGTATACAAGCAGTGGAAATTGGAACCTTTTCCAGCCCTGTCAGCCTTTTTTCCCCTTTCTTTTCTTTTTTGCTGAGTATTTGAATATGTGCACTTAAAAAATTTCCCCCCAGCTTTACTAAGGTATAATTGACAAATAATAATTATATATATTTATGGTTTACAATGTGATGTTTTGACATATGAATACATTGTGAAATTATTAAATCAAGCTAATTAACATATCCCTCACCTCACATACTTAACATTTTTTTATGGTGAGAACATTTAAGATCTACTCTCTGAGCAATTTTCAGTTATTACTATAGTCACCATGCTGTACAGTAGATCTCCAGAACTTATTCTTCCTGCTTGACTGAAACTTTTTACCCTTTCACCAACAGCCACGCATTTCTCTCATCACCTTTTTAATTATAGGGCATAATGATGTCTTTTACTTGATCTAGGGTTAGTTTAATGGTATTTAGGCAAAATGTTAATTGGAGCTTTCCAAATAATAGTAGACACTTATTAGCCCATTTTCTATTTAGGATATTAATATATAGATAACTTAGTATGTCTTACTTTTCTCTTAAAATATGTTAATACCGGTCAGCAGTGTATTTGCTTCCCAACCCTTTCCCAAGCATTCTCTTAAGAACTTTTTTTTTTAAGTAATATAAGGAAAATATGGAACTAAAAGGCCGTATGTTAGGTCATATTTTTAGTTTGTCATATTTTCT
Organism: Homo sapiens; assembly: GCF_000001405.40. NCBI lineage: Eukaryota > Metazoa > Chordata > Mammalia > Primates > Hominidae > Homo > Homo sapiens. The sequence goes on from NC_000007.14 coordinate 131,391,151, forward strand.
TCAAAAGTTATTCCAGTAAAGGACTTGAATGATGTATAGCTCTCTTTTGATGTTAGTTTAGCACAGACGTTTATTTCATTTAGGTAAATCGTTAGAATTTGACTTAAAAAAAGCCTTTGAGTATTTTACATCTGTGTTCTATAGTGACATGTTTGAAAGATCTTGCTTTATTTAAAAAACAAGTTAATGCTTAAACAGCAAAATTTCTCAATTTAGTCAGCCTTCAATTATTCACAGTAATGGAGGGGAACAGAAGCAAGGCTAACACAATGGCAGATAATCTCCAAATTGTTTATTGACATGTAACTATAATAATTTTCATTTATAATGAATGTAGCTTATTAAGCAAATTGAAGTAAGTTTGGTCATAAATTGTTAACAAGGAAAATAGCCCACATTTCTACTGTGTGGCAGGGGTTAACTTTTAAGATCTGTTGTGGATAATTCAGAGTACCAGTAAAGCTGAACTGATGTCATTGGACTGCCTTCCTTCAGGAAAGTTTTACTTTCCTTTCTTAAGTTACCTTTTGTATAAAATGAGGATGTTAATGCTTTTTCTGTCTAATGGTAGGATAGGTAGCTATATTGGATATTTTCTTGAATTCTGTTCCAGTTTGTGGATCTGTGGTTTTAATTTAAGAGTACATTTATGGAAGAAATGATTGCATTTTGGATATCTCTTTTGCACATTTTCGTACTTATATTTTTAAAGTTTGTGTTTACATGCCTTCTTACATGTAGTATTCTAGGGACTTTGATGGGACTTAGTGTAGAAGGACAGTTGGCCTTAGAAAGAAGCTTGGTTTTAGATAAGACCTAGAGGTGAAAGGAAAATTTAGTAACAGAGGTGAGTTATTAATTGGGAGACTGGATTCCAGAGGGCAAGTTAAAGTTTGGGAAGGGAAAGCTCAGCAGGAGATTAGATCAGAGGAAAGTAAACATAAAATGGGTTGAGGGTATTGGTTACAGATGGCTCAAAGGGTTTACATTCTGATTTATAGCCACAATAACAGCTGTATGAGGAAATCAGGGGTAGGTGAGGGCAAAAAGAGGTACAGGGTCTTGGAAGGATTCAGGGGGAGTCTTGGTTTTTGGTAAATGGAGAGATGTGGATTTTTGTAAAGGAGTCAGCTGCAGCCTGGATGATTGTGGAGACTTCAGAGAGCGGCTTTAACTCTGGCTGGATGCAGCATGAAATCTGAGCATGAAGTCTGGGTATTAGTTCCAGGAAGCCCTTTAGGAGAGCATGTGGAAAAGTGACATTTTAGAAGTATACTATTAAGAGGAAAATTAATATAATAATAATAGATAATAACAGCTAACATTTATTGAACACTTAGTATGTGCCAGTTACTGTGCTAAGTATACTTATGTCATTAAATCTGTAGTAGAATAGTAGATGCACTCTTTCAGAATAGTTAATCTTGAATTTTTAGGATCTCTCAGAACCTCTTTTTTTTTTTTTTTTTGGGAGGTGGAGTTTCACTCTTGTTGCCTAGGCTGGAGTGCAATGGCACAATCTCGGCTCACCACAACTTCCTGCCTCCTGGGTTCAAGCGATTCTCCTGCCTCAGCCTCCTAAGTAGCCGTGATTACAGGCATGCGCCACCATGCCCGGCTAATTTTGTATTTTTAGTAGAGACGGGGTTTCTCCATGTTGGTCAGACTGGTCTTGAACTCCCGACCTGAGGCGATCCACCCGCCTTGGCCTCCCAAAGTGCTGGGATTACAGGCGTGAGCCACTGCGCCTGGCCTAATTTTTTTTTTTTTTTTAAGAGGCAGAGTCTTGCTCTGTTGCTCAGGTGGCACAATTAGAGCTCAGTGCAACCTCCAGTTCCTGGGCTCAAGCCATGTTCCGGCCTCAGCCTCCCTAGTAGCACACCACCACACCTGGCTAATTTTAAAAACAATTTTTTTGTAGAAACTGAGTCTTGCTGTCTTGCCCAGGCTGGCCATTTTATGAAAAAAGGTGACACAGGGATGTTGATTATATTCATGTCTGATTGTCCAATGGGGAAAACTGATGACTGAATCCTAGAATACAAACTGCTAGCCTTGGGATATGTATTAGGAGTTTCTAATTCTTTTATTTGATGAGGGAGGCATCTTTTATCAGGGAACAAAGAACACGTGCCTGGAGCTTTAATTCACTTTTAGATTTCTTAGTGTTCTAATATGCATTATTAGTATTGTTAATGCTACCAAAAATCACTGGCGTTTGAAGTGAGTGGACATCATTCTGCTCATTTTTTACATACCCTTTTAGTCTGTTGAAAATTAATTATATTGTTTATTCATCTGTAATATATATGCCCATTGGCAAGATAACTTCATGATTTACCTCCTTCCTCTAAAGGTATTCTTTAAAGGTATTAAAAATTATAACTAATTTTATTCTAGAAATATTTCTATTGGACCATTGGGTAACAGATTAAATTTCACTGCAAGTGTTTTAAAAGGTTTTTGTTTTGTTTTGTTTTGTTTTGTTTTTTAAGAGACAGGGTCTTTCTCGGTTACCTAGGCTAGAATTTAGTAGTGTGGTCATAGCTCACTGTAACACTGAACTCCTGGGCTCAAGTGATCCTTCATCTGGCCTCCCAAGTAGCCAGGACTACAGGCACATACTATCATGCCCAGCTGATTTTTAATTTTTTTTTGTAGAGATAGGGTCTCACTATATTTCCAGGCTGGTCTTGAACTCCTGGGCTCAAATGATCCTCTTGCTTCTGCCTCCCAAAGTGTTGGGATTACAGACATGAGCCACTGCACCAGGACCAATAAATGAATTCTTAATGAGACTTGGACCTGGAAATCTCTAATATTTTATGTCTGGTGACATATATAGACTATATTCTTGGTGCTTTTAGTTTAGAATCATTATTTTATTCTGACTCTTATACTACTAGATGGTTATTGCTATGTGATTTAGTAGATAAACTTTTAAATGACACTGCTACATAAAGAAACACTAAAACAATAAAGATAATTTAATATTTGTTGTTAAAAAAAAACTTTTTGAAATGTGTGTTGTTTACATACATAAACAGAAAGGCATATTAAATATCCCAGCATTCCTTCATACATCCTTATGGCTGGTTGCTACTGCCTGTGTTTTTATTCACACAGCTTCCTTTATATCAGTGGTCCCCAACCTTTTTGACACCAGCGACCAGTTTTGTGGAAGACAGTTTTTCTGTGGACCCAGAAGTTGGGGCAGGGTATGGTGGAGAGATGGTTTTGGGATGAAACTTTTCCATCTCAGATCATCAAGCATTAGATTCTCATAAGGAGTGCACAACTTAGATCCCTTGTATTTGCAGTTCATGATAGAGTTTGCAGTCCTTTGAGAATCTAATGCCAACGCTGATCTGACAGGAGGCAGAGCCCAGGCAGTAATGCTCCCTTAACACACTGCGCACCTCCTGCCATGCGTCTGGGTTCCTAACAGGCCAGGGACCTGTACAGGTTTGGGCCTGGGGGTTTGGGACCCCTGTTTTAGATGACAAAAATATATAAAAGTATCATACCCCATACATTTTCCTTATTCAGTCGGATATTGGAAATCATTACGCCTGGTATCAGCTATTCTGGATATTCTATTTTGATGCTTCATCAAAACTCTACAAATGTTAGTTTCTTAAAGATAGTTGCATTATTGATTCTGAAACTGCATCAGTGAATCTGTTGTTACATTAAAATTCACTGGTCTATCTTGGACTTTTTACCCAGTGGTCTGTCTTGGACTTTTTACCCAGGTGTGATTTTGTAACATTCATTGGTTATTTAGAAAATATGGTTCACTGAATTACACAGATCTCCCAAATGTTGAAACACTTCATTATGTAATATTTTAAAAATCACATTTATTAATATCACATCTAATCTCATTTAAAAAAATCTAAGTGTTGGGAATCAGTTAAGCTCACAGTGGTGGGTACTTATCTTCCAAAATTCTAATTTTTCTCTTGAAAGCTTGGTTTTTATCCTTGACAGCAAATATCGTTAAGTATTTTCCTTGAAATAACATGTAAATGTTTGGCAAATACCCAAATCTGAATAATCATAGGTTGTCTGTTTTTCTTTCAAGAATAAAATGGCATTCCATGAAAAATAAATTGATTTTTAAACTCACAACTTAAATAATTGTACAGGTCCTTTCCTTGAGATAACCATTGTGGTTTGGTACACAACAAAAATGCTTTATATGCAAATCTCATTTTGTCACACAGGATACTAGACAGATGTGTACTTGATGGGAATTTAATAAAATTAATTTTTCTGTGCCATTGGTAAAAATTATTTTTATTTTATTTTATTTTATTTTATTTTATTTTATTTTATTTTATTTTACTGCCAGTGTATGGTGGTGAGGCATACAGTGCACCTTGTACTTACTGAGCACTAATAGTACTTTTTGGTGCCATTAGTTTGGTACCAAGGTGCTAGCAGTTTTACACACCATTGCTTTTGTACCATTAGTGCAATGTTGCTATTATTAAAAGGCTAGAAAAGTGTTTATTATGTTATTTTGAAAAATAGTTGTTTTGAAAAATAACTAGTGTTGTTATTAAAAAAAAAAGTAGTTTTGACTACGTGGGACCTCTGGAAAGACCATTGGGATTTTGATTGACATGATGTTAAATTTATAATTAATTGGAGAGAGCTACACATTTACAATATTGAGTTTTCCTATATAGGAACATAGTATGTTCTTTCATTTATTCAATTATTCACTAAAATTTTATATTTTCTTATAAATATTGCGTATTTTAAGTTTATTCTGAAGTATTTTCAGCTTTTTGCCATTATAAATAGGACTTTTTTGAGGTATATTTTCTAATTGGTTATTGTAGGTATAGGAAAAGTTGATTTTTGTGTGTTTACCTTGTTTACAAATAAAAAGTTTTTCAATTGAATATATATATATATTTTTTTCCACTGAGACACAGTCTTATTCTGTCGCCCAGGCTGGAGTACAGTGGTGTCATGGCAGCTCACTGCAACCTCCACCTCCTGGGTTCAAGTGATTCTCTTGCCACAGCCTCCCAAGTAGCTGGGATTATAGGCGCACGCCACCATGACTGGCTATTTTTTCTATTTTTAGTGGAGACAGAGTTTCACTGTGTTTGCCAGGCTGGTTTTGAATTCCTGGCCTCAAGTGATCCTCTTGCCACGGCCTCCCAAAGTGCTGGGATTACAGGCTTGAGCTACTGCTCCTGGCTCTCTTGAATTTTTTTAGGTAGACAGGTCATCTTTAAATTACAATTCGTTTTTCTTAATTTGTTTGTTTGTTTCCTTATTGCACTGGTTGAGACCTCTAATTAGTGACAAATAGTAGAGATATTGGACATCTTTGTCTTGTTCTGACTTGAGTGGGAATATTTAGTATTTTCCCAGTAGGTTTAATTTTTAAGGTTTTTGATGCTTTTTAAAAAAATCTAAGGAAATTTTTTATTGCCTTATATTGCTTATATATTGAGGGTTTAAAAATAATAATGTATTTAAGTCATCAAATGTGTTTTTTCTTTTATTTTGTTAACGTGGTAGATTATATTAATATAGCTCCTATTATTTATTGAACCATCATCTTTCCATTCCTGGAATGAGATCTGTTTGGTTACAATGAAAATCTGATAGAATTTTTTGCAACTTTTCTCCTTTTAATTTGTATTTAAATATGTATTCATAGCTGTGATTGGCCTTAAGTCTTTTTTCTTCTGATTTGGATTTCAGGGTTGTGCCACTGATAAATAATTTCAGTCTCTTTCAGTGTTCTGATGTAGACTAAATTCTAAAGTAATTTTTTGCTGCTTGTACATTTGATAAAATTTACCTGTTAAATCATCTAATTCTGGTGGCATTTATTTGGGGGTAGACATGTGCACATTTTTAATTTATCTTACAGTGTTTTTATTAACTAAGGAAATCTTATGGTGGCATGGGTCATCTGTTTCGTTTTACTGTTGTAGCCTTAGCACCATGCTAGTCATATAAAAGATGCCCAGAAAATTCGTTGAATGAATCCTTATAAGGTTGAATAGTGCTTTTACTTTGCTAAAGTTTTATTTGAACTGTGTTAATATTTTTCTTCTTCTTTTTGTTTTTTCTCCTTAAAGTTCCACTCTTGTCCTGGGGACCCAGCTTTAACTTTAGCATCTGGTATGTTGAACTTAGTGGCATTGATGATCCTGATATAGTACAACCTTGTCTCAACTGGTATAGCAAGGTAGGACTGTGTTTTAAATCCTGACTTTAATGCCTATAAAAGGAGAAATATGTCAATCTCTTATCTTCATTGAGAATAATTTAAAATATTCAAAATAATAATAACAACAGTTAGCTAACATTTTATTAAGCACTTCCAGTCTGCCAGCTTTTAAGGAATCCTGATAACTCACTTAGTCATTATCACTCTATGAGACAGGTGCACTTATTATCCCCATTAGTTTATAGATGAAGAAATGAAGAACAGAGAGATTAAATAGTTTGCCTAGGATCACACAATTGTAAAGTGTTTGAGCCAGTATATGAATTCAGGCAGTTTGGCTCCACAGTCTGCTTTTATGTTATTATACCCATTTGACTCTGAATTTTGTTTTTTCACTTGTATTCATATAAATACTTAAAACATAGTTTTTAGTGGGATAGTTTTGCAGCCTAATGGAAAATTTAAGATGTGGATGTGATTTAGACTCCTAAAGTAGTCAACAGGGTTAAAAAATACTGCTGTTTAATATAACTGTAATATATATTGTTACATGGTAGTTATGATAAGTCTTTTTTAGAGGCCAAGAGTAAGTTAATTATAGTTAACTAATTATAATTAAGTTGTTAATTAATTATAGTTAATTATAACGTGTAAGGATTAGGTGTTTAATGACCTTTTATTAGTTAAGTCAGCTATCAACTGATTTGTTTCAAATCTTATACATCTTCCTAAACACATTATTTTCTTGCCTTATTAAAGGGTCATGCCTATAAGTAAATCATTGTTGTTTGATTATCATGCAGGCTTCCATGTCATCTGTTTGTTTGAATAGTGGTATACTTAGGAAGTTTGAGGTAGTCCCAGAACATATTCCTGAAGTTGAGATTTTTTTAAAAAAATCCTTTTTATAAGATTGTATTTTTGGCATCTATCCTATTAGGGGAAAATTTTAATAAATTAAGTGCCTGCTTTTTGGATTCCAGTTAATTGAGATGTCTACTTTATAGCTGCTTAATAGATGAGGTAGTTCAGGCTTAGAAAACAATTAAATTGGGCCGGGCGCAGTGGCTCACACCTGTAATCCCAGCACTTTGGGAGACCAAAGTGGGCAGATTGCCTGAGGTCAGGAGTTCAAGACCATCCTGACCAACATGGTGAAACCCCGACTCTACTAAAAATACAAAAATTAGCTGGGCGTGGTAGCGCGTGCCTGTAAGCTCAGCTACTTAGGAGGCTGAGGCAGAATTGCTTGAACCTGGGAGGCGGAGGTTGCAGTGAGCTGAGATTATGCCGCTACAGTCCAGCCTGGGAGACAGAGCAAGACCCTGTCTCAAAAAAAGAAAGAAAAAAAAAAAGATTAAATGTCTCTTTTTGATGATTTTTGAGTCATAAAATGTGTTTGTAAATTTGAAATATCTGTATACTTGATACTTGTCATTCAAGTAATAGTTTATTTTTAAAAACCAAAAATAGCATAATATAATTTATGTGGATTATTTAATGTTCTTTTGTGCTCTCAGTACCTGCATTGTAATGGGATTAATAGATGCTATGGAGTTATAATTTTTACAGTATTAAGTGGAGTTTAAGAAATAGATGTTCTCCCTTTCTTCAAAGTTGAGGCTCTGGAATTAGGTTTGGTTTAATAACTTTTGGCTACATATTTTGTGACCTTGAGCAAGTTATTGGAACAGGCCAAGCTTTAGTTTTGCTAGTTAAAAGAGCCAAATAATGATACCTAATGAATCAGGTTAGTAAACTGCTTGGCACATAGTGTTAATAAATGCTCAGTGTAGATTAGTTATTTTTACTGTTGTTATTGTTTCCTACAGTATCATCTAACCAAATCTCTTCTTTCCATACTTACTCTGTGTTCTAGTAGTACCGTGAACAGGAAGCTATTCGCCTTTGCCTAAAACACTTCAGACAACACAACTATACAGAAGCTTTTGAGTCACTGCAAAAGAAAACCAAGATTGCACTGGAACATCCCATGTTAACAGATATTCATGACAAGCTGGTGTTGAAGGGTGATTTTGATGCTTGCGAAGAGTTGATTGAAAAGGCTGTAAATGGTATGAAACTTAGATTGGTTATTAGGGTAAATTCAAGTACATACGGGAAACTTTTTCTCAAAAATAATATAGGCTTATGCCAGTTATTACTGTAATTTTTTTTCTTGGTTTTTTACTCGGTTAAAGATTGTTATCTCTTTGGATTAGGGACTTCTTTCATGTAAAATAGATCCATGATGTAATGAGACTTAAAAAATTGAAATGTACTTGAACTCACATATAAATTTAAGTTGTCATCTTGGGAAACCATGCACTTACAAATGATTAACTAGCATTAAACTGTATCAGAAATAATATTTTGATATTGGTAGCCAATATTCATTAACAGTGTAGTTTTGAGGAGAAGGGGGGCTAGATAATAAAAAATGTTATTAGTAAACAATTATATATAAGGAACAAGGAGATTTGTATTGAAAACAACTTCCTTGTGGTGTGAATGCTATATAATTGCTGATTTTCTTGTGTGACCTGTAGTCTGGCTTTGAAAGAAATGTGAATAGTTGAACATCTGTATTATCTCCCAGGGTATTGGCTTTGGAGGGTAACACTCATTTGGATTTTTAAGGTCTGATGTGTTTTGTTATTTAAACTAAAAAGGGACTCTGTTGTTGCTTATAGTATGACTTTTTTTTTTAATCTTCCTCAGTAACTTTCATAGTGACAAACAACAGAATAGTTGCACAATATAAAACTTGTGGAATTGAATTTGGTGCATCCTTTATAGGAAGAAATAAGAAATAATAGATTATTCAGTGGTTTGCTCTCATTTTAATTTTATCACTGTTATTATCGTCTATTATTAGGTATTCATATTTATCAGATATTGGGTAGCTAAAAAAAAACCAGACTTGTACTGCCTTGAGTTTATAAATTTAAAGTTAACTTAAAATGAATTGCTTTGAGCTCCACTTTTTGAAATATGACAAATCTGCTTCTAAGCCTTGTGCATTGTTATTGCTTACTTGATTGATGATGATACTTGCAAATAAATGATAGGTATGTTTGAAATTGAGTATATTTTGGAGTATAAACAAACAAATAACTAATCTCTTAACAGACTTTAAAATGCTACCAATAAAAAAAAAATATATATATATATATATATATGCCATTTCTAGGAGTGAATTCTGTGGGTTTTTTTTAACCTCATAAGATGAGGGAGGCATAGGTAATTTTAGGGCTTTTTTGTTTGTTTCAGATATTTATCAGTAAGGCATTTGATACCATTTTGTGAAGGGAAAGCAAAACAACAGCCACAGGCAACTCTACAGTTAATAAGCTAAAAACAGTTATATTTTAAAGGTCTCTTTAGTGACGTACTCAGTTGGTTAAGATTAGCTGATAAAAATCTTGTGCAGTTTTGATATCTACAGAGACTTAACTTATCCTTTGGCTCTAGAAAGGAACCAAGTTTAGAGAAATTAGTAGTTGCTCAATTCTTGAAACTTACAGCCACATCATAGTTTTTGTACTGTGAATACTATGGGCTTTCTAAACTGGCCTGGAACACTGTTAGTTAATAAACATTCCTTTCAGGGTTGTTCTCTTTGCTTCTGATCTCATTGATGATGATTTGTTGGACAAATAAGGAAGTAAACAGTGCAGAGTTTTTTGGCTTCTGCTCTATTAAAAACATAGCAGAGAAGGACAAGAAGTTCCTGCCTGCTAAATAGGAAGATCTAGGGAATCAAAAGAGTCTCTGTCAAGCTTCTTGTAATGGAGGATACAAAAGCTACTTTTAGTATTTTTAGTATATTACTTAGTATGATCTTTAAGTATTTTCTGTATTTTAAGAAAGTGTAAGGCTCTATTTATTTCTGTAATAGGCTTTTTGTTTGTCTAGAAACATCACTGTATTTACATTTCATTTTATTAGAGGTGATTTTGGAACCAATAATTGCTACTACCTCTTTGCCCATGCAGGATCCAGTGATGATAGGCAAAAGTAATCACCTAGGGACAGGAATGTTTTACTCAGACATGTAGAGATTGTACTGAAATCCACCCTTTGCTGAGCTTATCTTATTTGCTATAGAAAGAAAAATTTTCTTTTGTGAGATAAGGGAAGGATAAAGTTTAATAAGGTAGTCATAAAGTTTCAACCTGAAATCTCTACCTTTCTCCCTTTGTCTTTCCCTGCTTCTTTCTTTTTTCTGTTTTCCTGGTTTAAAAAATAATCTCTCCACTCTGGTTTTTTGGATTGTGCAGTAGTTGTTAATTATAGGCATATCTTGGAGATATTGCAGGTTTGGTTCCAGACCACTGCAGTGAAGTGAATGACACAATAAAGCAAGTCACAAATTTTATTTCCTTTGCATGTGCATATAAAAGTTATCTTTCCACTTTACTGTAGCCTCTTAAGGTACAGTGGCATTATTTCTTTAAAAAAAATGCATATACCTTAACTTAAAAAATGCTTTATTGCTTAAAAAATGCTAATGATCATCTGAGCCTTCAGTGAGTTATACTCTTTTTGCTAGTGAAGGGTCTTGCCTCAGTATTGATGGCTGCTGGCTGATAAGGATGGTGATTGCTGAAAGTTGGGGTGGCTGTGACAGTTTCTTAAAATAAGACAAAAATGAAATTTGCTGCATCAATGAGTTCTTCCTTTCACAAAAGATTTATCTGTGGTGTGCAATGCTGTCTGATTGCATTTGACCCACAATAGAACTTCTTTCAAAATTGGAGTCAATCCTCTCAAACCCTGCTGCTGCTTTATCAGCTAAGTTTATGTAATATTCTAAATCCTTTGTTGTCATTTCAACAATGTTCACAGCATCTTCATCAGGAGCAGTTTCCATCTCAAGAAACCACTTTATTTGCTCATTCATAAGAAGCAATTTCTCATCCATTCAAGTTTTATCATGAGAGTGTAGCAGTTCAGTCACATCTTCAGGCTCTACTTCTAATTCTAGTTCTCTTGCTATTTCTACCACATCTGCAGTTAATTTCTTCTTCTGAAGCCTTTAACACTTTCCACATCATCCATGAGCATTGGAATCAACTTCTTCCAAACTCTTGTTTATGTTGATATTTTGATCTCTTCCCATGAATCATGAATGTTCTTAATGGCATCTAGAATGGTGAATCCTTTCCAGAAGGTTTTCAATTTACTTTGCCCAGATCCATCAGAGGAATCACTGTCTGTGGCAACTATAGCCTTACAAGATGTGTTTCTTAAATAATAAGATTTTCTTGAAAGTCTAAATGACTCCTTGATTCATAGGCTACAAAATGGATATGTGTTAGTAGGCATGAAAACATTAATATTCCTGTGTTTCTCCATCAAGCTCTTGGGTGACAGGTGCATTGTCAGTGAGCAGTAATATTTTGAAAGAAATCTTTTTTTCTTTTTCTGAGCAGTAGGTCTCAACAGTGGGCATAAAATATTCAGTAAACCATTCTGTACACAGATGTGCTGTCATCTAGGCTTTGTTACTCCATTTGTAGAGCACAGGCAGTAGATTCAGCTTAATTCTTAAGGGCCCTAGGATTTTTCAGAATAGTAAATGAGCATTGACTTCCGCTTAAAGTCACTAGCTGCATTAAACCCTTGCAAGACAGTCACACTATCCTTTAAAGCTTTGAAGCCAGGCATTGACTTCACTCTAGCTATGAAAGTCCTAGATGGCACCTTCTTCCAATAGAAGTCTATTGGAATGTTTTGTCTACATTGAAAATCTGTTTAGTATAGTTACCTTCATCAGTGATCTTAGCAAGATCTTCTAGATATTAATAACTTGCTGCATCTTCTATAATACATCAACACTTGTGGCTTTACTTTGCACTTTTATGTTACAGAGGTGGCTTCTTTCTTTAAACTTCATGAACCAACCTCTGCTAGCTTCCAACTTTTCTTTTGCAGTTTTCTGACTTCTCTCAGCTTTCACACACTTGAAGAGAGTTAAGGCCATGCTTTAGATTAGGTTTTGGCTTAAGGGAGTGTTATGACTGGTTTAATCTATCCAGACCGCTCTAACTTTCTCCATATTAACAATAAGTCTGTTTTGCTTTCTTATCAGTCATGGGTTCACTTGTAATTTCCTTCAAGAACTTTTCCTTCTCATTTACAACTTGGTCAACTTTAGTGCAAGAGGTCAACTTTCAGCCTATCTTGGCCTTTGACATGCCTTCCTCCCTAAGTTTAATTATTTCTAGTTTTTTTATTTAAAGTGAGAGGTTTGTGTTGAACACTTAAAGGCCGTGGTAAAGATATTAAATGGCCTAATTTCAGTATTGTTGCATCTCAGGGAATAGGGAGGCCCAAAGAGAGGGAGAGAAATGGGGGAACTGCTGGTTTATGGAGAAGTCAGAACACACACAACATGGTGCCTCAAAACAATTACATTATTAACATCAAAGATCACTGATCATAGGTCACTGTAACAGATATGACAGTAATGAAAAAGGTTGAAACATTACGAGAATTACTGAAATGAGAGAGAGACACAAGTGAAGAAATTCTGTTGGAAAAACGGCATCCATAGACTTCCTTCAATTTGTAAAAAACACAGTATCTGTGAAGCGTGGTCAAGCAAAGCATTATAAAGGCATATGTATGTTGAATTATCTTAATTGATTTTCTGTTTTTAATGCAATTTTGTATTCCTTTTTACAAACCCTACTTGATAATGGTGTCTTACTCTTTTCAGGTATTGTATTTGATCTGCCACCTTTTTATGAAGTATTTTTGCATATATTTGTGTATGTAAGATATTGGTCTGCAGTTTTCTTTTAATGTGCATGTCTTGTTTTGTTATCTTTTGGTATGTTTGGGTACTTCCAGTCTTATAGAATGGGGCAGGAATCTAAAAGTGTTTGTGTAGAATGAGTAGTAGCTTGGTAGAATTTACTAGTGAAGGCAACTGGACCTGAAGTTACCTTTGTGTGGAGGTTTTTGTGTTCTTTTGGCAGGGTCTCTCTTTGTCACCCAGACTGGAGTACAGTGGCATGATCAGTTAACTTTAGCCTTGAACTCCTGGGCTCAGGCTATCCTCCTGCCTCCTGAGTAGCCTGGACTATTGGTGCATGGTATCATGCCTGGCTAATTTTTAAAAATGTGGAGATGGGGTCTCGCCATGTTACCCAGACTGGTCTTTAACTCCTTGCTCAAATGATCCCAAAGCACTGGAATTTCGGGTGTGAGCTATTTGTTTGTTTTCTCTTTTTCTTTTCTTTTCTTTTTTTTTGAGACAGGGTCTCTCTCTGTTGCCCAGGCTGGAGTGCAGTGGCACAGTCACGGCTCACTACAGCCTTGACCTCCCTGGGCTCAAGTGATCCTCTTACCAAGCCTCCCAGGTAGCAGGGACTACAGGTGTGCGCCACTACACCCGGTTAATTTTTTGTAGAGATGGGGTTTTGCTGTATTGCCCAGGCTGGTCTCAAACTCCTGGGCTCAAGTGATCCACCTGCCTTGGCCTCCCAAAGTGCTAGAATTACAGTTGTGAGCCGCCACCCTCAGCCGAATTACTTCTTTATTTTATACTTGGTTAAAACAAACAAACAAACAAACAAACACTTTCCAGTGTCTGAAGCTGTCTGTGCTTGAAATTTGGTGGGTGGGAGTGTTTTTTACCTATCAGTTTAATTTCTTTAAACATCATAGGACTAATCAGAGTTGTTAATTGTTTGGTTCAGGTTTATTAAATGATATTTTTCTAGGAATTGTCTATAATTGTCTATAATCAAAAATTTCAAATTTATGGGTATTAAGGTATACCTAATATCTTACTGTTTGTTTAGTGTTTGCAGGATTTCTTGAGATGCCCCTTTTTTGTTACTTATCTTGAATATATATATATTTTTCCATCAGCACATGTTTATCAAGTGCACTAGTCTCTTGAGAGAACCAATTTTTGGTTTGTTCATCTTTTCTGCAGGATTTCTTGAGATGCCCCTTTTTTGTTACTTATCTTGAATATATATATATTTTTCCATCAGCACATGTTTATCAAGTGCACTAGTCTCTTGAGAGAACCAATTTTTGGTTTGTTCATCTTTTCTGTTATTTCCTGTGTCCTTGACTTATGCTCTGTTTACTGTTGTCTTCCTTCTCTTTTTGAGATTAATTTGCTGTCTTTTTATAACAACTTTTTAAGCCAGATGCTTAGCTCATTAGTTTTCAGACTTTGAAAATTTCCCTTATATACATTTAAATATATAAAATTTCCTCCTCTTGTTCTTTAGTTGTGCTATGAAGTATTTTTATTTTTGTTCAGTTTAGTATTTTCATTATGAAATGAAATGGCTCTTTGGAAGAACTGTGGTTTTTAATTTACAAATTTGTGGCGATTTACTACTTGTTTTCTTTGTTAGTGATTTCTGGCATAATTGCATAGGGGCCAGAGTGCATATCCTGTATGTTTCCAGTCCTTTGAAATTTAATGAGACTTGCTATATAACCCAGCTTATTCAATTTTTATAAACATATCATATATATTTGAACAGAATGTGAATTCTTTAGTTGTTGGAGCAGTGTTGTATATTTGTTCAGTTGGTCAGAGTTGCTAATCATATTGCACAAATCTTTATCAATAAGAATTTTCTGTCTGATTCTCATTACTGAGAAAGATGTTAACACTTTCCACTATGATCATCGAATTATATGTTTCCTATAGTTGGTCCAATTTTACTTTATACATTTTGATGCCATGTTTTTAATTGAAAACAAATTTTAAATTATTTTGAATTAAATCTTTTATTATGAAGTGCCTTTTTATCTCTAGAAATATTTTTGCTTTAAGGTAAATTGTATTAAGATCTGTTTTCATTTCTTATTTGTATGGCATATCTTTTCCATCTTTTATTTTCAACCTTTATCCCTCTTAAGAGAAATATCTCCTATAAATTTTATTTAAATAAAGAAAATTTTATTTTATTAATAAATCATTTGACTTATGATTAGTTTAGAAATTGCAAGTATGCATGATTACCTTAACAAAATTGATCAGTGCCTTTTCTCTCTTCCCATGTGAGGATTTAGTAGACTTTCAGCTTCATATTCTCACCTTCTAATTCATTATTCTATTGTTGTCAATTGCTCTATTGTTGTCATTTATTTTGATACCATGTTCAAAGACCCTATAAAATATTTGTCTTATACAGCAATTGTTCATTAATTTTACCCAAATATTTACTGGGTTTTTTTTCTCTTCATTATTGTTTGCGTCTTTAATCTTATGTCTAGGATTGTGTTCATTCCCTGTGCCGTAAGCCCATCCTTTAGAATTTCTTCTATAATGCAGCTCAACTCTCTCAGAATTGATGGCCTGAAAATTTTGTCTCCTTTATAGGAGGGTATTTTTGCTAGATGTAGAATTCCAGATTGACACTTACTTTCTTGAAATACATTTTGAATATCATTCGACTGTTATTAACCAGCTTCCTTGTTGCTGTTGAGAGGTGTGCTATCATTTTCAACTGCCATTTTTTAATATAATCTTTTTCCCTCTGACTGTTTAAATATTTTATATTTGTTTTAGATTATTTTGTAGTTACATTAACAAGGCTGTCCGAAACTCCAGTGTGGCAGCCCTGTTAACTATTGTCTATTTTGGTTTTCTTTCAATTAAATATATGTTGCCTTTGTCTATCATTTATTTTCTCCTTTATCTTTTTTAACTGCACATTTCTGTTTAATATTTTAAGCTTCTCTAAACCCTTTATCCCATTTCCACTACTATATTATTTTTAGTGTCTCTTTCTTACACTTTGACCTTCAGTTCTGTGATATTTTCAATTTTTTCATTCCTCTTTTCTCTCATTTCTAACAATTCCATTTTTGTTTCCTTTGGTTGTCTTGCCATTTCTTTTCCAACTATTTAGATGTCTACTTTCCAACTGCTTATATCTCTAATCTGTACTCATGTTTCATAGAGAGAGTTGCTTTTTTTTATTTGTGGAATAAATTTGTGGAAAGGTATTTGGCTACTTTCATCTATTGCAGGCTACATTTTTCTGTTGAATCAGATTCATTTGCTACTTTAAAAAATTCATTTCTTTTCCTTTTTATATTGTGGCATAATTCCTGGGTTGATTCTTTTTTAACATTATTAATATTTTAATGTGGTGAATTTTTCCTATTTTTAGAAGCTTCTTGTGAGTTAGGAGGTAGGGCTGTGTTCCAGGATAGCAAGATTTTTCCTTATAACACCTTTTTTCTCTTTAAGATTTTGTTTCTTAGCAATGCTCATAATGCAAAAATCTCACTTTTTTCCCCTTTCCCAACTGCCAGACCCTTTTCCTGAAACATGGTTTTTTTTTTTTTCATAATTTTTGCTCATTTATGCCTTTGTGCCTTTGTGTATGCTGTATTCTCTTTCCTATTACTTTCCTTTTTATATAATTCAGTTCCAGTGCATTCTTCAAAGCCAACTCTTTCAAGGTATCTTCTTTCATTATATTCTCACTGAATCACTCCTTCCTCCTCTTAACTCCTATTTGCCTTGGTGCTGTATTTCTCATTTTGTTCATAAAAGATTGTTAATTTTCTGTCAAGTACATTTCCAAACACTGCATCATTGTCATCATCATCATCATCATCGTAAGTAACATACATCTGAGAGCTTGACAATGTGCCGTTTATTCTCCTAGGCCTTTTACGTGAATTTATTTAATTTTCATACTTACCTTCTAGGTTAAGTATTGTTGTTATTTCCGTCTAATATATGAGAATGATTAATTTGCTTAAGATGGTGTATCTAGTAAGTGACAGAGCTAAGATTTGAATTCAGGTAGTCTGGTGCCAAAAATCCATACTCTCTATCTCTAAGCTTTACCGTCTTAGTAAATATTTACTAGTTCAGTGTCATAATATTGACTATTATATTCTTACTGGTATAATATTGCCCTTTTTTTCAGAATTTGGACAAACTGATGAAATCAGCTTCTTAAAAATTCTTTTTGATCTAATCATTCTTGAATGGTCAAAAAGGATTTTATGCTCTATAAGTTATTTACCTATACATGCATTTTAAATTATTTCTTTTGTATGTAATCTCTATTTTGGTGCAAAATCAAATTTGATAAAAGTTTGAGTTTACCAAATATAAATACATACAACTAGGCAGCAGTACTATAATCTATGTGGATTTTTTTGGTTTTGTTTTCTTTTTAATTCTGGGCAAGAGATTTGAAATTTTTTCCCCTTTTGGTGAAAGCTTCCTAAATCATGTTTTTTAAATCATGTTGTATGTGTATGTGGGCATGTGTGTGCAGGCAGGATTTCTGTGTTGCCCAGACTGGTTTTGAACTCCTGGCCTTGAATGATCCTCCTGCCTTAGCCTCCCAAAACCCTAGGATTACAGGTGTGAGCCACCAGGCTGGGCCATCATGTGCTTTTTTAAGAGAGTATCCACTATTATTGGAGAAAAGAACAGCTTGTGCTCAGTGAGGACTGTATGAAATATATTTATTATAGTCATAATTATAGGAGAAAAAATGAAGTGATATTGGACCTGGAGACTCTAGTTAAATAGTTTAAAAATTATTAACAACTAGTTCTTAGTGTGCTTTCTCCTAGTGATATTTTAATTTCTTTTGGATAGTTTTAATTTTATCTGACTGTTCTGATCTCTTGCTTTAGATTTTTGTCAAAAATAGACTTACAGAAATATTAGCAACTGCCTGACTTCTTCTTTAAACAGAAATAATTTTTGAACTCACATGGTTCACAGGCATCTTTAAATTTCTTATTTACTAATTTGTTTCTAAGATTTTCAAACAGTGTAATGGATGTCATATTTTTATAGATGAGAATATCATTGTTTCAATAGAGAGGCTGACTTTTGCTGAATTATATATCTAAAGCAAGCCTACCAAGGCAAAAGGCCTTATTAGCAAGCGTTTGCAAGAATTAGAAATAATAGGGAGCATGGAGATTATTTGGGATGCAGAGGTGTCAACTCTTTGTTTTTAGGTTGCGAAAGTTGCAGGAAGTTCTTTTACATTAAAACAAGGTAGTAAAAGCAATGCATTTTTTTAACCTTTACCCTGCTTTAGTATTTGCAGTATTTACTGACTTTTTGCAAGAATTTTGAAAAGTCTCAAAGGCAAAGAAGAAAGGAAATTTGGTGAGCGTGCCTGTAGGATGGAGGTTTCCAGTTAAAGCCAGCTGAAAAGTCTTGAAAGCGAAAGGGTTGGTTACAACTGAGCTTCATAATTACCCAGAAAAGAAAGATTAGGGGGAGTGCTCTAAATTGGTTGGTCTCTGGTGAATATATAAATCGCAGAAAACAGTTTTACTTTTAAATTGAGTCACATGACAGAGTTTAATAGTAAAAGTAACTTTATAAATTATGATCTATTTGGGTGCATGTAAAAGCTAGGGTTTCTAGCTTAAAAAGTAAGGAAATGTTATTGTAGCACATAGCAAGAAGTCCAGAGGTAAGGCAGATTTCATGGTTGGTTGATTCAGTGATCATTTCTTTCTTTCTCTGTGCTGTATCATCATTATAGAATTGACTGCATTCTTGTACTTCGACAAATTTGCTTTAATATTTGTATACATTACATGCAGATATTCCAGAGGAATAAAAGTAGATTTTTTTTTCTGTATGTCTCTTTAGAAGTAAGGAAAAATTGCCTAGAAGTCTCCCAGAAGATTCCTCATGTTTCATTAGCCAAAATTGGGTTCCATACTGTTCTTAAACTAATCTTTGTTGAGGGCCATGGGAGTAGGGCTTCATAATTATTTAGGTGTGTATGTGGGGGGATGTATGTAGGGAGTTCAGTCTCCATACCATTACAGTAACTAGTGTAACAACTTAAGTAGATTATGAGTTTATCAATACAGCAGAATCAGGAGTAAGGAAAACATGGTAGAACTTTAGTACCAGCCCCACCATTTAAGAGCTGTGTGATTTTGGTTAAGTTTCTTACTTTTTTTAAATACAAATTTCTGGATTTATAAAACGGAGATGATAATGTGTAGTTCATAGGATTGTTTTTAGAATTAAATGAGATGAGACAGCATAAATTCTAACATTTGGTAAGTGTTCCATAAGTATAGTTTTATTACTGCTGTTAGTACTTTTATCTTTATGTAGTTTTGTACTCAAAACTGTATAATAATGGAATTCACATGTTAAAGTTAGTGTTCCCTTTTCCTGAAAATGTATCAAGGACCTAGACCAAAATTATTGGAGCTCTATTTTCTTCTCTAGTTCTCTTGGATATGGGTGGCAAAAAGTACTGGCACAAAGCACTGTTGGGGGAAAGAGATTAGGATCCAATGAATCCATGTCATTATAGGATGTAAAGATTAAGAATTTCATAGTTGAAATAAAGACAAGTGGTGGGAGATCACAAAAAGAAAATATAATTCTCCTAATCTTTAGTTATCCTTTCCTCTTCTTAATTATATTTATGATAATGATAGAAATGATTTTTTAAAGATATATAAGATCTTTTTTCAATGAAGTAGAACATTTATTCAGATTATTTATTTTTATTTTCTCCTGCTTCTATTTTGCAGCCTTAAATTGTCTTATGACTTTTTTTCCCCTCCCAGTTCACTCCCTTTTCCTTCTTTCAAGGTCTCTAACCCTCTGATAATGTCACATACGTGTCCGTTGAATGCAACAGTGACTTTGTATCTAATACATACAGTGATGATGAGAAACATAGTACGTTTAATATGAGCTTCCCCTAAAGCAATTTGTTTGCATGGTTGTGTCAATTAATATTTTACTATTTATATTTGAGGTAGCATGAAGTGAAATTGAAGTGATGCATATTTTATGAAAATGTGCTTTTGTATTAGTGACATATTAGTAATTTCTTTTAATGTAGCCTTTTAAATTTTAATTTTTTTCTATAATAAATAATGTAAGTAGTTAAGGTGTAATTCTTTCTCATTCTTCAATATTTGCAGATGGCTTGTTCAATCAGTATATCAGTCAACAGGAATATAAGCCACGATGGAGTCAAATCATTCCCAAAAGTACCAAAGGTAAGCCATACCTTCTAGATTGTAGTTCTTTTTCATTAATGTCTCAGTCTTCAGTTTTCCCAAGGTAGTTCAAGTATCATAGTACTAAGTTAATAAAAAAGAAGATGTTGGCCAGTTGCAGTGGCTCATGTCTAATCCCAATACTTTTGGAGGCCGAGGCAGGAGGATTGCTTGAGCCCAGAGGTTCAAGATCAGCCTGGGCAACATGGTGAGACCTGTCTCTACAAAAAATTAGCTATACAGCCGAGTGTGGTGGCTCACACCTATAATCCCAACACTGTGGGAGGCCAAGGTGGGCAGATCACCTGAGGTTAGTAGTTGAAGACCAGCCTGCCCAACATGGCAAAACCCTGTCTCTACTAAAAATACAAAAATTAGCTGGGCGTGATGGTGTGTGCCTGTAATCCCAGCTACTCGGGAGGCTGGGGTAGGAGAATCACTTGAACCTGTGAGGCAGAGGTTGCAGTGAGCTGAGATCATGCTATTGTACTCCGGCCTGGGAGACAGATGGAGATTCCATCTCAAAAAAAAAAAAAAAAAAAAAAAAAAAAAAATTAGCCAGACATGTTGGCAGGCATCTGTGGTCCCAGCTGCTTAGGGTACTGAGGTAGAAGGGTGGCTTGAGCCTGGGAGGTCAAGGCTGCAGTCAGCCGTGTTCATACCACTGCACTTCAACCTGGGCAACAGAGCGAGACTCTGTCTCAAAAAACAAAACAATAACCACAGCAAAATAAATAAAAAGCAGATGTTTAAAACAAGGCATAGGTTCCTTAACTAGGTGGCACAATTCATTTGTTATATTAAAATTTTCTTTTTAAACCTTTTTGATTTACTGCCGTAACAGAAGGTTGGGCAGCTTTTACACAGAATATCATTATAAACTGCTTTGTTAGAGGCATGGTGTAAAATTATAGGCTGTGTTGTAATGCCATACACATGTTCTTGAAAACCTTAAGTTATGCAAAATTATTTGCTAAACCTAGCAAGGCATATAAGAAAAATAGAAAGGCAGAAGACCATTCTAAATCTGTGGAACTTTATAACCAGCTACTAATAAAAACTAGTGTAATAATTGTAATAAAAATAAATATCAGTACATTTAAATTAGGTATTTATATTGAACATCATAGTGTGTTTAGAGACTTAAGCCCTGGGCTCATGCCTCTGTCTTTGAAATGTAGATCCTAGAGGGCATTTGCTTCTAATAAAGACTGTTTTCATCAAAACTTGAAATCGGATCCAGAGTATAGTCTTCTTCATGAATACCTTATTTTCATATAAGGGGGGAGGTTTTGTCACTTCTTCATCTGTACTCACTGCTTTGCCAGATAATTAACATAGTGGAAAGTGTAGCAATTTCTTAATGCAACTGTTTGTGTTAAAGGAAGGCAGTTCTATGGATACTGAGCTTTTTTCATTGTGGTCTTCATATATTACTAAGGACTTCTCTTTAGTTGTGAGAAAGCTTTCTCCTGATAGTATTGCATATTAATATGCAGGGGAAAATTGCTTAAGAACCTCCATAATTGATGTTACATGAACATCATTCTCCTATTTTATCAGTCATGTATGAGGTAATTTTCTTCAAAGACACACATATTATAGCAAACAGACAGTAATTGTGTATTTGCAAACTAATGGATTCAACATATAAAATACAAACATACTGAAAATGAATTCATTTTAGTGCTTTCTTTTTTCCCTCAGACCTCTCAGGGGTGAATATGCTTTCTAAATCTATTCTTAAAGATGGCGATACGGTACTGACTGATGAGGGAAGGAAAGAAGAAAAGGGCAAAGCTTCAATGATAATAAATTGCACAATCTAAAGGCTTAACTATTAGGATAAAGGATTTGGAGGGAACTTCTGGATGATTAGCCGCTGAATACAGTAGTAATGAAAAGCTTCAGTTTTGTATCTTATTTTCTGTATATAAGAACTGACATTTCAGTCATTTTCATAGCACCCTTGTAAAATTAGTATAAAATTGGATATTCTCAATTTTACATTAGGAGAAAGCCAATACAGGGAAACTTATTAGCCAAAGTAATATATTTCAACTAATAGGAGAATTATGAAGAAAGCCTTAGGCTTTCTAGTTCATATCAAGTAAGACATTAGAATCTTACAACCTTTTGAACTACTGAAATTAATTTATAACTTTTTTTTTTTTGAGATGGAGTCTTACTCTCGTTGCCCAGCCGGAGTGCAGTGGTGCAAACTCGGTTCATTGCAACCTCCGCCTCCTGAGTTCAAGTGATTCTCCTGCCTCAGCCTCCTGAGTAGCTGGGATTACAGGCACCCACCACCATGCCCGGCTAATTTTTGTATTTTAGTAGAGACAGGGTTTCACCATATTGGCTAGGCTGGTCGTGGACTCCTGACCTCAGGTGATCCACCCACCTTGGCCTCCCAGAGTGCTGGGATTACAGGTTTGAGCCACCGCGCCCGGCCATAACTTTATTTATGTAAGATTTGGTGTAAAGTAAGATTAGATACAAGTTGAATAATAGTGTTCTCTTTTGGAAGTTTAAATAAAGTTTTACTGATTGTATTTAAACCTGCCTATTAAGCTCTGTGATGGAAATAAGAATCAAAGTGAAGTAAATCTTAGATTTCCTCAGTCAGTTCTTACATAAAATAGTTGGTAAATTAGGTGGGAACTGATTGCTGAAATATTGGCACAAAATTAATACATTATACATTATACAAAGTTATATAAAATAATTACACAAAGTACAAAATTATACAAAAATTTTACAAAATAATTGTATACATTATACAAAATTAATATCATTAATATAAAACTTGATAGCATCTTTGTTTTCAGTAAATAGTTTGATAACTCGACTTTAAAACTGCTCATCATACTAATGAACTATGCCTAGAATATATACGGGAGATCTAATTTTGTAATTGTTTTTGACCTTCACTTTGGCACTCAAGTAGCTTAGAGATTTTTGTTTTATGTTTTTGTATAATATTCTGTGTCTTTGCTGGTTTGTGGCATTGATCATAAATAAATCAAAAATAACTTCCAAGTTCATTAATGTCCTGAAAGCATTTGGAAAAAAGAACAAGATTATTATAAACACAGATTTGAGTCATACTGTTACTTTTATGAGTCCTTTTACTTATTAATATTTTGAAAAAATAAGGGTGGGTTATTTTTACTACTGATTACAGACTTATGAATAAATTTACTCTGGATATGCTGTTCTTTGTTATTCCTTTAAAAGAAACTATTATTTCTTCTAAAGGTGATGGGGAAGATAACCGTCCAGGAATGAGAGGAGGCCATCAGATGGTTATTGATGTTCAAACAGGTGAGTAGCAGTTGCAGTGGAAAGCAAAATCTTCATTGGCTACAGGCATCGTCTAAACCAGGCAGTGGCAGGTAAGGAAGGGGCGGGGGGTGGGGGGCTCTTACACAAATGAAATTAGATTACCTAAAAAAAGTTTAACATGCGGCCTTTTATGTGTGTCTGTATGTGTGTGTATGTGTCTAGTTTATATGTGTTGTATTTTCATGGAAAACTGGTGTATTTCTGGATTTTTGTTGCACTTATATAGTAGAGTAATATGGGAATTACTGGAATAAAGAGAACTAAGATATATTTTTAGAGGAAGCAGATATCAAATTAGGCAGCTAAGTGTTGGTAAGTCCATTAATTGCTAAAAACTGTTCACAAGCCTGTAAATAATTTAGTTGTTGTTTTTTGTTTGGTTTTGTTTTTTTTTTTCCTGTCTTTTAAATTTTGTTCTGAAGCTTGGTAGCAAACTTTTTTTTAAGTTTCTAAAACCTAGGAAAACTTAATTACCATAATATTTAGAGGTTAATGCCAACATTATAATAGGTCTCAGATTAGCAGCTTAAAAAGCAAATAATACCAATAATCTACCATAGCTATATTTTATTATTGGATTTTAGAAAACTTTACTGCATAGAATACCACTCTTTCCAGGCGTAATGAATGCTCAATTATACTGTGTGTTATGCCAACTCATAGTGCTTCGGGAATAAAATAATTGCTTGGAGACTCATATTCTAAAATAATTAAGAATAAAAATGGTTACAATGTAGACACTAAGTCTTCTTGACATGAATTTATTTTCATAATTTTTGTAAGAAGAGAAATTATAATTTTTAATTTAAAATTAAAAGCTAAATTTCTATGATAACCTCTGAACTGGTTTGAGACTGTTATTAGGGTCTCTTTGGAAAAGGTTCATTTTTAAGGTATAGGAATTCACTTTCTTAATTTTGGTCCCTCTTTCCAAATGCCTTTCTGCCCTGCAGAAATAGGCTTGAATTAGCTATAGAGTCTTAGGCATCTTTTTTTCTGCCTGAGAGTATAATAAATATTCATATGCTTATTTACTAAAGAGCTAGATTTATATACAAACTGGTTTTTTATCCAGAATAATTATTTATGAATATAGACATGAAAATTTGTTTTTAGATTGTCTACACAGTAGCTTCCCCTTTTTTTGAACATAGAGTAGAATTTGTAATGCTTTTCTTTTTTCTCCATCAGTACTATAAGGAAAATATTATTAAACACCCCTCCCCTGCCCAACCTTTTTTTAAAATAGAGATGAGGTTTTGCCATGTTGCCCAGGCTGGTCTTGAACTCCTGGGCTCAAGCAGTCCGCCTGCTGCAACCTCGCAAAGTGCTTGTATTACAGGTGTGAGCTACCATGTCCGGCCCACCCTTTCAAACAAATTTGGTTGTAGTTTGCTATAATAATATACTAAATCTATGTTTATTTGAAAGGAGCCTTTACCTTTTAAAGCAAAATGCACTTTCCTTAAATATAAAAGTAATATGGTTTACTTTAACATTTAAAGTTCACCTTATCTGGGGAGGCAGAAGGAATTTTCATAGTGCTTACTGTGTTAATTATTATGAGAGATGAACCATATGTGATAGGTAAAGTACATGTGTAAGAAAGACAAAAAAATTTTCCTCTTTTTATAATCCATGAAATTCGAAAACAGAAAATTATTCAAAGAATAGGCAAATGTCATGACAGAACTTAGTGTGAGCAAGTCATTGAGAATTAAAATCTAACTTTTCAGGTCAGAGAGCCTTGAAATACTTACAATAAAGTTATAAAGGCCTAGGTATTTTTCTTTCTTTTTTTTTTTTTGAGATGGAGTCTTGCTCTGTCGCCCAGGCTGGAGTGCAGTGGCGCAAAGGCCTAGATATTTTTCTATAATATTTTTGTTTTATGCATTAGGGGTAGGATTTCAGCAAAGTCTTGATGGTCAGGGTCCTTACCCCTACTCCCTTTAAAAAAATATTTCAGCTAGGCACAGTGACTGTCTCGTGACTGTAGTTGCAACACTTTGGGAAGCCAAAGGGGGAGGATCCCTTGATCCCACAAGTTCAAGACCAGCCTAGGCAGCATAGTGAGACCCCCATCTCTATAAGAAATAAAAAAATCAGCTGGATGTGGTGGTGTATGCCTGTAGTCTCAGCTACTCGAGAGGCTGAGTCAGAAGGATTGCTTGAGCCCAGGATTGGAGGCTACAGTGAGCCATCATCACACCACTGCACACCTGCCTGGGCAACAAAGCGCAACCCTGTCAAAAAAAAAAAAAAAAAAAAAAAACTCAAAGAGGAAAAATGTTATTTGAGTAACTACTAGATTTACTTTAGAAATTATAAGAAAGCGTAGCGAGAATGACTATTGTAGTCATGGAATTTTACTCCAGATGGGACCTTTAAAAGAGTAATCTCTTTTTGATAGCTTCTAAGGATTTATTATAGGTTAGTGAAGGTGTACAAAGAAAAATCGGCCTATATCCACACTTCAATATTGACACTAGTTTATAGAAAGCTACAGAAGTACTTTAGAAATACACTTTTAAGCAAATATTTCTACCAAAGAAAATCTGGGGAATTATCCTGTTAGTAGATATTTTAGTTAGAGCCATTTTGTACCTATTTGGAGTGCTTTCTTTTTTTCTTTTATTCGTTATGAATTCTGGGTCAAACTTTATTTAGGCCCATGGTTGATGACAAAACTAGATTTTTCAGCCTTTAAAAGAAATCATGGGTGGTCATTTAATATACAGTTGTCTGTTGCTCAAGTTCTCATGCTTTTCAGTATGTTACCATTGCCACATATAGTGTGGAAACAGTACTAACTATACGTGGACATTGAGGTCGAAAGGATTTCACCAGATTCAGGTGGTCCTTGATATCAGTAATAGAGATGGCATATAAAACATTTGGAGGTGGAATTCCTCTTCTGTTTTTTTGTTTTTATTTTTTACGTTCAAAAAATATGTTTCCAAGAAGAGCTATCTGAAACCTTTTGTCGACATTTTGATATCTTAGTACAGAAATAGGGATAGAAGTGATGATTCGTTTTAAATTTATCATTCACTATAGAGGGGAAGACTAGAAGGACACATACCAAAATATTGACGTTAGTTACGTCTGGTGGTACAATTACCAGTGATTTAAAATTTTTTTATTTAAAATGTATTTTTAAAATTTCTACTTAATTATAAGTTGGAGAAAATTTTACTCAACAGCATTCTTTTTAGGAAAAGAACTGTATTTATTTGTGAAGGTGCTTTGGAGTACAAAGTAAAATACTGAGACCTGATTGTAGAAGGAACTATTTTTGTAACACTAAGAGAAATTGTCTCGTTAGCACCAGAGAAATGGAACAAGAAATAGAGATGGCCGGGCACGGTGGCTCACGCCTGTAATCCCAGCATTTTGGGAGACCGAGGTGGGTGGATCACCTGAGGTCAGGAGTTCTAGACCAGCCTGGCCAACATGGTAAAACCCCATCTCTACTAAAAATACAAAAATTAGCCGGGCATGGTGGCAGGTGCCTGTAATCCCAGCTACTCGGGGGGCCGAGGCAGGAGAATCACTTGAACCTGGGAGGCGGAGGTTGCAGTGAGGCGAGATTGCGCCATCGCACTCCAGCCTGGGAGACAAGAGCAAGACTTCGTCTCAAAAAAAAAAAAAAAAAAAAAAAGAGAGATAAATCAGGGGTGTTCAATCTTTTGGCTTCCCTGGGCCACATTGGAAGAAGAATTGTCTTGGACCACACATAAAATACACTAACAATAGCTTATGAGCTTACAAAAAAAATCACAAAAAAAGTCTCTTAATGTTTTAAGTAAGTTTACAAATTTGTCTTGGGCCACATTGAAAGCCATCCTGGGCCTCATGCAGCCCATGGGCCACAGGTTGGACAAGCTTGAGATAAGTGGTAGTAGAGCCAGCAGGATGGCAGAATGCCACATTTCATGACATGACTCTGTCTTTACTCACCAAATTCTTAGAAGTTTTCTCTAGTAAAATTGATTTGGGAGTTGATTTTTATTTACTTATTTTTTGGTAGATACTGGTGAGACAATTAGGTTTGGGGTTCAAACTGAGGTAGGACAGTAGTGAGGCAACTTCTGTGGATTCCAATGTCTGGAAGCAGAAATATGAGGAAACATGCCCTGGAACTCAATAGGAAAAGCTCTGAACTTTCACAAGACTGAAATTATGGTTCAGGTTAAATTAAACAGGTCTCTAGTTGTGACTGGGTAATCCAGGACTCTGATCAAGAGAAAACAAAAGAAATCAGAAAATACTATTCAGAAGTCTAACAACTTTCATGCCTTGGCATTCCCAATCTTTTATTTCAGCTAGCTATTGCTGTCGATTTTTTGTTCTGTTCTCAGTCCTTTGGCTATTTCATGTTTGTTTACATGAAGCTTCATGAATAGATTTTAAGGGAGCCCATGATAGTCTTTAAACGGTGTGCAAAATTTTTGTTTTTGTGTAGTTTTCTGGGAAGATTCATTACATATATATATGTATATATATATATATATATTTTTGTTTTTTTTTTTTTTTTGAGACAGAGTCTCGCTCTGTTGCCCAGGCTGGAGTGCAGTGGCATGATCTCGGCTCACTGCAACCTCTGCCTCCGGGGTTCAAGTGACTCTCCTGCCTCAGCCTCCCGAGTAGCTGGGATTACAGGCGCCCGCCCAGCTAATTTTTGTATTTTTAGTAGGACATTGTTGTGCCATGTTGGCCAGGCTGGTCTTGAACTTCTGACCTCAGGTGATCATCCTGCCTTGGCCTCCCAAAGTGCCAGGATTACATACATGAGCCATCGTGCCTGGCCTCATTACAGATATTCTTAAAGGACTTAATCCCTATCTTAATTGACATTTTATGGTAAGTACTGCTGAACCAGGTATTCAAATAAAGTGTCTTCATACAGGTGATATTCATTATTGAACTGATATTATTACAAAGTAAAACATTGCCACCTTTCTACTACTCTTGGTTTTTTTTCCAGAATTTTTGTTGCTAGATCAGAGGTATGTGAGAAAGAGAGTGGGAAGAGGTGAAGTCAGAGAAAGAGAGTGGGAAGAGGTGAAATCAGAGAAATAGCTGGGGGCACAAACTGTGTTGAGTTTTTTAGGACTTTGTTTAGGACTTTAACCTACATGCAGAGTGAAGTGGGAAGCCATTGTTGGGTTTAAGAAATGCTATGAACTGACCTTGCATTTTAACAAAACAAATTGAGTGAAGGGCAGCGAGTCCTTTAAGGATCCTATTGCTCACCTGAGAAGTGATTATAGCATTGGCTTATACTAGAATGGTAGTAGTAATGTTGAAAATTGGTCACATTTTGGATGTATTTTAAAAGGTATCATATAAATGCTAAATGACGAGTTGATGGGTGCAGTACACCAACATGGCAAATGTATACATGTGTAACAAACCTGCGTGTTGTGCACATGTACCCTAAAACTTAAAGTATAATTAAAAAAAAAAAAGATAGTATGTGGAATGAGCCCATCAGCTGGCTGCTTATGAAAGAGTAGCTATTAGTGAGTATGAGAAGGTGAAAGAGAAAAAGAGAGAGGGGGAGCACATGGTGGCAGGGAGAGAGAGAGAAACTAGAAAAAAAAAGGTATCATATAGAGCTGACAGGATTTTTTGATGAACTGGATGAGAAGTGTGAGAAAAAGAAGCTAAGGATGACTTAAAGTTTTGACCTGAGCAATTAGAAAAATGGTGTAACCATTCTCTAAGATGGGTACAACAAGAGGATCCAATATGGTAATATGGTGGGTTGTTCAGCAACTTGATTTTAGACAAGTTAAGTCTGAGATGCCAATTAGACATCTACATAGGTATGTCAAGTAAGCAGTTGGATATATTAGTTTGAGGTTCAGGAGATAGATCTAACCAAAGTAATAATTCCCTCTACATTTATGTAACACTGTTCAAACCATTATTACTACAATAATTTCCACATTGTTTTAGAGTTGTTCACACAAGTATTGTATATACCATTGCTGTCTCTCCAGCTTCCCAGCCCCCATGGACAAGGGGGGAAGGACAGGGATCTTGCCTTATTTATTTTTATGACTATAGAGGCTAGAATGGAGTAGATGTGCACTAAATATTTGTTGGATTGGATCAAAGTTTTAAAATTCATTTTCCTTTGAGTAGAAAGAAAAATATTTACCTGGAAACTGTATTCAGATACTGCTGTAAACCTTGATAAGTAGATCAGGTTATTATGTCATTTATTATACTAATATTTTCTGTGGTGGATCTGTTTTATTGGTTATATTCGAACATATTTAAATTTTCAGATTCTACTTGTTATGCCATTTAGACTATGCTTCCCAAAGCTGTAATTATCATTACTTCGGGATCTAGGTAGAAAAACTAAATATAGAGCTTTGCATTTGTTAAAGTAAAATTTGTTGCTTTCTGAACTTGGTTTGGGCTCAAGTGCACAATCTGGTGTATCCTTGGGTTTTTCTCTCCAAAATTTCTTCTGTGTTTCTATTATGACTATTAGTAGCATAATTTACTGAGGGCTTTCATATACTCTAAGTATCTATTTAATCATTTAGGTACCATAGCCCTGTTATTGATCAGCAGTTACCTTAATTATCAGGTTGATCTTAATCACTTTCAAAGAGATTGTATTTATCATCAATCTTTGAAAGAACCTTTCTAGTCAGATCTTAATGATATGGCAGCCACATATAATAGGTAGGTGTTAAGTTTGTGGGAAGGAGAGTTGGGTGTCTGACATCCCTGGGATTGAATCCTGGCTCTACCCCTGACTTCTTATTCGATCTTGAATGAATTGTATTGATTAAAATGGTGATAATAAACTAAGTAATTGTGAGAGTTAAATGAAATAATGTATTTTGTATGTGCATATATTATTTATATAACATGCATTTGATATGCCATATATTAATATGCAGCAGTGATTAATTATGCTGAGAGAATTTTATATGACTCAAAGGAATTTTCTTTTGTGTGTTTTTTGCATAATTTGACAAAATTTCACTATGGAAATGTTTTAAAGTAATTAAAAAGTTTGTGAAAAAGTTTAAAACAACTTGAAAAGCAGTGTTGAGGGGAAAAAGTAACTCACTCATAATTCCACATTCTAAAAAACCAATGTTATTTTGGTATATTTGTTTAATCTTTTATATAATTGGTGCCTTAGGAAGGGACACCATAAATATATTTATAATATTTTTGAGACAAAATACTAAAGTGCATATAAGAATTTTCTTGATGAAGATCAGGTAGGTTTAGTAGTGAAGAATAACTTTCTCTAAGTAGAGTTTGAACAACCAGGAAATTCCATGTTAACAAAACTGGTGCATAAGTAGTAAAATATAGTTTAAAGAAGCCCAGTTATTACTTTAAGTATGCATTTTAAAGTTTTCTAGCACAAGGATTCTTTATCTGTTGAAGTTAGGTGCAACATGTTGTCTGTTTGCAAATTTTTTCTAGGAAGAAAATCTGTGGCTTCAGATAATCAAAGAGACTCTTACTAACTCACAAAATTAAGAACACTGGCCAGACATGGTAGCTCATACCTATAATCCCAGAGTTTTGGGATGCTGAGGTGGAAGGATCACTTGAGGCTGGGAGTTCGAGATCAGCCTGGGCAACACAGCAAGACCTCTGTCTCTGCAAAATATTTTTTTTAGTTAGCCAGGCATGGTGACATGTGCCTGTAGTCCCAGCTCTGTGGGAGGCTGAGGCTTGAGGAGGATGGCTTGAGCCCAGAAGTTCGAGGCTGCAGTGAGCTATGATTGTGCCACTGCACTCCAGTCCAGTCGACAGAGCAAGATTCTGTCTCCGGAAATTGTTTTAAAAAAAGAACACCTTCACTAGAGTAAAACTTCATAAAGTTAATTTCAGCTTATTTAACATGGCTTATATTTTAAAGCAATTGTTGCTTCCCGGTGTCTCATATACCTTGTTTTCTTAGATATTAGAAACTTAATAGTACCTAGCTTTTGTTTTCTTTTTTTAGTCTGTAGGGTTTTTTTTTTCCCATATTGCTGTCTTCTCTAAGGATACAGTGACCATTTTAAAAGGTGTATGATGGCACAAATTTTATTATTTAATTTTCAAAGCTTTCTTCCCTCCTAAGGGAATCCTATCATTCATGCCATGGTAGAGAAGGAATGTTGTATTCTGTCCTACTGAATTTGTCCTACTGGATCAGTTTTATTAATTGTAATCCCTATACCTGGCACCTCTCCACTTAAGATTCTTCAACTGTGACTTGGGTTTCGACTGGGAAAAGAACAGTGAATAGAAAGAGAAAAGCCACGTCTATTTTGTTTCAGTGTGGAAGTCTGTTGAGTTAGAAATATATTAATAAATTTCCATTGTGTTAGGCTGTTCCTTGTTGTGTAACTCTCATTACGTTCTGAGAACCTACGATTTAAGCCTTTTTCTTCTTTCTCAATCAGAATAGGTATGAAGACTTAGGCAAAGCTCTAATATTTGGTATCTACAAAAGAAGTTGATGGAGAGTTGCTTGTCACTTGGAAGAGCCTTTCTGTAGAAATTTGAACCTTTAACTGTTCTGTAGCTATTATATGAAAGTGCTTTTATTATTATTTTTATTTATTTATTTATTTTTTGAGATGGAGTTTCACTCTTGTTGTCCAGGCTGGAGTGCAATGGCACAGTCTCAGCTCACTGCAACCTCCACGTCCTGGGTTCAAGTGATTCTCCTGCCTCAGCCTCCTGAGTAGCTGGGATTACAGGCATGTGCCACCACGCCTGGCTAATTTTGTATTTTCAGTAGAGCCAGGCTTTCTCCATGTTGGTCATGCTGGTCTCGAACTCCCGACCTCAGGTGATCCGCCTGCCTCGGCCTCCCAAAGTGCTGGGATTACTGGAGTGAGCCACCACATCCGGCCTGAAAGTGCTTTTATTTTTTTACATGTGGTACCACATAGTTTTTCTTGATGTTCCTTAAAGAAACTTTTGAAGAGAGTGCCTAAACATGGGTTTTGGTTGCTATTACAAATTTATTCATATGGCTGTACTTCTGAAAGTAATGTGCATCTTTCTTTTACACTGTTAACAGAAAGAATTCTGAAATGCAGACTTCATTAGGAATACAAAGTATATTGTCATAGGCATAACAATTCAGCCTTTTAGTAAGGAAAGTAACTGTATGTTGAATTCACCCAAAAGATTTAGATAGTGTTGTAATCATAGCTTTATGTAAGAATACAGTTCTATTTAAAAAGGGAGGCAGTGAATTCAGTTGATGATCTGCTGGGTCATGATACTTCAAGGGGATGGCTTAAGAAGGGAAAGGTAAAGAGCATATAAAATATTTTTCCCCTCTTCAAAAAATTCAAAAATATTTCTGTCTTCAAAAATTGTCATGTTAATTTAAGTCTTACTGAACTTCACTTTTAGAAGCATTCAGACTCTATCTAAATATTATAGAGTTTTATTTCTATCTTAAAGATAAATTTGTTTCTTAAAACCTTTTTTTAAAAAATTTTTTTCTCTCGGTGTCTTAACTAAGAATTAAGGTAACTTCTTTCACCAGCCTGTTAACCCTTCCCCTGCCTCTTCTTTTTGATACATGAATTTTGTCTAAGTTTTGGGCCCAGGCTATGTCAATGCGTAGTATACACATCCTATACAGTGTCAGAGTGGAAAAACTGATTTAATTACAAAAGTAGTGTGCCATCTTGTGGAGGATTATGCAATCAGCACAGTCTGATTTATCCTAAAAATCAAAGTAGAAGACAGATATTGCACTTGGGCACTAAAAATAAAAAGCCTATTCCATTGTGCAAAAAGACACTGAGATGTCTTTATATACCTTACATTTCTACATTATTTTTAGTGCATATAAGATGTGTAGATTGGTACTACTGGTAGTCGGTAGCTCCAGGGTTTGTTTTATACTGGTACCAAATTGGTACATGTACTATACCAAAGAATGTGGTTGAATTTTAGTTTTTGTGGCCTAAGTAATGAAA
The DNA here is from genome assembly GCF_000001405.40 of Homo sapiens. Lineage (NCBI taxonomy): Eukaryota > Metazoa > Chordata > Mammalia > Primates > Hominidae > Homo > Homo sapiens. The sequence goes on from NC_000007.14 coordinate 131,424,718, forward strand.
AATAGATTGATTGGTGATTGACTCAGTGTTTTAGAATGAAATTTGTTTGCCGTTTCGAACATAGGCCACTTTACCTCCAATCCCTGTCATTCTCAACTCCTTCAGTCAGTCCTGTATGCTGCAAGTTCAGATGTTACCTTGCTACCCCTCTGCCTAAGATCTTCTGTGGCTTCTCCACTGTCTGTGTGGAGTCAAGTTCAAAGTCTTTATCCTGTTATTTAATCCCTTCCATGATCTGGACACACCTGTCTTTTAACCTCCTCTCCACCTCCTACCTATGTGTTCTTTTAAATCAAACAGTGTATTTATTCATCACACAGTTTAACCATTTAACATGCATTATTTAATTTAATTTAATTCTCACAGCAGCTTTATGGGATAGATACTGTATCACATCTTAGAGATTAAGAAACCAATAGTTAAGGAACTGTGTGGTGGTCACATAGCTGTGGTGATAGAGCCAGGATTGTAGCCAAGATCTGCCTGACTAGAGTACATGTTCATTAAAACACTTTTGACGTGTTTTTCTGTCTCTATACTTTTGCTATTCTTTTTACTCTGTTTGAAAAGCCCTCTTTTTTTTTTGTTCTGTATCCTGCCTTCCTGCTGGTGCATAGGTCAAATACCACTGTTACCATGAAATCTCTTCTGAGTCCCCTCAGCCAGATATACTGTCTTCCCTCTTTTGAACCCTCATGGTGCTTTTTACCTTGTTTATCTTTCTTATGACATTTAGTCTGCCCTGCGTTATGTTGCTCTATTTGCCTTTTGATATTCTTGGCTAGATTGTAAGTTCCTTGAGGATAGGGACTGGGGACTATGTCTTCTTTCTTTTGAATTCTCTAAAGTGCTTTGCGAATTCTCAGTACTCAAAAAGTGTTGAATAAACATTCCTCAAAGTGCTGGGAGAAATGGATAGACACTATAGCCTATATCCCATTCAGAAAAAATATAGAGAAGGGGTGAAGGGGTTGCTCCTTGAAGAGGATCGTACTACCCCAGATGTACATGAATTATTATAGAACCTATAAGCATGAGAATGGGCTTCCATAAACCAATCTACTACCCTACTGCAAATATTAATGCTTTCTTTTTTCTTTCTACTTCCTTCTCTCTACAGTTCTCTCCAATTATATCCATAATTTTTAAAGGTCTTTGATATCCTTTGTGCATTAAATAATACCTTTTCTGGTGTCTGTTTCTGGATAATAGTTCTTCTTTGCATGACTTAAATAATTAGATGAATTAATTAAAATTTTTGTTACGCATTTTCATTCAGGTATGTCAGAAGGCTCAGTTTCCATCCGATTCATTTAATTTTACTATTAAACTTCAGCTGGGACCACAAAGCTTTCATGGATAGGAATGACATCTTGGCTTAATTCCATTAGGATGCTTACTGCGTGCCAGATTTTATTTTGCTCAGCTATCAATGAGGCTGTTGTGGAAATGTGGGTTTTCTTTGCTGTGAGAATTTATGCGTACAAAGAGACCTGCTTTTCAGAAAGAACATTGAGAACCCAGAGCCCAAGAGGAAGGGTTATTAAAGTTAATGAACCAGGGTAACCTTATCCAGAGGGTGCCCAGAAACACTATAAAACAAAAGGTCAATTGCTATTGCTATTTTAGTTATATACCCCCTCTCCAGGCTTCAGAATTTAACAGGGTTAATTTCCTTTATAGTGAGGACTTGGCAAATAATTTTTAAGCCAGATGAAAATTCTTTAATTTTTTTTTTCTGTAAAATTATGTGTCTGAGTATTACTGTGTGCCATTTTGGAAACAGAATGTTACTTAACGATGATAATGGATTGTTTTATAGTTCCAAGATAGGACAGTGTTTTTTTTGTAGTTTAAAATAATTGGCATTATTTCACACTTATACAGTGCCAAAAGTGTTTTATGTACTGAATTAGACATGTAGTCAGTTATAATATCATTTTTATTGTACTTAGTAACTACAGAGTGTTTTTCATTTTTATGTATATTTTAAAGGTGGAAATGATGTTCATACTTGACAGCCTTCAGAATGTTTTCATGTAACTTTTTTTTTTTTAGATGGAGTCTCGCTGTGTTGCCCAGGCTGGAGTGCAGTGGTGCGATCTCAGCTCACTGCAGCCTCCACCTCCTGAGTTCAAGTGATTCTCCTGCCTCAGCCTCTTGAGTAGCTGGGATTACAGATGTGTGCCACCATGCCAGGCTAATTTTTGTATTTTTGGTAGAGACGGGATTTCACCATGTTGACCAGGCTGGTCTCAAACTCCCAATCTCAGATGAGCCACCATGCCTGGCCTCATATAACTTATATCTGAAGGACTTGACAACACTGAGAGTTTTGCAGATGAAAAAAACTAAAACCTAGGGAGCTTAAATGACCTGTACTGATCACCCAGTTAGTACTAGAACTCAGTCCTGCTCCAGTGGCCTGTTCTTATCCAGAAAGCAGTGAAGCATTTTTTTATTTCCCGTGGTATTTGGGGGATAGAAGAGACAAATCACTTGAAAAATTTACTTAGAGTTTGAAATTATATGCAGATATGACAGAAATCTTGTAGAAGATAGCCTAACTCTGTGAATGGCAAAAGGTTTTCTTAAATAGTCTTCTAGCATTTCCAAGTACACTTTGAATTGTAACCCTGCATGGTGGGATGTAACTTAGATGACAGCTTCCATATGTACAGGCCTAAAGCGTGTTAGTTAGAGAGTACATGACTTTACAGTTTTCGTATAGTGTTTTATTTAACATTAAAAGATAATAATTGGTGGGCTTATACAACTGGTAGACTTAAAACAGTTACAAAGGGGGAAATATTTGAAGAAAGGAAACAACTTTTTTTTTATTTTTCATTTTTTGAGACAGAGTCTCACACTGTCACCCCAGGCTGGAGTGCAGTGATGTGATCTCAGCTCCCTGCAACCTCTGCCTCCCAGGTTCAAGTGATTCTCCTGCCTCAGCCTCCCGAATAGTTGGGATTACAGGTGCCCGTCACCACACCTGCCTAATTTTTTTGTATTTTTAGTAGAGACGGAGTTTCACTATGTTGGCCAGGCTGGTCTCAAACACCTGACCTTGTGATCCACCTGCCTCAGCCCCTCAAAGTGCTGGGATTACAGGCATGAGCCACTGTGCCAAATTGGAAACGCCTATTATTGCATGAAGAAGGGGCTGAATGGGGTGGCTCATGCCTATAATCCTGGTACTTTGGGAGGCTGAGGTGGGAGGATTGCTTGAGGCCAGGAGTTCAATACCATCCTGGACAACATAGTGAGCCCCTGTCTGTAACCCCCACCCCCCCAAAAAAAGTTAGCTGGGCATGGTGGCACATTATTGTAGTCCCAGCTACTCGAGAGGCTGGGGTGGAGGGATTGCTTGAACCCAGGAGGCTGCAGTGAGCCATGATTGCACCACTGCACTCCAGCATGGGCAACAGAGAGAGACCGTGTCTCAAAATAAATAAATAAATAAATAATAAAAATAAAGAAGGATCTATGATACACAATGTTATATGTAAAGATTCATTATTCACTGAAGAAGAAAATCAGTTTTGTCAGCGGTAAAGTCTGTGAATATAATAGACATTTCAGAGTCAGAAGAAACCAAATTCTCAAGATACTTAGAATGACTTAAAGGATAATTTCTGATGAGTTAAATGTACCACAATATATCTGGAAAAATTTCTCCCAGTTTTTATAGGAATATCAAAGCTGTGGATCACTTTTTCTTAAGATATCTAATTTTAACTTAAAGCTAGTTTTAACCATTGTTTTTGATATAGCAATAGAGAGAAATTGCCTTTAATATGACTTTTTTCAAAAACAGCTAAATGTTCTTATGCTGTACTTTTACACTATATATTCCTCTGGGGGTTTTATTTTTTAGAATCTGAATTAAAAAATTCCATAGTGGATAAAAAGTGGCTGCATTATTAAAAAGCTGGTAAATGTAAAGTTTTCAAGGCCAAACACAGAAACTCCAAACCAGCTGCACGTTAAATTTTTCTGGGATACTTTACAAATACAGACCCATTTTTACCCATTGAAAACCTGTGGAATCAGAATCTTGGGACATGCCTCCTAGTTATCTGTATTTTTATAAATCTCTCAAAATAATGGTTCTGCAGCATCCTTTTCATATATTCATGCCTAGGAAATATTAGTCTAGTATATATTTGAGAAAGTTACCAGGTTAAAATTTTTATTTTAAAATTTATTTAGATGTAGCTTCTTAAGTGGCCTTAGAAACAGCTGGCTAGGTTTGGGTGCTTATGCTTATTTTGTCCTTTTTTTTTTACACATATTTTTCTGATTTTCATAGAGACTGTTTATTTGTTTGGTGGCTGGGATGGAACACAAGATCTTGCTGACTTCTGGGCGTACAGTGTGAAGGAGAACCAGTGGACATGTATCTCTAGAGACACTGAAAAAGAGGCAAGTTCTCAGACTTTTCATACATCTATATTACAGAAGGGGCGTAGATGTGCACTTGTTTTTCGGCATGATTATATTCTTCACTAATGTCTGTCAGCAGTAGTAGCAATAGAATTTGTGGTAAACAAGTTTTTTTTAAGTACTCTTGAATTTCAGCTTCTATAACTGGCTGTTCAGCTACTGATACACAACCAAATCTGTTTTATAGAGAGAGAGAGAGTGAGGAATGGGGATTTTTATATCATTTTGTTTTTAAACTGCTTTAGCCTAGAAATGTAACTGTGTAACTGTCTTTTTTGCTTATGTCTCCACTACCTCTATTCTTATTTTTAACATTCATCTTATTTTTATTTCTTCTGGAATATTGTGTTTTTGACACTCACTATCTCCCTATTTTGGCTCCTGTTATTTTACTATATGTCAGTTTTCATAAATGATATATATTATCTTTTTTTTGGAGTCTTGCTCTATCGCCCAGGCTGGAGTGCAGTGGCACCATCTCGACTCACTGCAAGCTCCGCCTCCCAGGTTCATGCCATTCTCCTGCCTCAGCCTCCCAAGTAGCTGGGACTACAGGCGTCCGCCACCACGCCCAGCGAATTTTTTTTTGTATTTTAGTAGAGACGGGGTTTCACCATGTTAACCAGGATGGTCTCGATCTCCTGACCTCGTGATCCACCCGCCTCGGCCTCCCAAAGTACTGGGATTATAGGCGTGAGCCACTGCGCCTGGCTGATACATATTATCTTTAATAAAAATTGTATATATGTATGCATGTACAGATCTGTGTATGCACATATACATAAAGCATTTCCATAGTGAATAAGATGGCTTAGGTTTATGGCTTTGAATTAAGTGCATGATTATATCCTGGAATAAAGTAAATGTTAATTCATTTATTATTTTTTCAAATCTTTATAGAACATTTTAATTGCACTCTCCATTTAAACTGTTTCAGGATATAAAGTGACAAATGAGCTATAACAAAACAGTAGGAGCCTCAAATGAAAAGGAGATAAAACGGCCTAATTCATAACCCACTGATTTTGATCTAGGAAGGCCATTTCCAAAGATCTAGTGCTGTGTCGTTAATCCTGGGGAACTAGGTTCTTGCTTACTCTGAAATTATGTTAATAAAAACTGTCCAGGGATTAATCACTGGACAGTTTTTATTTTTTCAAATAGATGTTGAAATTCTGATTTACTTTTCTTACCCCGGGAAAGTATGTGTAAGTGGCCTTCCTGTTTCAGTATTGAAGTACTGTTCTCTGAAATGATTATTTCTGTCTTCAACAACAAAAGACAAATCTTAAATTAAAAAAAAAACTAACTTTTTTCTACTAAAGTATTGTAAATCTAAGGCGATGACATCTGTAATTATTCTTGTGTTAAGCCTAGGTTTCATCCTAAAATCCTCCCTCTTCTTCAGTGAATGTGTCTAATTAGTGCCTAAGATCCAACAGTTCTCCAAGTGCCTGGCATGATCCAACAGGTCATCCAATACCACATTTCAAATGTCTTTTCCTCTCCATTCCTTTTAGCAGTTTTTTCAACTTTATGGTTTCTTACGCTTTTTATATCTCCATTGTTGACCTATTCTGTGTTCACCAACACAGTCTTTAAAAAGCATATTTGGGCTCGGTGTGGTGGCTCACACCTATAATCACAGTACTTTGGGAGGTCAAGGCAGGAGGACTGCTTGAGGATTGGAGGTGGAGACTGCAGTGAGCCATTACAGTGTCATTGCCTCCAGCCTCGGTGACAGAGCAAGACCCTGTCTCAAAACAAAAACAAGGCCGGGCACAGTGGCTCATGCCTGTAATCCCAGCACTTCGGGAGAGCGAGGCCAGCAGATCACCTGAGCTCAGTAGTTTGAGACCAGCCTGTGACCAACATGGTGGAACCCCATCTGCACTAAAAATAGAAACTAGCTGGGCATGGTAGCAGGTGCCTGTAATCCTAGCTAGCTGGGAGGCTGAGGCAGGAGAATCCCTTGAACCCAGGAGGCGGAGGTTGCAGTGAGCCGAGATGGCACCACTGTGCTCCAGCCTGGTCGACAGAGTGAGACTCTGTCTCAAAAAAAAACAAAAAAAAACAACCAAAAACAAGTCCCCCAAATACCATATTTGATCCTATGACACCTCTGCTTAAACCCTGTGGTTAGCTTCAGCCTTTGTTTCAGTTATCGTTTACACTGTTTATTACATTACAAGCACTCAAAAAACTTCAGTGGCATATAGTAATAAGCATTTATTTGCTCATGAGTCTACAAGTTGGCTCGGTCATTCTTTTGGTTTGGCCGGGCTCATTCATTTGTCTAGGAGTCAGCTATCTGTCAGCTGGTCTAGTGTGGTTTCAGCTGGGACTGCCTGGCTCTGTTTTATATAGGCTAGCCAGAGCTTGTTCTCATGGCAGGTGCTGGGCTGCAAAGGGGATGAAGTAGACATGAGCAATCCATCAATTTTTTTCTTGCCCTGATAGCAAAAAGCAATCATGTAACCAAGTCCAGAGTCAGTTGGTGCAGGATACTATTAAAGGGCATAGATACAGGAAATTGTAAATAACAACAACAATAATAAAACAATTTATTTATCTCACTTCCTTTTGCTTAGAGTAAAAACTCGAAATTTCTCATCAAGATTTGCTACTCAATTACTTTTCCAGCCTCATCTCCCATGTGCCAGTTAAAGTTGCTGGAATTATTCAACTTTCTCGCCTGTGTCCTTTGGCAATGTTGTTTTCCTTGTTTGGAATTAACAGAGGGAGGCTCTCCCCCTAACTTTACCTAATAAATACCCACTTATTCTTTAAAACTCAGTTCAGACTTCACTTTCTCTGTAAAGCCTTTCTTGAACTTGCCAAGCAGAATTAAAAGCTTCCTTTGATGTGCTCACTTAACCCCTTTTAATACTTGGATGGCTTACTATAATGATTGGTTTATATTCATGTTTCCCTATCTGAATTCCTTAAAGGCGTGAATCATATTCTTTAAAATGTATGTATTTTAAGGATGTGCACGTTCTTACTCTTTAGTGAGTAAGTAGGTGAGGTAAGTTAAATGAGAAATTAATACTAGAGAAAAGGGAACGATAAATACAAAATCCAGAGAGGGTAGGGGGTTTAAAGGTAATATTAAATGTTATTCTTCTAAAGCTTGGTATGGGTAGATAACTTCATTCCGTTATTTTTTTATACCATATACATATGTTGTAAGTAATATTTATAATGCAATAAGTAATTATTTTAAAACTCATGCTGGAAAAATATAGAGATTATTTTGATGAGAACACTTTCTGTTAGTTCAAAGTCAGTACAGATGAGTAAAGTGGTGATTCAGTACTGGAGCTCAGATTTATTATAGTTAATTAATAGACTCATAAAAACCTCCGCCTCCCGGGTTCAAGCAATTCTCCTGCCTCAGCCTCCCGAGTAGCTGGGATTACAGGTGCCTGCCACCACGCCTGGCTAATTTTTGTATTTTTAGTAGAGACAGGGTTTCATCATGTTGACCAGGATGGTCTCGATCTCTTGACCTCGTAATCCACTGGCCTCGGCCTCCGAAAGTGCTGGGATTGCAGGCATGAGCCACCGCGCCTGGCCCTCAAGTGGCATTTTTGTATAGTTTTCTAAATCTCTTTAATGTTTGGCTCAATAAAAGACATCTGGATTCATATGCTTCTTTATTCAGTTGCTGTATCAGAAAGTCATGTAGCCTCTGGAAATGTTCACATATACTCATAAGAGAATAAGAGTGAAAAGACAAATTTTTTTGTTAGTCATGTAAAAATAACTTTGACCTTATAGACTCCCTTGAAGTACCTAGGAGACCCCAGACCACACTGAGAACTGCTGCTTTAATCTAATCCACAGTTCCTATTCAGATATAGACAATTATCCCAATAATGCCCCAGTAATGTTTTTTATAGGCATCCCTTGTCACTCTGCAACCCCAGCCCAGAATTTAGACCATGATCATGTATTGCTTTTTGGTGTCATGCTTCTTTAGTCATCTTTAGTCTAGAATAGTTCCCTAAACTTTCTTTGTCTTTCTTGACTTTGATGATTTTTAAAGAGTACAGGGCAGTTGTTTTTTAGAGTATCCTTCAACTGGGTTTGTATGTTTTCTTAGGATTGGATTTAGATGACATATTTTTAGCAAGAATAACCCATAGATCACATTAGCATCTCCTCCATATATCATATCAGGAGACACATTACATCAGTTTGTCTGATATTAGCTTCAATCACTTGGTTAAGGAGATGCCCACCAGATTTGTCTAATTTATAATTAATAAGTAATTTATATGGAGACATTTCAAGATTATGAAAATATGCCATTACTCATCAAACTCTCACCCTTTTATCATCCATTAATGAAACTTAAAGCTTTTCCCAAAATGGTTATACCATTTTATACTTTGCCTGCAATGTATGAGATTTCTGGTTACTCCCTATCTTCTTGGCCCATTGATTTGCTTTGGCACCTTGGCCAAAAATCAATTGATCATGTAAGTATATATCTCTTTTTGTACTCTGTTCTGTTCTATTATATTTTGGTCTCTTCTTAACCAATATGACACTCCCTCGATTACTGTAGCTTTATAGTAATTCATGAAGTCAGGTAATATATAAATTTTAGAATCACCAATTTCTAGAACTGTTGGGATTATGATGGGAATATGATAAATCTATATATTAATTTGGAGCAAATTGGTGGGTTTCATTTTGTCGTTTGAATTTTTTTTTTTTTTTTTTGAGACAGAGTTTTGCTCTTGTTGCCTAGGCCAGAGTGCAATGATGCGATCTCGGCTCACTGCAACCCCCTTCTCCCAGGTTCAAGTGATTCTCCTACCTCAGCCTCCCGAGTAGCTGAGACTACACCGAGTAGCTGAGACCCACCTGGCTAATTTTTGTATTTTTAGTAGAGATGAGGTTTCACCATGTTGGCCAGGCTGGTCTCGAAATCCTGACCTCAGGTGATCCACCCACCTCAACTTCTCAAAGTGCTGGGATTACAGGCATGAGCCACTGCACCTGGCTGCAAATTGGTGTTTTAATGATATTGAATCTTTCTACACCATGAACATGGTTTAGTCTCCATTTATTTTAGTCTTCATTATCTCTCAGCACTCTTAAGAGTTTTCAGTTTAAGAGGTCTATGATATTTTCGTTAACTTGATATCAGTGTATTTTGCTTTTTGTGCTATTATAATGGAATTTAAAAATCTTTTACTTTCCATTTGTTGGCTGGTAATATAGAGAAATACAATTGGTTTGTTAATATTGCCTTTGTATCATGTCACTTTAAGTCTACTTATTTCTAATAGCTTCTTTTTTATTTCTTAGAGTATTTTAAAGAAGCAGTCATTTTTCTTCTTTCTGTTCTCTTTTCCTTCATTATTTTATTTTATTTTTTGTTTATTTGTTTGAGACAGAGTCTTTCTGTTGCCCATGCTGGAGTGCAGTGACATGATCATGGCTTGCTGCAGCCTCGACCTTCTGGGCTCAAGCAATCCTTCTACCTCAGTCTCCCCAGTAGCTGGGACCACAGGCGCGTGCCTCCATGCCCAGCTAATTTTTAAATTATGTGTAGAGATAGGATCTCTGTATGTTGAACATGCAGAGGAGTCTTGAACTCCTTAACTCAACGAATCCTCCCACCTTGGCCTCCCAAAGTGATGGGGTTACAGGCATGAGCCACCAGGCCCAGCCTTTATTTTATTTTTTAATGCCTTCCTTATTGCACTGACTTGAACTTCCAGAGCAATGTTAAATATAAGTGGTGAGAAAAGACATCCCTGTCTTGTTTCATATCTAAACAGGAGAGTGTTCAGTATGTCATCATTAAGAAAAATTAAATTTCGTACATGTTATCAGATTGAAAGTCTTTCTATTCCTATTTTGCTATGAGTTTTGATCATGAATAGGTGATGAATTTTACCAAATGCTCTTTTTACATATGTATTGATGTAATTGTGTTTTTTCTTCTTTATTCTGTTAATATGTCAGATTATCCTGATTGATTTTCAGATGTAAAATCAACTTTACATTCCTGGGATAAATACCTTTTTGTTGTAAAATATTCTTTTCATATATTGCTACTGCTGTTTGGTAATATTTTGTTAAAGATTAGTTTTGTCTATGTTCATAAGGGGTCCTAGCCATCTGTAAATGATTTCTCCACCTCTTCCCCATTTCTTCCTCCTTCTTCCCCTTCTCTTCCTTCTCCTTTGTAATATTATTTGGTTTCAGTGTTATGTTGGCCTCATAAAATAAGCTAGGAATGGAAGAGAATGTGGATAAACAGTAGAGTTTTTTTTTCCCTTGATTTTCTGAAAAATTTTGTCTAAAACTGATACCATTTTTTCCTTAAGTGCTTGATATAATTTACCAGTGTAGATATGTGGGCAATTATGAATTCAGTTTTTCAGTATGTGTAATTCCTTCAGATTTTCCTCTTTCATCTCATGTCATCTTGGTAAGTTAGGTTTTTTAACAAATTATGTCTGTTTTATCTACATTGTCAGATTTTACCTATGTTTTTGATAGTATTCTCTCTCTTTTCATTTCTAGGAAGTCTGTAGTGTTAATCTTGCTTTCATTTCTGGTACTGGCAATTTGTATTTTCCCTCCCTTTGTAAAAAATTAGTCTGCCAGTGGTTTATAATTCTATCAGTCTTTCAAAGAACCAACTTTGTTAATTTTCTCTATTTTTTTTCATGTTTTCTATTCTATTGATTTATCTTTATTTCTTTTTTCTTGGCATATAACTTGGTCATCATTTTAATATTATTTGTGCTAATTTAGTTGAAGCAAGAAGTTCTATTATTCTCTTATTAAAATTTCAAGTTTTACACTCTATGCATTATGGCATAGATTTATTATATGTTACTCCGTCTTTGTTTTTGAGATTATTTATGGAGGCAATCCTTTCTTAAATCAAATTTTCACCTTATTTGCTGAAGATATTCTTTGACAAAAAATATTTTAAAATAAGTTTGAAAATAATTAGTGTGAATATTAAAGTGTACATTCACATCAACTTCATTGTCAAAATACTGTTCTTCCTGCCTAATATTCCTTCATTTCACTTAATTAATACTGCTAGATTACTCTTCTTAGAATACTGCCTTTTTATGTTATATCTTGCTTTAGAAACCACCAGTAGTTCTTTATTGCCTACAAGATCATAAATTGTCTCCTCTGTCAGTCATTCATCAGGCTTTCTGTGTCCACTTTATACATCAATTCTGTTATTTCTGCAGGAAGAACTCTTCATCTCAGTCATAACTGCATAGACTGTATTAACAAGTATATTTTTGCCTTTGTTTTTCTTCTAGAAAAAATAATCTGAAATTGTGAAAGAGCCCAGTTTTTGGCTCTGGTACACAAGGGCGTAGATTTGCTATCTTACTTCCTAGTTTTGTGACGGTGGACTCTGTGAAATGGTGATAATATTTCCATATGGGGTTGTTATAAGGATTAAATGGAACACACACATACACAGTAATAGTGTAAACAGAACTTGGGAGTTGTTTAACAAACATTAGTTTCCTTTCCTTTCCCCCTTTCAGCTAATTAAACCCTATGCAATTGAAGTTCTTTTTCCCCGATGAACCCTTTTGACTATACTACAATATTTTTTATGTTTTATTGGGTCCTGTGATACAAGTGATACCAGCTAATTAATTTATTGATAATATACTGTTCTTAATATTATTCCCTATTTATTTACTGTAGCTGTGCTATTTATTCAATCAGGAAAATTAATTTTGCAATGTAAAGGATGGATAAAGAAGTGATAGACTTGGATTCTTATTAGTTTCTGTCACTAGCTTATTAAAGGTATCATCCTGGTCTTATATTTCCTTGCTAGGCTTGTATTTTCTCCTCTTTAAAAGGAGAAAACTAGAGATTTTATTTTTTTTATTTTTTATTTTTATTATACTCTTAAGTTCTAGGGTACCTGTGCACAATGTGAAGGTTTGATAGATAGGTATACATGTGCCATGTTGGTTTGCTGCACCCATCAACTCATCATTTACATTAGGTATTTCTCCTAATGCTATCCCTCCCCCTGACCCCCACCCCTCGACAGTCCCTGGTGTGTGATGTTCCCTGCCCTGTGTCCAAGTGATTAAACTAGAGATTTTATTGATGTTTCTTCTAATTTTGAAATTCACTGATTCTAAATATTCTTGGAGTACCTCTTTTGTGCTAGATTCTGATGAGAAATACAAAAATGTTCATAAAGACCAAACATGTCTTAAAGTAGATTGTCATGTAATAGAGAATTGAACTCTGCACAAATGACTAAAATGCAGTGCAGTATATGGTAGAAACCGTATAGATGTTATAAACAGAGTGCCATAAGCTGCAGTGTAGTTCATCTCATCTTTCCTGGTAGATTTTAAGCATTTCTAAGGTAAGATTTCTGTCTCCTACTGCTTACTGCTTTTGCTTTCCTTTAGAGAGTTAAGCCTAGTGTTGGACTCATATTGGTTGACTTGATGTGAGTTTCTGAGAAACCTTTTAATGAAAGGTAATAAAAAATGACGTTTAATTTTTCTATTATTTGTTCTTTGATTTTTTTTTGCTCTTTATTTGTTTATTTATTTATTTTCTCTCTCTCTCTACAGAATGGTCCTAGTGCCAGATCGTGTCATAAAATGTGCATTGATATTCAACGGAGGCAAATCTACACATTGGGGCGTTACTTGGATTCCTCTGTGAGGAACAGCAAATCTCTGAAAAGTGACTTCTATCGTTATGACATTGATACAAACACATGGATGTTACTAAGTGAGGATACTGCTGCTGATGGAGGGCCGAAATTGGTGTTTGATCATCAGGTTTGATGCACAGTTAAATATATGATGGAATTAATCAGTGCTTAGTGATTCTTGCAATTAGAGTTTATGTTAGATGTTATGCTGAGTTGTCCAGTAGTGCTTTCCATGACAAATATCTATTGACAGTAATAATTGTTGTTTCAGTAGGTATAAAGTTATTCTTTAAATTTTTTTCTCTTGTTTGTTGCAGGGTAGAATATGAAGATCTCAGGACATAGACTGTTGATTTATAGAAACTTTAGCGAGTAGATGGAGCAATATTAGGAAAAACAAATTTAGTTTTATAATACATATGCATAAATCAACAATAACAACTTACCCTTTTAATTATATTTCTTATTCTACATTCCTGTGAGAAATGGAAATCACTTTATAATGAACTAGGTGAAATCTAGAGCTTTTCTTCCAGTTAGAGTGAAATATATTTTGTTTTGTTTATAGTCACAAAATTGTATAAACCTAGAGGGGAATTTGACATACTAGATTAAACTCAGCACCAATAGAAATTATACAATAATGTTGTAGACTAGAAGACTGAACATAGCCTCATTGTAAGCCATTTTAATATTAATATACATGTAGCTCTCATTAGCCCCATCATTGTCATTATCATTGTTACCTGTCTTTGAATACTTATTCCATACAAATTCAATGTAGGTCAAAAAAGACAGTAACCATTTTGAATTCCATAAGCAAGTTTTTACCTGGCTCAACCCATGTCCAAAGTTTTTTTTGATGTATTGAGGAGAAAAAGACTTCAAAAATCTATAACTCTGTATTGATGAACATAAATTATCTAGTATTTGGGAAATGGGAGGTGGTGCTAGAATTATGACAAAACTTAAGTGAGACCTAAAATCTTATCTAGGACATAGAACCCAGGGTCTTTATTTATTGTGTCTTTATAGATTTTTGTTAATTATTTGCTTTTAAACTATCCTATTGCCATATTTCTATTAACATATAATTGTTATAGGAGAATGGTAAGGAGAGGAAGAGTGAGTTATGCCTGTGAAGTTAAGTGGTAGGTAGAAAATCAAAACTAGTATTCTTGGAAATACTCCCCAGCTTAAATTTGGAACTTCTGTTGGCTCTATTTAACTGAGCTCCACAGAGCTATGCACATCCCTGCTGACACCCTCAATGTTCTTCACGTGGAAAATAAGCATGCCAAGAAAAGTTAGGCTGGTTCTGATCTTTTAAAAACATCAGCAGATAATATTGTTAGGGAACAATTTATTCTCTTGTTCCCAAATGGTTACGTATTTCTTTTACAAAAGATGCTGATGTCTTTTTTTTTTTACAGGTTGAAAAAAGAATAGCTTAGGAGTAGCACATAGAGAGTTCTTGTGTGTGGCCTTTGTTTCTCTTGACTTTTATAAAATAGGATGTTTCTTGAAAGCTGGGTGCTGTTAAATAATGCATGGTTTTCAACTGGTTAGATGGTACAGCAGAACACTGGGGGTGAAGAAACAAGGATTTCAGTACTAATTCAGCCAACAACTATCCCTGTAATAGTGAGCAAGTAATCTGTATAATCCTGCATTTGCTATTCTATTTCATACAAATAAAGCTATAAGTTAGAACTTACACTTGTAGTGTTTATGACACTCCAAAAATAGCTTGTGGTGTTCATGACAATTTAGGATTTAACACAATGTTCAAATTTGATAAAAATATGAGAAAGCTATACGATACAAACATGCTTAAAAGCTATTTGCCATTTTTAATTTTAACATATTTAAAAAATAAAATTTAAAGACATCTGGATTTCTTAAGAACATAGTGGCGGTTTAGTTCTCAAGCTTTCCTTGATGTTGCTTTGTGTGGTTTTCCAGGAATAATGGTAATCAAGCAAAAAGATTTAAACACACACACACACACACACACACACACACACACACACACACACACACACACAGTCTCTCTCTCTCAGCAAAACCAAGAGCTAGAGTAAACCTATAACTCCCAATGCCTTGTAAGTTTAGCCAGAAACAACTAAAATACTCAGAACTTTTGTTGAAGCCCACAACAGTATAATAGGGAGACCTGGGAAAGCAAAGGGAGCCTAGCAGTTGTATGTCACAGTGAGAAGTGTCAGGGACAGGGCACAAATTGCACCCAGGGCAGCCACTAGAAGAATCAGTGAATTAACATGTGTAAAGTACCCAGAAATATCCAGAGGTGATATGTGTCAGAAAGCATTATTTTGTAAAAGTGAAGGAAACACAGTGGGAATGATGGCTCCTTTTGCAATGGCCAGTAAGAAACCTGGGGAGCTCAAAGCTTGAGATCAGCCCTGTAAGCCAGATGAGAGTCATAGAATTAGAGAAGGTATGGCTTCACCGGAAGTGCCATATTTTGAAGGAGCCATTCAATTCAGTAGCAACAGAGGAAGGAGTTCTTGAGCGAGAACATCCACCTTCTATAGAAATCCTCTGTGAAGTTATCTGGTCCAGGGAAATTCAACTCAATTACATATGAAAAACTAAAAAGCAATAAATAACAAAGCTTTAGAGAGACATTCTAAAGAAAAACAATAAAAAGAAAAATAACAATAAATGAAAGTTATATCCCAGTACATTACCCCTTTCAGAAATGAAGACTTATCTACAAAGAGCGTAAAGAAGAATAGGTAATGATCATATAGCATAGGAATAAGATAAAACAAAGAGGTAAAAATGATTAACCAGGGAAGGTAGGCAGAGGAGAGCCAACATATATATATATAACTGGAGACTTTAAAGAAGAAAGCCAAAACAATGGAAAAAACAAATATTTATCAATTGAATTCAGGAACATTTTCCTGAAGAAAGATTTTACTCCGCATGTCAAATGGGCATACTATATTCAGAAAAAGTTGACCCAAATACTTAACTCTAAGACATATATTAATAACACTGACTATAAAAGATAAGAGATCATTTTATAGCAAGTAGACAAAATGATCAAGTCACCTATAAGAGAACTAAAATGAGACTGGTATCAGATTTCTCTACATCTACTTTCAGTGCCAAGAGATAATAGAGCAACATCTAGAAGACATTCAAGAAAAGACAGTATGAGCCAAGAATTTTATATCTAGCCAAACTGTCCTTCAAGTATAATCAGTTTTTGTGGAAATTACTAGAAAATGGAAAGTGAGCTAGCCAAGAAGTAGCAGGAAAAACTTCAGTTGAAGAATTGAAGATCTCAGCTCATTGATATTCTCACTGGGTCATGAGGCATTTTTGGAGGTTTGTAGAAGGGAGGGTGGTAGGTTGGACAACATTGGATACTTAGAAGCCTTTATAGCAATATCTTCAAATTTTGTGAGGAGAAGATTATTTTGAACCCAGCCAAACCCTTACCAATCTTGTATTCCTGTGATGAGTAAAATAAAGTCATTTTCAGGTTCAAAAAATAATTTTTCCCAGGAAAATAAGTGGTTATCCACTATTTTGATTTTAAAAATTAAATATCTAACTCCTGACATAATAAATGAATAGTCTTTAAACTTTTGGCTTTAAAGATTTTTTTAAGTCTTTGATGGAAAAGACATTATCACACAGAGTTTAATAAGTTTACTAGCTTTTCAGAAATTTTTTCGGAGAGTAAAAATGACAAAACAAATCAAAAGCGTGGAAATCGAATATTAAAAGGTTTCTTGGTTTAAACTGGTATGCTAGGAAGAACTACCAAGATAAAGATGTTTATACTTCAGCCCTGCAAACAAATGAGAATAAACCACATCAAAATTAAGCTTGAATATTCTCAAAAAGAAAGAAACTCTTTGTAGCCATACGAAGTAGAAAGGTAGGGGGTTGGTAACAAAGATTGGCCATTAGTATGAATCTGTGAGTTAATAAAAAATGGAAATAGACTCATTTAATGTGAGTCCCTAAAGATTTTCAGCATAGTTCCCAGATATTTGGAGTGATTGAGTCTGAAGTACTTCAGAAACGGAAATGTGACCCAGCTCCAGTGGAGCCCTCAACGGAGGCAGTGGATGGGGCCAAACTGAGTTGTTTTCAGCAGTGTGCTGATTTTAACTGTATGATCATTTTAAAAAATAGGAATACTTCCAGACATCTTTGTTTTTCAACCATGTTTACCAAGATTTCACCCTTGGGGAATAGATTTTCATCTTAATTTATGGAAGTCTTTGAGAAACCTGGGAAATGGCTAATGAGGTAGATCTTTTTAGTGGTAGATAAAAATTAGGAGATGTTAGAATCTTTTTAATAATAACTACAGTTTTTTAAAACAACATTTAAAATTATGAAAATAGCCAGGCACGGTGGCTCATGCCTGTAATCCCAGCACTTTGGGAGGCCGAGGCAGGCGGATCACCTGAGGTCGAGAGTTCAAGACCAGCCTGACCAACATGGAGTAACACCATCTCTACTAAAAATACAAAATTATCCTGGCGTGGTGGCATATGCTGGTAATCCCAGCTACCCGGGAGGCTGAGGCAGGAGAATTGCTTGAACCTGGGAGGCAGAGGTTGTGGTGAGCCAAGCTCATGCTGTTGCACTCTAGCCTGGGCAACAAGAGTGAAATTCTGTCTAGGAAAAAAAAACAAATTATGAAAATAGCCTTTTGTTTAAAAAAATACATAAATAGCAGAAGTAATCTGGTAGGAGAATTGAACATCAAATGGTTGGGTTTTATTTTAGCAAAACATAGATGTTTTGTGTACACAATTTATTCTTTATGTAAATGCCACTTACGTTCAACAGCTAATTCCCAACTTGGATTTATGTGTTATTTGAAACAGAATTTGATTCTTATTGTCTCGTGACAAATGGCTGTTTTCTCACACATTTTTATGAAAAGTTATAATCTTGAGTTGAAAGAATGGAAGAATAAAGCTTGACTTTTAAACATGAAGTGTATAGCTTAATTCAAAGAAAATTAAATAGTGCTATGTTAAAAGTAGGCAGAGTTCTTCACATTGTAGAAGTCAGTCTGGAGACTTGATTGTTGTAAATGTCCTTTTGTTTGTTTGTTTTACTGTTTTGTAACATAATCTGAAGGGTTTTATAAAAATAAATGCAGAGAGGTGAATTTAGCTTCACCACTCTTATTTGCATATCTGATCGCTTAGTAAATGGTAGTAATATTAATAGGATGCTTGCCTAGAATGAAAGAAGGGAATTTTTATAAGGAGGGTATGATCACTATTCACCCAGAATATAAGTATTCACTCTTACATATAAATCAACGCCTCATGTATCATTGGTTGATTTTGATAAAAATTATGCAATTTCAAGAAAGCAGAAAGCTCTTTATTCCAACATGTTTTTACCCTCACTGACAAAAATGACAACTTGAAAAATTATTTAGAAACTTGCATATGATAATCAGGGGTGGTATTTAGTGTCATTAGGGACAAAGTTTAGGGTTTTTTTGAGAATGTAAAACTGTACATGTTGGTTTTGTTTTAGCACATATGACAGGAACAAACTAAAACTATTCAATCTGTTGCCTTGTTCTGATAGATGTGTATGGACTCAGAAAAACATATGATCTACACTTTTGGTGGTAGAATTTTGACTTGTAATGGCAGCGTAGATGACAGCAGAGCCAGTGAACCACAATTCAGTGGCTTGTTTGCTTTCAACTGTCAATGTCAAACCTGGAAACTTCTTCGAGAGGACTCCTGTAATGCTGGGCCTGAGGACATCCAGTCTCGAATAGGACACTGCATGTTATTCCACTCAGTAAGAACATTCCGTACATTGCGTAAATGTTATTTTGTCATGTATATCTAGATAGGAAAAGAAGTGGTGAAATCTAATTCTTTAGGAAGAGATTAGTGTAGCAATGACAGAGAAAGACAAAACTTCTTTAACAGTGAACTGTTTGCTAATTATGAGACTCTTCCCATCAACCTGGTAATTCCTAAATAGTTACTACCTGGCTACCAACCTGGGCAATCTTATGACTAATTTCACTGCTTATGTAGATTTTGTAGCTATGTTCCTTTCTTATGCCTTTCCACTTACGTCTCTTAGTAATTAGAAGGACAATTTCTTACTCTGTTCTTATTTTCCCTTCTGCTATTCTCCATTAAGTACAAAGAATTTAAGATTTGATTTTATAGAATTAGAATTTAAATGTATCAGCAATGGTCAGGAGCAGTGGATCACTTGATTCCAGAAGTTTGAGACGAGCCTGGCCAACATGGCGAAACCCCATCCCCAGTAAAAATACAAAAATTAGCCTGGCGTGGTGACCTGTGCCTGTAGTCCCAGCCTCCCAAGTAGCTGGGATTACAGGCATGCACCACCACGCCCGGCTAATTTTTTGTATTTAGTAAAGACAGGGTTTCACCATGTTGGCCAGGCTGGTCTTGAACTCCTGACCTCAGGTGATCCACCCGCCTCTGCCTTCTGCGGTGTTGGGATTACAGGCATGAGCCACTGTACCTGGCCACTTTCTTGATGCTCAAATTTTTCTCTTTGGCTAGTAGGAGCACCCCCCACAACATATTTATGTATCTTTTTTTGTAAGAGAAAAATTAAATTGTGAAT
The DNA here is from genome assembly GCF_000001405.40 of Homo sapiens. Lineage (NCBI taxonomy): Eukaryota > Metazoa > Chordata > Mammalia > Primates > Hominidae > Homo > Homo sapiens. The sequence continues at coordinate 131,444,516 of NC_000007.14, forward strand.
TCATACTGATATGTCTGATTCAAATAAAATATTTTTTATCTTAATGTCTTCTATTTTGTAACTTTATATCTTTTCTTTTTACCCCGACTGGAGCGCAGATCGTAGCTCACTACAGCCTTGAATGTCAGGGCTCAAATGATCCTCTCACCTTAGCCCCCCAAGTAGCTAAAACTACAGGTGTGTACCACCACACCTGGGTTTTGAGTAGTAGTAGTAGTAGTAGTAGTAGTAGTAGTAGTAGTAGAAGAAGTAGTAGTAGTAGTAGTAGTAGTAGTAGTAGTAGTAGTAGTAGTAGTAGTAGTAGTAGAAGTGGAAGTGGAAGTGGAAGTAGGAGACAGGGCCTTGCTGTGTTGCCCAGGCTGTCTCAAGCAATCCTCTCACCTTGGCCTGCCCAAATGCTAGGACTACAGGTGTGAGCCACCATGCCTGGCCTATTTTTGTGTCTTTTAAGGTTAAAATCCTGCTTCATAACATTAGTTGCTTTGTCTGTCTATAATAGCTTTCACAGTAAAGAAAACTAACAACAGAATCACTGAGTGCTGTTTAACGTTGCTTTCTGATTATTTTTCTGTTTAGGATTTAGACTTCTAGGGATGGGTAGTCAAAAAGTATGTATTAAAATCATTAGAAATACTATTTCTGTGTCTGAGTATATCTTTATATACAGATAGGTTTATTTGTTGGATTTTTTTTGCCCAAATTTTAGATTTTTTTTTTGAGTTAATTTTGTCTTCTAATTAAATAAAAGCATATACATTGTTCTAAAGTCAAAACCATACATCAAGGTATTATTTTTGGAGAGGTCTTCCTGCTCTGTTCCTGCCACTATAGGTAACTGTCTTTTATTAGGTTTTGGTTTATCCTTCCTTTGTTTTTCAAAAAAAGAAGCAATCTCTATTCTCGCTCTCGCTTGCGTGCTCTCTCTCTCACTTTTCCCCTCTCTCACATTCTCTTTCCCTCTCTCCCTCTCTTTTTGTCTGATGCACAGATATTCCTTCTTCTCCATTCCTACACAAAGGAAGAAGGAACCTGTATATATTATTCTGCACCTTGCTTTTCTTCTTTAACAGGATGTCCTAGAGATCCCCTTTTAGCAATATGTAGAGAGCTTCCTCTTTCCCTTTTATTCCAGCATAGTACTCCATTGGGATCTGTTATAAAATTACTTTTGTAGAGGTTTAAGTTTTTAAAGGATCATTCTGAGTTCTTCATGGAAGTGATAAGTTACTCCTTTCTTTTTTTTTTTCTTCTTTTTCAGAAAAATCGTTGCTTATATGTATTTGGTGGCCAGCGATCAAAGACCTATTTGAATGATTTCTTTAGTTATGATGTGGACTCTGATCATGTAGACATAATATCAGATGGCACCAAGAAAGACTCTGGGATGGGTAAGGGCATTGAGTGATTTCTTCTCTCATGTCTTAACTACTTTAGGTAGAAAACTGCAGTTCATTCTCTTTTCTTTCTAATCATTTTTCACCCTTTCTTTATTTCTTTAATTGAGTAATTCCAAGTAAGAGAAAGAAAATTCTACCAGCTTATTCAGTTCTATCTATTTTTAAATATGGGAATTACTATTTCCTTCAAGCAGAAAATATGTGAATTTCTAAATGAATTGTGTGTGTGCTTGTTGGGGGGCGGGGTAGGAAGAATCAATATCTTAAAAACTTTTTATTCTGTGTTTGCTAATTTTTTTCATCTTCTATTTTCACTGTAGTGATCTTTATATTAGGCACTAGCATAGTAGGGTGTGTGTCTTAAGGGGGGAACTTCATGGGATTGGTAACACCTTGTAAGTTTAAAAGCTCAGCATCTAGGAGGTTATTAGTAGTGGAATGGCTGGTTTGCTTAGATTATGCATATTGCCCTGGCATAATTATTAATAGTGCTCCATTCATTTTCAAAAGTGTCCTGTTTTGATCATTTATAGTTACCCTACATAGTAGTTGCTTTGCCTGTGATTATTGTACCTAAAAGAGTGGCTTTAATTAAGGTGCAATGGTTTAAAATGCTAATTTGAACAATAGAGTGAGAAATTAAATCAGCTGCTTTTCTTTTTAGCTGTTGCTTATAGATTGGTGTTTTTATTATTGGCTCTTTTGCCAAATGTGGATAAAAGCACTTGTTTCACAGACATTGTTTCTGGATATTTTATTGATTAATACAAGCTTCCTTTAAAACAAAAACAACAAAAATATTTTTAAATTAAAATATTTGTTCACATTTAAGAAGAAAAACTTGTTTTAAAACAAACAAACAAAAAAACAAAAGATAGGCAAGGCACAGTCGCATATGCCTGTAATTCCAGCTAGTCCAGAGACGGACATGGGAGGATTGCTTGAATCTAGGAGTTTAGGACCAGCCTGAGCAACAAAGCAAGACCCTGTCTCTACAAAAAGGAGGTTTCCAGATAAAAGTAGACTCAATAGATATGTTAAGCATTTGGAAGAAAAATCTGTTGATGAGTATAAATAGCATCTAATGTAAAAAACGAAGGATAGGGACACAACAGGAAAAGCGAAACTTTTTATAAAAAAGGAGACATTATCACAGTAAATTTCTTGGCTTTACAGTAAGCAGTATTTCCCTAATCATAATGCAGAACTACAGCCAGTTTAACCAAAAATTGGGATGAAATATAGTGGGAAGATAGTGTAAGTGTAGTAAACATCTTCGTCTATTACAACAGGAAATTAGTAGGTAATGTCTAAAATAGCAGCTTAGCATGTGATTTAGAAATATGGACCTGAATAGGTAATAACATTATTTACCCTATCTAAAATTGTCTTATTTACTCATTTATTTACTGTTGCCATAGGAGAGTGTAGAGCTATATGATTTAATATTTGACTTTCTCTGGCTTTTAAGAGTTATTCTAACTTACCATTAAAATAACTAGGAGGGTCAGGCGCAGTGGCTCATGTCTTTAATCCCAGCACTTTGGGAGGCTAAGGTGAGAGGACTGCTTGAGCCCAGGAGTTTGAGACTAGCCTGGGCAGCATAGTTAGCCCTCATCTCTATAAAATAAAAATAAAATAGCAGGAGAGAGGTAATACTCCTTCTACAATCCTAAGATGGGTCTCCCTGAAAAAGGTAGTGAAGATAGTAATTGATATGACAATATGTTGAAAATTATGGCATGCTGACTCAGTGCTAGACTACGGACACAGTGGATACAAGGCAATCACAGTCTCTCAAAGTGCTTATAATCTAGCTAGTAGGTAATGTATTCCCATGGATAATAATTACTACTCTTTATTTAGACCCTACCATATACCAGAATATCTTTAATTGGTGGTATTATTCTAATGTACAAGATGAAAACAGTTACACAACTACGTAATGACAGAGCTGGGATTTAGAAGTTTGAGTGCAAGGAAGGTGTTTCTGCCATGCTAAACTACTGCCCAAGATTAAAAGAAAAAAGTGGCGGCCACGTGAGGTGGCTTACACCTGTAATCCCAGCAGTTTGGGAGGCCAAGACAGGTGGATCACGAGGTCAGGAGATCGAGACCATCCTGGCTAACGTGGTGAAACCCCATCTATACTAAAAATACAAAAAATTAGCTGGGCGTGGTGGCGGGCGCCTGTAGTCCCAGCTACTCGGGAGGCTGAGGCAGGAGAATGGCGTGAACCCGGGAGGTGGAGCTTGCAGTGAGCCGATATCACGCCACTGCACTCCACCCTGGGCGACAGAGCGAGACTCTGTCTCAAAAAAGAAAAAAAAGTGGCAATGCGTGATAGTGACAGAGAACTAGTAAAATAAAAATTCACCATGACAAGTAGGCTTTAATGACTGTCATTCAAAACAATTTTTTAATGAGTTAAAATTATGTAGTAATGTACAGTATCGACAATTATTCTTCAATCATGGTTATGGCTAGCTTTAGAGCAGTGTGGCAATTATTCTTTTTATTTAATTTTGTTGTGGTCATAAAAGTAAAAATATGCTCATTGTAGAGAATTTGAAAAATAAGATGCAAAAAAGAAAATATGTCAAACTGTCCAGAGATAACTTGTTAAAATTTTGATATATTTCTGTCTAGTCTTTTTAAAACTTATTTATTGTATAAAAGTTGATACAAGTTTGTATTCTATTTTAAAATTTACATTAAATTGTGGGATTTTTTCCATTATTGTGGTTTTATTAATGTGAACTGGAGATGTTATTAGAAAAGACAAATGGATTCATTGTTTGATTACTGCTATAATCAATTTTTCTAAAATCAAAATCACCATTTTTTACTGTGTGTGTTCAGTGTGTAATTGGTTTACACAATTGAATTTTCCCACAATGCAAATAAATTCATTAATAATATTTGTTGACCATCTACTAGCATCTAAGTTTGTCCCTCTCCCTTCCTCCTTCCCTCCCCACTTAGTTCATTGTCTTCTGTAGGCCCAAGATTATTTTAGGCACTTGGGATTCATCTATGGACCTGGAGGATAAGATCCTTTCCCTTAGAGGACTCACATTCTAGTGGAGAGAGACCTGCAGTTGTGTTCTAAGTACTGTGAATAAAATACACTGGATGCCGTGATAATGAATAACAAGGGAAGTCTCATTTAAACAGAGTAGGTTGGGAAACCATCTTTGAGGAGGTAATCTTTAAGATTTAAGATGAAAAGTAGAGAATTAGGAAGAACCATGTGAAGAACTGAGAGAAGAACAAGTACAGAGTTCCCAAAGCAGGAAGGAACCTGGGATGTTCAGAAATAGTGGGACTGGTACGTATTGAGGATTGGAAAAGTTGGTATGAAACTAGGTTAGAGCTACGGAGATAAGAGTCAGAGTATTTAGTGCCTTGTTACAAATGCAAGGAGTTTGGATTTTTTTTCTGAATAAAATAGATTATTCAAAGGTTTAATATCAGTGTCTTGATCTAAGTTTTAACAATACCACTTCTTTGTCTAGGTGTATATTTTCCAAGTGGTTAATTTTGACAATGTTCCTGTGAGTTGCATTGTTCAAAGGCTTGTTTACTGAGGATTTTTATGGCAGGGTTGAGCATCTGGTTAGAATTACTTGGAAAAATTTCCCACCTAAAACTGTTGCAGTTATACTTGGAATTGAGGAACCTCAGTGACTCTGTTAGCACATTAGAGTGAAATGGAAATTATTCTCTTTTTTTCTGTTTTTTTTTCCCCTCATCTCTGCCTCTCTCACTTTCTTCCTTTTCCCTCCTTCCCATTCTTTTTCCCATGTCCCTTTTACTCCTCCCCCAACTTTCTCTCTCCTAGAGGATTCTAATATGCGGCTGGGATTGAGAACCACTGTTCTAGCTCTCCGGAGTCTATTTCAGTCCTTAGTTAACCTTAAGCAAGTTACCTAATGTCTCAGCTTTTGCTTCCACATTTGTAAATGACCCAAATTAGATTTTAAGGAAAATAGCGTCTCTGTCCATGGCTACCCTAGGAGTAGAGATGGGTTAACCCTCTAGTTTCGACTGGTGTTACTGTTGGGTGCCTTAATTTTCACAAGAGGATGTTAATACTGCTACCCTCAGGTTCACTAATCTAGCCAGTTAACATCAAGTCATGCCAATTTTGCCTCATCTTCTCTCTATTCCCATTGCTGCTTCACTATGAACTAGTTTGGGCTAACATCACCTATTTGGCCTCTGTCTCTAGACTTCCTCTCCCTATGTACCCCTCCCTGCAACCCATTCTCCACACTGCAAGCAGGATACAGCTATTCTGTGTTACCAGTAAAGAATAGAACCATATGCCTTAACATTTATAGAGCAGATATTTTTTGGTCACCTACTAGGTGCCAGACAATAAGCTACGCACTAGGAGTACAACTGTGAATGAGGGCCCTATCTTCATGGAGTTATGGTTGTACACAGAGAGGAAAAATAAAGTGACAGCCTTACCTTTAGATTAGTGCTAGTGAAGAAAAGAACATATTTTTAAAAATACAAACCTAGTGGGTTTTCTTCCTCACTTTAAATCTTTTAATGGTTTCTCCCTGCCCTCAGGATTAAGTCTAAACTTAACATAATTCACAGACTCTTTTATGATGTGCCCCATTTTAGTTCTCCAGTCCTAGTCTTGGTGTCTGTACTCTTCTTGCCACCAACTCTGTTTCACGACCACCGAATATTAAATCTTTATAGATAGTGTGTTTTAACTTGCCTTTGAGAGTTGCCCATGCTATTCCTCCTACCTGAATCACTTTCCTCTCCCCTCCAAAATCTAGCTAACTTGTACTGCTTACCTCTCAGATCTTAGCTTGTAGATCGTTGTCGCCCAAAATTCTCTAATGCCTTAAGCCCAGGTTAGAAATATAAAAACATGTGGCTCTAGCCATCATTGTTAACGCAATTCTAGGTATTCATCTGGCTGTAAAATCTTGACTGTGCTTTTCAAAACCTATACAAAGATCAGCTGAAATACACAGACTTGTTCATGATTTCTTAAAGAGCATTCAGTGGTTTCAGTACTCTAGATCTCCTAAAAGTCTTTTACTGAACTAAATTAGACTGTTCAGAAAACCTCACATCAGAACCATGGTATATTATATTGTCCTCCCATAGAATTATTTTACCTCACTTTTAAAAAGTACATTTTTTTCTCTCTTACTAGATTTTTATTGTAAGCAGTGAAAAGTACTTTTAAGAAGGCAGAATACTATTTAAATTCCCACATTTTTAAAATATTCTTAGAAAACACCAATTTTATCCATTATGTAGATGCTCTGTAGCTTATTAATCATTCTGTTGTTTGTTAACTGTTGTTCTAAAGATTTTTTACTACAGTTAATTACTGTAATTTGAGATGGACTTAACATATAATTACTGTGTTTATCTGTGATTCAGTAATGTGGCTTATTTGATTAAAATTATATTTACAATGTGAGTATCAAATGGGATTGTTTGAGCTCATAGAGTAAATTTGTTTGAACTATTGAGATCACCGAGATGGTATAGCTAATAGTAAAATTACTGCTGTTTATATAATTCTGTATTGTCAGATACTATAAAATCTTAAGTTGTTGCTCTTTATAATTATCTGAATGTACCATCTTAGATTTAACATCTGAAGATCTGAAGAAACTTTAATGCTTATTTTTAAACTACAGTGTAACAATTTTATGCTCTCCTCAGAAGAAAATTATAATTTAAATCAATGGATTGGCAGCTGCTTTAAGGGATTTATTAGCATTGTGTCTAATACATACATAATTACATCAAAATTCAGCATATCTAAAACTTGAGTTTATTTCTGAGAAACTTTTGGCAAGTAAGACTGTGAACACAAGGGGTTTAGCAGATTCCCCATATGTAAGCTCTGTATTTAACACTAATTGAAACTTATGTGTAGAAGATGGTCTGTCACACCACCAGAGTTTTGTAGTTTTCTATAGAAACTCAGTCTACTATAGTAAGAGTGCTTTCTCCTGTTCGTATTCATTCAAGGAAGAAGCATATATTGAACCTTCTTCATTTGCCAAATGCTAAGTCAAGTATTGGTAATACTGAGGTCTTACAACCTGATGCTTGTTCTTTAGTAGTTATGTATTTACTTGTTTTGATTTTTAAATTGTGTCCACTCTGTTTTCCCACATCTGCCATTGTTTATTCCATCCTGTTCTAACCATTATAGCAGATTGGTACCATTGAAAGAATAGCAAATTGAGAATCAGAAGACTTGGTCTCTCTTTGTCTGGGTCTGCCACTCATCCCTCTGTAATTCTAGAAAAATTATATAACTTCTCTGAACCTGATTATTCATCTGAAAATGAGGAGATTGGACCAGTTGATCATAAGACCTCATCTAGCTCCAAAATTTTGAAAATTAAATTTCATTCCCTTCTGCTGTTATCAGGCTGTGAAACTAAGATATGAGGGCTATGTGAGTTTACATCTACAGAACTTGATTTATCTATAAATAAATTTTTATGAAAACCTTAAAAGCAAAATCATACTGATTTTCATTTTGGCCCTGGGAATGTGCTTATTGTGCTTACTGACATTTTAAAAAATTAGTATGGTCATAACTCTTTATGTTTCTGATCCTTTTATACTTTTTTTTTTTTTTTTTTTTTTTTTGAGATGGAGTCCCGCCCTGTCGCCAGGCTGGAGTGCAGTGGCACAATCCCGGCTCACTGCAACCTCTGCCTCCCGGGTTCAAGCGATTCTCCTGCCTCAGCCTCCCGAATAGCTGGGATTACAGGCATGCGCCACTACGCCCAGCTAATTTTTGTACTTTTAATAGAGACGGGGTTTCATCATGTTGGCCAGGATGGTCTTGATCTCTTGACCTTGTGATCCGCCCGCCTCGGCCTCCCAAAGTGCTGGGATTACAGGCGTGAGCCACTGCACCCGGCCGATCCTTTTATACTTTTACCAATTAAATGAGTAAAGCCAAACTGGCAACACAGAGAAGACTTTGAAGCTGATGATTTGCTGTCATTAACATAGATTAGTTACTGGACTAGAAAATGGTAGCGCTTATTTTCAACATAATTAGGCTTCATTGCTGTCAGTTTAGTATGTTTTGTATTTGATGTGTCATTATTCAAACAGAGTATCTACTTTTTGCCTCTCAAAATTATTGGTAATAATAACTTTCCCTGATTTCCCCCTTCTACCCTCCCAGGGGTGTTTTTGCTAGTTACAAGCTTACAAGAGTATTTTATATTTTTAGATATGATATTTAGGTTACTTGATAGTAAATGAGAATTAAAGTTCACATGTAAAAACAAACATGCAAGAACACTAACAACAATTTTGAAAGTTAATGAAGTAGTACTGGCACTACCAGATATTTATAAAGCTACAATTTGCCAAAGTACAGACTAATGGGATGAAATAGAGCAGATAGTATAAAAATGTCCCCAAATACATATGAGAATTTAGTATATGGTAAAGTTGGCATTTCCAGTCAGAGAGAAAGAATAGATTAAACAGTATATGACATGGAGACATTGCTTAAGACTTGGCAGTATTTTAAAAAAAAGGAAAATCTGACTCCAGCCTGGGCAACGGCAAGACTCTTTCTCTTTAAATAAGTAAATAAATAAATATGAATAAATGGGAAAATCTGGATCCCTACTTGACTTTTGTACATCAAAGAAAATTCTAGGTGAACTTAAGTTTCATACTTAAGAAATAAAATTATAATTCCAATTATTTTTAATAATCTAGGATTAAGAGAAGACCCTTCTAAACATGCCACAAACCCAGAAATCATAAAGAAAAGGAATGTTTGATTTTTGCAAAATTAAAAAATATAAAAAATTGTTAAAATATCAAATAATGACAAACTAGCAATTAAGACAAAGCTTATTTCCTACAATGAACAAAAGGCTCTTATAAACCAATAAAAGTGGATAATCCTGTAGTAGAACAATGACAAATTATATGAATAGATACTTCGAAGAAAAAATAATTCATATTGCCAGTAAATTTACACATGTACAGATGCTCAGCTTTATTCATAACTTTTAAGTGTAAATTAAAAAATCACTCAGTGAATGTTGGTATGGCCATGAGGAAGCAGGTGTCTTACATTCTGGTTGAAATGTATTTGGTACAGCCTTTTTTTTTTTTTTTAACAGTACTTTATCATTATCTGTTAAAATACAAAAAATATATTTTTTTGACTAAGCATTTTACTCCACGAACTTTTCCTACTCATATACTTTTATAGATCCACAAAAAATAAGCTATACAGAGATATTTATTGTAGTATTGTATGCAAGGAGAAAAAATCTGAAGACGGATTGACCATCAACTTATTTGATTTTTATTTATTTGATTGTCCACCAGTAAATAAATTGGTTGATCCATTCAAAGAGTTCAGTTTTTTATAGCTTAATACAGCTGAGATAAATCAGTAAATATTGTTGAGTGTCAAAAGCTAGTTGCAAATTTACAAAAAATAAATGATGAGTGGTAGAAAGATTCAAGTAAAATAATAGAAGTTAGTTCTGAACTGGAGTTGTTGCTAGTGCTTAATAGGGCCCCATCCAACATTTAAAATGTCCCAACTTTCAAAGAGAAGGATGTGGCAGACACTGTTGTTTGCTTTCCCAAAAGTCATTGGCCCTTTCTTCTGTTAACCAAACCATAATTTTGTTTAATGGCAAGTTGCCTAACCCCAGGGCATGAATGGTTAATCATGATTAGTCTAAACCAGTCATTATTATCCTTTGGCAAATTATTTCACTTTACCTTCCTCCCATGTGACACAATTCTGGCCAATGAGACATAAAGAAAGTCTACTGGAGGACATTTGACAAAAATGTCTTCCCTGATGACAGTAGAGAGATGCTGAAAGAATTCTTTGCCTCCCTGCTTTGGGTGCTCTATATAAGGATGTGATGCTTAGAGTTGGTATTGGCAAGTTTCAAAAATGAGAAGGCGGCCAAGAAAATTGCAGAAAGTTAACCTAGCACCATGATTTGGTTGAACTCTGAAACAATCTTGGAGCTGTCTACTTGCAAAATTTTGTTACATGAGCTAATTAATCTACTGTTAGTTAGGTTTTCTGTTACTTGGAGCTGAAAATATCCTAACAAATAGTGAATTTGTGGAAAGCTATTTTTTATTAGATTCTGTATTTCTGTGACAGCTCTGAAAACTGTTCTTTTCCTTTGTCTTAGCTAATCAGTAATGAATATGTGCATTGGACCGTGAAGCAAAAATAGAGTTGAGATTAATTCATAAGTTAATGCAATAACATATCTTCCTCAGGAATTCAAAGGACTTCGAAAATATTTGTTAACTTTTTTTTTATCCCCCCTCCCACAGGGTTTCTTTATGTTAAATATTCTGACAATCTCTCCCATTTGCTTAGAGGATAAACCAAGGAAGGAAGAGAAAAGATGTGATTCAGACATATAGATAAAATTTTTTTACTTCCCCTTTAGCTGTTCTATTTTGAGTTTTAAAGATGTTAAAGAAGAAATAGAGTTGAAGGATTATCATTGTAACTTCCTAAAACAATTATAAAAATAACGAGTTGGCAGTGATAATTGTTGTATCATTCTTATTTTCTGTTTTTTTCAGATAAATGTTCTTTCAAAATATGTTAATGATTAACGTTTACTGATCTGCTTGATTAATTTTTCTTTGTGAGTCAGTTTCTAAACTGGTTAAGGTTAAAGACTGGTTAAGGTCCTGGCATTTAGTTGAGCTTTTTAGCAGTTGAATCTTAAAGTTTTTAAAATCGTTTATGTTGCAGGTCTTTTGTCCTTCCCTCCTCCCCCGCAAATATACCCATTAGAAACTGTTAAATTGGCCAGGCATGGTGGCTCTTGCCTGTAATCCCAACACTTTGGGAGGCCGAGGCAGGCGAATCACCTGAGGTCAGGAGTTCAAGATCAGCCTGGCCAACATAGTGAAACCCCGGCTGTACTAAAAATAAAAAAGTTAGCCTGGTGTGGTGATGCACGCCTGTTGTCCCACCTACTCAGGAGGCTGAGGCAGGATAATTGCTGGAACTTGGGAGGCAGAGGTTGCAGTGAACTGAATTCACATTATTGCATTCCAGCCTGAGTGACAGAGTGAGACTCTGTCTCCAAACCAAAAAAAAAAGAGAAAAGAAACTGTTAAAAATTGAAAAGATAGCCTTGTTTTCATCTTGCAAAGAAAATCAGTACAGAAAACTATTAATAGTTTTGCCATATTAGAATGAAAGCTGCTTTCTTGGTTTTGACCTTTAGTTTTTTTTGTTTTTTGATAATGCCGTTTTTATTTAACCAGCCTTCATTTTTATTATTATAATTATTATAAAAGTAATGCAGTTCACATGATCAATAAAGCAAAACTCAAATAACATAGAATGCTATAAAATGAAAAGTACTTCTGCCAAAGTAGCAAACTGACACAGGCTGCTGATTCCCTTCCCCAGAATCAACCCAGAGAAATAAAATTGAGAGCAGCTGGATTCCAGAAACTCCTTAAATAAGACTGAAGGCTCACTCTCCCCCAGATTACCCTTCAGTTAATTTTTACCCTTTCACTATAGAAACTAGCAGCGGTAGCCTAGCCCACTAGTGTCAGAATTCGGTGGGCAAACATTATGTCAGTGCAGAAACCCTGCTGGAGTTCAGAGTTGATGAAAACATGTGGACTGACCATCTGTTCTCAATAGTTCATTTCTTCTTCTCTTCTCCCTTTGTCCAGGGAGACTGCCTTCTCCTTCCTCTTTAAACCCTTGCCTGAAGGGTTTAAAGGTACAAAACTGTTGCATAGGGGCGTGATCATATATGGACATGATTCTTGGTTCTTTGTGCTTATGCTTCAGAACCCTATGACTTTTCCTCTCTATTTTCCTTAATCTCTACCAGTTAAGGCCTGGCCTTTGAGTCCTCTCCAATATATCTTACCAGAAAGAAGAGCTGATTCCCTGAAAAACATTACCTTGCATACTGATATAACTAGACAGTTGAGGACTACAACTGTCTCAAAAAAAAAAAATGAGTAAACTTATACATGATGTAAAGCAGAATTATTAAAACAGATGAACGGCCAGGGGTGATGGCTAGTGCCTGTAATCCCAGCACTTTTGGAGGCTGAGGCAGGCAGATAACCTGAGGTCGGGAGTTTGAGACCAGCCTGACCAACATGGAGAAACCCCGTCTCCACTAAAAATACAAAATTAGCCAGGCATGGTGGCACGTGCCTGTAGTCCCAGCTACTCGGGAGGCTGAGACAGGAGAATCGCTTGAACCCGGGAGGCGGAGATTGCAGTCAGCTGAAACTGTGCCATTGCACTCCAGCCTGGGCAACAAGAGCGAAACTCCATCTCAAAAAAAAAAAAAGATGAACCAAGAATTTAAAATAAGCATGATGAATACACTTAAAGATGTAAGAGAACACACTAGTAATATGAAATAAGATCCAAACATTATAAAAACAGAACCATACGGAAATAGTAGATATGAAAAATATAATGAAAATGAAGACTACAACAAATGTAAGTAGGATGGTATGAGTGAATTAATCAGTTGGAAGATTAGCAAGAGCACTCTTCCAGGAAAAAGCGAGGGAAAAAAGATAAAGAAATAGAAAATAGAGTAGAGAAACTAAGAAAGATAGAGAATTGTTGTACAAGTGCCAACATCTTAAAAGGAATTCCAGAAGGAAAGAAAAATAAAAATTTAAGCCCGGGCACGGGGGCTCACACCTGTAATCCCAGCACTTTGGGAGGCCAAGATGGGTGAATCACCTGAGGTCAGGAGTTCAAGACCAGCCTGACCAACATATTGAAATGCTGTCTCTACTAAAAATACAAAAATTAGCCAGGCTTGGCGGCGCATGTCTGTAATCCCAGCTACTTGGGAGGCTGAGGTAGGAGAATTGCTTAAACCCACAGGCGGAGATTGCAGTGAGCTGAGATCGTGCCACTGGACTCCAGCCTGGGCAACAAGAGTGAAACTCCATCTCAAAAAAAAAATGTAGGTGAAATAATTGTAGAAATAATGGAGATACATTTCTTAAAATTCAAAAATGGTGAAAGACTTCAGATTGGCGAAAGAGCTCATAGTGTACCAAATAGAACAAATAAGGGAAAGCGTTATACCTAAGCAGATTAAAGTAGAATTAAGAATAGCAGAGAGAAAATTCTGAAAGATTTCAGAGAGAAAAAGCAGATGACCTGTAAGGGAACAAGAAGATAGACATTTGACAGTTGAACAGCAATGTAGAATGAGAAAAAACGATAAAGTTTAAAAGTAGCCAAGAAAAACAACTTTGAATCAAGAAATTTAAATCTTCCTAACTTTGAGATGTGAGGGTGACATAAAATATTCTCAGGCATATTTGCCTTAGCACATTTGCCGTATAGATACCCACAGTAGAAACCCATTTGGGAGCAGGACTCAATGAAAACTAAATCTAAGAAATGCTAGAAGTATGTGATAAATGATGATCAAAATTTGTTGTTGCCTGAAGAAAAACACTAGGACCAATATTCTAGGTCAAGGAACCATGGCGGAAAGGGAAAATTGGACACTATATAAATTCAGGTATTGTGATTAGAATATAGAGAAGAAACTATTCTATATTATTAACACTAAAATGTCATATACAAGGCTCAAGAGTTAATGGATCTTGATTTTCTTTCTAACTTCCTTTTCCTGTGTCATGTATCAGTGCCACCGTCTCTTATATCTCATGCCATCTTCTTTCTTGGATTCCTTTTTTTGTTTTGTTGGAATATCTCCTTAAAGAAGTTTATATACATATATATATATATGTAGTCATATGTATGAACTTTAAAATTCTCTTATTTTGCCCTCGTTAAGATTGCTAGTTTAACTGGAAATGGAAAGTTAGTTCCATATCTTTTTATACTTCTCAGAATTTTAAAGTTGTTATTCCATTGTATTCTAGCATTCATTGTTACTGATAAGTTGTAGGGCCAAAAGAGTTGTGATACTTTTCCTCAACCCTTTTAAGAGTCATGGTTTGACACTCCTATAATAAAAGACAGGTTAACAAAAGAAAGCATAACAAATTGATTTAATCAAAGTTTTACGTGGCATGTGAGCCTTCAGAAGAAATGACCCAAAGATACGGGGAAAACTGTCCATTTTTTTGCTAAGATTTAATGAAGAATGAACAGCTGGTTAGAAATATGATTGGGTAAAAGGCTATGATTTAATGCAGGTAGACTGAGGTGGGGAAACCCAACAAGGCCCGTCTGTTCAGATTCTTCTTGGCCCCTCTGTGTAGTACTTCTTCCTCCTGGGAATGGGGCAGGACCCTGCTACAGCAAGGGTCTTGTGACCTACTATCAGACAAGGGTAGATCACAGAATTTCTTTATGGCGAGCTCCTAGACAGAAAGGCAGAGGAAAGTTGGATCAGTAATTCTAGTTTTTAGAATTTAAAAGTCTAGGCTGACTTTGGGAAAAAGAGGTTCTAGTTTTTATGACCCACCTTGAGGAAGAGGAATTCTGATTTGATGACTCACTTCTAGGGAGAATGAGGGAAGACAGGCAGGAGGGCAGAAGAAGGTGAGAAAGAACTTGGTTCTGAAGCTGTTCTGAGGCCTTCCAGTGTTCTTTAGTTCAAAGTACTTAGCATGCCAGAGTGTTTGTGTTCTGAGCCCCTGACAAGGTCTAATGTTAGTTTGATTTTTATTCCTCTGTATATAATAATCTGCTGTTTCCTTCTTTGGAAGCTTTTAGAATTTTTCTTTTCTTCGAGTTTTAACATTTCATATTAAGGTGGAGATGTACATCTATATATCTACATGCCATCTTTTTAAAAAAAAAACAACATAGATATATGTGTGCACCATCTTTTTAAATTAAACATGCCTAGCTTGCAGTGGGCTCTCTCAAACAGGACACCCAGTTCAGGGAAACTTTATTTTTTCTTCTACATTATTTCTTCTTTCCTTCTGGTCTTTTTTTCAGATAATTTGGCTTCGATGGGTATATCCTCTGTGTCCTTTAACTTTTCCCTCATAATTTCTATCTTTTTGCTGTTTATTCTGGTGATTTGTCAGTTTTATCTAGAGACCACTGACTTTGTTTCTAACTATGTCTGTAGTTTCATTCTGTCATTTGAATTTTTTGGTCATAGTTTCACTTTTTAGTATCTTTTCATAGTCCCTGCTCCTTTTTATGGCAGCTTATTCTTGTTTTGCACATGAAATATTCTCTTTAATCTCCTCAAGGATACTCATAGGGTTTTTTTTCCCCCAAGTTATGTTCTTTTCTGTGATTTGTCTTTTCCTGGTTGTTCTATTTGTTCATCTAGGTCCCTCTCTTTTACACTGTTAATTTTTTTCCTCCTGTCTATAATTCATGTCTAAACTTTAACATTTATGAATAAAGGACTGTATCAATTAAGAAAGGTAGTTAACAGCAGTTTCTTTTACAGTGTGTAGGTCTCTTTTTCCAGTAGGTTTCTCTCATAAATGAGACACTGATCAAGGTCTTGTATAAGTGCACAGCACATACTGTCAACCAAGCTTTCCTATAGAATGCGTAAGCTGAGAATAGGCACACAAGTTGGGAACATATATGATTAACAAAGTAAAGATTGGGAGTTACTTTAAGCTCTGCTCTCATTCTTATTTACGCCCCTATGTCCTTATTAGAAGCTCTCCACAGAAGCCTTCCTCACAATCTACTTCTTCTCTTTGTATCCGATGACTTATTTGGAAGTTTTTCATCTTTTATCTCTGGTGAGTTACAGGCTCTGGTAATAATTGTAGGTGAAAACAGCCGTAGACAACATGTAAATGAATGGACATTGCCTGATTTGACCCTGAGCAGGGCAGATCAAGCCATAGTTTGCCAAGCCATGTTATAAAATTTTTAATTCAAAGGCTCACTATTAAGACAAAATAGAATAATGAAATTTAAATGCAATAAATTTAGGCAGTTATACCCTTCACTTCTACCACTTACGAAAGTAATTCCAGTTCTTTACTGTTTTTATCTTCCAAAGTTATCTGAGGAGCAGAGGTCAGAACCTGAGCACATCACTTCTGAAAATTTACCATGCCTTATTAAGAAAATACAATTGTCCCTTGGCATCCTTGAGGGACTGGTTCCAGGACCTCTCTTGGATACCAGAATCCTCAGATGCTCAAGTCCGTGATATGGTGTAACCTACGCACATTCCCTCCTATACTTTAAGTCATTTCTAGGTTACTTATAATACCTGATACAATGTAAATAGTTGTTATAAGGAATAATGACAAGAAAAAAAGTCTGTATGTCTTCAATACAGATGCAACCATTTATGGGTTTTGTTTTTTGTTTGCGGTTTTTTTTTTTTAATACTTTAAATTTGTAGTGGTTTGAATCCTTGAACATAGAACCCAGGGATATGGAGGTTCGACTGTACCAGACTTTACATACACTAAAGACTGTGGCATGAGGGTGTAGGCTATTATTAAGATCAGGTTGATATATGTGTGTGTATAAATATAAATATTGTGTATGTATGTATACAAATTGTATGGTGTGTGTGTGTGTGTATAATTTTATAATATAGTTACTGTGAAATGCATTTGGATAGTCTTTAAAATGTCCCAAATTTGTTGAATAAGAATGTAAAAGGACATGAATTTAAGGTAGACTAGGAAAAAATAAATACTGGATTATTTGGTCCCACTAAAGTAGATAAAGAAGACCAAGATCAATATGGCTGGCATCTCCTGCAATACATAGTATTCTAGGTTGACGTAAATATTTCACTTCAATCTGATATTTGTTTAGCTTTTTGAGCACATGATAATTGTTCATGGGTAAAAGAAATGTTAAAACAATGACATTGTTTTAGATCATGACAATTATGTTGTGAAGTAGCTGAGTTCATAATATGCACTTTATGTATATGAAATTATATTTCAAACATTTTCAAATAAGAATAAGAAAATTTGTCATTTGCCATATCAGTGTTTTACAGATTATTGGGTAATGCAAAGTGATCATCATTTATTTAATAGATTTCTTATAAAAATACAGCATTATTAACTTTGGGGAGTTTAAGCCACTCAAGGAAACAAAATGGCATATTATACCCCAGAATTTTTATTTATTTATTTATTTGCTTTAGAGACAGAGTCTTACTCTGTCACTCAGGCTGAAGTACAATGGCATGATAATAGCTCATGGCAGTTTCCAACTCTGGGCTCAAGGGATCCTCCCACCTCAGCCTCCCAGATAGCTAGAACTACATGTGCACACCACCACACTTGGCTGATTTTTAGTTTTCATAGAGACAGGGTCTCACTATGTTGCCCAGGCTGGTCTTGAGGTCATGGCCTCATATGATCCTCCCACCTTGACCTCCCAAAGCACTGATATTACATGCACGAGCCACTGCACCTGGCCCAGAATATTAAATTTTATTTTTGGAAGTTATTATATGTGATGAACAGATATTTTAAATGACTCTGACCTTATTAAGCAACGCTGCGTTTTACCTTTTATCAAATTTTTTTTCCCAGGTCAAGATTTGAATATTTAATCTCTACTATCAAATTAGAACTGTCCCAGATAATAAATCAGTTAATTAAAGCATTATCCTTTCCTTCCTTATGTAAAAATGATTATATTGCATACCTCTTTCTGCTTCTTTTTTCCCTGTAGCTGGCAATTGACATTTCCTTTAGTCTTTCCACAAATCATTTAGTAATTGTTATATTCAGGCACTATTCTAGACACTGGGAACAAAATAGTGAACAAAACAGCCTCTTTCCTTGTGGAGCTCATAGAGTAAGGAGAAGGCAATATATAATTGTTTATTGTTTAGTTAAAAAGTTATGTAGTGTGTTAGAAGTTAAGTATGTGGACACATAAAGCAGAATAAAGGTGTATTGATCTTTTCAAGAGAAACTAGTAGGGGCTGGATGTGGTGGCTCACCTGTAACACCAGCACTTTGGGAAGATGAGGCAGGAATATTGCTTAAGGCCAGGAGTTTGAGACCAGCCTGGGCAACATAGCAAGACCCCATCTCTACAAAAAATAAAAAAATTAGCTGAGTGTGGTGGTGCATGCTTGTAGTCCCAGCTACTTGGGAGGCTGGGGCAGGAGGATCCTTTGAGCCCAGGAGTTCTAGGCTGCAGTGAGTCATGGTTGTGCCTCACTGCACTTCAGCTTGGGCAACAGAGTGAAATGCTGTTCTTTAAAAAAAGAAAGAAAAGAAAGGAAGGAAGGAAGGAAATACTAATCTATCTAATGTGAATATTTTCATCTTATTTTTTTCTTTAATTTGTAGTTCCAATGACAGGATTTACACAGAGAGCAACTATTGATCCAGAACTGAATGAAATACACGTCTTATCTGGACTCAGCAAAGATAAGGAAAAGAGGGAAGAAAATGTTAGAAATTCATTCTGGATTTATGACATTGTGAGGAATAGTTGGTAAGGAACTCTTGTCTCTGCTGCAATCCCAATGTAATAATTATTTGAGGTTGTTGGTTTATTCAAAAAAGAGAGAAATGAGAGTATTACGTTAATTTGTGACATTGTATATTTAAAAGTCAGTATTGGAAAAAAATCAATATCGGTACCTATGTATACAATGATGTTCAGTGAATGGATTTTACCTCTGTGTTTTTCAAGTAGTAGATGGTTCCTGGCCTGGGACTCAAGAGAATTGTATTTTAGTCTAGGTTCCGTTCTCAAGTAGATGTGTGAACTTGAGAACAGTGCTGTTTCTTTAATGTTCCCAGATCTTAGTTTTCATAAAACGAAGAGGCTTGACTATAGCAAGGAGGGGACAGTATTACTTAGCATTTCCAAACCATGACTTTTGTGTCATAGAGCATCCCACAGAACTGGTGCTGCACATTTTGCTTTGGGAAAACATGGATCCAGCTCTGACATTCTGTGATTGCTCCATAAGTGAATATTGTGCAGAACAGAAGCACTTCAGAGAGCTTCTCCATTCATAATGGGGAATAGTGCTCTGCAGCTAAGGAATTTATTATTTTCTAAATAGGACATTTATTTACAGTCAAATGACAGCAATGTATACTGTACATTTTTATTGTGCATACATAGACAAGATAGCATCTCTTTCAGTCTTTAGTTTGAGCTTTCATGTATGCTGTTTGTATTTCATAACAAAAAGTAGGATATGTGAGCTATTTACTGGACATCAAAAGAACTTTAGAACTCAGTTCTAACAAATTCCGATTGTTTTATGAATAACTAGAACTTTAAGATACGATGTGAACGCATTTCTAAAATTTTTTGTTAGTAATTAGACATGCAGTTAATTTGCTTGCTACAGTTGTATTATCTTTGCTGCTAATTCTCTAGAATGCCTTAAAAGCAATGTCTTGCAGGTCTTGTGTCTATAAGAATGATCAAGCTGCAAAGGATAATCCAACTAAAAGTCTTCAGGAAGAAGAACCATGTCCAAGGTTTGCCCATCAGCTTGTATACGATGAGCTACACAAGGTATCCTAACTACATTGACCTGTAAACTTTCCATGGCCTACTATCTGAAACAATCCCCAAATATATCTTTGATTGTTTTAAATTGGATTTGAGTAAAAAGTTAAAATACATAGTAGACATTCAATAGAATAACAAACACCCAATATCACTTCTCCCTAAAATTCCTTAAGAGAATAAGCATTTTTACGTAGTCTGTAATTCTTGGTACTTTTCCTTTTTTGAAAATAGTCAGTGGCAGCTTCTTAGCTGTATAGATCTAGATACATGACATAGCCTATTGTTTCTACAATGTGACTATCCAAGTAAAATATGTACAGTTGTCAGCATTTAGGTACCTTGTTCCGTGATATAACATGGTTTTTGGTTTTAGATTTTCCTATTGTGTGCGAAGTCTTTTTAATCTTAATTTTCCTGATATACTAGTGATACCTCTTTTAAATCAGCCTTGTGAAATGGTCCTCTGTTGTGAATTTTTAGTGTCATAGTGTTGAGAGTTCTTTCTTTATTTCTGTCTTAAACTTAACCATGTACTTAAGTGATTGGACTTAGATTACATAGTAAATTACTGACAGAGACCAATTCTTTCTGTTAAGCCATGGATGATTTATTTAAATTCTACGCAATACACTTTGAGACCTTTAGGTAAAAGATAACATGGGAGTGAGTAAAAGCCCTTTCTTTTATAACCTCTCAATTTAAGGAGTAAATGAATTTCCATCCATAGGATAGAGATAATAACTATTATATAACACCAATGAATATAAATGTTTTTAAAATTTTAGGAAATATTTAAATTTAAATTTAATAAATGTATACACTAATTGTAATTAAAATATTTAAATATTTAAATGCTTTTGTATACATACAGAAAAACATTCAAGTGCAATAAATTTAGGCAGTTATACCTCTCACTTCTACCACTTACGAAAGTGATTGCGTTTCTTCACTGTTTTGTCTTCCAAAGTTATCTGAGGAACAGATAATTGATTAATGTAATAGTGAAATCATTATAAATTCCTTTTGCATTTCATTTTTGGTATTGAATTATGGAATAATGTTTTTAATGTTATTTCACAAATTATATGTGCCATTTAATATTTGGCATTTCAGTTAAAGCAAAATTAAGATGTTAAAATTTTTTTTTTTTTGAGACGGAGTCTCGGTCTGTTGCCCAGGCTGGAGTACAGTGGCGCAATCTCTGCTCACTGCAAGCTCTGCCCCCTGGGTTCACATCATTCTCCTGCCTCAGCCTCCCAGGTAGCTGGGACTACAGGCGCCCGCCACCACGCCCGGCTAATTTTTTTGTATTTTTAGTAGAGACGGGGTTTCACAGTGTTCGCCAGGATGGTCTCAATCTCCTGACCTCATGATCCGCCTGCCTCGGCCTCCCAAAGTGCTGGGATTACAGGCGTGAGCCACCGCGCCTGGCCTAAAATTTTTTTAAAGTTTCTAGTTGACCTGTTGACTGTTAACTTTTAGTGATTCAGCATTTATGTCAGAATTTTTAAGATATTTGTTATATGATCAATATTGTGATTAATTTTATCCCCATTATTTGTTGTCCTCAGCAAATAATATCTTGGATTAACTTCTTCCTATCATTGTTTTTGTTTCATACCTTCCACTGTCATTGTAGTTATGGTAATATAACTCACTTTGGCATATGTGCAGTTTTTTAAAGTAGCCATGGTGCTTTAAAGCAAAATAGAAATGAGAAAAATCAAGAGAAGCTTTTGGTAAAAATGCAGTATAATTTTTAATTTTTTTATTTGAATGGGCTCAGGAAGTTAACCTGTTATGCACTGCTACTAGAATATCTTGGGTATGCATGCATTTTTAAAAATCTGGCTTATTTTGCTTATTATAGGTTCATTACTTATTTGGTGGGAATCCAGGAAAATCTTGCTCTCCAAAGATGAGATTAGATGACTTCTGGTCACTGAAGTTGTGTAGACCTTCAAAAGATTATTTACTGAGGCATTGCAAGTACCTCATAAGAAAACACAGGTATGAAAATAATTCACTGAAAACATTTAATTAACATTATCAGCTATATTTCTCTTGGCAAATTTAATAATGAGACAGTGTAAATACTATGAAGATCATGAATTTTGTAAATGCCCTGTTATTCCACTTATTTTTGCTTTCGTTTTTCAAAAGAAGATACAAAATACAGATATTGATGCTAAAAATTTATAAATACAGAACAAGTGAAATTTTGCAGCTGTTAAAAAAATGGAAAATAATTTCTGTGAAGGTGACATGCCTACATTGAAGTAACTAAAAGCTAACTACAAATTAGATCAGTTCTAACTTAATGACACGTGCCTGAGCTTTTGATAACTCTCTTAACTGTGAATGTAGTGATATAGTTGACTATACCATATCTTCCTAATTTGATGTGTCACAATACAATTTCAAAGCTTGTAGTTTTATGTCACCTTTATTATTAAATTGCAAAATCATTTAATCAAACATTTTCATATATATACATATACACACACACACACACACACGCGCGCGCGCGCACACACGCACGCAGGCACCCTGAGTCATGTTTGATTTTTAGCCTAGAAGGTAATAAACTACTAAAAAATGCAGAAAAGGATTTCTCTCCTTTTGGTTACTGTAGTGTTATATGGTAATAAAAATTTGCTTTAGGGCCAGGTGCAGTGGCTCATGCTTATAATCCCAGCACTTTGGGAGGCAGAAGTAAGAGGATTGCCTGAGGCCAGGATTTCAAGACCAGACTGTCAATTACTTTATGCTAGACCCTGTATATTATTCTGTGACAGAGCCAGGATTTGAGCCTGAGCGTTCTGACTCCAGAGTTCACCGCTTAACCCTCATATATACATACGTATCAATGAAGAAAATGAACAAAAATCTGCCCTCAAGTGTCCGTTCTTAAGAAGGGAGACTAACAATAAACATAATAAGGAATTTATATTACATGTTAGATGGTAAGTACAATGAAAAGAAACAGATTGAGTTATTGTTTGTACAGGTGAGGGGGGTGGGAATATAGTTTTAAATGAGAATATCAGGATAGACTGCACAGTGAAGATGGCATTTGAATAGAAACTTAAGGGACAAAAGGGACTGAATCATATAGCTGTCTGGTGGGGTGGGGAGTGTTCTAGATAGGTAATAGTCAAGGCTCTGAAGTTAAAAAGATGCCTGAATAATTTGAGAAGTGAATTGAGAAGAAGTGTGGTGGAAGTAGAATGAGTGAGTTGATTGTGGTAGGAAATGAGGTTGAAAGGACTAGGAAAGGGACAGCTTGTAAAGGGCCGTCAGCTTTTACTCTTAGGGGAGATTGAAAGATTTTAAGTAGAGGAGTAACACATTCAGGCTTGTATTTTATAAAAATCATTCTGCATGTTCTTCCCGAAGAACTGGGTAAAACTCGTGGCTGCTTTCCCTCAGGTGGGGAATTCTTCAGAAACAACGGGTTTATGTGTTGGAAAAGATTAGTTCAATTTGGGGCACTTTAGGTTTGAGAAGTCTGTGAGAGATGCAGGCGGAGACCATCTGAACATTTGGTGAAAAGACTTGGCCTGACATTACAGTTGTGAGTCATGGGAGAAGGAGCTTGCTCAGGGTGAGCAAGAAGAGTGAAGGGTTGCTGGGTATTCTCTGAGGACCACCACCATTTGAGGGACAGGCAGAGGAAGAGACACTCCACAAGAGATCAAGAAGGCATCTTAACATTCCGGATAAACTTTGAAGATTGTGCCAACAGAATTTCTTGATGGATTTGATATGGGTATGAGAGAAAGAAAGCAGTCGAGGATGACTCTTAGGGCATCTTGAAAATCTTGTCAACTACTAATTCAGACAATAAAAGGCTTATTTTAGACCTTTTTCTCTACCAAGCTGTTAGATAAATTCAAGAATTTGAGGGACATCGCTACATTATAGACAGAATAGAAGAAGTTTGTGTCTATGAATTGGGTAGAACACAGAAATTGCCTTTTTAATTCAAATGTTAAGCAGATTTATTTTTTTATAATACGGGAGCTTGTACTACACTGTTAGACTGGCTTATTTTTGTTTTGTTCGTAATGGAAAATAAATATTCTGTTTAGTTAGAATATAAATTTAGAAGGAGGGAAAGAAGTATATTGTGTGCCAAGTAGGTACCTCCTTGTTTCTTACTGATGTCACTTGATATAATAAATAAAATACCACTATTATTTTTTCATACGACATTCAGGTTTCCAAACTTGATGATTTGAGGGTAGAAATGGGCAAAAAAAATTGTTATAGGAT
Organism: Homo sapiens; assembly: GCF_000001405.40. NCBI lineage: Eukaryota > Metazoa > Chordata > Mammalia > Primates > Hominidae > Homo > Homo sapiens. The sequence goes on from NC_000007.14 coordinate 131,468,684, forward strand.
TAATTTCTGTTAATTTAGGAACAGGGCAGAACTGTTGATTAAAATACGATTCTAGGCTGCAGACACAAGTCTGTGATAAGTTCTTGCTGGCCAAAAATAGCTTAGAAAATGAAGATGGAGAACATAACTTTCAGGACACTGATCTCTTTACTGGATATAGGACTGTGGGTGTGTGTTGGTTAGGTTATTTCAGGTTGTAAAGGATAATAACATGCTTTGGATACCTCAGCTGAAAAAGAATTTATTATTAGATTATTCAGGGAATTAAGGCACCTTCTCAGCATTTGAACGGTGAAACTGGATGGAGAATTGTTTAGGATACTGGAACAATTCTAGTAGCCAGGTGCTACTGTAGCTTTTCCTTGTACCTCTGTCTGCTTCTTTCTCCATCTGCTTGTCCTGTCCTACTGACTACTGCTGACTTTCTCCCAACCTTGTGGCCTAGATAGATAGATAGATTGATTAGATAGATGCATAGATAGATAGGTAGATAGATAGATAGAGGCATAGAAAGATAGATGGATGGATGGATGGATGGATGGCCGGCCGGCCAGACGGACGGACGGACAGACAGAATCTGCCATCTCATGGCTTCTGTTTACTGCCTTCTCTATTTCTGTCTGCTCTTTACATGTCCTTATGTGTCTCACATTCAGATTATCAAAGAGAAAGAATCTTCTTAGAAAGCATTTCCTGGGGAGAGTGTCCCTATTAGGAAGAATTCTGCCAAACTACTTTATAAACTGCTAATCAAAGCGTGGGTGCCAAAACCTTGGTCTAATCTAATCTGTTGTGGACAAGATGGTAAAGTAACATGGTCTTTACCTAAAGGACTCTCATCTGAAGGCTGTAAGCCTGGCTGTCACTCTTAGGGTACTGCCTGGTACAAGAGAGCTGTAATATTTTGCTAGTCTTTGTCCCTGCGTGAAGTACAGAAACCCTGTCACCAAGGATGCCATCAACCTGAACACCATCGTGAAAGGCTCTTCATCATCTTTCCTACTCAAAGAAAATTCATCTTTTCCTTGTCTGTATATTTTGAAAAGTATACCAACGTATTAGAAATAAACCTGTATGTAATTATGGTATAACAGAGACGTTATCTTTTTCAAATAGATATATAGATATAGATACTTATAGATTTTTGTTGTTGTTTAGGAGAACTCATCCAGATTCATTCTCTGCACCTCAGTTTTGCTTTTTTTTTTTTGAGACAGGATCTCGTTCTGTCATCCAGGCTGGAGTGCAGTGGTACAATCATGGCTCACTACACCCTTGACCTCCCAGGCTCAAGCAGTCCTCCCACCTTAGACTCTCGAGTAGCTGGGACTGTAGGCATGTGCCACCGCACCTGGCTAATTTTTGTAGAGATGGGGTTTTGCCATGTTGGCCAAGCTGGTTTCAAACTCCTGGACTCAAGCAGTCCACCCACCTTGACTTCCCAAAGTGTTGGGATTACAGGCATGAGCCACAGCACCCTGTTTTTTTGTTTTTTTTGTGTGATAAACGATGATAAAATAGATCATCATCATTGCATTATTGTGAGAATAGATGAAGTGATACATGTAAAATACTTGATACAATGTCTAGCATATTACAAATGCTTGATAAGTGGTTGCTGCAGTTGTTTTTACTGACTGAGACATGGACATAATCTCATTAAAAGTAATCAGTGTTAATGATATTCATTTAAAAATACCCTGCTTATTTCAGTTTCCAAGGTATCTGTTAAGCATCTCCATTAGAAAATACACAAATCTAAGCAAGTGTTTTTATTTTTATGTCTACTTGTTTTGGATGAAACACATTGGGATTTTCTGAAGTTCTGTTTTATAAAATACGTAGTATATTCACTTTGTTTGGTAGTTGGTTTAGTGCTACCTTGTAGTTTTAAGAGAAGATAGGAAATGCTCCTACCCAGTCTCTAGCACCACAGCTGCCTGTGACCACCTGGCATTACCATTACATTTCCAAGAACTCCACAACTACACTATCTACCTGGCAGTATTGTTAATTCTGGATTCCTAAACTGACATTTTCTAAATATCCAGAACAACTCCTCATACTCAGTATAACAGTGTATTTTATTCCAGGTCTGAAAGACATTTCTGATATTTTCTCATAACTCCAGATAATTATCCTTGTGTACATTTTCTAGGTTTGAAGAAAAGGCCCAAGTGGATCCCCTTAGTGCTCTGAAATATTTACAAAATGATCTTTATATAACTGTGGATCATTCAGACCCAGAAGAGACAAAAGAGGTAAAGAAAGGTGGTAATAAATTTCAGAAATTAAGTATTTTTAAATGTCTTCCTAACTTATATTTAATGATTTTGCTCTTGAGTGTGTAAAGGAAAACGAAGAAAATATGATGACATCAGTAATCTTTAAAATGTCACAGAGCAGGTGAAATAAAAATTGAATAGGCATGTTTTCGTGTGATAAGATTCAAGTCACCAAAAACCCTTGGTCCATTCAGAAAAGGATTATCAGGTATAAAGTTTTAACTTAGTTTTGTGTTTTGGAAAGCAAATAGAAATTTTTACTTTGTCCATAGTCCCATGATTATTTTACTTAAGGATTACATAATGGTTCAATATAAACTTTTCTGTGGATAGTTAAGATCCCCCAAGAGAGGAAAGAAAACTCCCCTGTTGCTTAGGGAGAAAATGAAGAGAGGTTGGTGGGAGTTAGAATCCTTGGTGCCTTAATATTTAGTTATGTGAATGTTGTAGCAGTATTGTTTGTCTATAGGCTACTAATTTCATTCATCACTAGTTGCTAAGATTGAGAAATCAGTTAGCCAATCATTACTTTTCAGTTTTTTGTTACATAACATTGGGATAGAAACAACTGTTTCTGAAGATTTCATATCCTTAAGGACATGTTTGCTTATCCATGGTGTGTGAAAATGCCTGCAATGATTTTTGTGTTTTTGTCATTTTTTCCTTTTCCAGGCATCCTTGTTCATCTAGCAATATCTGAACTGCAGTGCATTTGCCTTCCACTCACAGAATTCGTGCTGATTATATGTAGTTCTGACCCTTAGGTCTCTTTCCGTGTTAGCTCCTGCCTTGCTTTGGCTTTGTAATAGCAGTATCAAGCTGTGCCCGGCATGCTTGAGCATTGACACAGGTGTCAGATTTAATGTTGAATCACTTTCAGGCTCCAGGTTCATTGTACTTTCAAGCAATAGAGGCTGCATGTCTTCAGCACCATAACAAAGAGATACTCTTTCATAGTTTCGTACTATAAAATTAAGTCCTAAGTCTCTCAATATTGATTATGGCCCTTCAGTAGGTAGAGAATCTGCAGGACATGCTTTAGAACCCCCATGAAGGGGGACAGTTAATTGTCTTTCCTTGAGTTTTCAGTCAATTCATGACACTGTGCAAATAGGAGAAATAATTATAGTTTTGCCAAGTGGCAGAATATGTTTGATTTAATCTTTTATGACTTATAACTGTACTTAGTTGTGAAGAGTCCATTAATGTTAATTTTGTTATGCCATGCATTTGAGAGTTATGCATAGATTTCCTTGTATTTTCTCCATATTCTATGTAAAATAGCTGTAACTGGGAACAATCATTTTTTCCTTATTTTTGAAGCCAAAACAAAATATTTCAAAGTAAATAATTTCAGCTGTGTGAGCTGCAAGTAGGCCAAAGAAAACAAGACAGTTTGTTCTTAAAGTTAAACTAATGGGGAAAAAAAACAGGACAGGGAGGTATCTCAAGTTCATTTGAGCCATTTTTAAAATTTTGGTAGCTGGTTTCTGTTTTTCTTCTTTTTAAAATAGTAACAACTTAGGATTTTGTGTGCCACCAGCTTCCATTCCATTTCATAAAAGCTTAATCTAGCAAGAATTGGTGAGCCCTAGTAGAAGTTAGAAAGAAATGTTGAAGTGTGTATGTGTGTGTGTGTGTGTGTGTGTGTGTGTGTTGGCATCAGAATCACCTTGGACACTTTTTAAAACAATGCCCTTGGCTGGGCGCGGTGGCTCACGCCTGTAATCCCAGCACTTTGGGAGGCCGAGGCGGGCGGATCACGAGGTCAGGAGATCGAGACCATCCTGGCTAATGCGATGAAACCCCGTCTCTACTAAAAATACAAAAAAATTAGCCAGGCTTGGTAGTGGGCTCCTGTAGTCCCAGCTACTGGGGAGGCTGAGGTAGAATTGCATGAACCCGGGATGCGGAGCTTGCAGTGAGCTGAGATCGTGCCACTGCACTGCAGCCTGGGCGACAGAGCAAGATTCCATCTCAAAAAAAAAAAAAAAAAAGAAAAAAAAACACCATGCCCTCACCCTAAGGTTCTCCTCTGTCTGCTCTTAAAGAACAGAAAATAGAAAACATTCCTGACATTGAGAATTACTGGTCCATAGTATTAATATTTTGTTTTAAAATTTGTGAACATATTTAACTTTTAAAATGTTTTATATCCAACAGTCTGTTTGGGGGGAAGAAATCCTCTGGTAACAGTTCACATGTATACTCACGATATTTGTCAGTGAGACATGTAGATCTCATTGTAGGAAATCATTCCACTCATTGAGAAGGGGCTTACTGTTCTTCATTTTCTATAGTAACTTGTTTTTGTTCTGTTTATATGTTTTACAGACATTTAATGTTATTAAATGACTTTCTCATTTAAGTCTCAAAACACAAAAAGTGTTTTTTAGATTTTTTTTTTCACAGTTGTTATGATCATCATCATTGTGCCTGTTGTCAGGACATTGACAGCTGACTATCAACTATATAACAAAAAAATGTTATTGGCTTCCTCCAGTCTTCAGAACATGGGTTCTGAATTGGTGATGAACTTACAATAAATCTTATAAAAAATGATATTTTTTTCTAGAAAAGCCATGAGAAAAGGATGCCTAATCAATTATACCACTTTCAGAGAAGACTTCTATAATAGAGAAGGAATGAGAATAAGTTTTCAGCTACAATAACACATTTTATATTCATTACACTTCTGCGGAGTTTCCAGAGTGCTGGTGTCATTCATTTAACAGTTGTGTATCGATTCCCCATAATAGGTCAGGCATTCTAGGCAGAGGAGCTGTATCAGCAAACCCAACAAGATCCCTGCCCAGGAGGTACTTACATTTTAGTGGAGAAAGACAATAAACATTAAAGAAGCAAATTATATAGTACATTAGAATTGAATAAGTACTGGGCCGGGCACAGTGGTTCACGCCTGTAATCCCCGCACTTCAGGAGGCTGAGGTGGGTGGATCACCTGAGGTCAGGAGTTCAAGACCAGCCTGGCCAACATGGTAAAACTCCGTCTCTACTAAAAATACAAAAAATTGGCCGGGCATGGTGGGAGGCGCCTGTAATCCCAGCTGATCGGGAGGTTGAGGCAGGAGAATCTCTTGAACCCGGGAGGTGGAGGTTGCAGTGAGCTGAGATTGTGCCACAGCACTCCAGCCTGGGCAACAAGGAGTTACTGTAGCTCAGCCCAAAGTAATAGTAGAGCAGTGAGAAGTAAAATAGAGCAGATTCTTAATATATTTTAAAGATAGAACCAACAGAATTTTATGATAGATTAGATCTAGTGTTTGAAAGAAACGACTCAAAGGTTTTGGCCTGAAAAACTGGAAGGATGGAGTTACTATCAACTGAAGTGAGAAAGTTCTGTGGGGAACTGGTTTGTGGGGACTCCTGACTGGCATTCAGGAGTTTAAATTTGGAAATGTTCAGTTTGAGATATCTATGAGACAGCCAACTTAAGATGTTGAGGTGACTGTTGGATATTTGAATCCAGAGTTTGGGAAAGAGGTCTGTAATATCCCTTGGTATGTGTTAAAATCCTTAGGCCAGTACATACAGTTCACTTATTTAATCAGATTGTTAAGATAATAGTTTTCTCCTTATCCTATATGTAGAGCCAATACAATTTATTTTTCACCTTAGGAGTTAGAAAAGAGGAACAAATTCAACCCCAAATAAGTAGGAAATAAGAAATTCATGAAATAGGAAACAAACAATGGAGAAATTTTAAAAGTGAAAAGTTGGCCTTTTGAAAAGGTAAATAAATTGATAAACCCCAAGCAAGACTTACCAAGTGTATTAGCCTGTTCTCACACTGTTGTAAAGAACTACCTGAGACTGGGTAATTTATGAAGAAAAGAGATTTAATTGACTCACAGGCCCACAGGCTTAACAGGAAGCATGACTGGGAGTCCTCAGTAAACTTACAGTCATGGCAGAAGGTGAAGGGCAAGCAAGCACCTTTTTCACATGATGGCAGGAGAGAGAGTGACAATGAGGGGGGAAATGCCACACATGTTTAAACCATCAGATCTCATGAGAACTCACTATCACAAGAACAGCAAGGGGGAAATTGGCCCCTGTGATCCAATGGTCCCCCACCAAACCCCTCCCCCAATTCAACATGAGATTTGGGCAAGGATGCAAATCCAAACTATATCACCAAGAAAAAAAGTGAAAACATAAATTATCCACATCACAAATGAAAAGAGGGCATCAGTTTAGACCCTACATATATTAAAAGTAAAGTGGGTATGGAAAACTTCATTGACAAGCCGCAACTTGATGAAATTGACAAATACTTTAAAAGACACAGTTTACCAAAACTGACACAAGAAGAAATAGAAAATCTTAAGGAACTCCATATCTACTACAGAGATTGAATTTGTAATAAAAAATTTTCTAACAAAAAAAACTCTAGGCCCATAATAGCAGTAAATTTTATCAACCATTCAAAGAAGGAAGAAAAAAATACAATTTTACATAGACTCTCAGAAATTAGAGGAAGGCAATACTTCTTAAATCCTTTTATAAGCCAGGTTAACTTTGATATAAAATCCCAACAGAAGCTGGGCGTGGTGGCTCACGCTTGTAATCACAGCATTTTGGGAGGCTGAGGGGTGGATCGCCTGAGCCCATGAGTTTGAGACCAGCTTGGGCAACATAGCAAAAACCTGTCTCTACAAAAACATGCAAAAAATTAGCTGGGTGGTGCCATGCCTGTAGTCCCAGCTCCTCTGGAGGCTGAGGTGGGAGGATCACCTGAGTTCAGAGAGGTTGAGGCTGCAGTGAGCTGTGATCATACCACTGCACGCTGAACCTTGGTGACAGAGTGGGATCCTATCTCAGAATAAATTAGAATAAAATAAAATCCCAAGAGAGACGTTACAAGCAAAGAAAATCATGGACCAATATTTTTCATGAACATAAATGTAAAATTCTTAGGAAAATTTTAGTTAATTAGGAATATATTAAAAGGTTAGTGTACTATGACTAAGTGGTGGTTTATTCTAGGAATATATGGCTAGTTTAACATTTGAAAAAAAATTCAGTGTAATTCACCATGTTAACAGAATGAAGGAGGAAAACCATAGATCATCTTAGTAAGTGAAGAAAAGCATCTAAGAAAATTCAGACTCATTCATAATAAAAATTCTTAGCAAACTAGGAATAAAAAGAAACTTCTTGAATCTAAATTCCTAAAGGACACCTGTGAAAAACATACAGCTAGGGCTATTCTTAAACATTTAACCCTTTTCCCTAAGATTGTGACAAGGAAATAATGTATATTATTAGCCCCTCTATTCAACATTCTACCAGAATTACACTAGCTAGTGTAATAAAGAAAAAGCAATAAAAAACATATAGATTGGATAGGAGAAAGTAAATTTGTTTGCATTTGTAGGTAACATGATTATGTACATTCGAAACCCCATGGTGTCTACAAAACAATATACTAGGACAAGTGAATTTAGCAAGATTACAAAAATACAAGGTCAATAGAAAAAAAAAGCAATTATTAGCAATTTTTATACTAGCAGTGAACAATTAGAAAATGAAAAGCATAGTTTATATTAGCATCAGACATATCAAATGGGTAGAATGAGTCTGTTGTAAGAAATTAAAGAAGACCTTGATAAATGGAGAGATATATTTATGGATTGAAACACTAAAAATTGTTTAAAGCTGCCCATTTTCCCCAAATTGGCCTTTATTTTAATGCAGTGTAAGTTTGGTCTTTGTTGTTGTTGTCATTGAGGAAATAGACAAACTACTATAAAATTTACATGGAAATGCAAAGGTTTTAGACTAGCCAAAACAATTTTGAAAAAAGAAAAAATTGGAAGCTTTATGCTATCTGATTTCAGGACTCTGTATAAAGCCACAATAATCAAGACAGTGTGGTACTGGCTTAAGGATAGACAAATGGATCAGTACAACAGAATAGAGTCCAGAAGTAGACCCATACGTATGTGGTCAGTTGTTTTTTGACCAGGGTACCAAGTCCAACGGGGAAAAGAAAGTTTTTAACAAATGATACTGAATAACTGGATATCTCAAACCTTTCTCACTGTTTACTGAAACATTAATTTAAGATTGATTACAGGTCTAAATATAAAATCCAAAAGAATAAGGCTTTGGGAAGAAAACATAGGAGATTATCTTCACAACATTGGGATAGGTAAAGATTTCTTGGACATGAACTAAAGGCAGTAATCATCGAAGAAAAATATGGATAAATTGGACTTCAAAAAAGTTAAAATTTCTGCTCATTAAAGGACTTTTAAAAACATAGACATTGCCAGGTTCAGTGGCTCACACCAGTAATCCCAGCATTTTAGGAGGCCTAGGAGGAAGGATTGCTTGATACCAGGAGTTTGAGACCAGCCTGGGCAACATGTGAGACCTCGTCTCTACCAAAAAAAAAAAAAAGTCAAAAAATGAGGCAGGAGGATTGCTTGAGTCCAAGAGGTTGAGGCTGCAGTGAGCCATGATCACGCCACTGCACTCCCACCTTGGTGACAGAGCGAGACCCTGCCTCAAAAAATAAATAAATAGACAAGCCACATACTAAACAATCTTTGCAGTAGATATATCTGACAGAGGACTGATACCCAGAATGTATAAAGAACTTCTATACATTTTTAAATTTTTCTTTTTATCCCCCCTTTTCATAACTCTTGCTTAGATAAATACCTATGGAATATTTGTACAATTTCTGATCTTCAAAGGACCATTAATCAGGGCTTACAAATGTTGGTATGATTTAATATCTGAAATGTTAAAGGCTGCAAGCATAGATGTGAAATATATCCTGAGGACTTGGTGATACTAACTGCTCAAGTCTTGGGAAGTGCCAAGTAACTCCATTGAGGAGTTTGTCTGCTCTAATTCATTCCTTTAACTGGTCTCTTTTCCTGCATTCTCATTCAAGATAAATACAAATAGTTCTCCAGATTTTTTATTTTGTGCCTATTTGTTAAATTGCTAATGTTGCAATAGTTTTGTCTTACTCTGTTTCTTCATTGTTCAATTACATTGTCTGTTTTAAACTAACTTTAACTGACAGCCTGGAAATCTAAGCAACATTTACAACATTATGTCCATTAAAAAAGGTCTTTGGGTTTTAACAATATAATTATATATAATTGTGGAATCTCAATCTAAGTTGTAATTTAGGAATGGTCTATACATGCTTTTTTTCTCAGATTTTGATTTACACAGCTGAGACATCAGGTATTTTACAGTGGCTTACGTTTATTTTTGAGATGAGAATGCATATATGCTAAAAATTCAGTAACGGGACCCAGGGCACCAATCTGTTCATATGTGTTAGATTCAAATGACAGTTTTCTTTTTTATTTTGTTGTGCTGTTGTTCCTTAATAAGTACATACTTTAATACATTTTTAAAATAAAATAATTCCAGGACATGGCCCAGTATTTTAGAAAATGATAATAGCCTAGTAGAAAAGTCATTATATTCTGTAATCTGAATGTGTTCTTCTTGCCACTATTTGGTGAATAGACCTATGTCACACATATGCAGAAATACGTAGTTGCTGATAAATGGTCAAAGTTATAGAAGGCTATTTTCCTTCAGTGCACTTAGCCAGCTAATTTGCTGCTTCTTTTTTTTTTTTTTTTTTTTTAAACAGTTTCAGCTCCTGGCATCAGCTCTATTCAAATCTGGTTCAGATTTTACAGCTCTGGGTAAGTATTGCAGTATAATTTATCCAGCTAGATGCCCTAGCATTTGGAAGGTTGGATTTTGGTTTCTTTTACGTGAAACATCAGGTGAGATGTTTCAGTCAAATAGATGAGCAAATGAAGTTTCAAGGTATCATGCAAAATTTCTAATAACCTGCTACAAGGTTGCTTTGAGGTATCATTTTGCAGTTCAGTTTGCAATGACTATTATACCAATTGCTGTGTTAGTATGCAAACAGATAGCAATAGAAACACAGTCAAAATAAATTAATTTGTATAGCACTGCCTTGGAATGCAGGCTGTTTTACTGATACACACTATGAGATAATACTTGTTGATTAAATAGTTTTTCCTCTCAGTTCGTTCTTTGTGGAATTGTGTGTCGTCAAGAGAATAGCGATGGGGTAGGCAATGTTTTGGGAGCACAGAAGATAGATTATCTCTTTCCTGAAAATGGGAGTTTTGTTATCTTAATTGTTCAAGATAACTTCTGGTTGAAACTCAAGTTTTTCTCAAACACTTTAGTCTTAATTTAGTAATACTCTCTTTTAGTATTAATGAATTATTAACTAGACTGTAGGCCGGGCACAGTGGCTCACACCTATAATCGTAGCACTTTGGGATGCTGATGTTTGAGCCCACCAGGAGTTTGAGCCAAGCCTGGGCAACATAGTAAGACCTCGTCTCTACAAAAAAAAATTTTTAATTAGCCAGGTGTAGTGGTGTGCGCCCATAGTCCTAGCTACCTAGGAGGTTGAAGTGGGAGGATCACTTGAGCCCAGGAGGTAGAGGCTGCAGTCAGCCAAGATCATGCCACTGCACTCCAGCCTGGGTGACAGAGAGAAAGACTGTCTTTAAAAATAAAAAATAGGCCGGGCGTGGTGGCTCATGCCTGTAATCCCAGCACTTTGGGAGGCTGAGGCAGGAGGATCACGAGGTCAGGAGATCGAGACCATCCTGGCTAACACAGTGAAACCCCATCTCTACTAAAAATACCAAAAAATTAGCAGGGTGTGGTGGCGGGCGCCTGTAGTCCCAGCTACTCAGGAGGCTGAGGCAGGAGAATGGCGGTAACCCAGGAGGCAGAGCTCGCAGTGAGCCGAGATTGCGCCACTGCACTCCAGCCTGGGCGACAGAGTGAGACTCCGTCTCAAAAAATAATAATAATAATAAATTTAAATAAATAAATAAATAAATAAATCAGCCGGGCACGGTGGCTCACGCCTGTAATCCCAACTACTCGGGAGGCTGAGGCAGAATTGCTTGAACCCAGGAGGGGGAGGTTGCAGTGAGCCAAGATCGTGCCATTGCACTCCAGCCTGGGCGACAGAGGAAGACTCCATCTCAAAAAAAAAAAAAAAAAAAAATACCAAGACTGTAATAAAGTGGGTGGTCTCTAGAACCCAGACCTTTACTTGGGTGAATTTTCAAGGGCATTTTCATCAGGATAACTTATGATAGCTTCATTTTTTACCAAGATAATCGTCTTGAAGTATGGAAATTCCCAGCTTTCCTCTGGTCAGTGAATGCATATTAATCCCATTGATGCTGGTGCAGTTATTATTTGCCTTAGAGTTGAGCAATAGTATTGAAATTTTCCATTGTATGTAATATAAATACTATTTTTTATGTTTGGAATAAAATAACACTTTGGGATATCAATTTAGTTTCTTCATTATTTGACCTTTTATCTCTTGAAAGTGAACTGTACCTCAAAGAAAAAAGAGTATATATAATTCTGGTGCTTTTCACTGGGATGAAAAAATAGAGGTGTTCTTGAGGTCTTGCCCTTTATCCATAGCGAGTGATTGAGGCTTCTCGACTGATCAAGGCAACTCCAGTCCTAAGTTCTAACTCCAGAATATGTAGGATTCCTCAGGACTAGACTGAGCAGACTGCTATAAACGTGACTCCAGAAGGTTCTCCTAAGAATTTAGATAATGATTTACCACTATTCATACACTCGAGTTGAAGACCTTAGGCTACTAGAAATCCCCAGTCTGTGAGCTGGAGAACCTAGGTGTAAACATTATTTTGGAAAGTTCATGCCCTTCTGAATTCTAGCATTTGAAACAGATGTACTGATACATGAATTGGGGGTCTGGCATATATTCTGTTTAAATGATTATGTGCCTTATGTCTGATACCACAGCCCAGGCCCATTATTTTATTTATTAGTGCATAGCACTAAACTATCTCTAACTGACTTATTTTTAGCCTTTAGAACAAGAATTTCTTGGCAGCAATTTAAATATATCAATTAGGGTGGTGTCAGCAAATATTTTACCTTCAGCTTAACTCCTTTCTTTTGACTCTGACCTATTCACTGCCAACTAATATATTTTGTCAGGAATAGTTTGTTTTATTTGGATTCTAAACAAACCTCAGATATACTGAGAACAATACAAACACAAAAAGAGAAAAATACAAGCAGGGGAAATTCCTGTGGGATGTTGTTTCCTGTCTTGTCTGAGGGGAGGTATTATATAGCCTAGTGATTAGGAGGTTGGAATGTGAGATGGTGGTTGAGAGTCAGGATCTCTTTTAAAAGTGATCTTGAGCAAGTTATTTAAACTTTCTAATTATCAGTTTCTTTATCTGTAAAATGGAGGTAATGGGAATACTTACCTCAAATTGCTGAGAGAATTAAATGAAATAATTCTGCAAGATAGTTATCACAGTAAAGCAGTAAATGCTCCATTCAGGGTACCATTACTATTGACTGCCTTAAAAATTTAATCTTCTAGCCAGGTGCGATAACTCATGCTTGTAATCTCAACACTTTTGGAGGCCGAGGTGAGATGATCATCTTGAGCCCGAGAGTTCAAGATTAACCAGAGTAACATAGCAGGATCTTGTCTCTATTTTTTTAAAAAAGTCACCTTTGTAACACTGGTGAATTTGGATAAGGAGCAAATTCAGATTGTATGCTAATTTTAATAATGAGAAATTTGATTTAGTATTTATAAACAAGAAGTACTTTTCATAAGGTTTCATGCCTATTTAGAGTTCCTGGTTCTTGTTCTTATTAATTTTCTGTCAGACTGTTCTATCTTTGTGCCAATTAGAATAGAAATAAAATGGGTTATTTACTGTACCTTTCATTGTATAAATGAATATTTCATTTTCTAAGGTCTGCAAAAAAAAAAAAAAAAAAACCTCAGCCGAACTTTCTGAATGACTTCCTCCAGAAATAATCCAATTTATGTTCATCCCTTAGTGAGAATTAAATAAAAGTATTAATATTGTATGTAAAATTTTAAAGAATCAGAAAGATGGAAGGTGACATTATCTTAGTTTTGGAAAAATGAGTGATCTCGGAGAAAATCTCCAAGGATCTTGATTTTAGAGCTTCTGGTGGCTATAGGCACTTTTAAGGTTGAACTCAGTCACTTTGCTAAGTTTAAGAGCTATATCTTATTTCTAGAAAGTATGAATTGGAGCAATTAAACTTATTTTCAGCAGGGTATGTGACAAGTAGGAAAAATCTGGTCTGTAAAGCATGTTGCCTATTTATTTATTTATTCATTCATTCATTCAGACAGGATCTTGCTCTGATACTTAGGCTGGAGTGCAGTGGTGCAGTCATGGCTCACTGCAGCCTGGACTTCCTGGGCTCAAGCAATCCTTCTGCCTCAGCCTCCCGAGTAGCTGGGACTGCTGGCATGCACAACCATGCTGAGCTAATTTTTTTTTCCTTTTTTACATTTTTTGTAGAGATGAGATCTCACTGTATTGCCCAGGTTTGTCCTTTTTTGGTCCTCACAACTCTTTTTAGAAGTTTACAGTCCAAATATAAAGTTTAGTGTTAGAAATAAGAAGTGTACATTTAATAATGTGTATGCTAGGAAAAAAATGAGAATTCATGTTATTTCTCCTTTACCACAAGTAGGAAAATCCAGCTACGTGTAGGATGTTAAGTTAAAAGTATATTCCTAGCCAGGCATGGTGGTGTGAGATGGAAGAATCTCTTGAGCCCAGGAGTTTGAATCCAGCCTGGGCAATGTAGCAAGACTCCATCTCTAAAAACAAAAAATTACTCCTAATAGGTCACTTTCTTTTTAGAGCAGTCATTGTCATCAGTCATACTACTAGTGATATGCTGATAGCTAATTAATATTTATTGAGCACTTACTGTGGGGCCAAGTGCTCTTCTAAGCACTTTGCATGTCTTAACGCATGATTATCCCCACAGTAGCCCTATGAAGTAGCTACTGTATGATCCCCTTTTGTATATGAAGAAACTAGGTTACAGAGAGGCTAAACTAACTTGCCCAGGCATAGTGCTAGTGAATGGCAAACCAGGATTAAAACCCTGTCAGTATGGCTTCAGAGCGCCTTTTCTAAACCACTAAATATGCTACCTCTCACTGAGCTTTACCAGTTTCCACTGCTCAAATGGTTACTTCCTCTTTCCATTTTACTTTATTTATGAAAATAAAGTAAGATAAACATAGTGATTAGGAGCATGAGGTTTAGAATCAATATCATCACCTTTTTGTCCTAGCAGTGCCATTTAAGTAGTTGTGGTACTGTTGATGAGTTTCCTAGATCCCCACCCCTTTTTAATTTATTTTTAGAAAAAAACATTGATTACATATAAAGCTTAGAATTCTCCTTAAACAACTTTCCTCAATCTCTGTATTTTACCCTCAAGTATAATCACTTATACGTAATACATCTTTACACACACACAACCATATACACAGACATAGATGCAGTTGGTTCTCATTATTCAAAGAGTACAGAGTTAGGTTCCTACAAGCCTCTGGTCACAACATTTTATCTACTGATTAATATATAACCACGTATTATGTGTGTTTCTGTTTAAAGATTCCTCATTTAATATATATTGTTGATTCACTAACATTAAGTTCATGGTCAACATCACTCTAACTCATACCTGAACCAAGCTTATCTAATGTGCATATTTTTCCCCATAAGGCCTTTTTGCACTTAGGAATGCCAGACAGCACTTTGGCACTACATTTGGGGGCCATTTTAAACAGTGAAGCCACCAAAAACACAAAAATGTGGCACCAAACAGATGGTGAAAGGGCTGTTGTGGATAGTAAGAGCTGAAACTAGAAAGCAGCAGAGATCACAGAGTTCAGCTTCAGCTGGGGACGTGTGCATATGGTAACTCAAATATTTTGCCACTTTGCACATGTCTGCAATGACCACAGAAATACCACAAGTATTGGTTTGGGGGTTACACATGAATTTTAGCAAACAGGCAAATTCACAAATATGGAATCTGTAAATGATCAAGATCAACTGTATATACGCATGCATACACTCATATAAATATATAGGTTTGTATGGGCTGTTTTAATTTATTATATAATGTAAAAACATATTCTGCAGCATAGTTTTTTTAAGTTAATGATGTGGCTTGTAGACGTTTTTATGAAGCTACACTAGATCAGTTGTATTCTTATGAAGTGATACATAATTATTCATAATAGGGATCTACCATAATTTAACCATTCGTCTAATGATAGTGTAAGTTTCAATTTCCTCATAGGTAAATAGTAAATAAAAATAAAAGATGTGCCTTTGAGAGTTAAATGAGCTTAGTACATTGCCCTACAACTTAAGCACTTAATGAGTGTGAGTTAATAAAAATTAAAGGGCTTTGGAGTCAGACAGACATGGGTTCCACATTCCATCTCTTCCCTCCCTAGCTGTGAGACTTCACTGAATTACTGAATCTCTTTCTGTGTAAAAGAGGTAGATGAAGAACAAAAATAGTAATAACCTTAAGATTATTGAATCTCTCTAAGTCATCTCATCTGAAACTGGAGATTATAATACTTCATTGTTTGTGTGACAATGAAATGTAATCATACCTAAAGTACCTACCACACAGGAACTCAGTGTTTTTTCCTTCTTAGATAATTTGATCTCAAGAAAATGGTGTTACTTTATAAAGAGTAGCATTACAGAATCAATATCTTCTTTTAAAAATATAACACAGCATTGTACTTCTACATACTCAGAACGTAAGAGAAAGAACTAAGCCATTTTAGTACAGTGCTTAGACTGTATACTTTCAGTGAGGTATAGTCTACAAACAAAAGCAAAGAAATGTTGAGTTTGGTTGGTAGTGGTACATATATAGCAAATCTAGAACTCTTATGTATTTTAAGTTGAGCAAATGAGTACATATGATGTTGCTGGGAGTCAGGGTTTTCTTGGTGGAAGAAAGGAGATATGGAATGGAATAAGAGAAGGAAGAATCCTCTGGGGCTTTAAGAAATTAGAATTAACAATAAAAGCATGAACTATAATAGTGTAAAACAATGTATGCATATGATAGGCATATATGCATAGGCCTAGAAACAATGACACCCTGGCAATTAGCACAGCTGTTCTTGTTTGGTTTTTAAATAATAGTCACAGCTAAAAGAAAGTAGGACTCCAGAGCTGTGTAAAGATGAATTTGGATATATACCAGAAAGTAAGGAAGTACCCCAAAATTAATGGGTACATTTCAAAAAGACACAGAAGCCAGCTCAAAAAGGCTCTCACTGGTCAAATCTAGGACAATATGAGTATCAGAATGAATGATGACAGTAATGAGTATAACATTGAGCAAGAGAAGAATCCCTGAGTACACAGTGATGCGAACAAATAAGTAAAATGGGAGGAGGGGAAGAAACAGCTCTTCTTTACAATAGAATGTCAACAACTGTAGAAGGAGTCATAGAGTCAGAAAATCACCATCATATAACTGATAATTGTTTCAGCAAGAATCATCAATGATTGCTAAATTATTGGATGCAGGGCTGTGGGAGAACAGGATATTTACACAGTCTCAAACTATCTCCCTATCAATAGTTTATTAATTACAAAGGTAGAAAAGAACACCTTTACCTTGGAGAAACTTGGCATATACCAACTTAAGTAGATGATCAAAGTTAACATCATCAGTATTGGGATAAACTGATACCACATGCCTTCTGAGGTGATGCACTGAGGACACACAATATCACTTCTGTAGCATTCTTGCCAAAACTGCATAAACTGAATCTGATCATGAAGAAACAATCAGGCAACCCAAATTCAACACATTCCACTCATAAGTGTTCTGTACTCTTCAAAAATATTCATTAAAGTCAAAGAGAGGCTGAGGAACTATTTCAAACTCAGGAGACTTGGAAACTAAATGCAGTGTGTGATCTTGGATTGGATTTTAGATTAGTAGGAAACATGACTGTAAAAAAGTGACTGAAAAATAACTGGTATTATTGGGACATCAATGTTAAATTTCATGAATTTAATATATATTGGTTATGTAAGTTAATGTTCTTGTTCTGAGCTGAAATTAGTTTGAGCCTATAGGGGGCAAAGCTGTCTAAAACTCCCAAATAGTTCTGCAAAAAGATTTTCAGTGGGGTACACACATGGAGAGAGACAGAGAGAGAGAGAGAGAGAGAACATATTTGATGAAACATTAATTGATGAGATGAATCTAAGTGAAGGCTATATGGGGTGTTCATTGCACAATTCTTGAAACTTTTCTGTGGGTTTGAAATTTTTCAAAATAAAAAGTTGAAAAAGAAGCAATTTGGAAATTTCAAAAAAAAAAAAAGCATAAAATAGGAAGACTCTAATCTCACCGTTCAGAGATAACCTTTGTTAATATTTTGGAGTATTTCTTTCCATTCATTTCCATGATCCGATAGTGGGCTTTGTTAAACTCAAGCTCATCTCAAGTAAACATTCTCCCTCAAACTTAAAACAATATATTTTTAAAAAATAAAAAGGAATGTGCTGTTCTTGAGGTATTGTTTATTTTCCTTCCAGGAAACTGGTATCCTTGGCAATGTTATGGTCTATTCCTGTTCTTTTACAAGACTAAAACAGGTTGGACCTAAAATGGTACTCTAAGTTGAATGAAAAGCAGTCTGATCTGAAGTCACTTTCACTGAACACCATGGCATATATAACTCTTGATGGCTCTGTTTCTGTTTCTCATGGCATTTAGCAGCGCTCTCATGTCTCAGCTATTTCAGGGATAGGGGAAATTATTTATTTTATTTTATCACTTAAATATCTCATTTGTATGTAAGAAATCTGAAGCAGCTGAGATAAACCAATTGATGAAGACAGCATCTCACTGAATATTCCTTTAGCTGGAATGAACTTGATAATTGAATGTTTATTAGAGGTTAAGGGAAAAATCCTTTAGATTAACAGTCCCTACCTTTTAAAAATGTCATATGCTTTCTAATGTGTATCAGGATAAAAGTAGTTCATTGCCTTATTCCTCACATAATGTGTGCCTAGCATAGGGCCTGGTACATAGTAGCATAAAGGTATAGTGTTATGTGCAGATACCATTCTGCATATTGTACATGTATCTCCCTCAGTCGTCTCTGTTACCACTCAGTTCCCTGAGACTACTTCCAGCTGTCTCAGAGACATTAATGATTTTAGACTAATTTCTAAAGACCTCTTTCATTTTGATTTTATTATATTTTTGTTACTAAAAAACTTTTTTAGTGGTTCAGAAGCATTAACAAGTCAGAAAAGACAAGTGGAATTTCCTCAGTGGACCAGCAGAGAAAAGACCTAATAAGGAAAAAAAGAGAGATCAGTATTATTTGTAACTAAAGTGCCAGTCCTTCTGCTAGACGCTTTTCATGTAACTACATTTAATCTGCACAATAACTGTATGAAGTAAACAGGATTATCACATACTTACAGCTGAGGAAGCAAAGTCTGAAAGCCAGAAAGTCTGACTAATTTATCTAAGATCACACCACAGCCAGGTAGTAGAACTGGGGTCAGATCAGTAGTGTCTGCCTGGTTTTGAAGCCTGATTTGATTTCTCCATTATAAAATACATTGCTGCTGGTCTCAACTAGTTTTTCTGTTACATGTTTTAAACACAATGGATGTTTCTTTGTATCTTCTTCACCAGGCTTTTCTGATGTGGATCACACCTATGCTCAAAGAACTCAGCTCTTTGACACCTTAGTAAATTTCTTTCCTGACAGCATGACTCCTCCTAAAGGCAACCTGGTAGACCTCATCACACTGTAACTGAAGAGTCACTGGACACAGAAATGGAAAACAGGAGTCGATTTTCCGTCTTTTGGATTGCAGCTCCACTGACTGACAGTAAAGCTGCAGTGATTGAGGACTGCACCAGAGTTCTGAAGGGATCTTAACCATCACAAGTTTTTACCCTCTTCCTTCATGCCTGACCTCAACCCCGCTCTCCTCATCCTATTCCTAAATTAGGCTAATAAAGTGAAATTGGTATACTTTCCAGTTAAATATATATATATATATATTTTTTCTTACTTTATCTTTTAAGAATTAATGAGTATAAAAGAAAAATTAGGCAGTTTACCCTTTTCAGATTTTTATTTCTTTTTTTTTTAATTGGGGGAAATAAGCACTATTAACAGATTCAGCACTACAAGTATTTTGAATGTTGTTGCTGTTGGTCATTTGGCCTGCCTTTTCCCTTCCTATTTCACTTTGCCTCCCATCACACAACTGCGTGTAAATGGTGTCACTTGTTCACCTCTTTACTTCATTCTTAACAAGTGTATAGTTCTCTAGGACAGTTGATGTATGTTAAGGTGATATCTGTGTCTGTATTGACTTGTCTTGTGTTACATTAAACAGTAGGCAGAACTGAGGTCTCAAGTTTGCACTCTTGGCCATAGAACTAAAAATGAAACCTGAGATTGACCCAAGCACCTATCTGAGATTGGTATATAATATTTCTATAATGATATATTTTATAGTAGATATTACAATAGCATCTGACTTTGAGTCACAGAAACCTTAAACTGAGGAGACAATAGTTCAGAACCTTTTTAAGAGCCATTCTAAAAGTGACCAGCAGGAGGGATCTAGTAGTGAATAATATCTTAATAGCAATTTTAGGAGAAAATGACTCTTTCGTCCAGAAGAGCTCT
Source organism: Homo sapiens (assembly GCF_000001405.40). Classification (NCBI taxonomy): domain Eukaryota; kingdom Metazoa; phylum Chordata; class Mammalia; order Primates; family Hominidae; genus Homo; species Homo sapiens. The sequence goes on from NC_000007.14 coordinate 131,488,619, forward strand.
GCAGAACCAGGGCTCCCGTTTATCTTGTGCTATCTCTGTAGTATTTTCATTTGAGAGAGGAGGCTGAGTTTCCAGAGCTTTGCTTTCATTTATTTTTATACACATTGTCTCTCTATATCTGCTTGTGGATATTGTTATTTTGAAGAGAAATGGTTTGTGGTTGTCCAGTGGTATACAACTGACAGGCATTTCATTAAGCACATAGACCAGACTTTGTGAATGGTTCAGATATTTTTTCATTAAAAAACAAGGTATGGCAGATGGACTTTTCCATGGGTCAAATTTTTTGTGTGAGAGATAGAGGTACATGTCTTCTGATGATGTGCTGTGGAATGCAATGTGGGAAACCTACATCTGGCTAGTGCTTACATTTGCTCAAAAAGCATGTTGTATGAAGCTGACTGCCACCATGCTAAAGCAGATTCATATTAAGAAGTGTCGGTCGATCCAGTGGCTCTTAAGAGTGAATAGCTTTATGGAATCAAGTATGTCCCTGAGTAGCAAGATTAGGCCTCACCAAAGAAGAAATTAACCTGCACTTTCAAAAAGTACCATGTATAGGAATGAAACATTGAGGTCCCACTTTATTCTGTCTTTAGTACATGGTTTTACTTATTTTGGGGATGGATAGAAATATATTTTTGCTAGTTCTAGGCTTGAATCATGGGCTCCTTGGCTTTCCTAGCATCCCAAAGCAGTCAACAGTGATTTCTTAAGCAATTTGATCTGTACCTTTACTTGTGAAAGGTATGCTATATAATTCAGCAAGTACCAACTTGTGTAGCTGCAGAATAACCAAGTGGCTATCCAGTCAAGTAAATACAGTTTGCTTACATACTTCAACAGTTTCATAAAACGATTCCCCTGAGTGACACAAGAACATAAAATGTTAATATCACTAATATAGCCTGTTAAATCTTTTGTGGAGACAGGTGCAAATCAGAAGATTGACAAGGAAGAACTTGAGCTTGCTAAATAAGACTTCCTAAATTTAAAAGCTCTAGTTTTGCTTAGTGTGAATTCTGGCACTTTAAAAAGATTAAGCAAGTGAAATTCTGCTGCCCTCCACCATTTATTTTTACAGTGCTTTGTAATTTTTTTCATCAGTTCCTTAAATGTTATTTGGAGGAAACTAAGTTCTTGACCTCAGTAATTTTATTTTTGTTTTTCCCTAAATGTTTCCCTACTAGTCTTTTTGGAAAACATGTTTGTTTTAATTTCATCTTCCCTCACTTTATTTAGGTAGAATTTTTCCCCCTTCATTTCTGAAATTTTTTGCTCACCGCCATGTTTAAATGGGGTTGAATCATAGCGAGCCATTTGCTCTTGCCAAAGTGAGATAGATGTACTGAGGAGATAATTGAAAAGTCAGACTCTGTACTGTGGGGCTTTAATCGGAGCACTGCTGGAAATGATTGCAGAGAATGTAGTGCTTCATATATCCATGACCAAGATTGACATGTTGCTCACAACATGTCACAATTTAGTGAGGAGCTACATGTATTTCCAAGAATTCCAGCATAGATTATAATTTAAATAATCGAATTTGGTATTTAGGTACATTGTTTATATAGCCAAGTGTATATGCTTTACTACCTAACAATTATTCTAGCCTAGGTGAATCCCTAATTGAAACACCTGGCTAACACTTTAGACACATAAATTAAGTGGGATACAGTTTTCTCATTTGTATTATCTCCAGCTTCAACCTCATTTATCCTTTTTCCTAGTATAATACATTGTTTTCAACCAGAAATTAAAGTAGATATCCAACATTATTTTCAGTGCTTGTACTTCATGAGAAATAATCTGATTTTCAAGACACCTCTTAAGTGCATTTGCATTTTATTTTGGTAATGGCAGAGACCTCATGTGGCCAGTTTGATTGATTGAAGAATGTATCACTCTTATTCAAGCAAAGGAATTCAGACTTAAATGCCTACCTCTGTGCTGAAGCTGACAGACAGTATTAACTCTTATCAAGGCCATCTTTTAGACCTGATTTTCATTTATATGAAAACAGACCTGTCCATGTCTAATAAGTAAAAACTGATAGAATACATTAAAAAGTCACTGGTTTATCATAGAAAAGTTTGATGGGTTTAGAGCTCAGTGATTTAAGCTTGTAAAACTGCATTCTTGGGCAAAATATTTATATTGTATATAAATGGTTGGCAGCTTATTCCAGTTGATCTCTTCACATCTGCCTTAAAAGTGCTATGTAGAGATACATTAACAGAGTTATAATAAAACAGTGTTTTAAAATCTAGCCTATAAACAAAAACTAGTTTGAGGCACCCAAGCATTTAGTGAGAGATTGAGAATGATGCTTAATGGATCAAAAAAGCAATTAGGAGTATGTTCCTGATTTTATTCTCTAAATTATACTCAATTTCATGGTAATTACATGAAGAAGTTACCTGCAATTATTCTTAACACTACATGGAATTCACTGGGTAATTGTGGGTCATTTATTTCCTGAAAGTCACGTGAAATCCTTAGCTGGTTGAATGTTGCACAGTATTTGAGAATTACGGTTTGAAGTGATTTCTGTGGGAGGGAATCATTGCAATGTATATTCTAAATAAAGTCATCTAACTATTAAAAAAAAAACACCCTTCCTAACCCTTCTTTTCTTAAAATTCCACATTCATCCACAATCTCATCCCTTTGTAGAAATTCTTGCCTGAATTCTCACCAAGTTTTGAATTCCTAAGGTAGCCCCGATCTAGGATGTGAAGGCTGCCCAGAAAAAGTTTATGGCTGGAGGAGTATCATACAGTGTCTACATATGATAGTACTTACAGATTAGGTCTTTGGATGCTTTAACACAAAAGATTTTTGTTATCCTTATTAGTCAAATAACGCTATTCTTTTGTGGTTCTAGACCCTGGCTTCTATCTCCCTGTGATTTGTTTTAATGCTGAAATGACTTGGCTATCCAAAGCTTCTAGTCTAGAGGTCTGTTGGTTGAAGGCAGACATTTCCAAGTTTGTTGAAATAATACGAAGCTGACTAGCTTACGTGAATGATGTTGCCCTCATTTGTTTTGGGTGAGGACTCATTACTGCAGTATATTGATCTCTTCACCAAATGCTTTTTCTTTTTCTGAATAAATGCTGTATTAGAGGTTCTATTTATATATGATTTTTAAAACTTTGGTTTCCTTCTATCCACCAAATACTGTGAATTGTTTTTCCATTTATTTTTCTTAGCTAATGTAACTTTATTCTTCACTTTTTTTTAGCCCTAGACTTCCTAGATTTTCTGTGGCATTCTGTAGGACATTGTATTGCTTGGAAAAAAAAAGATCAAAATCATTCTGGGGCAAATGCTCTATTATCCTTATTTATGACAAGAGAATAATGAAATTCATAAGAAATTAATAACATTCAGATATTGCTATAAATGTACTTGAGTCATTTTCATTTGGGGATAGTAATAATGGCTGTGGCAGCTTTAATGGAGAAACCTGTGTTGGCCTCTTTTTCTGGCATTAGGATCTCTTGTCATAGAACTATTGGTAAAGTACAGGTTTGATAGCAGAGTTCCTGAATTCAGCATATCATCAGAATTTCCATTTACCTTTTGTCTTTTCTTTTTATTGTATTTTTTAACCTTTTTGTTTCTATTCCTACCTCCCATGAGTAACATTGATTTCTGCTGAAGTTAGAATTTGTGTTAAGAATTGACTTTAAACTTCTGAAATAGTTGAATATTAGAAGTGGCTTCAGTTGCCATGAAATGATTGCTTTTCTTTTTCTTTTTTTTTCCTTAAATAAAAATAATGCAGCCTTATATATGTCTCTTCCCCTCAAGAATGTGAATTTAGGCTGGGCATAGTGACTCACGCCTGTAATCCCAGACCTTTGGGAGGCTGACACGGGAAGATTGCTTGAGCCCAGGAATTTCAGACCAGCCTGGGCAACACAGGAAGACTCCATCTCTACTTAAAATATTTTTGTTTTTTAGCCAGGTGTGGTGGTATGTGCCTGTAGTCCCAGCTACTTGGGAGGCTGAGGTGGGAGGATCACTTGAACCCAGGAGTTTGGGGTGCAGTGAGCTATGATTGCGACACTGCACTCCAGCCTGGGCAACAGAGCAAGACCCTGTCTCAAAAAAAAAAAAAAAAAAAGAATGTGAATTTAGCTCCAATTCCAAATGACTAACTCTTAGGCCAGTCATAGCCAATGAAATCATCTGACGGTAGCTTCTGTAGCCCTTAACCTAAGGAGTCATTAGAGGTTATAGTAAATTAGTTTCTCTAGTGGTGCAGAGAGAAATGCCATCGGGGAAATTATCACTGTCTTTTTGGCTAAAGTTTTATATTGTGAACTGGATCCCACTTAACAGCTTAAAAACACAAAAATGAAAGGGTAGTCCTAGTTTATCTTCTTAATTAGAATCATTATTTGGAAATAAGATTTGCAATGTGCTGTCTATCCCCAAACACTGCTGAGCTTGCTGGAAAACAGAATTTAACATGAATGTTGTCTGAAAGCTGTAGGATCAATGGCAAAAAAGGGGAAATGTTTGGTAGGGAATTGGACCAGTTCTAAGGTATCACTTTTAATTATAAAATAATGTCTTCCTTTTTATCTGCTTTTCAGACAGCCTCAGTGAACTATTAAACATTTGTGTGCAAAGTCCTATTTTGCTTATCTAAGGCATTTTGACTTGGAAGTATTAAACTTCAGGAACGAGCTAGAGAAGACAATGAGGGTATGTTAGAGAAGGAAAAATAGGAGCTTTTTGCTTATGGATTTTAGAGGTCCACAAATCGAAAGGAAAAATAAATTTCTTCATTTCTAACCCTAAAATAATTTTGTTAATGAGATGCTGGGAAGAAGACTACCAAAAGGCCTCAAAGCTCATGCTTCTAGAATATTCAGTAATTCTGAATAGTCTTTGGGAAGTAGCATTTCTTGGGAAGTAGCATTTCCCTTCTTCCAAATAACTGTTTGAGATCTTAAAACAGAAAATCCAGTGTTAATGGGCTCTAGATCTTAAACTAGGTGAGCAGCTTCTTACATACAACCAGTTCCTTGTTAAGGATCCAGCAGGAAAACCAGCCATAAAACATTTCAACATGCAGTTTGGGGGCTCCCTTGCTTATTCACTGAGTTTAAGCTCTTGCTGCAACATAGCTCTGTACCATCTGGGATGCTAGCAGTCACAGCAGTTAGCTCAGATATCTGAGCTGTCTGCCACACAAAGCCTGAGGAGATCATCATTCTTCAGTTTCATTCATTACTTAATGAATGCCAAATTAATTGGCAGGAAGAAGAAACACTGTGTGATATACTGAACAAGCCTGTGTGCATGAATAAGGAGCCACTCAAAAAGCCAATTTTGAGCTTTATTTCTCCGTTGTTAACAAATCTCAAGAAAGCCTTTGTTACAGTTTAGCTCATGTCATTTGGTTGGTTTTATTTTCTAGCCCTTTAACATAGGAGGAAAATTGTCATTTCATGTATAACTTGTAACACAGAATTGAACTGATACTAGTTTCCTTGCCTTAAATTAATTATATGTCATCCCAAGGGTCTCTGTTAATTCTGCTTTGCCAAGCAATAATGAGATCTGGGTTTGGCATTAGAAGTATTTCATAATTTTGGTTTTTTATTTAGGTTTCCTCCACATCTGTAAAGTGATTGATTAAATTAGAGGAGGCGTGTAGAATAAATCCCAATCCCATTGCAACTGGCAGAGCTTTATAAATCTTTATAAATTCAGTTACAACAAAGGAGAGGATCCTACACCATTAGAGCCATGCCATCAGGTGTTTGCAAGTGACAGCTGTAGTGTGTTGCCTCAAATAATACCAAGTTATAAATAATACCAAGTAATTATCAACTCACTCCCAAATTTAATAAGATATCAAAGTCCAAAAGGTTACTTAGGAGTAGTCTTCCGTGGGGGAAGATAAATTTATTAAAGAGTCATGTACTGATCTTTTTCTTGGGATTTTTTTTCCTTTCCCAGAAAAAAAAATTATTTTGGTGACTGATCAATTGTAAACAATTTTCTTCCTTACTTACAAATCATCCGTTCAGAAAAATAAAAGTGGACTTCCTTTCCTAAGCATTACAATTAGCCTGGGCAAGAGGTGTTATGATTGTCTTATTCTTTAAGCCGGCTTACTTTTTGGATTTGTGTGAAATGTCTTTTGAAAAGAAAGTAGATAGTATAGTATTAATTAACTACTTTGTATAGTCTTCTGCATAATTTAGAGTTGAAAATAATGTAACATTTTCCTGTGAACAGATTCCTTTATGCGTACATACTTTATAAATATACATACATACACATACACATACATTTTTAAAATGCTCTTTTTAAAGAGATTCTTATCTTGCTCCCACTCCAAAAGCTATGTACAGTTGAGTTATTAGCCTCAGAGGAAGAGTACAGGAAAGCGAAGATGAGGACCTCCTTTTCTTGTGTTGGTCTTGGGAACAAACAGTATTCCGTCTTTCAAATATGGCATATTTCTAAACAGTTTGGGAAAGATGTTAGAATTTTTTAAAAGTCAGCTCTTTTATAAATTGGAAGTACTCAGTAGTCAGAAATTAAGATCCCCTCTGATAGAGATAGATTCTCAAAACCAAAATTGGACTGAAAATTAGATTGAGAAGAAAGATACAACTTCCTCCATAGCCAATAAAATCTGTCTTTCCAAGTCTGCTTATTAATGCTGTGAATCGCTCCTTCTGTTTGTGAAAACATCTCCTGGACTGGAAATGTGGTGCTGTAACCAGCTGAGCCGAAAGTTGGAGAATGTTAAATATCTTATATGGGACTTACGATAAAATGTATTGATGTTAGTGATTGTCAAAATAGGTTTATCATTTAAAAAACTAGGAAATTACTAAGTATAAAGAAGAAAAACCAGTATTAATTAAGTGATGAGACCTGTTCATTTTGTTTTCCCTGACTTATTTCCATTACCAAACATAGTAAAGGCCAGAAAAGATTAAAAAAAAAATTAACACAGCCATTCCATTGTTTTTTACCACATGGAGAAAGGACCAGGCTGGAAGCATATGTCCCCCCACCCTTATTTATATTCCTTTGAGCATTGCCGTTTTCTAGACAGACAATCCGAAAATAATTGTGTTGATAGGTCTGTTTAAGCCTGAACTCTGGGTGTAAAATGTTATCCAGAAGCTATAGGGAGCTGCCTTGCTCAGGTCATTGGAAATTTCAACCCTAAGACTCATTGGAATTTCTAAGTCCGTTATGCACCATTATGGGCATATGGAGCATATTCATACCATGAGGAGGAGTCTTTGTTTATGATGGACTTTTTAATATGGCCATAATTAAACTCACACTCAAAAAGGATGAGCTATTGTCAAAAGCCAAAAGAAAAACAGACAAAATGAACATGAAGCAAGGAGTCCATAAAACAAGAGTTCTTTACCACGTTTAAGCAAATGTCTCTCAAAAAAAATTGTATTTCTGTGCACATTAGCTGAGATTCACACATTTTGCACCTCAGTAGTATTTCAGATGAGACTCAATGTGTGGAGAAAACCGCTAACTTGTTTGGTTCTACTCTTACCCCCTCTTCTGTGGCAATGTGGGGTCAGGGCCGTATCCTAAAGTATCCACATGGTCTTAAATGGAAATCATGGGACTCTGGAAAGCTGGCATGAGCTGGTTGGAGCTTTTAAACAGAAGTGCTTTATGGGTATCAGATCTCTTCTGACATCAATTGTTTCAAATCATTGTTGGGCTCTGTCGTGTTCTGCAATCTTCCCCATTCCCCTCATGATCTCTGGCTTATCTTTTATCCAATCTGTATGGACTTTTTAGGATTTTTTTTTTCTTATAGTACAAATAATTTTCAGATCCCAGCTTTGGTAAATGTGTTAATTCTACTTTGTGAATAAATAAATGAGTGATCTGCTAAAAATGGCAATTGTAGAATTATGTTGTATGTAATGTACATATGGAGAAAGAATGTATTTTGTTCATTTTCTTAATAAAATGTTATATATGGATGCTACAAGATATCTCTTGTATTTGCTCAAACTACTTTTGAAGTGAACTTTTAAAATGTTTTTGTACTTTACAGTTGTGTTTTTTCCCCCAGAAAGGTGAGTTTTATTTAGGCTTCCAAAAGGAAAGTGATACGCTTTCGAAGGGCCTTTGGGTGTTTTCCTTTGAGACGGTGCTCAGATGAACAAGTACCGGCCATGCTCACAAAGTTTCTGCGGGGAGGCTTCCACTTATTTAAAGACCACTGGTAAATTATTTCATGAAATGTTCTTCTATCTACTGTTAATGACCACCCTTATTTTATTTGCTTTGTCCACTTGGACTTATGTTCCTCTTTAAAGGGGATATGCTTGTACAGGCTGGAACTAGAAGGAAAGACTGAACTGAAATGGAAAATTCACTGTAGAAAAGATAGTAAAGGGAGAGAACCTAGAAGTGTTGCAGTTTGGGAAAATTCTGGATCCCTGTCCCCATTAAAGGGGAAAGACACTTTATGGGCCAAATCTTGAAAAAACTAAGCTGAGAAATATGCCAGATAAAAGTCCTGGGTCACTGGGGCCGAGTGGTGGGACTCTTAGTAATGAGATCCCCTCTCTGCCCTTTCCACCTCCTGGTCTGCTTTACATCGTGGCTTTGTGATCATGCATTCTGGAGTGAATTGTCAGCTGATTTTATTCCAAACAGGGATCATGCTTTCTCAGTTTACAAATTGAATAATCCAAACCTTACTGCAGAGCTTTCATTTCTAGGGTGTCCTTTGAGTGTGGCCCTTAAGTAACGTTTCTTTGTGTTCTCAAAACAGGAAAGCATGAGGTGCAGTGATAAGGTAAGGAATCGGCCTTTCCTTGGTCAGTCCTCCAGAGAATTAACTCAAAAGGATCAAAATGCAGGACACTACCCTTGATATATTTGTCACTACCTTCTGGTGGGAAGACAGCAGTAAGTAAAGAAGGCTTGGCCCTAAACACAGATGAGAGCCAGCTGCTCCCAGGTCAAGCACATGTGGAGACTGTACTACAGAGCTTGGAAGTTGCTGCGTTAGGAGCTTCTGCCGCCAAAGGAAGATGACCGAGCATCTAATAGGGAAATGGCTGTGTGCCCATGCTCCTGTAACTTCTCATATAAATGACGACTGCAGAGTCCCTAGAAACGGGGAGGGGGGGGGCGTGGGGGGGGTTATTTTCCCTGTAAATGAAGGCAACATTGGTTTATCACTAACTGTTCAGATTCTGAAGGTATTAATATGACTGGAAAGACCATCTGAGGCTTGTACAGTTCTGGCGTAAGTCAAAATCCTGGTTGATGACATTCCTTCTTTAGCACCACGTATGCTACATCTTCCTTTGCCTTTTACATTCTTAGAGAAAAGGAAGAGGGGACTGGAGACTTGGGCTTTCTGGGGCATAGGGCAGTTGGGGCAGCAGAGGATGATGCCACCATCCTTACTCTACAGCTTCACTATTGTCTTACGGGGACTTTTTTCCTGTGGGCTTTCACCCAGCAAAAGCAGCAGCCGTCAATCATATCCTTGCCAGAGAGATTCTTAATATAGGAGAAACTGTAATAAGGAGAAACTACGTAGAAGTAGCCTGCCTAGCACTACGTTCGTAAGTTTTAATGGTTGGCAAACCCCGAGAGGTGGTTAGGACCCTTGGCGATGTACATAGCAGCATTGTACAGCTGCCCTCTAAACTTGGGACATAGAATGGAGAGTCCAGGAGGAATTGGGAATCCTGGCTTTCATTTCCTGATGACCAATGACTTCTGCATAATATTGCACAACTTCTCTGCCTCATTTCTTCTGTGAAGTAAATACTGGCAGCAGATCTTGTTGGCTAGGATCCTATTGATTTTCTTTTTAGGACAGGGTCTCACTGTGTCATGCAGGCTGGAGTGTAGTGGTGTGATCATAGCTTACTGCAGCCGCCAACTCCTGGGCTCAAGTGATCCTGCCTTAGCATCCTGAGTAGCTAGGACTACAGGCATGTGCCAGCAAAACTGGCTAATTTAAAAAAAAAAAATGTAAAGATGGGATCTGGCTGTGTTGCCCAGGCTGGCCTCGAATTCCTGAGCTCAAGCTATCCTCCCACTTTGACCTCCTAAAGTGCTGGGATTAAAGGCATAAGCCACCATTCCCCACCAAGGTCTTTGAAAGCAATAGATATCTCAGTGTTTATCACTAGTGTTAATTATGTAGCCAGTTCTATTCTTTATTTACTTTTTTCCCTTGTGGTACAGAAGAAATCTGTGATTTGGGAGGGAGCTTATAGGGAAGGTTCTGAGTGACAAATGAGCATAACACATTTAAATTGACAACTGAGCGTGTGTCTTGGTTGGCAGGCAGGGATCAGGGTGAATGACCTACTCAGAAAGAGAATGGGATCTTAGGTCTAACTTGTGGCCCACAATAAGCTGTGGGTCACTCTTAGAACAGTGCACCTCGACCATGGCCAGGGTCCTGTGTGAGTTCCTTGTACTTGGACTCCTTTCTGTATCCTTGGCACCCTCTCGAAGCTAACCTCAAAATTACCCGGGCCCAACTCTAGACCTCTCTTCAGGGTTTAACTGCTTTTCACAACAACTTTCATGGAAGGAAAATCATGTTGTAACAGTAGTTGCATTCTAGAAATGTATTTTGCTGTTGTTGGAACTCTGGCATTAACGTGATACTGAGAAAAGAGTGTAGGACTAAAGAGCAAAAAGAGAATCAAGGCCCATGCTGCCATTTAAATGGTTGTGTGATCAATCTCAAAGAGAATACTTAACTCCTGCATCTAATTTCCCTAGTGGGGACAATTCCTATAAGATAGGTTTGTAAACCTATAGGTTTCCTATAAAATGGTTTGTAAATGGTAAGATGCTAGGCAAGTAGACAAGATTGTTGTCTAGCAACTAAGATTATGGACCAGTTCTACCTGACAGTTTCCCTTCTGCAAGTTTGGAATGATGAAGTTTACCCCTTCCGATGAAGAAGCATGCAGCTGTGGATAATACCACACTAGGAGATGAAGAAAGAATCATCTCCAGTGATTCCTTCCTTAAACCGCTATCTATCTTCACTGCAGACCTGGAGGAGGGATAGGCAGAAGCCTCTTGTGGCAGTAAACAGATCCTTTTATGGCAGAAACAGGGCCAGAACAGAGCTTTGTTTTTACATATATATATATATATATATATATATATATATATATACATACACACACACACACACACACACACACACACATATATATGTATATATATAGTCTCTTTGCCAGTGTTTTCATACCTGATCAATGTTCAGCAGCCCTCTTGGGGATTTCTGATAGTGGTGATTCACAATGTATCTGAGGCAGAAGTAGAGGGAAGGAAGACAGCGAAACATACAACGTCATCTTAGGGGAAAGTGAGGTTCTTTAGAGTCACTAGGATAGCTTGAGTAACATAAAGACTCATAACCACCTTTAGGATCCCCCTTTTTTTTTCTTCCGGTTTCTCTCCTTCTCTTGCCTAATTTCTTTGCCTGCAGAGTTGGACAAGTGTAACTCAGCACGGAGGCTCCTGTGCTACGGGTGTGAGCCGACATTCTCAGGCACTTTGGCGATGAGCCTCATACACAAGTGAAGGCTTTAAGAAGTCCGAGGAAACTACTAGAGCTTGAACCAGTTTACACAAAAACACTTTAATTGACAGTATACAATTTTCCAAAATATATTTTTGTAAGAAAATGCAATAATTATTAACTATAGTTTTTACAAACAAGTTTCTCAGTAAATTCCAGTGTACTTCAGACCCCTGTCCACTAAGACATATATGATCCCCCAGTTCCTGGGCAAACTGTTGAACATTCACTGCAGACAAAAAGACCAACACCAAAGAGTCATCTGTGTCCTCCATGCTGTGTTTGCAGCAGACCTGAGGGATCAGCTAGTGACCGTGACAAAAGCTATGCTACAGTTTTACTCTTGCCCTCTCTGCCTCCCCCATCATGTTTCCTTGGTCCCTCAGTCCTGTTGGAGTAAGTTCCATATATAAAAGCTCATCCAAAACTTTGTTTCTTGGCAGAAAGAAAGAATTGTTCACTTACATCTTAAACCTAAATGATTCAGAGAAAGTGTAGAAGACCAGTTCTTATGTTTGTGTTCATGCCCTCCCTAGCCTTGCTAGGGTAACAACTGGGAAAGGAATTCTGTCCTTTGTGTCATTCTGGCACCTTCGAGTAGCAATTCTTAATTTACCGATTATTCCTTCTGAGGCGCACAGTCTGTGGATCCAGGTTTTAATCTTGTTTCTGTCCTGAACCATGTGATTTTGAGGAAGTCACTTCATCTTTGTGAGCTTCAGATTATCTTTTTCTCTAGAAAAAGATTGGACTAGATCTTGAAATACCTTTCTCCATGACTACAGGGTTGCCTGCCAACCAGAGCATATTGACTCCAACCTTTACTGAAATGGAGCTGTGACTTTGCTGGGGAGGGGGCAGGGTTGCATTTTAAAATTAAAAAAACAAAACAAAACACCTGATCTACAAGACAAATACTTTATCATAAGTTTGTCTTGTTATATTTCATTTTTTGTTTAAAAAAAAAAATCAAGCAAAAACTTGTCATTTCCAGTAAGACATTTACATTCCTGTCCAGAGAAAAAACTTGGCCATCACTCAGCTAACATAATGCTTTTTCAAAGTATGTTCACTTAAAGCAGTGCAGGGTAGGTTAACATGGTCACTGTATTTACATTATCAAAAAAATATGTGTATATGTATCAGTTTGAACTTGTTCTTCAAAGTTTCTCCAGTATATTGTCAAAAAAGATAAAGCTCAAGAAGTGGTTTAAATAAACTTTCTGCTAGCTTTCCTTATCAAGCGGGAAAAAAATCTGGTGCCTAGACTAGATTAAACCCGTATTCTGTCTTACAACGCAAAGAATATTCTGTACCTCCTTCATAAGCTTTGCTGCCTGTCTCCCCACTCTCATGACAGTAGGCTTCCTAGTCATCATACTTGTGGTTTCTGGCCTCCTGTGCAGCTTGGGGAAACCACAGTTTACCACTGAAAGAGCTGATGATAAACTGTCTTTGCTACAACCTGTTTAAGTCATGCTGAGCTTCTAGTGTTCCTCTTACCTCTTCCCAGACCCAATGCTCTCTGAATTATCAGAGAGCATTTAGAACCCAGTAAAGGTGGCAGAAGATGATGACCTTTATAGATGCATGGCTGTTTGGCCTGTTGACATAGGTGTCCTGGTGGCAAGAGCAAGGCAAGGTGTCAGATTCTGAAGCTGTCCTAAGCCTAGACTAACACAGTTTGGACGAATATAAAGCAGTAACCTCTGAATCAGCCCAGAGCCTCTCCGGGTTCTCCTTGGACAGAGCGATGGAGAGTCAGGAGAGTCAGGACCGACCTGGCCAGGCACTCCTGCTCTCTAGTCCTTGCCAGTCATCATCTGTCTCCAAGAGGCCATAGGGTTGCAGCCTTTGATTGATTTGCAGAGGCCTATTTGCTGTCTCCGTCAAAAGCCCTGGCTGGTGAAGTGTGACCCAGGATCAGCAAAGGAGGAATAATCCAGTCTGGCCTCTCCCACGGGACCACAACAGAAAACCTACTGGGTGGAGAGAACCCAGCGCTGGGCAAGAAGGAAGCAAACACCTCACTCAAGCCTAACAAGATTTCCTGTTTTCCCCCAAACAGGCACTGTTCTCCATCCTGCCCACCTCCAAACACTAGAGCATCGGGGCAGATGTTTTTGGAACTTGTTAGCCTCGCATCCCTCTAACTCCTGGGAAACTCGCTGGGGCCCTATGTGAACCCCTGGCCTTCCTTTTCCCCTAGGATATCAGATGGCTACAGACTGTGAGGAAGGAATTAGGCAGATGGTGCAGGACAGATCTTCCCCAGCCCCTCCCCCTACCCTTTTAAAAAGTAAGCCATCCCGAGTGGATAGCCTATTTCATCAGAGCTACTACAGCCGGAGCCTGACTCTTAAGACCCTGGAGGTGTGGCGTTTCACCCGAAAAATGGCAATTTCATTCCCCTAAGCAGTTCTGCCCATTTTCCTACTTGATCCCAGGGAATTTACGCCCAGAACGATGGAGACCATGGCGAAAGTTCAACATTCCACACAGGATTCCCCCTTCTCAATCAGATGAAACCTCACCATGCCCACTGCTTAGGAGCCTTCTACATGGCAGCTAACTGCCGAGCCCATAAAAGTCCTATATTGGGGAATAGACATAGCTTTGTGTTCCCCTGAGATGCCACCAGAAACTGCAAGAGAACCGCAGCAGCCCCACTAGGCTCACAGAGAAGAGGAACAGCAAGGCCTAGCTCCAGGCCAGGACAGTGGGACGTTCCCACAACAGTCTGTCCCCCAGGCTGCCCTTCATGCACCCAGCATGCACTGCGCTTTCCAGGCCCTCTTTTCCTGTGGCACAGGAGAATCAGAGTGAGTGAGATGAGCTAACTGGACGTCTGCCAACTGTCTGAGCTTTTGGCCTTTGGCAGTGGAGGGCTGGGTTAGAAAACAACTATAACAAAACTCTCAGCAACTTGAAATGTCCCTGAGTTTCCTATGATATACAGGGGAAAGCCTGTCCTTCCTGGCTGCTTTAATGGATTGTCTCTGAAGACACATCGCTGATGGGGGGCCCCGGGAAGGCCTCTCCTGCAGCCACTGCTCTTTCATACTGGGTCTCAGGGAATCACTCCCATCAGCTGAGCAGTGAACAACAAAAGGAACACGCTGCTCTCACTAGCTACAGCAGATTTTAGTCCCTGGTGGAAATGGAAGCCCAAAGAAGATCGTGGGTGGCCTCTGCAAGGAGTGCCAGGGGCAATGGGCCAGTGTTCCTGCTGACCCCTCATCAGCTGCCCTGAGATACCAGCCTGGACTCGAGTGTCCCCTTCTCTCCTCACCTGCACGCAGGTCCCCTAAGCAGACCTGGTTCACGCACGGAGACCTGTGTGGGTTAAGCCCCCATCTCACGAAGCAAATGTGAGAAAATCCGAATCCAGAACAAGGGGTTCAAGGTTATGAATAACCTGTGCTAATCCCAGAGGCCCCAGGACAGAGTAAGTGGGAACAAACACTGAGTGTAGGGAGGGGTAAGAACATAGAGGGTGGGAAGATGGGTACACGAGGCTGGGGTAGGAGAAGGAAAACTTGGGAGCTGGACTTTCAGGTCGTCAGATCCCACCGAGCCAGGATGTAGCCCTGCCCTCCTTTCCAGCCCAGCCACCTGCTGGAGTTTCACCCCTGCCCGGGACTGCTCTGGACGGAAGGCACATGTGAACACAGCAGTGTGGCATGGTGCAAATGGAATCTTTGTTCTCATCCTGGCTCTGTCACCAAGTGGCTCTGACCTTGGGCAAGTCACTTACCCTCTTCAGGTCTCGGCAATCTCACTGCAGAATGAAGGGATTCCACTAGTTCATCTATAAAGTCCCTTACGTGGCTTTTTCTTGATCTCCCTCATCATCCAGCAGCACTGAGCTCAGGCACTAGTGGGTTATTTTACAAGAGGAATCTGGACAGAATGTGATTTGTTCAGGTTGAAAAGGGAAAAATTAAGGCCCTGGGGGGATTGGGAGGGGACACCCCTCGGAGTTCACTCTCCCTCCCCAGTCTTTCCCTTCCCCATCCAAACGGCACTTGGGGTGGTTGGTCTGGAGCTCTGTGGTGCTGCTGGAGGCCACCGGCAGACCGGACTAGAGGTGTGTGTCTTCCTCCTCATCCAGGTCGTCCTTGGTCAGGTTGTCCAGAGGGACGATCCAGCTGTCCCCCAGCTCCCCGTTGAGGCTGACCACCTTCTTCTCCTGCATCTCAGAAGAGGTCTCCATCACTTCCAGTGTTGGGTTGTCATGGTAACCATTCTCCACTGTCTGCAGCTCCTCTGTTAGCCGCTGCTAGAGTGGGGAAGGTGACCGGTGAGAAGGGGGTTTCAGAGGGCTCTGAGCTTAATACAGCGCATGTACGTACCCCTCCCACTCAGGAGCCCCACTGTAGCTAAAGCAGGCCCTCATTGCTCGCCTGTGGGGCTGGCTGCTCCTGGTGGTCATTCTGGCTCTCAGCCTGCCCGGAACTAGTTGGGAACAAAGACTTGCCCCTCACCCTCACCCTGGTGGCAGAACCTGTGAAGTTAGTGGAGATGGACTTTGTTCTCCAGAGTCCTCTAAGCTCTCTCCTCCCCTTCATCCCTTCCCCCAAAACCTCCTCTCCAGGCACCTACCTCACCTATCATAATGAATGGGAAAAACACTATTAAAAAATGACCTCTCTCGGGCTGGGTGACTGAGCCCTCAAGCCTGGGCAGGATGGGTACGGTGTCTCTAGAATCATCCCTGCGGCAGACAGCAGCCATCTGGCAGAGGCGCTTTCTGTCCCTCTCAAACACAACCTTGAGTGTATGCTAGAATCACCTGGGGAGCTTTTAACAACTACACTGATGGACTCAGAGATTGTTTGAATTGGTGTGGGAGGCAGTCAGGCAAGGGAATTTTTCTAAAGTTCCCCACGGTGTGCAGGCAGGAGTGAGAACCACAGGGTCTGGGTGGCACCATCATGGCGAGAATTCTAGTAAGGTAGGCAGAAGAATTTTTGGTTAGACAGAACACCTAGGCCTGCTTCTATCAATGAATCCTCAGACCAGCTCTGCAAGGAGGTTATCCCTGCTGTGCAGATGAGGAACCTGATGCCCAAAGAGCTCATCTGACTGACTTCCTCAAGGTCAGGGCCAGGACTAACCAAGTCTCCCTGACTCCAGTCCAGGCGTGGTGACTCACACCTGTAATCCCAGCACTTTGGGAGGCTGAGGCAGGCGGATTGCTTGAGGTCAGGAGTTCGAGACTAGCCTGGCCAACATGGCGAAACCCCATCTCTAGTAAAAATACAAAAATTAGGCGGGCGTGGTGGTGGGCACCTGTAATCCCAGCTACTGGGGAGGCTGAGGCACAAGAATCACTTGAGGTTGCAGTGGGTGACACCAGCCTGGGTGACAGAGCAAGACCCTGTCTGAAAAAAATAATAATAATAAAATAAAAAATAAATAAGTCTTCCCGACTCCAAAGCCCACGCTCTGTCCTCTGCCACGCTGCCTCTGTAATGCTCTGTGGACTGAGGCGGCTGCCTATCAGGGGTGGCCTCTGCCTGTTAGAAAGGGTCCAGGGCCTGCTCCCTTTCCTCTTCTGCAACTCGGGAATCACGAGGGGAGGGTTCCTCTGGTGACCTGGGCTGCTTCCCCTGTGTGGCTGCAAACAGCTGCTTACCTGGTCCTTCCTCTGGGAGAGGCGCTGGTGGCAGCAGCCATAGAGGGCCGCCACGAGGAGCAGGAATGATGCCATGCAGACGATGGTGATGATGAGGGGCATGCTGAAGCGGTCCTCGGCCTCCTCCGGTGGCCCCTGGTCCCCTAGCTTCATGTCACTGACCCCTGCCTGCATGGGAAGTGGCAGAGAACAGGCTGGGGGCATCCTCTCTCCCTCAGCCCCCGGCTTCACTGTAGAGCCCCTCCGCTTGCAGTCTGCTAGGGTCCGTGCCGCCGCCCTCTTCTACATGCAGGCACATGACGGGGTTCCTCCCCACAGAGAGAGGGGAGTAACCAGACCTCCCACAAGGGGCTTCGGAGCCACTCTGTCCCCACACTTGGGGGGCCGCTTACCTCCTTTAGTTCATCCCATTTGTCCTTCAGCCGCTCGTACACATCCTTGGCAGGGAGCTTAGCTGTGGGAGAGGGAGACGATGCCCAATGGCCCAGCCCAGAGCGAGGCAGTGGGGGACGGGGACTGCGCCCCAAGAGAGGGACGCACCGTATCTCAGTCTCCTGAGTGTCTCTCGGGTGACCTGGGAGGGGGTGTGGCTTGACAGTTCTTAGGGAACTGAAGGGGCACCACTGTGACCCACCCTCCAATGTGGCTTCTGCATGCCCCCCATTCCCACCCATGCAGGCCCCAGCCCAGGCCCCCTTGCCCTCCACTCACTGTGAATAGTGATTTCTTTGACGACCACGGTCTGACTTCCTGGAACAGATGCCAGCCGTATGCCGCACTTATCTTGGGCCGGGTTGAAGGTGGCTTTGACTGCTCGGCATATCAGTGAGATCAATTTCTCATCCGAAGCGCCCCCTGCCTATGGTGGGGAGAGCGCAGGTGACTCCGCGGGGAGCGTGACAGCAGCCTAGGCCTGTGGGGCTGCCCTCCCAGCTAAGGTCGGGACAGTGCTGTTGCTGTGCTAGAACCTGCCTCCCTCTCTAGCCCCAGCTGGTGCTCCACGCAGGCCTGCCAGGAATCAAGGGTTGCATGCTGTTCTCCTGGGCCAGTTCCTGCCTCCTCTGTCTCGTTCCCATCAGCCCGTTCTCCGCACTGTGTTTATCTGGTCTACGCTTGCACCTTTCATTCCTTTCACCCTAGTGCCTCTTTTTTCCCTCCAAGCTGTTTGCGGATTGGGGGTTGTTTTCATCTCCCTCCCTAGAACGGGCTAGAGAGGGGGCACTGCACAGCAACCCTACCCCACAGCCCGCAGGGAGACTCCAATTCCCCCTAAACTCCCATTCACCAGCCTTTCATGCCCAGTTCGGAGAAATCAGGTGGGGAGGCTGCAGCTCTCAGCAGAAGGGTCTCTACCCCCAAAGCTGAAATACATGTGCCCTTGCCCTAGGCAGAGCCTCTGGCTCTGAAGCCACGGACAGGCTGACAGGGAAGGGGCTCCACTGAGTAGGGGAACAGGTGGGATCTTGAAGCTACCCCTAGGATATCTTGGAGGGGGTCTTATTTAGCTCTAAGAACAAAGATTGTGGCTGACGTGGCTTTAGAGCTGAGGATGAGGGGAGAAGTGTGGGCAGCATGTATCCAGTCCTGCCATGCCATCTAGGGGCACCCCTCCCTGGGGCTTCTCTGACCTGATTCTGGAATAAATGACTAAGACAAAGAAAAGGACTCTAGGGATAGCTTAGCACAGAACCCATACAAACCACCCCTAAGGTTTCTACCAGAATTTCCTTAGGCTTAGTAATTCCCCACCCTGACATCAGGAAGGGATCCAGGGTTTTCCATCTTCCTTTTCTAGCAAAGGGAAAAAAAAAAAAAGTGTCTCACAACAATCACACAGCCTACCAAGCTACATCCAAAAAGAGGGTCTGAGGAAGGGCTGGGCGGGCACCTGACTGTCCCCAGAGCCCATATCATGCAATGCCTGCCTTGTCCAATAAGCCCAGCCCTAGGAGAGCACTGCTCCCTTTTAAAACTCTGGTCTAGATGTAGGCTTTTGTAAAGTTCACTTGGAAAATGCCGGCATAATGGACACCCAAAAGAAAACAACTGCAGAAAATTCAGGCAGCATTAAAGTGTTGTAAGCCCAAATTCTCCATCCTATCTATAGACACCGTGTTCAGGTCTGTTCTAGTTCTAGTTCCTAGGGGGTGGCTGCAAAAAACCGGCACTGACCGGGAGAGGGCAGCAGTGAGCCAGCCATCTCCAGCACCCGCCGCGCTCGGCAGTTATTTACTGAGTGTGCACAGCGCACACTCCCCAGACCAAAGCCTTTGGACCCATGGAGACCGGTGGCCTGAAGGCTGCTCACACACTGCTACCTCCCTCACACAGGTGTGCTCACACGCACGCTCACCACCCAGACTGGAGAAATGCTGGCAGTGGCTCCTGCATTCCTGGGCCCTTTTCTCTCCCACCCATCCCATCAGCTCCTCAGGTTAGAGGGAGAATCTCCCAGCACTGTTCGTCCATCAAGGCTCTCAGATAGTCCACAGACCAGGAAATGTGAAGCCACAGACGATTAAAGCAGACAGACTACACCTCTCATTTTCTCTTGCTTTTCTTTTCTTTCTGTAAAAACAGGGTCTTCCTATGTTTCCCAGGCTGGTCTTGAACTTCTGGCCTCAAGCAAACTTCCTGCCTCAGCTTCTCAAAGTGTTGGGATTACAGGTGTAAGCCACCACACCTGGCCTCACCTCTCATTTTCAATTGAGACATCTGAAACCCAAAGAGATCAACTCACCAAAGTCACTCCCAGAGCTAGGGGCAAACAGGAACTAGGATCAGGGTCCCTCAACTCAGCATACTGGAAATAGTCACACAGTGAAAGCCGAGGAAACCGGGGGGTGGGAGGGGGGGGT
The DNA here is from genome assembly GCF_000001405.40 of Homo sapiens. Lineage (NCBI taxonomy): Eukaryota > Metazoa > Chordata > Mammalia > Primates > Hominidae > Homo > Homo sapiens. Next base: position 131,508,726 of record NC_000007.14, read on the forward strand.
CCAGTCCTGTGGGTGTGTCCTGACTTAGAGAAGTCTTAAACCTTGGTCTGTTGCTCTGTAAGATGGGAAAGGACCACTTCCTACTAGGAAGAAATGAGGGCCGGAAAGCAAATGCACCTTAGAAAGATGTTTAAAAATGCACCTAGAAAGAACATACATTCCCTCTCCCTCCCTCAGCCCTGCTGTGAGCCTGCACCTGGCGGCTCAGATCAGCAAGCTACTCACACAGAGGGTGTTTCCTGTGAGGTTCAGGACGAGCTGCTTCTCACTCTGTGTCTGTGTCTCAAGATCCTCACACTTTGCCTGGAAGAAGCCACTGAGATTAAGGTTTGGGCTAATAGTCATGGAATCTTTGACATTTCCCCCCAACTAAGGGGTGACCCAGATAGGAAAGAGTTCACGGCAAGCTGGAGGCATGGCTGGACCCATTCCAGAGCCAGGTATGTCCTGGCTGCGTGGCTTGAGGGCAGCTCAAGCCAGGACCAGGCTAACCAGGGAGAGGGAGGAGGGAATGGGTAAGTGCTGCTCAAAGCCCCAGCCAGGGGCCCTGCGTTGGAGGAAAGAACAGAAAACCTTGTCTTAAAGCCTCTTCTACCCGAGTCTGGGTTCTCCTACTTGCCCCACCCCTGCTGGAGTTACCCAGTTACTCTCATGAGCCACAGTGGGAGAAGGTGTTTTGGGGTATCGGTGGGTAGTTGATGCTGCTGTGGGGCTGGAGCTCATGGTCTCTGGCAGGGTAGGTGTTCTCAATGCCGTTGCCGGGCTCGTGGGCTGCACTGTCTCCTGGGAGGAAGGGGCCGTAGAGCTGGCTGGCATCTGACTGGAGGTCTGTTGAGTTCTTTGCGAGATAACCGATGACGCTGTCATTGGGAAAACGAGGGTAATGAGAAAAGATGAGTGCACCCTTGCGAGAAGAGGACAATCTTTTCTTGCTCTAATAGTTTTCCCAGGTTCTTTGGTCTTACCTCCCACAGAGACGGAAGAAGTGGACTCCTATGACAAGCCAGTGGAATAACCCGGCAAAGTCACAGCAGCCGCAGCAAACGTTCACTGAGCACTTAACTTTGTGCAAGGGACTGGGTGCCTCAAAGGTACTTTCCTACTGAATCCTCACAATCCTCTGGGGAAGGAATCGGCATCATCCCTATTTCATAAACAAGGAAACTGAGGCTCCGAGGGGCTCAGTGATTTGCCCGAGTTCCTGTGCCAACAATGGCAGGGCAGGGATTCGAAGCCAGGATTATCTCAGCCGGAGCCCGCACTCCTACTGTGTGGCACCCTCCTGTGGAGCGGTGGCCTGCTGACTTCAGACCATATGCCTCTGATATGCAGCAACATCACCAGGAGCGCTCAGAAACTCTGGGTCCACAGGTCTGAGATGGGCCATGATCCTAAGGCTCTTGATCCATAGGTAGATTTTGAAATTGATTTACTAGGTTAAGACAAGCTCTTATAAATAATAAGTAAGTAAGTAAGTAAACAGGTATCGGCCGGGCATGGTGGCTCATACCTGTAATCCCAGCACTTTGGGAGGCCAAGGTGGGCAGATCACCCGAGGTCAGGAGTTCAAGACCAGCCTGGCTGACATGGTGAAACACTGTCTCTACTTGAAAAAAAAAAAAAAAAAAAAAAAAAAATTAGCTGGTGTGCTGGTGCACACCTGTAGTCCCAGCTACTCGGGAGGCTGAGGCAGGAGAATTGCTTGAACCCGGAGGTGGAGGTTGCAGTGAGCAGAGATCATGCCACCGCACTCCAGCCTGGGTGACAGAGCGAGACTCCATCTCAAAAATAAATAAATAAATAAATAAATAGGTATGAAATAGAAACTATTCCCCTCTCAGGTTCAAGCAATTCTCCTGCCTCAGCCTCCTGAGTAGCTGGGATTACAGGCGCCTGCCACCATACCCAGCTAATGTTTGTATTTTTAGTAGAGACAGGGTTTCGCCATGTTGGCCAGGCTGGTCTCGAACTCCTGACCTCAGGTGATCCACCTGTCTCGGCCTCCCAAAGTGCTGGGATTACAAGGCATGAGCCTTTTCAGAGCCATCACGCCTGGCCCTGAAAAGTTTCTTGGTGCTTGAAGAAAACCAGGCATTACTTACGTAGGGTGGTGGTCATCCCCGGGCTTGTGAAGGTGTAGCCAGGGATAGCCACAGTGCTTGAACTGCTTGAAATTTTCATAAGATGGTCATGTCCCGAGCTTGTTGGGGTGGCCACAGGATGCGTCGAAGTGGGTTGTCGGGGGCTAAGTGGACTTGTAGGGTGAGGGGTCGTCAGATGTTCTGCCTTAGTGGATGTGAGGTCTGTGGTCACACTGTGGCTGCTTTTCCCCCCAGAGTTTGTTGTATCTTCTGCTCCATTCTGGCTGCTTGTGGTGTTAGGTTTAGCTGTGGCTGTGGAGGTTGCAACTGTAGTGGTGTCTGCACTTTTTGTGCTCTTGGGGCTCTCGATGGTGGTAGTAGGGTTGCCTGAGCCGCCTCCTCTAGCCACGGTAGTGTTGACTGGGCCTGAGACTTGCTGAGCCAGGGTTGTAGTCCCCGGTGAGTCACTGGATACACCAAGGGTGGTCGCCTTGACCGAGGCCAAGATTTCGTTGGCCTTGGAAGTGGGGACTGTGCTCTGCTGGGCTGTATCTGTAGCCATGATGGTGACACTGGATGCTGGAGTCGGTGCTGTTTTGTTAGATGAGTCCGTAGTAGTCTGGGTTGCTGTTTGTAAAGATAACAGAGAATGGAGTTAGGGCTGGGAGGCTTCCTCACCACGCTTCTCCAGCTCTTCCCCAGGATTCAGAGGCCTTGCTCGCAGCCCTGCTGTCTGCCTTGCTAAAGGCCTGGGTCTTTGGTGAATCCAGAATTTTCGGAGGTTCAAGAAACCTCTTTTTTCTGTCTTTTTTTTTTCTTCTTCCTTTTTGTGGAGAATGGGGTCTTGCTATATTGCCCAGGCAGGTCTTGAACTCCTGGGCTCAAGCTATCCTCCCGCCTCTGCCTCCCTCAGAGCTGGGATTACAGGCGTGAGCCACCACGCCTGGCATGAAACCTCTAAGAGGGCAGCTTGGAGTGCAGCAGGGTCAGAAAAGCAAAATTCTGCTGAAGGCGAGCCCAGGCCAATGAGGCCCACCACACGTGGAGGCTGTCATGCATGCCCTGCCCTCCCCGTCCAGCCCCACACACATCCCCTTTAAGTTTCTCAATATGCTACCCCAGAACCAGCTGCCAGGAACACCTCTGTCTCCTCCTCCCCAGCTCCCAGGCACGTGGCCCACAGAAAATTCCACAGACTAATGCTTCCTGAACTGCCCTGGCCCTGTTCTGAGCTTAAGCAAAAAAGACATGGGCCCTGTTCTCATGGAAGTTATATCTAGGAGAAACTGATGATAAACTGAAATTACACAAATTACTATTTCAGTACTAGGTGAGCTGTGCCAAGAAAGAAAGGCCGAGTGCCCGGACTGCATGCAGCATGGTGGCTTCACCTGTCATTTCTTGAGGAAATAGGATCTGTGTCAGGCAATGGAGACACAATGGTGAACACGACACAGAGAGTCGTACCCTCAAGAAGCTAACACTCTGGTGGGGAGGCAGAGACTAACCACCTGGACAGAGCAGCCGTCAAATCTGCTTACTACACGGAGGAAGTGAGGAAGGAAATGATGCAGAGACGAGCGGGGAGGGACCATGTCGAATGAGGGAAAGAAAGGCATCTCTGCGATGATGGTTAAGCTAAGCCCTGAAGGATAGCAAGGAGAATGCTGTGTGAAGAATGGGAGGAGAAGTGTCCCCAGCAGAAGGAACAGAATCTGCAAAGCCCCCGAGTAGGGAAAGCTGCTGACAGAAGACAAGCAGGAATGGAGTTTGGTAAGGAGGGGTCAGGTTCAGGGCTGAGAAAATGCAGGGTCTTATGACAGTGATAGCAACTGAGCGTCCAAACCAGACATTTTTGAGAATAAAAGGCCCTCTTAAAAATCACATTCAGCCGGGTGTGGTGGCTCATGCCTTTAATCCCAGCACTTTGGGAGGCTGAGGCAGGCAGATCACTTGAGGTCAGGAGTTACAGACCAGTCTGGCCAATATAGAGAAACCCCATCTCTACTAAAAATAAAAAATAAATAAGCTGGGCGTGGTGATGGTAGTAAAGTAACTGGGCGTGGTGATCCCAGCTACTTGGGAGGCTGAGGCAGGAGAACGGCTTGAACCCGGGAGGCAGAGGTTGCAGTGAGCCAAGATGGCACCACTGCACTTCAGCCTGGGCGACTGAGCAAGACTCCGTCTCAAAAAAAAAAAAAAAAAAAATCACATCCTACGCAGAAGAAGGAGACATAAGATCATACTCCTCAGAGGCCAACATGCAGATTCCAGATTTTATTCTTGGTGCAAAAAAGAAGCCACTGAAGGCATTAAAGCACAGAAGTTTTATAGGATGACTTACAGAGAAACCTGTTCCTGCTGCTTTGGGGAATGCAGACTGGAAAGAAGAGTGTGTGGAAGAGGAAAGAGAAGTTAGGAGGCAATCACAGTAATCCAGATGGAATGAACAGCGTTGGCCACAGGAAGCTATTGACACTGGAGACAAAAGGTGGAGAGAGTCAAGACTGTTTTGGAGATCAACTGCTTGTTGATGTCCTAAGTGAGGGAAGAAGAGAATCTAAGGTGATTCCTAGTTTTCTGTCTGGAGCAGAAGGGAGTGGTGGGAAGGGGGCTGATGGCTGCATCCCGTACTCTGTGCCAGCCAGCACCCATACCATTTCTCTATATTTGGGAGTTCCGCACCCCGTGAGACTTGATGGCAGCAGAATCTGCCTCCTATGTTGATGCTCCTATGAAAATGCCAGCTCTTTGCCTTGCCAGCCTCCCCTGGGATGAGCATAAGCAGGTGGCAGTGCCACCATGAACGTGCAGTCTCATTCCAGCCGTGACGGGCTCTGCAGGCAGGAGTGGTGACATCATGCATGGAGGTGAGGCCAAGCACTCATCCTGGGCCGCAGCGCCACCTAGTGCTTGGCATGGGTAAGCAGCGCTGGCCTCCCTGAATCTACAGCCTGGCTTGAGTGAGGTTCAAAGTAGCCCTGCATGTGGCCTCCAGCAATCCCAGCTACTCCATACACTGGACAGTATCCCCATATCTTTTACACACACATTTTGCTACTGAAAAGCAGAAATGTTTATCAGGAGTAGCCGCCAGCAGCAAGACTTCAAGGATTGGTTGTCAGGCCTTACTGGGGACAAAGGGCAGTCAAAATTCTGCAAGTATTAAGGAATACTTGCAAGTGTCCCATGATATCTCAAGGATAAGCAGTCACATTATCACCTCTAATCTAGAGTGAAGTGCCCAGGAAGTGGCTTTGGTGTGGCCCAGTGGCTGCTGCCAGAGTATGAAAGGCACACTCACCAAATGTGTTTTAAAAAGCAATACAGGCTGGGTGCGGTGGCTCATGCCTGTAATCCCAGCACTTTGGGAGGCCAAGGCAGGTGGATCACCTGAGGTCACCTGAGACCAGCCTGGCCAACATTGTGAAACTTCATCTCTACTAAAAATACAAAAATTAGCCAGGCGTGGTGGCGGGCACCTGTAATCCTAGCTACTCAGGAGGCTGAGGCAGGAGAATAGCTTGAACCTGGGAGGCGGAGGTGTAGTGAGCCAAGATTGTGCCACTGCACTCCGGCCTGGGTGACAGAGTGAGACACAGTCTCCAAAAAAAAGTGGGGTGGCGGGGGGAACAGTGCAATGTGAGGGTTTGACAGGCATTTTTTCTTCTTAGTAGTTCATAAAGTAACAGTGCTTCTTACTATTGATGGCATCATAGTGTCATCTGGCAAGATACTAGATTGCTAAGGGACTATATCAGCATATTTAGGGAATTAAGAAATTGGTGGGATGATTGTTTTTTGTTTTGTTTTGTTTGTGAGACAGGATCTTGCTCTGTTGCCCAAGCTGGAGTACAGTGGCACAATCAGGACTCACTACAGCCTTGACCTCCTAGGCTCAATCAGTCCTCCCACCTCAGCCTCCGAGTAGCTGAGACCACAAGCACGCACCACCACACCCAGCTAATTTTTTTTTCTAATTTGTAGAGATGAGATCTCACTATAATGGCCAGGCTAGTCTCAAACTTCTAGGCTCAAGTGATCCTCCAGCCTCGGCCTCCCAAAGTGCTGGGATTACAGGTGTGAGCCATGGCACCCAGCCCTGGATGGTTGCTTCTTACAGTGGTGAACAGCTTAAAACAGGATTTGTCAACTCTGAAACTATTGGCATTTTGAACTGGATATTTCTTGTTATAGGCAGTTGTCCTATGCATTATACGCAGAATGCTGAGCAGCATTCCTGGCCTCTGTCTATTAGATGCAAGTAATACACATGCACGCCCCTTTCCAGTTGTAACCATGAAAAATGTCTCCAGATATTGCCAAATGTCTCCTGACGGCGACAAAATCACTGCCAGTAAAAACTACTGGTTTCAAGAAAGAGAACAACAAATTCAAATTCCTAAACCTCCTATAAAAGCACAGACTGAAAACCAGAGACTTTCCAAGAACACATTCAAGGAGTCTCTTTGTTTGCAGCTGAAGGGCTGAGAGGGCCCTTTAAAAGACTTTAAAAGCTTAATTCCGTGAGTTGCCGAATTAGGGTGTTAACTTAATTCATAAGCTCACCAGGTCTCTTATGTGAAAATAGGACCTAGAGAATTTTTTTTTTGAGACAGAGTTTCGCTCCTGTCGCCCAAGCTGGAGTGCAATGGTGCGATCTCGGCTCACTGCAACCTCAGCCTCCCAGGTTCAAGCAATTCTCCTGCCTCAGCCTCCCAAGTAGCTGAGATTACAAGTGCACGCCACCATGCCCAACTAATTTTTTGTATTTTTAGTAGAAATGGGGTTTCACCATGTTAGCCAGGCTGGTCTCGAACTACTGACCTCAGATATTCCGCCCACCTTGGCCTCCCAAAGTGCAGGGATTACAGACGTGAGCCACCGCGCCTGGCCAACTTAGAGAATTAAATGGTGACATGAGAGGGTGTAGATGAATCAGACTACCCATAAATCTCCATCTTCAATGGAATTCACTTGCCAGGAAGCTCTACCACTGCTCTCCTGTAAGATCCTCAATAACCTCACTTCAGCTCATTGGCACCGAAAGCCAAATCTCATCATGATCCCCACTGCTCTTTATTTTCTTCATACCTATAACAACAGTCAGATTCCAATATGTCCCAGGAGGAAAAACACAGACTCTGACCTAGGAGAAGGCTCACACACTAAAAATATCTACAAAAAAACTTGCAAATATTTATGGATATTTAACATAAGGGTGCTGTATCAAAAGGAGGATGATGATAATTTTACATCAGGCTGAATTACCCAGTATGGGTATGCATAGCATAGGTTTTGGATCCAATATGCTGACTCAAGCAGCTACAGGTAGTTCTCATTGCTTTCTTAGTTGGATGACTGAAACCTGGACTCAATGGAAACCTACATTAAATAAAGCTGAGTTGTCAGAAATTCCCTGGAACAATGTATAGGAAGAAATGAAAGTCTTGGCTGGGCACGGTGGCTCACGCCTGTAATCCCAGCAATTTGGGAGGCTGAGGCAGGCGGATCACAAGGTCGGGAGTTTGAGACCAGCCTGGCCAACATGGTGAAACCCCGTCTCTACTAAAAATACAAAAATTAGCCGGGCGTGTTGGCGCATGCCTGTAATCCTGGCTACTCAGGAGGCTGAGGCAGGAGAATTGCTTGAACCCAGGAGATAGCACCACTGCACTCCAACCTGGGAGACAGAGAGATACTGTGTCTCAGAAGAAAAAAAAAAGTCTTGGAGAAACAGAGTGTTTATCATGTATGTCCTGCTCACTCATGCTCTGGTGTGTCATGAGAACTCAAATGACACTCCCTTTACAAGGCTTTAAGCAACATAATTCATGACTTCTGAGATTCACATCTTTCCATGTCTCTGAAATGAGAATGTATTATAAATAATTGTGGGTCACGCTTTGACTGTGGTGCTTTTTTTTCTCTTTTTTTTTTTTTTTTTGAGACAGGGTCTTGCTCCATCACCTAGGTTGTAGTGCAGTGGCATGATACACTGCAGCATCAACTTCCTGGGCTCAAGTGATCCTTCTGCCTCAGCTTCCCAAGTAGCTGGGAGCACAGGTGTGCACTACGACACCTGAGAAATTTTGTAGAAACAGGATCTCCCTATGTTGCCCAGGCTGGTCTCGAACTCCTGTGCTCAAGTGATCCTTCTACCTCAGCCTCCCAAATTGCTGGGATTACAGGTGCAAGCCACCATGCTTGGCTTTTTTTCTTAGTGGTTCATAAAATAATAGTGCATCCTATAATTGATAGTGGCTTGGATTTGATTACATTTGGGATATTGTTAAGAGGACTATTCATATGTTCTGAGAACTCTTGTGGCTGACCTTCACTGGTCAGGTATGTTAATAGGAAATGCTGCTGATTTCAGTGGGGACGGACACCAGGTTCCTTAGTGTAGAGAAAATAACAGAATTTCGTTTCCAGGAAAAAAGGTGTGTGTGTTTCCACAGTGGGCAGCAAGACCAGCGTAGTGATCGCAATGGTCTAACCAAGGCTATTTCGAGCAGCAGCTAACAGCTTGTGTGCTCTTTAGGATCAGAATGGACGGGCAACTCACTGACTTCCTAGGTGTAGGGCCCGCAAACTGGGAACTGTGTTGACTCACAACGATAGAGAACGCAGCCAGTCAACCAGGTCCCAGAACTCGATGTTTTCACAGACTCAGCGTTCCTTGAATGAATCGTGCATTTCTTTTCCATGGCTGCGTTAACAAATGACTACAAACTAGGTGGCTACAAACAACATAAATATATTCTCTCGTGGTTCTGGAGGCTAGACGTCCAAAATTGGCAGGGCCATGCTCCCTCCGAAGACACCAGGGAAGACTCTTTTCCTGCCTCTTACCAGCAATCCTGGCTACTCCTTGGCTTGTAGCTGTGTCACTGTGATCTCTGGCTCCATCAACACAAGACCTTCCTCCTTGCGTAACTCTTTTTTTTTTTTGACACAGAGTCTCTGTCACCCAGGCTGGAGTACAATGGCGCAATCTCCACTCACTGCAACCTCCGCTTTGTGGGTTCAAGCAATTCTCCTGCCTCAGCCTCCCAAGTACCTGGGACCACAGGTACACACCACTACACCAGGCTAATTTTTGTATTTTTAACGGAGATGTGGTTTCACCATGTTGGCCAGGCTGGTCTCGAACTCCTGACCTCAGGCGATCCACCCTGCTCAGCCTCCTGAAGTGCTGGGATTACAGGTGTGAGCCATCGGGGCCGGCCGTATATCTCTCCTCTTATAAGGATACCAGTCATTGGATTTAGAGCCCTCCCTAATCCAGTATGACTTCATCTTAACTTGATTACATCTGCAAAGACCCTATTTCTAAGTAGGGTCACCTGCACAGGTACCAGGTACCAGAGATTAGGACCTGAACATGTCTTTTTGCGGGGGGAATGCCATTCGCTCTCCTGATCTGCTCTCCTATATCCTCGTGAAAATACCAGGAGTCTTTCAAACATTCGAAATTAACTCTGTCTGCTTTAAAGAGAAAGTAATGTATTAAAAAGATAATGCGTTGGCTAATAAAATACTTGAGGTGGCTAAAGAATCAAGCGTAAGTCAGAAACAGTGCTCAAGACCTCTTCTCCTGAACGGGTCTGGTGAGGTCATCACTTCTACCATCATCGAGCATCAGTTTGCACCACTGGCAACATTAGTATTGGATACTGGCTTTTATTGGGGATGAGAGTGTTTAAGGATGCTGTCCGTAAGAGGTCTTTCCATTTACTTTTATGACTGGCACCATGGGGAATCCCCTGGGTTCTAGCCATATTCCTTCCTGCTTCATTATTTAGCCCCATGTAGGGTTCAGGCTAAGTCTGATAAAATTTAACAGGCCACTTATCCTGCCATAGAGTGAGCTCCTTGGTAAAGCCTATGGTCTGTGGGGTAATTGTGATGGTGAATAAAGCATCCTGGAAGTCCAGAAACGGCGCCGCTGACAGAAACGTGGCAGCCTGGAGGGCACACGCAGGTCCAGAACGGGCCGCCCTCCACCACGCCACTTGGTCACAGATCCACAGCGCCATCATTAGGCGATGGAGAAGAAAACTGATATGCTGAAGGGGTCATCTTGCCCATCTGATTACCCAGAGCCTTTCTCTAGACGCAGGCAAATATCCTCACACTCCAGACCTATCCCTGTGGGTCCCTCCACAGGCCTGCCTAACCTTCCAGGTCACACTGATTCTCCATTGCTGTTCCTTCTGAGTTCCCTAGCATTGTTTTAAAAATGATTAGCTCCTGCTGATGAATCTGTTCAGAGCCTCGCCTCAGTGGACCTTTCCTTCAAAAACAAAAGACCAGGAAATGTATTCTTTAAAGTCCTGGCCACTGGGAGAATTTTCTTTCTACGCCACCCTTCAGGATATAGAGCTTTTCTCCTGTCACTGTCCAGTTTGGGCTGGTACTAGCATATTATCCCAAATCATATAAAACCAGGCTTGGTTTTTTCACTCCTCATTCAGCTGATCTCGGGTAACTAATTCTCTTAGAGACCTTTAGGTATGGGTGGGGGTAGGAACAGGCATTCTGAGGGTGTGAGCCGCGCTCCAATTTCCATTGTCCTCCTTTAAGACCAGCCCAGGCCTGGTCCTCTATCTACCACCTTCAATCTAACAATAGAAAGCCACAAAACAACCTAAAGAAAAAAATGGAGGAATGAAAGAACAACCAAAGAAATAGAAACCAAAATACAATAGCACATATCAAAATCAAAAATTGTTTTTTTTAAACAGGCTAATAAAGTGCCAAAAAGTCTTTGGAGAGGTTGATCAAAAGGGGAAAAAAAAAAATCCAAAGGCATAAGTAAACAATGTGAGGTACAAAAATAGTAATAGTTATTTAAAGCATAATACCTTATGGGCAAATATTTATAAATCTGAAGCAGACGAGACAGACAAATTTCTTTCTTTTTTTTATTTTTTTGAGACAGAGTCTCACTCCGTCCCACAGGCTGGAATGCAACAGTGTGATCTTGGCTCATTACAATCTCCTGGGGTCAAGCAATCCTCCTACTTCAGCCTCCTGGGTAGCTGGGACTACAGGCATGTACCACCACGCTCAGCTAAAATTTTTGTATTTTTTGTAGAGATAGGGTTTCACCATGTTGCCCAGGCTGGACTCAAACTCCTGGGCTCAAGGGATCCATCTGCCTCAGTCTCCCAAAGTGCTGGGACTACAGATATGAGACACTGTGCCCTGCCACAAATTTCTTGGGAAAGAAAAAAACTTACCAGAGTGACTCAAGGAAAACGGAAATAATCATTTATCCTATAATCATAAAGAAATTGAGCCTTTCCAACTTGGGTGCGGTAAAATGGCTCCTGCGAAGAGGGTGGTGAGAAGAAAGGCCGTTCTACCATCAACGAGGTGGTGACCCGAGAATGCACCATCAACAATCCCAAGAGCTTCCTGGAGTGGGCTTCAAGCAGCATGCCCCTCAGGCACTCACAGAGATCCAGAAATTTGCCATGAAAGAGATGGGAACTCCAGATGTGCGCATTGATACCAGGCTCATCAAAGCTGTCTGGGCCAAAGGAATAAAGAATGTCCCATACCTATCCCTGTGCGGTTGTCCAGGAAACAGAATGAGGATGAAGATTCACCAAACAAGCTCTATACTTTGGTTACCCACGTGCCTGTTATCACTTTCAAAAATCTATAGACAGTCAGTGTGGATGAGAAATAACTGCTGACTGTCGAATATGTCAAATAAAGGTATAAAACCACAAAAAAGGGAAAAAAAATAAATTGAATAGGTACTTTTTTCATAAAGAAACTCCAAAACAGGATTCAAAGATCAAATCATTCTGGCCTTACATGAACTTTCTGTAGCACAATCTGTTCTGCTCTAATATGTGTCTGTAAAAGGAATTGTTTCATGTACAATCGTCCATCAACAAAACATGAAAAGCGCAAACCAAAGAAAAAGACTGATACATTTAGCGTCAAAGTTAAGAATTTGTGTTCATCAAAAGAAACAATAGGACTTCCAGTTTCAGCTAATGAGAGCAGAGACTGGAAAGAACTTTGCTCCTACTCTGACTACAAGAAAAAAGCTGAGAGGCTGGGCATGGTGGCTCACGCCTTTAATCCCAGCACTTTGGGAGGCTGAGGCGGGCCGATCACTTGAGGTCAGGAGTTCGAGATAAGTCTGGCCAATATGGCGAAATCCCATCTCTACTAAAAATACAAAAATTAGCCGGGCGTGGTGGCAGGTGCCTGTAATCCCAGCTACTCAGGAGGCTGAGGCAGGAGATTTACTTGAACCCAGGAGGCAGAGACTACACTGAGCTGAGATTGTGCCACTGCACTCCAGCCTGGGCGACTCCATCTCAAAAAAAAAAAAAAAGCTGAGAAGCCAAAAAGTTAAGACTTTTCTTGAGCCCTGAGGTCATGAAGAAAACAATGACCCTGAAAAGTGGAGACAGATGGACAACTGCAGGGAGCAATGGGACCCGAGCACACTTGCTTTACCTGGGACATGGACAAAGTTCGTTAAGAAGATTAAGGTCAATTTTTTTTTTTTTTGAGACGGAGTCTCACTCTGTCACCCAGGCTGGAGTGCAGTGGTGTGATTTCAGCTCACTGGCTCACTGCAACCTCAGCCTCCAAGGTTCAAGTGATTCTCCGGCCTCAGCCTCCTGAGTGGCTGGGATTATAGGCATGCACCACCACGCCCGGTTGTATTTTTAGTAGAGAAGGGGTTTCACCATGTTGGTCAGGTTGGTCTCGAACTCCTGACCTCGTGATGGACCCACCTCGGCTTCCCAAAGTGCTGGGATTACAGACGTGAGCCACCACACCCAGCTGATTAAAGACAATTTTCAAATGAATTTCTAAAAGCTGTGTATGGGTTAGTATGAAAATGTGAAGCCCTGTGAGCTGTAGGCATTGTAAGGTCCACAACACAGGGCAGTTTACTCCTGGGAACCCCGCCAGGTGCTCATAGGAAGCCTTGAAAAAGCAAACCCTTGCGGGTGGGGCTGGCTGGGGAAAGAAAACAGCCGGTGCTGAAACTCCATACCCACCACATTCCCACAGGGCAGGAAAGAAGCCTTTCAGGTGGAGGTCAGTAAAATCTACAGCCTGAGGGCACTGGCGGAAACCTCCCGCAGCCAGGGAAGAGAATAGGAAAGATAAAACAGCTCCTTATTCCTGAAGCAAAGCAGAGCTGTGGGCTAAACCCAGCCCGAACATCTAGGAAGAGGCAGGAATGCCAGTGAAGGCCGCACCCTCAAGCTCAGCTTCCCAGGGCCTGAGTGAGACTTAAACAGAACATCAGGAAATGGTCCCCTCCCCTGTTCCACAAGGCCAGCAAGTGTGAAGTAAAAAATAACAGTGGAGCAGCAGGGCGCAGTGGCTCACGCCTGTAATCCCAGCACTTTGGGAGGTCAAGGTGGGTAGATCACCTGAGGTCAGGTGTTCGAGACCAGCCTGGCCAACACAATGAAACCCTGTCTCTACTAAAAATACAAAAAATTAGCCAGGCTTGGTGGCACATACTGAGTAGTCCCAGCTACCGAGACAGGAGAACCGCTTGAACCCGGGAGGTGGAGGTTGCAGTGGAGCTGAGATTGTGCCACAGCACTCCAGCCTGGGCAACATGGCGAGGATGCATCTCAAATAAAAACAGTGGAATACAGCTGTGGGGAGCTGCAAAAGGCAGACTATTTGAGGAGCAGCAAACAAGGATGGGCTACAGCCAAGCAGGGACCCACAGAGATATTACTGGAGGACTTTGCAGCCCCGGGTGCACCGAAGGTATTCATAGCAACAACAAATTGTGAAGCCCAGCCTAACTCGTGCCTTGATTAACATAAACCTTCGCACTAAAGACACAGCAAAAGAAAAGCCACACAGTAGGCAGCCACTAATCTACTTCTGTCTATGGACTCACCTATTCTAGAGAGTTCATGTAAACGGGATCATACACTACGTGGTCTTCTGTGACTGGCTTCTTTCACTTTGATGTGTTTTCAAGCTTTTCTCTTTCACTTTTGTTTTCCTGGTTCATCCATGCTAGCATGTGTCTGTTCCTTACTCCTTTGTATTGCTAAATGATATTTCACAGTATGGAGCTTCCATTTTTGCTCATCCATTAATCGGCTGATGAACATTTGGGTTGTTTTAACCCTTGGGCTATTATGCATAATGCTGCTATGAACATTTGTGCACAGGTTTTTATGTGGACATGTTTTCAATTTCCCTTGGGTACATACCTAGGATTGGAATTGCTAGGTCATATGGTAACTCTTTATTTAGTATCTGGAGGGACTGCCAAGCTATTTTCCAAAGTGGCTACCCCATTTTAACATGTCAATCAGCAATTTTTTTGTGAATCCAATTTTTCCAGATCCTTGCCAACAGTTATCATCTTTTCCATTATTGCCATTTTAGTAGGCACTAAATAGTATCTCACTGTGGTTTTAATTTTTATTTCCCTAATTACTAATCAAATCCAACACTACATAGAAAGGACATAATGACCAAGTGAGGCTCATCATGGACAGTTCAGTATTTGAAAAATCAATCAATGCAATTCAACACATTAAGAAGCAAAATAAGAAAAACCATATGAGCCGGGCATGGTGGCTCACGCCTGTAATCCCAGCATTTTGGGAGGGTGAGGCGGGCAGATCACGAGGTCAGGAGATCGAGACCATCCTGGCTAACACGGTGAAACCCTGTCTCTACTAAAAATACAAAAAATTAGCCGGGCTTGGTGGCGGGCACCTGTAATCTCAGCTACTTGGGAGGCTGAGGCAGGAGAATGGCATGAACCCAGGCGGAGCTTGCAGTGAGCTGAGATGGCGCCACTGCACTCCAGCCTGGGCAACAGAGCGAGAATCCGTCTCAAAAAAAAAAAAAAAAAAAAAAAACAAGAAAAGAAAAAGAAAAAGAAAAACCATATGATCAGCAGACTCCTCAACTCCATACAAGATTATTTTTATATTTGCAGAAAAATCATCTAACAAATTTTTTTTTTTTTGAGATGGAGACAGTCTCACTCTGTTGCCCAGGCTGGAGTACAGTGGTGCAATCTCGGCTCACCTCAACCTCCGCCTCCCGGGTTCAAGCAATTCTCCTGCCTCAGCTTCCTGAGTGGCTGGGATTACAGGTGCACGCCACCACGCCCAGTTAATTTTTTGTATTTTAGTAGAGACGGGGTTTCACTGTGTTGTGCAGGCTGGTCTCGAACTCCTGACCTCAGGCAATCCACCCGCCTGGACCTTCCAAAGTGTTGGGATTACAGGCGTGAGCCACTGCACCTGGCCCATCTAACAAAATTTAATATCCATTCATGATTTAAAACAAAGCAAAACAAAACCTTTCAGCAAACCAGGAATAGTAGAGAACTTCCCTCACCTAATTAGTGACGTCTCCAAATAAACCTACAGCTAACATCATACTTAATGGGAAGAGATTGAATGCTTTGCTGTGAAGTTTGAGAACAAAGCAAGGATGTCCTCTCTTTCCACTCCTATTGAACACTGTACTGTGAGTCCTACTGAGTTCAATAGGAAACACACACACACACGCACACACACACACACACAGAGAGAGAGAGAGAGAGAGAGAGAGAGAAAACAACAAGGAAAACTCAACAATAAAAACCCAATTTTTTAAAACAGGCAAAAGATCTCCAAGGAAAAATTACCAAAGATATACAGATGGCAAATAAGCATATGAAAAGATGCTCCTCATTAGTCATTAGACAAATTCAAATTCAAGCTCCAATGCAGCACCATTACATACCTATTGGAATAGCTAAAATCAAACAAACTGACGATCCCAAATGCTAAACAGGATCTCTCATACATTGCTGGTCAGAATGCACAATGGTACAGATAATTTGGAAAACAGGTTAGCAGTTTATTTTAAAGTGAAGCAAACAATTATTATATGACCCAGCAATTCCATTCTTATTTACCTACATGAAATGAAAACCTATAGTCACATAAAAACCTACATGCAAATGTTTATAGCAGTTTTATTTACCATCACCCAAAACTGAGAACCACCAAGATATTCTTCAACAAGTGAATGAATATTATATAGCCATATAATGACTACTCAGCAATAAAAAGGAATAAACTAGTGATTCATGTGACAATATAGATAAGACTTAAATACATTTTGCTAAGTGAAGGAAGCCAAAAGTCTGCACAGCATTTGATTCCATTTTGATGTTATGGAAAGGGCAAAATGATAGGGATAGAAAACAGATAGGTAGACACCAGAGGTTGAGGGAACTGGGAGGAGCAGACTCCTCAACTCCATACAAGATTATTTTTAGGACAGTGAGTGATGCACAAGGATCCACAAGACTCTGCATCTGTTGAAACCCAAAGATTTGCGTACTCCAAGAATTAACTTTACTTAATGTCAATTTAGAAAAATAATCATCTCAGATGTCCAGGAAATCCTAGGATGTAATGGAGACTATGAAAATCAATTTAACTATATTATAAAGGTATAACATGGCCAGGCGCACTGGTTCACACCTGTAATCCCAGCACTTTGGGAGGCCGAGGCGGACAGATCACCTGAGGTCAGGAGTTCGAGACCAGCCTGGCCAACATGGCAAAACCTCATCTCTACCAAAAAAAAAAAAAAAAAAAAAAAAAATACAAAAATTAGCCAGGCATGGTGGTGCGTGCCTGTAATCCCAGCTACTCGGGAGGCAGGACCGCTTGAACTGGGAGGCAGAGGTTGTAGTGAGCTGAGATCGTGCCATTGCATTCTAGCCCGGGAGACAAGAGCAAAACTCCATCTCAAAAAAAAAAACACAAAAAAAGTATAACATAACCTCGCTGAAGAGGGTGGAGAACAAGAGTTGACTCTGGGAAAGTTTTTTTTTAAACTAGATACTGTAACGAACTGCATAAAAACAGTGTATTTTAAGTAGTAAGAATGTTTCTCACAAGGGCATGTCAATTTCAAACCTACTTGACATGTATACTAGGATTGAACAAATAATTAAATAAACTATAGATAACATAAGCCAGGTTTCTAGCTCTTGGAGAAAGAAGTTACAAATAAGTAAACGGGTGGGGAGGAGGCTAGCCCTGTGATGCTTGATGAGAGGCAGTGATGTCAGTCAGTCGGAACTCATGTTTCAATAGACAAATAGATGACAGATGAGGAAATGAATACATACTAAACAAATGTATATTTCCCAGCTCTGTCCACTCAGAGCATCTGGAAGCAGTGACAAACCAGTAGCATAGGGTACACCCAGGTCCATGTTTGGTTTCTGATACCATTCTACAATGAAATGAACCAAGGCTCCTTGGAGAAAGGGCTTGATTTCTAATGCTGATACAAGGAAAATGCAAGATAAGCCTGGAACATCTTGTAATGTCAGAAAATAAAGAAGTGCTAAAAAAAATAAAAATGAAACGAAGAGGAAGGCAAGTTCAGCCTGCAAGACCTGAAAGAGGGTCAACAGGAAAGAGCTCATAATGGCCAAACCTGGAACAATTTGAGCAACAAAACAAGAAATACTGGATCGGAACCCCAAGAATAAAATAAATATCCACGAGTCTAATCTGATAAATAAATGATTAAATAAATAAAGCATCCTTACAGTGCTTTTCCAAAAAAATTGTAGGTATGCCCCCAAAACTTCTATACTTAAGAAAACAACCCAATAGAAAAAAAATTAAACATGCATTTTACAGAAAAAAAAAAAGCACAGCCTAAGAACATCTGAAAATGTTAGTAATTAGGGAAATGCAAAATAAGAATTTTCATTTCATACCCATCAGATTGACAAACATTTTAAAGTAGTAAGAAGTGGTAGCAAGAATATGAAGTAGTGTAAATTGGTTGAAACACTTTGGAAAAGAGTGTGGCATTATCAAAGAAAGTTAGACGTGTACACATATTGTTCAATCCACAACTTCCTTACTCTTTTTTTTTTTTTTTTTTTTGAGACGGAGTCTGTTGCCCAGGCTGGAGTGCAGTGGCGCGATCTCGGCTCACTATAGCCTCCGCCTCCTGGGTTCAAGCAATTCTCCTGCCTCAGCCTGTATCCGAGTAGCTGGGATTACAGGTGCCCGTCACCACGGCCGGCTAATTTTTGTATTTTTAGTAGAGATGGGGTTTCACCATGTTGGCCAGGATGGTCTCAAACTCCTGACCTCAAGTGATCCACCCATCTTGGCCTCCCAAAGTGCTGGCATTACAGGCGTGAGCCACCACACCTGGCCCACAACTTCTAACTGTATCACTAGGCACTTATCCTAGGGAGACAAGTATGCATCACAGTGCATTTACAAAAATGCCCTTAAGAGTAGTTTCACATTGGCCCCATACAGGTAGCAAGAAAACGCAATGTTGATAGTAGTAGAGTACAGTTGACAGTACAGCTGACAGTAGTATGGATAAATAAAGTGATAGCATATTCTTCTAGAATGCTCTACAGGACTGAAAATGGGTGGACTACATCTATTAGCATTAATCTAAAGAATAATATTAGGCAATAAAAGAAGAACAAGAACACTCATACGGTTCTACTTACAAGGCACAAAAATCGGCAATACTAAATGTTTTTAGGGAAACAGAAGATGTTACTAAAATTTTACAGAGGATTTAACAGTAAGTTTAGAATACTAGTTATCTCTAGGGGGAAACAGGGAGATGCAACAGAAGCTTCTGCTTTAGATTCACGTTTTAAGGAAGGAGTGGTTGGCTGTGCTGAATGATGAGACTGGCAAAGGGAAGTCCCTGGCAACCACCATGTGCAGTTTCAGTGGGCACAGTGCAGGTGGAAGCCTGACTCGGGCAGACTGAAGAGTGAATGAATGGTAGGAAAATGAGTTTGCATGTGTGGACAACTCTTTCTCAAATGCTAGGGGACCAGAGACATACGGCAGCAGCTGGAGGGAGCTGGGACAGTCAAGAAACTTGTTTCCTTTTCGAAGGTAGGAGATGCTAGAGCTGGTATGAATGCTTTCTTTGTGTATGTGTTCTCCTCCTACTGTTTCATAGGGTCCTTAAGATGCAGAGGAGATAGACCTGTGCCAACTCAGCACCAGTAGAGGATTTGGCCTTCACTGGATAGTCAGACACTTTTTTTTTTTTTTTTTTTTTGAGAGGGAGTCTTGCTCGGTCACCCTGGCTGGAGTGCAGTGGTGCAATCTCAGCTCACCGCAACCTCTCTCTCCTGGGTTCAAGCAATTCTCCTGCCTCAGCCTCCCAAGTAGCTGGGATTACAGGCGCCCATCACCTGGCTAATTTTTGTATTTTTTTAGTAGAGATGGGGTTTCACCATGTTGGCTGGTCTCAAACTCCTGACCTCAAGTGATCTACCTGCCTCAGCCTCCCAAAGTGCTGGGATTTCAGGCGTGAGCCACCGCACCCAGCTAACACTTCCGTCTTTGAAACAGGAGGGAAGAAAATGGATACAGTCATAACTGCAGCTGTATTTTGGTGGTAGAAAAAGTTTACATTTGACAGCTTTAATTTTCTCAATGAAGTCTAGATGAAATCAGCTATAGTGATATAGATAGAAAAAAGGAGAAGGGAGTATTTGAGGGAAAAGTGTAAAATACTCATGTTGGAAATAGGAACGTGAACCTCTTAGAAAAGAGGTTCTCAATCTTCAGCAAGCGTCAGAATCACACAGAGGTTGTGAAAACACCAGCAGCTGGATCCAGCCCCTGAGTTCCTGATTCAGCAGGCCTGGGATGTGAAATATGCATTTCTAACAAGTTCCCAAAAGATTCTGATGCTTCTGGCCAGAGGACCACACTTTGAGAACCACTATGCTAGAGAAGTAAAATGTGATTGTCAAGTAGTATTTGGTGCCAAATTGAGGCATGGCATCATGAATTTAAAGTTAATGCAATCGGCCAGATTTTACTGTAGCGATGTTCAGCTGCTTGATGTAGAAAAATGGAGGCAAAGGTTTATCTGAGAATGGGGGTTTTGCTAGGTATGACAGCAGGAGAGGGTGCAAGGAATTTGGGGATATCTTTGTAACGCAAGGATTCTAATGGTGGATTGTTGACCTAGAGGATGGAGAAAGACAGAAATAAGGCCAGGTAGGGGCTGACAGGCAATGAGGAAGGTTACTGGACTCTTTGTTAGGTCTTGAGTTCAAGCATCGTGATGTGGGTTTACTTGAGCAGATAAGTTGGAAGGTAGAGAGACAGTGATACAAGGAGGAAATGCTGAGATTTCAGAGGTGATACAGTTTGAGGGGCTGATAAAGTTCAGGGGGGGAAACGGGAATGACCCAATGAAGTAGAGATGAGAAAATGTTGAGAAACAGAGGCCAGGGTATTTCATTGTTTACCCAAGTGAGTACTGGAGTCACCAAGAATGATGACACCTATTAAGATGGAGAGGATGGAGTGAAAGTCTTTGGTGAGTGATGGACAGGGCTGAAGAGGTCAGTACATCACAGCAGGGTAGAAATGACATGACATTCCTGCTGATGTTGAAGCCTGTGTTGAATGAGTTAACGCAGTGCCAGCTCCCCCGGGGGCCAGGGGGACAGTGGGAGGAGAAGACAGACTTCAGTCTGCTCCCCTGGGGTGGGAAGCCTGCTTCAATCTTCAAGGAGGGCCTGCTTCCTCTGTTACTGGCTATTTCCAGACCTGGGATTGACTCTTGACTATTAATAGTGGGAAAGGAAACTGGAAAGAATGCTCCAGGAAGAGGGGTGTGGAAGGAGGCCAGGGAGGAGGTGGGATGAGAGGCTCTGGCCTGGACACCAGTATCGACCTCTCCTTCCTTCTTTATCCCCTGCTTACCACCCCCAACTCATCTCCACAGAAATAAAAAAAAAAACTTCCAAGGGGAGAGACAGGCAAGATGAGCGGATGTGTTCCTCGATTGGTGTGCCAAAGGGAAGAGCGCAGGCTGGGAAATGAGAAGGTCTGAACCTTCTCATCCTGCCCCCGCCTTGGACCCTCAGGCCTGGGCAAGCTGTCTGCCCTCTTGAAATGCATCTGTGAAAGGTGGGCCAGAAGATTCCTAAGGTCCCTCGGGGTGTGTACGCACTCTCCTGAGCACGACACTGTATACTAGGTAAGCCTGCTTTGGCTGTGACAGCAGAGCCATCCTAGCCAGTCATTTCAGAGGGCTTGCGCTGGGCCTCCCTAGGGGTATAGGCGGGAGGGCTTGCGCTGGGCCTCCCTAGGGGTATAGGCGGGGCCTTTCCAAGGGCTGCCCAACCCTAACACTCATTTTTCCAACATGTGGTATCTGCTCCACAAGCCTCTTCTTTCCAGGGGGTGCAGGGAGCTGCTAGGACTCGGGAAGGGCCTGGTGTGATGCCATTGCAGGTTCGGCCAGGTTGAGGTCTACACCCCACCCCCCCACCCCCAGCTCTCCAGGGCACACCTTCTCAGGCTACAAGTCCTGCTGGCCATTGTACACTGGCCTTTTTATTGCCAGCTGGGCAGGACAGCGAGGCAGGGTGGCATGGGAGAGCCGGATCAGTAAGGGACCTGGGGCTGCTCTCTGTTCACTTGGCCAGGACTCCTCCCAGCACCAAGGTATCAGGTGCCCTCTCTCGCCCCTGCATGCAGCCCCCTCACTCCCCAGCCTTCCTTGTGAAGGACGTGATGCTCCCCATGTTACGGTCCCACCTCTGTGTGTCTTGGGTGTTATTAATCAGGTCAGGGCTGGGCTTGGTGGCTCATACCTATAATCCCAGCAATTTGGGAAGCCAAGGCGGGAGAATCACTTGAGCCCAGGAGTTTGAGACCAGCCTGGGCAACATAGCAAGACCTCATCTCTACAAAATATTCAAAACATTAGGTGAGTATGGTGGAGGGGCACCTGTAGTCCCAGCTACTCACGATGAGGTAGGAGGATCACTTGAGCCCAGTGAGCTACGAGCTATCACTTGAGGCTGCAGTGAGCTATGATCACACCACTGCACTCCAGCCTGGGCAATGGGGAAAGATCATGTCTCAGAAAAAAAAAAAAAAAAAAGGCCAGGTGTGGTGGCTCCCACCTATAATCCCAGCACTCGGGAGGCCAAGGCGGGTGGATCACCTGAGGTCGGGAGTATGAGACCAGCCTGACCAACATGGAGAAACCCCGTCTCTACTAATAATAAAAAATTAGCTGGGCGTGGTGGCACATGCCTCTAATCCCAGCTACTCGGGAGGCTGAGACAGGAGAATCGCTTGAACCCGGGAGGCGGAGATTGCAGTGAGCCAAGATCGCACCATTGCACTCCAGTCTGGGCAACAAGAGCAAAACTCCGTCTCAAAAAAAAAATTAAGTCAGTACGCTTAATTCCCTGCCCCAGCGGTCTGGTCATCCCCTTGCCCTGCTCTTGCTTAGCTGGGCACTCATTTCCTTCCACCAAAAGGCCCTTCTGGATCCCTCCAGCCCAGTGTGGGTCCTGTCCTTGGAGGCTGTTGGCTCTGGTCTTCTGCTCTGGAATCTTATTAATGCTATATCCAGCCGCTTATAAACAATTGACCTCTGTGGCTTTAAGAAAACCAGTATCTCCCCCTCTCTACCCTGCAAGGTGCCAACCAGATGTTGATGCCTCCAGGAGGAACCTGACCTGGGATAAGAGCAAGGAGCTTGTCTGCAGAGGACAGCATGGGAAGGCCATCGAGGAACTGACTCGCCTCACTCTCGCCAACCAGTGTCGGCTCTCTTCCCCATCTGCATGTGCTCAGGTGAACCTTGGCCCATCTCTGCGCCTCAAGTCCTAGATCAGTTTACCTACGACCGCCATAACAAATTACCACAAAGGCTTAAAACAACAGAAATGTAGTCTCTCACCATTCTGGAAGCCAGAAGTCTAAAATCAAGGTGTGTGCTTCTGACACTCCCTGGCTGAAGCAGTATCCCGCCAACCTCTGCCCTCATGGTCACATGGCCACCTTCTCTATGTGCCTCTTATGAGGACACTTGTCATTGGATTTAGGGCCCACCCACTTAAAACCAGCATGCTCTCATCTTGAGGTCCTCAGTTATTATCTGTAAAGACCCTTTGTCCACATAAGTTAATAATCACACATTCCAGCCAGGCGCGGTGGCTCATGCCTGTAATCCCGCACTTTGGGAGGCCGAGGTGGGCGGATCACCTGAGGTTGGGAGTTTGAGACCACCCTGACCAACATGGAGAAACCCCATCTCTACTAAAAATACAAAATTAGCTGGGCATGGTGGTGCATGGCTGTAATCCCAGCTGCTCGGGAGGCTGAGGCAGGAGAATAGCTTGAACCCAGGTTGCAGTGAGCTGGAGATCGTGCTATTGCACTCCAGCCTGGGCAACAAGAGCGAAACTCCATCTCAAAATAATAATAATAATAATAATCATCATCATCATCATCATCATCACACGTGGCCGGGCGTGGTGGCTCAAGCCTGTAATCTCAGCACTTTGGGAGGCCGAGGAGGGTGGATCACGAGGTCAGGAGATCGAGAACATCCTGGCTAACACGGTGAAACCCCGTCTCTATTAAAAGTACAAAAAAATTAGCCGGGCATGGTGGCAGGTGCCTGTAGTCCCAGCTACTCGGGAGGCTGAGGCAGGAGAATGGTGTGAACCTGGGAGGCGGAGCTGGCAGTGAGCTGAGATCGCGCCACTGCACTCCAGCCTGGGCGACAAAGCAAGACTCCGTCTCAAAAAAAAAAAAAAAATTAAAAATAAATAATAATAATAATAATCACACGTTCCAGAGATTTTTACTTGTATATCTTTTTTTTGGAGGGGGGGTACATTTTTGGTCTGCCATAGGTCCCCATCTGGAAAATAGGGGGTAGTGACTCCTGGGGTTGTGCTCTTTCCCTCTAAATGGTCCCCTGCTTGGGCTCAGGGCCCCAAAAGTGGGGTGGCTTGACTTCCCTGGGTATAAGGGGTATGACAGACTTGACTGTCTGGGCCCCACATCCAGTGCATATGTGGAAGCCCCAACCCCCAGCGTGAAGGTCTTAGGAGGCGGTGCCTTGGGAGAGACTTAGGTTTAGATGAGGTCCTGAGGATGGAGCCTCCATGATGGATTAGTGTCCTTTTAGGAAGAGGAAGAGACAGCAGAACTTCTCTCTGCCCGGTGAGGTCACAGCGTGAAGGCCCTGTCTACAAGCCAGGAAACGCCCTCGCCAGAACCTGACCATGCCGGAACCCTGATCTGCGACTTTCAGCCCCCAGATCTGTGAGAAATAAATGTCTGTTGCCTAAGCCACCCAGCCGACAGTATTTTGTTATACTGTAACAAAAATCAGAGCTAAGACAAGGGGTTCAGGATGGAGATTAATAACGAGAACAGAGACAGCAGGAAGGGCTGCTCCAACTGTCTGGGGCAAGGCCGGGTCCCCAACGTGCGCCCCTTACCCCCACACAGGCTGAGTGTCAGGTAGATAAGTGCAGCCACAGACTCCAGTCATGCTCCACCCTCCCCGTCCCTTCCCTGGGACCCTGGCAGGTCTGTTGGCTCTGTGGTCCCCAGGACCCTGGCAGCTGTGAGACTTGGGGCCTCTGGGTAGCAGGACGGCACCTCAGGGGTGGGGTCGTCAGGCCTGCCTCTCAGCATCACCTCTCCCAGAGGGGCTGAGAGCTGCCCCCTTAGGGGAGATAATTCCGGGCATTCTTCAAATCTGGAATTGTTCTGCCCTTATCAGCTTGTTTCAGCTGGCCTGCCCGGCACCCGCTGCTCCCTGTAGGGTGGGGCCCGTCTGCCTGCTTCCCTGGGCAGGAGAGGGCTGCCACTGTCTAGCGTGGAGATGTCCCAGCGATGGGGAAGGGCAGCCTTCGCTTGGGTGCATTTCTCCCTGCAGGGAGGGCACTGTGGCCAGATCACCTGTAAGAAGCCCTGGTTCACACCACTTCTTCCCAGGGCTGACAAGTCCTCATTCTTTCCTGTCCTCAACACCTGGGAGCAGGGCACAGCACCCAAGGATACTTGGCTCCCATCTGCCCACATCCCTGCCTCAGAGGTGCCCCTCTGTAACTCCCCACTAAAGCAGTACAGGACAGAGGCTAAGAGCATGTACCAGGGAGCCCGACACCCGGCTTCCAGTCCACACACAAGCTGTATAACCAGGCAAGAGTCTCGACTTAACATAAATGTCTGAATGCTGTTCCTCAGTTTCCCCATCTGTCAAAATTGGAGAGCAGGGTAATAAAAGTAACAAACTCTATACCTTTGAGTACTTAGAGCAGTGTGTGCACATAGAAAGTGCCCGATCTATGGCAGCTATAATTATATTCCTGCTGAGCTGTGCAGGGGGGAAGGAAAGGCACCCCACCTCCCCTTACCCGTTAGAGCCGCGCAGCCCACCTCCTCCTCCACTCCTCCTCCACTCCCTCTCGAGCCACTCACACCTGCACAGGCCTTGCCAAGGTGAGAGTGGGTGCAGGTCTGCCCAGACCCATGTGGCTCTTCCTTCTCAGTGAGGCATGGCTGATCTGGGGAGGGGAGAAGATGAGGCACCAGGGCAGCTGTGGTCAAGAGAAGACCCAGATGAGGAGCTGAGCCTGAACCTTCCTGGAGAAGGAAAGGAAACCCAGGCCTGGGGGACCCCAACTCCAGGAAGTGTTTCCTCACCGGCTCAGAGATGGAGGGAGGGGCTTTCCGGCTGTCAGCCTCAAGTTCTACCCTGATAATGACCCCGCACCCCATCCTGGCGGGGCAAGGCCGCCACCTGTGAGAGCTCTATGTGAGGTCAGCTGGGCTCCAGGACCAGTGCCTGGTGTCAGGGCCACAGGGGTGGCCGGCGGGGGTAGGCAGTAGGGTGGGGTGGGGGTCAGGAGGGGGCTGGAGCTCAGACTTCACTGGCTGTGCCCTTCTCCCTCTTGGGCCTGGCTTTCCTCCTCAGGGAAATGAAGCTCAATCACTTCTGCCTCCTTCCCTTGTCCATCACGATGGGTGTGGACCAAGATGGAAGAGTCTGGTAAGTGAGACTCTGGAGGAAGAAGGCAGGGAACTCAAATGTATTAAAAGATATTTTAATACACATGGCCGGGTGTGGTGGCTCACACCTGAAATCCCAGCACTTTGGGAAGCTGAGGTGGGCAGATCGCTTGAGCTCAGGAGTTCAAGACCAGCCTGGAAAACATGGTGAAACCCTGTCTCTACCAAAAATACACACAAAAAAATTAGCTGGGTGTGCTGTAGCCTGTAGTCCTAGCTACTCAGGAGGCTGAGGTGGGAGGATGGCTTGAGCCTGGGAGGCAGAGGTTGCAGTGAGCCAAGATCGGGCCACTGCACTCCAGCCGGGGTGACAAAGCAAGACTCTATCTCAAAAAAGAAAAAAGAAAAGAAAAAGAAATATATTGACCATCAACGGAGGGCCAGGGTATCTCCTTAATTCTCAAAAGGACATGAGATATGTGTTATTATCTCCACTTTGAAAGTGAAGGCAGTCTGGAGGGAAGGGAAGGGGAGTTAGCATCTGATGGGTGCAGAGCTTCAGTGTCGGAGGATGAACATCTTCTGCAGGTGGATGATAGGAGCAGGTGCATGACAGTGTGAAGAAGGTACTTAATGCCACTGAACTGCACCCCTAAAAATGGTTATTACAGTAAGCTGTACGGTAAGTCAATTGGACCACACACACACACAAGTGAAGAAAGCGTTCAACACCACAGCAAGTAAACAGGTCAGTTTGGGACACCAGTGTGACTGGGGGCAGCTTTCTCTCCATGGCCCTGTGTGCAGGAAAGAACACCCTCTCGTGTGTGGAATCACTCTGTGACACAGTATTGTACAACAGAGGTCACACACTTTTTCCATAAAAGACCAAAGTAAATATCTTAGGCCTTATAGGGGGCCATACAGTCTCTGCCGCAACTACTCAACTTTGCCGTCATGGGCCTGAAGACAACCGCAGAAACAACCTGTACATAAATGGGTTTGACTGTGTTCCAAGAAAACTTTACTGACAAATACAGCTGGCCAAGCAGTCATATGCTGACCACTGATGTCTAAGATCCCCCTGGGGCTAGGCCTATTTTTGTTTCTTTGTTTTTTTGAGATGGTCTCGCTCTGTTGCCCAGGCTGGAGTGCAGTGGCACAATCACAGCTCACTGCAGCCTTGACCTCCCAGGCTCAAGCAATCCTCCCACCTCAGCCTCCCGAGTAGCTAGGACTACAAGTGCTTACCACCCTGCCCAACTAATTAATTTTTTGTAGAGACAGAGTCTCACTATGTTATCCAGGCTGGTCTCAAACTCTTGAGCCCAAGTGATCCTCCCTCCTCTGCTTCCCAAAGTGCTGGGATTATAGGCATGAGCCACTGTGCTTGGCCAAAGAGGACTATGTTTTTTAACCCAGCTGTGGATCCTATTCTGACTTTCCTAAAGAGCCTGACAAGTGTCACTTGTACTAGCCTGTTAGAAACCAAGCCACATCATGGCAAACTGGGAAAAAATATTTGCAACTCATATGGCAAAGGAAAATACCTAAGCTGTCAGCTAGCTACTCAAAACCACTTAAAAACTAAGATAGATTTTAAAATCTGAAAGTTCCACAATCCAATAATAGATGCCAGGGGAGATGTATGGCATGACGGGTCCTTGGAGAGGTGCCCTCCCCTCTGGATGGCTGGTGCTGTCTACTGGTATTGCCACCCCTCAGTGGGCAGATGCTGAGGCTTCTGTGGGAGGGACCACGACTGTTTCTCTCGTATCCCTGGCACCTGCACAGAACCCAGTCCCAACAAACACCTGATAAGTGTGTTCCAGGATGGTGCTTACACCCTCGGGCCAGCAGCAGCTGGTGTCAGGGCTGGGGTAGAAGTCAGCCAGCAAAAAAGGCCAGTCCAACACAGCAGGTTAAGGCGCCTAATCTGGCCTTCCCTGCCACTTCTCCTGGGCCTCTCCCTGCTGGTTCCTGTCCCCAGCGCCCCTCCCCCTGGGAGGCTCACCTGAACTGCCTGTCTGGAGCCTGGTGTTTTCATCCTTCAGTGCCGCTGCCCCATGCTCACAGTAGGTTCTACTGTGCTCAGTCAGGAGGTTCTCAGAACAGCCCCTTTCCCTATCATTTTAAAAAATGTTTCACTAAAGAATTACAGGCATTTAAAAAATGGCACGTGGCCAGGTGCAGTGGCTTACACCTGCAATCCCAGCACTTTGGGAGGCCGAGGCAGTCAGATCACTTGAGATCAGGAGTTCAAGACCAGCCTGGCCAACATGGTGAAACCCCATCTCTACTAAAAATACAAAAATGAGCTGGGTGTGGTGGCGCACACCTGTAGTCCCAGCTCCTCAGGAGGCTGAGGCAGGAGGATCACCTGAGCCCAGGGAGGTGGAGGCTGCAGTGAGCCATAATTGCGCCACTGCACTCCATCCCGGATGACAGAGTGAGACCCTGTATATATGTATGTATGCGTAAATTAGTTAACTAATTAATTGATTGCCAGGCCTGGTGGTGTGTACCTGTAGTCCCAGCTACTTGCAGGGCTGAGGTGGGAGAATTGCGTGAGCCCAGGAGGTCGAGGCTGCAGTGAGCCATCATTGCAACACTGCACTCCAGCCTGGGTGACAGTGAGAACCTGTTTTTTTAAAAAAAAAAAGCCAAGCACGGTGGCTCACGCCTGTAATCCCAGCACTTTGGGAGGCCTAGGTCAGGAGTTCGAGACAATCCTGGCCAATATGGTGAAACCCTGTCTCTACTAAAAATACAAAAATCAGCTGGGCATGGTAGCACGTGCCTGTAGTCTCAGCTACGCAGGAGGCTGGGGCAGGAGAACTGCTTGAACCTGGGAGTGGGAGGCAGAGGTTGCAGTGAGCCGAGATTACACCATTGCATTCCAGCCTGGGCATGGAAGCAAGACTCCGCCCCACCCCACCCCACCCCCCCAAAAAGGTGCATATCACAAGTGTACAGCTTGATGAATTGTCCTCGAGGGAATACACACATTTAACCAGCACCAGATGGTGAAACTGGACAGCTCGTCTCAGAAGCCCTGCCTGTGTTCCTCTCCATCCCCGAGGGTAACCGCTATTATTCTGACTGAGAAGATTCGGGGTTGTGTCTGTTGTGGGATTTCATATCAATGGCATCACACCGTCGTGACTCTTGGGTCTGGCTTCCCTCACTCAGCTTTGCTTTGTGTAACTCATCCTTCTCGTGGTGTGCGGTCGCAGACTGTTCGCCCCCATTACAGTGGAGGACTCTATTGTGTGCACATGCCACTATGTATTTGTCCATTCTGCTGCTGATGGGCATTTGGGCGGCTTCCAGTTTAGGGCCATTGTGAATAGGGCTTCCGTGACCATCGCAGTCCCTGTCTTTGGGAAACTGATGTGTACGCACTTCAAACACATCTGTGGCAAGGCTGCACAGGGCCCACTGTGGCCCTGCAGAGTACAGGAGGGAGATGAACCAGGAGACCAGCTCCTGGCCCCTCCCCTGTGCTCTGACTTAGTTGGGAGGATGACCCCCCTACCCCCAGGCAGACCCTCAGGCTGTTTCTGTATGGGCTGCCCCACTCCGTTGTGTGTCCCAGACCCATTCTCTGACCGAGCTTCCCATCCCCAAGGCCTGGCAGGGAAGGAGTGGCAGGGGCAGAAGTGCTCTGCGGGGAGCCAGCCTCATCCTCCATCATGCCCTGGCACAGCAGCTAGTGGGGCTCAGTTTCCTCATAATGCAGGGAGCACAGGGTTCAATGACCTCTACAGTCTCACCTGATGAAAATCAGGCCCAGAGTTGGTGACACTGCATCCTCCAGGTGGAGGTCAGAGGGCGGAACCCCACCCCTACCCCCTAACAGGACCCAGCGCCTCAGCAGGAAGCTTCTAGATACATTCTTTGGAATGACTCATGACTATAATTCTGTGGCTGAAGGCAGAGAGGTAACAGGAGAGCCTGGAATTCAATCGACGGTGCCACCCAAGATTCCTGCGTCGCCACTCCCTGGGGCTCAGCCCACCCCTGCCCGCTCTGGTTCCTCTCCCTCTCAACTGCTCCCCACTCCCCATCCTGCTCCCCACTCCCGCTCCCACTGTTGTTGCTGTTGCTAACAAGAGAGGCGTCCCCATGCCGAGCCCCTGGAGCTTTGTACGTGGTGTCAGGCTTTGTCTAGGGACCACCAGCCTGCCCAGAGAAGGGGATGGGTTCTTCCTGAGCTGGAAAGAGCAGACTAACCTCCTTAAAACAATACCCTCCCCAGGGGCCTCCTAATCCCTTCCCCTGCAGCAGACCATGTGAATCCTGATCTGTCTTCCTGGGCCTTGTGCCCAGGGACAGCCAACACACCAGCCAGCTGGCAGGCGAGGACGGGGACAGGGCTGATGCCTGGATGCCTTCGCTAACCTCGCCTGCCCAAGATGGGCTCCCAAACAAGTCACCACCACAGGACAGCACCCGGGGGAGGTGGCAGAGTGGCCACTCGCCCTGCCTTTAAGGTCAGTTTAAATGACCACATCCAAGATGTGATGCAGCCTCCACAGAAAAAGTGAGCTCTGCAAATGGAGACCTGGATGTCTGTGTGAGCCGGGGACCTCTTTGGACCTTGGTTTCCTCATCTGTCGAGGGAGACATATCTATCTTGGAACAAAATGAACATATTTTTTAGAATGTATAAGCTCTTTTTTTTGAGACAGGGTCTTGCCCTGTCACCCAGGCTGCAGTGCAGTATTGTGATCTCGGCTTACTGCAACCTCCGCCTCCCGGGTTCAAGTGACTGTCCAGTCTCAGTCTCCTGGGTAGCTGGGATTACAGGCACGCACCACCACGCTCAGCTCATTTTTGTATTTTTAGTAGACATGGGGTGTCGCCACGTTGGCCAGGCTGGTCTTGAAGTCCTGACCTCGTGATCAGCCTCCCAAAGTGCTGGGATTACAGGCGTGAGCCACCACGCCCAGTCCCCGAAATGTAAAAACTTTGAGGAAAATGTTTAAATATTCCAAATCTACAGTATCCTTACTGAGGGCGGGGCTGGAAGAAGGGGCAGCCAGGCTCAGCCAGCCTTGCCGACCCCCTGCTGTGAGCAGGAGACAGGAACGTCCGTGCCCAGTCTGGGTGCTGCATGTGTCCTGGTACACTCGGGGCAGCTCTGAGACCACGGGGTAGAGGGGTGGACATGCTGCCTCACTCACATGCTGGAACTTTCTGTAAATCCACCTATTAAATGACACCTCCTAAGAGCAGTTTATCCTCATGACTGTAAACTTAATACTGGGCAAATACTGAGGTCTTAGCATATTGGCCAGACTCTGCGCCACGTTCTTCCTGCATATGATCTCATTTGTGTCTCCAGCACCCTCTGAGGACACACCTTTAGTACCTTTTAATTTTTAATCTTTTTAGAGACAGGGTCTTGCTCTGTCACCCAGATTGGAGTGCGGTGGCGCGATCACGGCTCACTGCAGCTTCAACCTCCTCCTGGGCTCAGATGATCCTCCCACCTCAGCCTGCCATGTAGCTGGGACCACAGGTGTGCACCACCACACCCAGCTATGTTTTTGATTATTTTGTAGAGATACGGTCTCACTCTGTTGCCCAAACTAGCCTTGAACTCCTGAGCTCAAGTGATCCTCCTGCCTCAGACTCCCAAAGTATTGAGATTACAGGAGTGAGCCACAGTGTCTGGCCTATTATGTACCTCGTTCAGAAAAGGAGAGACAGACTAGCCCAGGGAAGGCCCCACCCCAGGTCAGAGAGCCAGATTCTAACCCAACTGTCTCGGGGATGAGTGTTCTACCCTGCCCCCGCCCCCCAATACCCATCACACTGGGTCTGCACCGACCCGCACCCTTCGCACCGACCCTCACCCTTCTCAACTGGCCCTGTCCCTGCTCCCAGGAGCACCTGCAACCTGTCCCCAGGCACACACACACTTCCAGAGCCAAAGCGCCCGGACATTTGGCACACAACTCTTCCCCTAGCAGTAAGTTCAAAAACAACCTTGGTAAATATTTTTCTGAGGGAGCACGTTGTCTTTCCCACGCCACCTCCGGCCTCCTGCAGCCGTGAAAATAACCAGATGTGTATGGGTTTCTCAGTGGCCTCTGGAAACCTCCACCAGGGCCGAGTCTCCACTCCTGGCCTAAAACAAACAAGGGCCCCGAGCCAGAGGGAAGTCCCGCATGCATGGCTGTGGGATAGTCACCTCTGAAACGGAGAGTGCCTCTGGGAAGAGAGGGAGAAAGTTCTGTGAAATGGAGCCTGTGAATTTCCCAGGGAATGATCTGCTTCCGTCTGGTGGACACTGAAGGTTAAGGCAGCAAGTTCAGCTCTCCAAATTTCTATCCTCTTTGTGTTCTGTCCTGGCGAGAATTCTCCCCTTCCAGGAATAACACCTGTGTCCTTCTTGCTGCAGAGTAATTCACAGCAGGGCACGTTCCCCAGGCAAAATCCCAGACTAAATCCGTGCATGCTGGGGTTGGAGCAGGAGCAGGAGCTAAGGCTCTCTGATGGTCACCCGCTTACTCTGCAAAGCAGGGCAAATAAAGCTAAAACTATCACCTATCTCTCTCCTTGGCCCAGGAGGTGGAAGAAAAAGCATGGTTACCTCCCACAGAGCACACGATCCGAATTTCTTTGGTGGTTTTTGACAGTGGAGCCTGTATCTTTTGGACAGTAGGGAGTGGAGTGGAAGTGGGGTTGGGGGTGACTTGGGGGTGGGAAGGTGTTGCTTAAAAAGAACAAACAGGCCAGGCGCAGTGGCTCACACCTGTAATCCCAGCACTTTGGGAGGCCGAGGCGGGTGGATCACGAGGTCAGGAGTTCAAGACCAGCCTGGTTAACATGGTGAAACCCCATCTCTACTAAAAATACAAAAATTAGCCGGGCTTGGTGGTGGGCGTCTCTAATCCCGCTCCTCGGAAGGCTGAGGCAGATAATTGCTCGAACCTGGGAGGCGGAGGTTGCAGTGAGCCACTGCACTCCAGCCTGGGCAACAGAGCGAGACTCCGTCTCAAAAAAAAAAAAAAAAGACAAACAAACCAAGTAAGTGGATATCATTAAACAATTGAGGACTGGCTCCCTTGTCCCCTGCCAGGGCCTGCAGGGAAAGTTAAAGGCCATGTTCCTTTTAAACAAAGCCAAGTCATCATGGCCCTCCCTGTGTTTGAGACGCTAGAGTTCGTCAAGGAAGCCCGGTTTCCTATGGGCACCGCCTAGGGAAGTGAATCAAGAATCTCAGGGCCAGCCCCAGTTGGAGCCAGGTGTCCAAACAGCTGAACATTCATCCCCTAAAAGTAGTTTCATGACATCAGAGAGGGGGGACAGAGGCATGACTGAGTACATGCCTCAATGACATACACACACACTCATGCGCACAGCTGTGAACTCACAGCTCTTCTTTTTCCAAGAAACTGGGAGCAAAATATTTCCCTCTGAAGTTTTGCAGGTCAGGAAAGGGGTCAGGTTTGCTTAGATCACACAAGATTGATTCTGAAGTCAGACTTGGGGCTCCAAAAGGGGTGGAGGAAAGGAAGGCACCGTCTCTTGCCCCCTGGCCCTCAAGGCTCCATGCCCCGTTCTCTCTCTGCCCTCTCTCTCTGCCCAGTCTGGCTACCCTGCAAGGTGGGTGCAGAGGCCCAGATGTCTAGGCCAAGTTTATTTGGCCACTCCCATGCCCAGAACAAGAAAAGAAGGCTAATTCAAAGTGGAAGGGAGGCTGGCTGCGGTGACTCACGCCTGTAATCCCAGCACTTTGGGAGGCTGAGGCATGAGGATCACTTGAGCCCAGGAGTTCAAGACCAGCCTGGGCAATATAACGACACCTCACCTCTACAAATAATTTTTAAAATTAGCAAGGCATGGTGGTGCATGCCTGTGGTCCCAGCTACACAGGAAGCTGAGGCAGGAGGATCGCTTCAGCCTAGGAGGTCAAGGCTGCAGTAAGCCATGTTTGTGCCACTGTACTCCAGCCTGGGTGACAGAGGGAGACCCTGTCTCAACGACGACAACAGCAATAACAGCAACAAATAAAGTGGAAAGGGGGTACCTGGAGCCTCAAGACGTGACTCTAGGTAAAATCACCAGCATCCTCCGCCTTGGATTTCTCGTCTGGAAAGCATGTACAGCGCCAGTTAGAGCCTCCCTCCCTCTAGAGCATGGCAGTAGTGCAGCTTCTAGGGAGAGGCAGAGCCAGGATCACAGGATCCAGAGATCCTGGTCCGAGGAGCTGTCACCTTTCTTGTTTTCCCTTACAGCCTGGTCTTTGCTGGCACAAGGTCTAGAGATGCAGAGCACGAGGAGCTGATGCCACCCCTCGGGCTGGACGCAGGGGCCAGGGACAGGCTGGGGCTGAGTTCACGGTGCTCTGTGACCAGAGGCTGGGATGTTCTCTGCTTTTCTTTTTTGTCATCAGTTCAGCCAAATGTATGTTTTGAAGCCACAGTTTTCTACTTTTTAAACTTATTATTTTCATATTTATTTAAAGATAGGGTCTTGTTATGTCATCCATGCTGGAGTACAGTGGCACAATCATAGCTCACTACAGCCTCTCAAACTTCTAGGCTTAGCAAGTAGTACCCACCTCAGCCTCCCAGGTAGCTGGAATTACAGGTCCATACCACCATGCTTGACTAATTTTTAAACTGTATGTAGAGATAGGGCCTCACTATGTTGCCCAGGCTGGTCTTGAACTCCTGGCTTCAAACGATCCTCCTGCCTCGGCCTCCCAAAGTGCTGGGATTATAGGTGTGAACCACAGTGCCAGGCCATCCCTTGTCCCCTGCTCTTTAAAAGCCATGCAGGCATCACATTCCTCCGCATCCCAGAGTCATAATGTTACAGCTAGAGGAAGCCTAGATGTCATGTGATCTCAGCCCAACAAGTAGAGACGAGCAAGCAGTCAGAGGACCAGGCACCACCACGCCTTCTTTGGCATCTAAGAACCATGTAGTCCCACTCCTAGTGCAGCTCTCCAATCCTGTGGGGTCTGAGTGCCCACATATACCTGGCTCCAGGTGCTGCACCCCTCTTGGTTGTTGGACAGGGGAAAGGGAGGCATCTGACCTGCAGTGAGATGAAGAAAGGGCCGAGGCCAGCAAAACACGAAGAGCCCCCAGGACACTACAGGACATGTGTCCATGCCCCCCTTCACATTACCCAGGAATCCGTGGTGTCACTGCCTGTCCCCAGAAGCCAAATGCATGAGAACAGCCCCCTCCAGCCATTCCCAATGGCTGAGAACATCCACACTGTCCAGCTGGGTTCCCTCTGCATATGCAGCCACACACACCCATCAGTCCCATGATGCCAGCAGTCCTGGGGCCGAAATCACCCAGCTTTAGACCATGGGAAATACTAAACAGGAAGGCCCCTGAGAGCCACTGGGCCAGCTCCTCATTCACAGATGAGGAAACTGAGGCCTGCAGGGAGGACACTGGGTTGTGAGTGTCTGGACAGAGGATCTGTTTCTTTTGCAAACCCACTCCTCAGCTCAACACCCAACTCAGATGGACCCTGCTGGTTTTCTTCACTGTGCCTGCCACCAGCCCTGTGTACATGTGGCGCACCCACACAAATACCCAGCGCTTAGCCAACAGGAGACCCCAGGGCCAGTTATAGCTGGCACATGGACATGATTGCCCTAGAGTGCCTGTGGCATTCAGAGATGTGATTCTGTGTCAACAGGACCAGACTTCCAGATTCATCCAGGGCTGTAAAGCCAGAGAATTTCCCTGCCCAAGTGTAATCCCCATAGGATGCCGTGGGTGAACGAAAGGCCAGGACGGCTCCCACCCTGCCCTTCCCCAGAAGCCGATCCACAGCACAAGCTCTCTAGAACCCCAGCCATGGAGAAGCAAAACCCAGGATGACCTCAGGATGAGAAGCAACTTTTTGGGCGGTGCTCTCAGGGCCTCCAGATCAGGGAGGCGTGGGCAGGAGTTAGGACAGCACAGGCCTGGGGAGGGAGCAGCAGGGCCTCCGCACGCACGCCCTGTACTACGCACGCACGCCCTGTACTACGCTTGGCAGTGCCCCCGGGGCAGGATGCAGGACTGCATCTGGCTGAACAATGGGCACCCCTCCTCATTGTCCCACCTGCGAGTAGTGCCTTAGGTGCTAGCTGCAGCTGGAAAAGCACATGCAAGCTGGTGGCTTAACAAACAAGCACACTACCCCCTCAACCACCAACTCCCAGGAACAATGACAGCATGAAGGTGGATGAGACCCATGCACTCAGCAGGCCCTGTTTATCCAGAACTGTCTGTGAGCCACTATGACAGTGCTGGCTACCAGAACATCCTGGAATCCCCTTCTCCAAGCTCCTGGGGCAGGATGACAGGATGACGGGACTCAGGATCTAAAACAGCACCGTGATGCTGTCAGGGTCAAGGACTCAAAAAGCAGCAGGGGGCAGAGGCACAACAGGAAAGAGCCAGCCACAGGCAACCGGCAAACAATGTCTGCCCCCATCTGGGCAGAAAGATCAAACATCAAAAACACACACTTCCATAATTCTTTTAACAGAGCCTCCCACTTCTGGCTGAGAAGCAACACCACTGCAAACACTCTTGAGGGGCCACCAGCCTGGAATGTAACTTGTTCCCAATGGACTCTGGGGCAAGCAGCCTTCAAACTGGCTGCGACCTGCCATGTTGTTTCCTATAAATCCCCTAAGGTCAGAGGGCCCTCTTCATTTCAGCTAGACACATGTGAGTGTGTTGTTATAGCTAACGCTTTTCCAGCTTGGTCTTTACGCAGGACTGTCTGGGTTTTAGTACTCTAAGTCCCACATCCCAGGATAACCTGTTTATACTGGGTAATCTGGGACAGTTGGTCACTCTATCTTCACATCAGTATTTCCCCCAAAATGTCCTGGGGAAACATGAGTGTTTCACAAGATGTTAAACACTCTCGTTCTACTAAAGAGAGGAAGCTGTTCCTCTCGATGTTCTACTAAATCTAGATCGATGTTCTACTAAAAAGAGGAGGCTGAAAAGGAAATGGTCCCATAGTTAAAGTACGTTTGGGGAATGATGGGTTAAACAAAGGTAATAAGTAATCTTCCTTAGAGGATATTTCAAAGCATGTAAGATCATAATGTATTTTGACCTTCTAAGAAGGGAAATGTATTCATTTTATTAAATATTCATTGAGAGCATAACTATTAAAATCTTGAGGATTACGAAATGTTCTTACTGGACACAGTTTGGAACACAGCTTGCTTTATGGAATATAAAAGTAAAATAAAAAACCTCATATGGTGCTAGCCCAGACTTACCATGTGGGTAAACTGAGGCACAGAGCAATGCCCCCAAGGCAGATCTGTGAGTACTTCCTACCTTCCCTTCCTATCTTCCTCCCACTTTTCGGCCTTGTGAGGAAATATTCCTTTCTCTAGTTGTTGGACTGTAGCTCCATGCACCTCCCCCATGCCCTCCCTTTCCTGAGAAGGAAAATGGAGAGCTGGCCATAGAAAGATCAACATCGTGTCACTGCCTGCTTCACTGCCTGGCTCGATGGCATCAAGAGGAATTTGGTGCAAGAGAGGGGGTAGGCTCAGGGTTGGATGATCTGAGAAAGGAAAGTGAAAGGGAGACTGGGATCCCAGGGCTAGGAGGGAGTGTACAGTGGGCGTGTCCAGGAGCTGATTACCCAATCACAAGCGCCATTTATCCAGGTAGAAAGAGAGCCAAGAGGTGGAAGACTGCATTTAACCACGTTATGGGCTAACCACCTAGGGGGCTGCCAGGATCGGGGTGCAGGTGGCTTCAGAAAGCCTGTTTTGGGCCGGGCGCTGTGGCTCACGTCTGTAATTCCAGCACTTTGGGAGGCTGAGGCGGGCGGATCACTTGAGGCCGGGAATTCAAGACCAGCCTGGCCAACATGGGGAAACCCCATCTCTACTAAAAATCCCAAAATCAGCTGGGCTTGGGGGCAGGTGCCTGTAATCCCAACTATGGGGGAAGCCGAGGTGAGAGGATCGCTTGAACTCCTGAGGCGGAGGTTGCAGTGAGTCGAGATCGTGCCACTGCACTCCAGCCTGGGCAACACAGTGAGGCCCTGTCTCAAAAAAAAAAAAAAAAAAAAAAAAAAAGTCTGTTTTGACTCAAAGCCCCAAAGTGAAGGGCAGTGCCCCCTAGGGGTGAGCTGAGGAGCACCAGGCAGGAATAGGAAGGCAGGGGGCGCCATCTCAGTGGCTTCTTAGCTAAGCCCACCCTGGCCACCTTCATCTAAAACTGCGGTCTCCAACTAACCCTGCCTCCCCGCACTGAGGCCCCCAGCCTGAGTAATGGGGAAGGGCCTTGAAGAAGAAAACCTGGCCCTGTGAGGTCGCAGAGGATGCTGCTCTAGCATGGCGTTGGGGGTGGGGTAACAGGGTCTGTTGACTCACACTGGGCTAGGGCTGACGCCAATACAAGAAATAAAATCAACATGCCAGGTGCGGGTGGCTCACATCTGTAATCCTATCACTTTGGGAGGCTGATTAGGCGGATCACCTGAGGTTGGGAGTTCAAGACCAGCCTGACCAACAAGGAGAAACCCCGTCTCTACTAAAAATACAAACTTAGGTGGGCGTGGTGGTGCATGCCTGTAATTCCAGCTACCCCAGAGGCTGGGGCAGGAGAATCACTTGAACCCGGGAGGCGGAGGTAGTGGTGACCCAAGATTGCGCCATTGCACTCCAGCCTGGACAAACAAGAGTGAAACTCCGTCTCAAAAAAAAAAAAAAAAAAAAAAAATCAACACGTGTGGATGCTTTCTGCACATCAGAGGCACCACCTACATGATCCTATTTAGCCCTTGCTATGGAGGAGGGCACAATACCTATTTTCCCGCTGGAGAAGCCCAGGTCAAGGAACAAGTCTGAGATCACAAGGCTAACAAGTGTCGAAGCTGTGGCTAAAATCCAAGCCTCTTAACTGCAGAGTCTAGGGCATCAGCAGAGATTTCCATTTTTCTTCTCTTCACCATCACAGCAAAATTTTTTGTCAAAGGAATTCTTACGTAGAGACCTATCATACGGAACAGTTAAAAGTAGGCCTTCGTGAAGAGGATGGACGTAAAACTCCCCCCAAATCGGCCTCCTCTTAATTTTCCTCTCCAGGTATGCACCCCAAGCCCTCAGTGGCCCCCAAGGCAGCTCCACGGAATACCACCCGCAGGTTTCAAAGTCACTGGCCCCCGGCTGCTGCTGTCACTGAGAGCTCATAGCCAAACCCCTAAGACAGTATTTCCTTGGCCCTGCACTCACCTGCTCTGAGGTGAGAGGGAGAGATGGGGAGCAGAAACACTTCTTCCCTATCCACAGGCCAGTGGGGGAACCCAGGTCCTTCCCCTCCTACCCTGCCCAAGGCCCAGCTTATGGGGGTCCTGGGACACCTCGGATCCCTGTTGCAGCTCAAGACCCAATTAGGAAGGAGCCAGGTTTCTTTGTGCATTACCAGAAACTGCCCCTCAGGACCAGAAGGCTACAGCCACATAACTGGAGGACTAAGTGGGACCAGGCTTCCTGAGAGCTGTGTTTCCTGAGAGCTGTGTGCAGAGGCGAAGCTGATCTGACCGGCAAGGTGAGGACAGAGGGCAGCTACAGAGACGTCCAAGGTTTGCAGGGACCAGTTCTGCAGTAGCATTTGCCAGTCACCTACTCCAAATATCCACTCTCTGCTTCCTCCTTGTAACTGAACCACTGTTTTTTGGGTAGGCACTTGGGTGCCTGAAATAAAAATTACTCTTCCCTAAGTTCTCTTTCCTGCCTGCCTTTCAGCTAGTGTGACCACATGCTAAGTTCTGTTCAACAAAATGTGACTAGAAGTGTCACATGTGGTTTCTGGGAGGCACACTCTAAAGAGGAGCCACATGCTTCTTGTTCCTTCCTTTTTCCTGATGGCTGGAACTCCAGCAGCCACCTTGGACCACGAGGCCACGTGTGAATGATGGCAGAACCACTATACCACCCCTCTGAAGTTCTATGATATGAGAGAGATATAACTGATGCCTGTCTTATTTAATCCACTACTCTTTTTTGTTGCTATGAGCAGCCAAATCAAGTTCTAACAAACACAAGCCCCAATCCTCAGCTGAAGGATCCTTTGGGTGGGGACAGCACAGGAGACATGGCCCCCTCCTGCTTCCTACCAGGAATCCCTGCTCCTTCCTGCCCATATGCCCCCAGGACCTAGGCCGGCCCCCACCTGCCACCTCTTTCTTGAATCAGGTAGCCTTGCATTTACAGAGCACAGGCTGGCAGGCAAGTTCTAAGCCAGCCCTGACACCTACTCACTTACTAACTCATTCATTCAACCTATATTTATGGAACAGCTACTTTGAGCTAAGTGCTATTCTAGGTGCTGTGGCTACAGCACAATGGAAGTCCCTGCCCTCATGGAACTTACAG
Organism: Homo sapiens; assembly: GCF_000001405.40. Lineage (NCBI taxonomy): Eukaryota > Metazoa > Chordata > Mammalia > Primates > Hominidae > Homo > Homo sapiens. Next base: position 131,549,054 of record NC_000007.14, read on the forward strand.
TCTAACGGGGAAGAGACAGACAAACAAACAAACCAATGAACACATATCAGGTGACGAGTGCTATGGAGAAAATAAAGGCGAGTAGGAGGAAAAGAGTGTGCTGGGGGGGAGGGGTTTCTAAGCAGAGCAGCCCCGGTAGGCCTCTTTGAGAAAGTGGCATTCATGGGGAGAGCTGAAGGAAGTGAGGGAGTGAACCACGTACATATTGGGAGAAGAGCTGGTTGTATGATCTACTGCAAGTCCTTGCATCTGTGCCTCAGTTTCTCCTCTCTGGAATGGTCTGTGAGATAAAGGTCATGCAAAGGCAGGCTACCCCAGCTGGAGGGCTCTGTGGTTCCAATCAGTGTGTTGGGAGTAGGTTGGCATGGGAACCTGGCTGGATGGAGACCAAAGGGACTCAGTCCTCAGGCAGAGCTCCATGAATTTCAGGTAAGAAGGAGCTGTGGCTTCAGCCTCACACACAGCCAGTATGTTCAAAAATTACAGAGTGCCCTCCTCACCGGCTTGCTTAACTGCCGTCCCTTCTACTCTGATCAGGGTCAGGTAGCTGGAAGGTTAAGAAATCAGACAGCGTAGACCCCAGGTCAGTCCACACATCCCTAGGGGCCTGGCTCTGGGAGGTCCCTGCACCCCAATCCAGGGCCAGATAGCAAGCCTCTCTCAGCCGCTCCTTAGAATTCTCTTCCCCCTGAGTGGAGGCACATACATAGCCTTCTGGCCATGACAATTGGTGGACGAGGTGCCACCCTACACCCTGGTCCTCGGAAGTGTGAGGTGGCTTATTCCCAAGGGGAATAAGGCTACAAAAGAAGAGAGGGTGGTGGTGATATATGTCGGGGAAGGGGGTGGGGATGGTTGGAGGTGGCCCAGGGGCCAACCTTAGCTGGGGGACCCTCTTAGCTGAGGGTCTGTGCTTGCTGCTGCTCCAGCGATTCAGGGCAGGGCCAGGACTCAGAGACAATGCAAGAGCTTGGGATGCGGGAGATGTGGGCAAGGGCCACTGATGAATCTGCAGCTGAACGCTGCATTTTGTGCAGCCAATTATCCCGCAAACATTTCTTAACCACCTATTTGGCTAGAGGCTGTGGAAATGACAGGGGGTCCTCAGCCAGTGGGCCAGTGGCAAACACCGACATATTTAGGCACAATGCATGGTGGCCAGTGCTATGGCACAGTATTCCAGGCACCCTTAGGAGTCTAACTCTTAAATAGCAACATGGCCCCAAGCCTCAATTTACCCTTATGGTAGAGGGGTAGGGAAAGAGATGTGGGCACAGTATAGGTTTGTCACCATCCTAAAGTCCTTTTTAAAGAGGTTTTTCGCCAGGCATGATGGCTCATGCCTGTAATCCTAGCACTGGGAGGCTGAGGTGGGCAGATCACTCAAGGTTAGGCGTTCAAGACCAGCCTGGCCAACATGGTGAGACCCTATTTCTACAGAAATTAGCTGGGTGTGGTGGCGCATGCCTGTAGTCCCAGCTACTCAGGAGGCTGAGGCAGGAGGATGTCTTGAATCTGGGAGGCAGAGGTTGCAGCAAGCCACCTGCACTCCACCCTTGGCAACACAGCGAGATTCCATCTCAGAACAAAAAGAAGTAAAATAAAAAAATATATAAAGGGGATTTGGTGAGTTTTTCCAATTCCCAGGAGGGAATCAGCACTGAAAGGGCTGAGTTCTATTCTGGTATTTACAGCTGACACGTATGCGCACATGCACACACATACATGCACGCACACACACACACACGCACACACACGTGTGCACACCCACCTCCTGGAAAGCTATTTATTGAGAGTCACTGGGAACTTGGGCGAATGAACCCACCTCCCTGGCCTGCAATCCCCCATTTGAAACAAGCAGGTTGTAGTAGATGATTTCCAGAAGGCTCCCCAGCTCTAGAATTCTGTGTCCTATGATTTTCTGGCTCATTTAGAAGTGGTGTGGAAAGTACCCTTTGCCAACCGAATTCCACATTGCACAGCCTGCAGGCTGCCGACTCGAAGCAGTCATATGGCAAATGTTACTGCAAATATGAAGAGGCTCCTTTAAGGGATCCTCTGTGTCAATTTTCTTGAAGGCTTTTCTTATAGAGAATGCCCCCGTCATTTGGCCTGTGCAGGGTAGGAGTCACCATCCCAGATCTGCTACATCACTTGATTTCTTAACAGCCCCATAGAGCAGACAGGATACATGATAAAGAGAGGCCCATCCAACTTAGCCCATGTTCCTGGGTCCGGGACAGGAAACCCCACCAGCTGAGCTCCCTGCCCTGCTTCATGGCCAGTGGGTGCAAATAGGAAATGAGCCCAGAGCTGGGTAAAGAGCTCCTGGCTGAGGTCCAGTGAAAGTGTCCAGGCAGGCTCAGGCTGGTGGGTAGGGATGGGCAGGGCAATGCCATTCTCTTTCTCTGATTATGTAGGAATGACTTCCATTTCAGCTAGAGCAAAGCTTGCATTCAGCAGCCCTGAAGAGGGCCTCTGCCTCAAAGGGTGTGAAGAAGCAGCACTTCCTGGAATAGGGGTCATCTACGTCCCCTCCTGAGAAGTCCAGTGAACTGGAGACACGATTCCTCCCACTTCCCTTAAGAGTGAAGGGCTCTGAGCTGGGTGCGGTGGCTCATGCCTGTGATCCCAGCACTTTGGGAGGCTGAGGCGGGCGGATCATGAGGTCAGGAGATCGAGACCTTCCTGGCTAACATGGTGAATCCCCGTCCCTACTAAAAAATACAGAAAATTAGCCGGGCGTGGAGGTGGGCGCCTGTAGTCCTAGCTATTCGGGAGGCTGAGGCAGGAGAATGGCGTGAACCCGGGAGGTGGAGCTTGTAGTGAGCTGAGATCACGCCACTGCAGTCCAGCCTGGGTGACAGAACGAGACTCCATCTCAAAAAAAAAAAAAACAGTGAAGGGCTCTGAGCTAAGTGCTGAGCCAGCTCCACAGCAGCCACCAGCATCACAGGGGTCACCAGCCCCACAGAAGCCTTAACCTTCAGCAGTTGCTCCCACCAGCTCTAGCTGCTGGAGAACAAGCCCACTGGCCAGACATCCCTTCCCAGGATGCAAACTCCCCTTCCAGGGAGCCTAAAGCCAGGGCTGAAGCCGGTTCCCCTCAGTTCTACAGTCCAGAGTATCCCAAGCGACCGCTCAGCGCTGGGTGCTGGGCTGGGCCCTGGAGGTGGTGATAAGTATGTTGTTGGCCCCTCGAGGGCCTCACCGCATGGTGGAGGAGACACACAGATCATGGAACACACTTTGGTTCTCCCTAGGAAACCAGGGAAGGCATCTCAGAGATGATGCCTGAGGGTGGCTAGGAGTGGCTCTTCCCCTCCCTCCCTGCAAGGGGGGGAATTCTAACCACAGGGAGTCTAGTCCCCTTCCCCTCTCAGCTTTCCACAGGGCAGTGGTGTTAAAACCCCAGGCAGCACCCTCCTCTCCTTTCAAACATGGGTTCCTGAGGAAAACCAGATGGGGGACAGCCTCCATGCCTCTTCCCCCACCTTCTCTAGGCCTGGGGGACACCCTGAGGACCCTCCTGGGCAGGCCACGCTCCCCTCCTCAGCCCTTCTCTGGACGACCACACTCCAAAGCTCTGGCCACACTGACACCAGGTGCTTTTGGGTCTGCCCTTGAATGGCTGGGCTCCTAACCCCGCCATGTCCAGCTCGCTCCTGCCTCAGATCCTGTCCCAAGCTGCACCATGCTGGGAACACCCACATTCCCCCACCCCAGCCCTGGGCACCTTGTTTTTTTCCTTGAGTCAGGGTCTCCCTCTGTTGCCCAGGCTGGAGAGCAGTGGCGTGATCTTGGCTCACTGCAACCTCTGTCTCCCACGTTCAAGCAATTCTCCTACCTCAGTCTCCTGAGTAGCTGGGACTACAGGCGTGTGCCACTACCATGCCCAGCTAATTTTTTTGTCTTTTTAGTACAGTCTTACTAGGTTGCCCAGGCTGGTCTTGAACTCCTAGGCTCAAGTGATCCTCCCACCTTGGCCTCTCAAATTTGCTGGGATTCCAGGCGTGAGCAGCCACACCCTGCCACCGTGGAATTTTCTCTCCAGTTCTGAGAGCTAATCTCCCCAAAGCCTCAATGACTCCATCTCAAGAACCACCATCACAGACTCCCCGACCCTAATCTGCATCTCCCCTACACACTACAATTCATAGAGCCTCAGCCACATTAGGAAACACTGACCCTTTTAATTTTAAAATCCCTATGTGAAAACCCCACCTCCTTCAGGAAGCTTTCTCCAGACCTCCAGACCACCCCTTCCAAATCTTATACTCTTTTCCATATGCCTCCCTCTCCCACAGAGTGGCACTGGGGCTTCAGTTTTTATTATCATATATCCACTGATACCCACAAACATTGGCAGGATCCCAATGCCTGGGGTCCCTTAAACCCACCAGGTGCTCAATATATATGCTTACTAATCATCATAGCTATTTTTTGAGTGTTGATCCTGAGTTGGGCGTAAAGCCAAGCCCATGATATATATACTCGCTCATCTTCATAGCAACCCACAAGGTAGGGCTGTTATTACTTTATAGATGAAGAAACTGAGGTTCAGGGAGGTCCACTATTTTGTCCATGGTCATGCACATCTCTCTGACCCAAAGTCTGAGTGTTTCCACCCCACCAAGCTGCCTTTCTGTTGCCCAGAATTCATCCATTGAACATCAGATTGAGAGTACTGAATCAGCTTGTCCTTTCAGTAGCTGAGGGAACACGGAACCCCAGATATCTTATCATGGTGGAACTAGAGGTCCCTTTGGTTCTTTTATTCTATCTCACAAATAACGAAACGGAGGCACGGAGATGTGACTTACCATTGTGGTTCTGCCAGATGGTTATCAAACCAAAAAGCACTGAAAGGGGGTCTGATGAATTGTCCAACCCTTAAGGTGAATGCTTTCTTTGCTGTAGGCTGCATAATCTGCCCATATATTGGAAGGTAAGCTGGGGGAGAGGGGCAGGGATGGACCTGTCTGGGGATAATTCCTTTGTTGCAGAGACTCGAGCTATAAATCTTTCTTGCTTTGAATCAAATCACAGGATTCCAGCAGATGGGGGGCAGTGTTTATGCTATTCCCGATGACAGCAGCCCAGGCGACCACACCTTCAGAAGGACAGGGATGGAGCTGGCCTTACTGAGTCCCTAGAGGGTGGTGTAGAATGCACCATAGCTACTGAACAGACCAATCTTGCCGCAACATGCCCCCCACAAGCCTTTTCTGGCCTCAATACATGCAAATCATCATCACCATCATGATCATCATCCTCTCCCCATCCCCCACTTAGCACTTTGCACTTTTCTAAGTGCTTCCCAACAGTGCTGCATACTATAATGCATACAGTGCTCAGATAGGCCAAGTTACTTGCTGGTTAGAGCAGGCACTGGGTTATGGTCATTTTTGTTTGCCACATACCAAACTTCTGCCATGTGCCAAACCCTGTGTTAGGCCAGAAGTGGTGCTTCATGGAAGAGACATGGTTTCTGGCAGTGCCCAGGTGCCAGGAAAAACAGTGCCATCCTTGAAGCCAGCAGTGAGCTGGAGTCAGAGCTTTGCCCACTGGTGACTTATGAACATTTCCTTTTAGGGCAGACAGGGAGGGTCTTGTCCCACAGTGCCTCCCACTCCTCAAAGGAAGGGTGGCTCAGCTTCCTTAAGCTCAGAAGCACTAGGGACTAACCCCTCTTTCCTGACACAGCCCAACGCCCTTCTGGGTGGTTCTAAGAGGCTTCCCAACAAAAGGTTCGTATGAAGGCCCACCCTGAAGTCCAGCTGTCCCCAGAGTAGGGCTAAGGAGCCACCATACTCTCGTGTCATCTCAACCCTGCATGTCGTGTGGCTCTTCAGTGATTGCCACTCTGAAAGCTGTTCTGACTGTTCCTCACACTGCAGCCCCTCTTCCAGGGACACACATTCTTCCCCCCGCCGGGACCTTCCCTTTCTAGTCAGGCTGGTGGAGTCTCCCGCCGGCCACAGGAGGATGCCCACGCCTGCCTGCTCCCTGAGTGCCAGCGCCTGCCCACTACCAAAGGTTTCCTGCGGTGCAGAGGAGAGACTGTACTGCCCTTCCATCTCCCCTGGCCCCTTAGAGTCCAGTCCCAAACTGCCGGCACCTGCTCACAGCAGAATCCCTACCCTGTCTGTGCTGTCCCCGCAGTCCTCCTGGCCCTAGGGTGATCACACCACCTCAGCTCTTCCTGCAGACATGTGCTCAGGTGGGCAAAAGAGAATGAGAAATGCACCTCTCCCGTGGGGCTGAGCTGACTCTGGCTGTTCCCTAGGGGCTTAAGAACACCTGTTCTGGTTGAGTTTGCAGCCATCGCCTGTCCCCCAAAAGGGAAAGAGTAACATTTCACCTTGAAAAGAAACAGGGAGGGGATGTTTCTGAGGTGCAGGTGTTTCATGAGAGACAGGTACATTTTCTAAGGTGTGTCTAAAATGCAGCCCAATCCTATTCTACGAGAGAGAAGTTCCCGTTTGAACAAGTTCCCGTTTGAACAAGAGGATTCGAGGGGGGTCTCACCATCGTAGCCACGCACTAAGAAGCGATTGTTTTAGGGACACGGAGGTAGGACCCCCACTCAGCCAGGTGACTCTGGGACTGTGGAAGGTCCACTTACGACTCTGTACCTGCCCCAGCACGGGCTCAAGGAGTTGAGCCTGCACACATTACTTAGAAAAAACCTCTGCAAACGGGTAAGTACATCGCCCGCGTGGGCCGTGGCTGGAGGCTTGTCACCTGCTTCAGGGACTTCCTCGGGAGCCTCTCGCCTGCCTCTTTGCCTGGAATTAACGAATACACACTACAGCCCCTCATTCCCTCCAACACGAAGGAAAGGTGTAATCAGATCCCGAGAGTCCCGCAGAAGCGTGGAGCCTCGCGGTGCGGTCTCCCTTTTCTTTCCCATGCAAACCCACTTAGCACCGGCGCGCCCCTGTTTGCCCGGGCAGAATCCACCGCCCACTCCTCCCGAGTGGAGAGTGGAGACGAATCTACGCCCAGGCCCTGCACCTGCCGCGCTGCGGAGTTTGGAGGGGGCGTGGATGGTGCAAGGTCAGGGCTCCGTGTGTGACCCCGGCGGTGATAGGGCTGCTCGGGGTCGGACCACGCGGCGCGCCGGGCTTCCCTGCAGCTCGGCCGGGCAGGGGGCACATGGGCACGGTGGGAGTCCCGGCGGAACCCAGGCCGGCCACTCACCATTCTGGGAGGGCGACGGCGACGGCGACGGCGACGACGGCAGCAGCGGCGGCGTTGACAACAGTAGCAGCAGCGCCGAGAGCGCCAGCGCGCAGCGCATCGTGTCGTCGCCTCTGGGCCGGGAGCAGGTGGCTGCGGTGCCGGCGGAGGATCCGCGCGTCCGGGCGGTAGGAGCGTGGGCGCCGCCCGGGGAGGCCTGTGGGTGGCTCCGGAGGCCAGGCTGTGGCCCGGGGCTCCCGAGTCGCGCTGCGGCGGCTCTTCCTCCCTGCCGCTGCAGCAGAGCCGGGCTGGGGCGCAGAGCCAGTGGCAGAGGAGCGGCGGCGGCGGCGGCTGCGTCCTGGGCGGCGTCTGCGCGGCTGCGGCCCCACTGGCGGCTGCGGCTACTCCTGGCCCGTCCCGTCAGCGCCGGCCCCCGCCCCCGCCCCCGCCCCTCCCCCTCCCCCAGGAGCCCGCCAGCGGCGGCGGCCGGGCCGGGCGGGGCCGGGGCCGGGGCTGGGCGGGCGCTGGGCCGTGAACAATGAGCAGAGGAGGAAACTCCGCCCTGGAGCGCGACGGGCGGGAGGGCCGGCGGCCTCCGCGCCTTGGGGGGCTGTGTGTGCGCGGGGGCCAGGGCGGGGGGCTCCTGCGGTGCAGCCGGGCCCCGTCCACAGGTGTCCCGAACAGGTGTGTCCCCCCGAGTGCTTCTAAGTGGGCCCGGCGGGATCCCCCAGCACACCGCCGGGGCCCTCGCACTACGAGCAAATCCGGAGCGGGCGGACCCCCAGCCTTGCGTGGTAACTGATAACCATTCACGGCCTCCCGGGCTGCTGCGCGTTCTGCAGCGACCCCGGAGAAGCTCATCTCCCACCTGCCAAGTGCAATTCACCTGCCTGTGGGGCCCCCATCCCGCACGGCTTCTGAGCGGGGTCTCTCTGCAGCTAGGTGTGCAGCGGGCAAGCTGGACTAATTCACTCCTTCACCTCTCCAAGGGTAGGTTCCTTACCTGTGAAATGGAGATGATGGTTAAAAAACAACAGCAACAACAATTTCAGGGATGAATGTGTGCCAGGCTTTACATATATTAATTCTTTTACTCTTCATGACAACCATATTTTTAGCCTCATTTTGCAGACAGGGCAATTGAGTCAAAAAGAGGTTAAGAAACTTCCTGAGGCCACATAACGGGTAAGTGGCAAACCTGCCTCTGAGAGAAGTTTGGAGAAATACCGTGCACCGTGCCTGGAATATAGTAATTGCTCTGCAAGGAGTGGTTATTACTCTTATTCCTGCTATATAAAGAACAGCTATAAAGATTAGGGCTTTTGGGTCAAAACAGGCTGGGGCTCAAAACCTAACTGTGCCAATCTATTAATTGTAAAACCCTAGGCAAGCTATTCTCAGTACCTCATTTCTTTTTATCTGTAAAATAGGGATAATAACACCTACCTCAGGGGGTTGTTGGGAAACTTAAATGTGATCTTACAAGATAATACTTAGCCTAGGGCCAGGAACACAAAAGTCTCAATGAATGAAGTAGTTCGCCCTCCAAGTGAGGATCAGAGATATTTGCACACTGGGGGTGGGAGTGGGTGTTGGAGAATTCCGTAAACTGAGTTTATCCGGTGAAAGAACAAAGAAGTTCCTTTCCCCTCCCCCGCTCCCCTCCTTTTTTCCACCCCCAAAGCTGCCTGGGAGACGCAGACCCCAGGCCCGCCTGAAGAGGAGGCACATCGGCGGAGCCGGGAAGCGGAGGGGGCGAGGGGTGATTAACCTTGGAACCCGGGTACGGCGTAAATTTGGCTCACGTGACTCCGGGGTTGCTAATCTGGAGTCTATCTGCCAGATGGGGCTGGGTGGAGGGGTTTTCTCCAGGATCTAGCCGCGTCCCGGGCACAGGGGACTCCGTGAGCCCCTCAAGTCGGCTGCAAGCAGGCGATGCCTGCAGGGCACTGCGTCCCTGGAGCCGCGAAGGAAGCGCTGGAGCCCTGGCTGGGGTTCCGTGGCAGCCGGCCTCAAGCTTGGGAAGGGCTGACGGGGTTGTTTTCATCAGGAAGTTTCTGCAGGATCGTTCTGGCCCCGTTTTCCACACCGCATATGGGAAAGACAGAGGGTGTTCCCTATGAATACTCTGGGATATTTGTGTGTGTGACTATCTTTGATGTTTTTTTAGTACTGTTCCCCTGATATCATGTCAACAAAAGGCTTGTTTCTCTTCTGAAACCAAGCAATATATATATATATTTTTTTTTACACTGGGATTTTAAAAAATGTGTATCGCACTCTGATTTAAACAGTGTTTTTGCACTCAATCATTCAATTTATCTAAAAACTCAGAAGCAATCATGTTAACTTTATAAAGAGAGAGCGTATATTTTGAAGCTTAGGGCATTTTAAATTCACATGATTTGGGATTGGTGCCATTACAAGATCATGCAAAATTAAAATGAGAGCAGACATCTGGGCTTAGAGAAGACATAGAAAAGTTACAATTGTGCTGGACTCTCCCCAGTATCCAACAGCCCCCCTCAACTTATGCACAACGTGGCTTTCTGGAATGAGGCTGGCTGGGTTTTGAGGTCACTGGTGGCCACTGAGATGAGCTACCCCCAGGTAACTGGCCTGTGCCTTTGGCCCCATTTAGCATTGTGCTCTAACTAGCAAGCTCGCCAGCCCAGAACACCTGAGCTTATATTTGAAACCCAAAGCACTTTATGGGTGCTGTTTTTGAAGCTTTTCATCAGGAAGTTTCTGCAGGATCATTCCTTCTGGGATTTGTTGCATTTTGGTTATTTGTATACATGCGTTAGCTCTCCTAGCAGACATTCAGCTTCTTTAACATGGCGTCTTTCTTATTCATCCTTTACTTACTCAGACCACCAAGAACAGCACATCACTTTTTTTTTTTTTTTTTTTTTTTTGAGACAGAGTCTTGCTCCTGTTGCCCAGGCTGCCTCCGCCTCCCAGGTTCAAGCAATTCTCCTGCCTCAGCCTCCTAAGTAGCTAGGATTACAGGCATCTGCCACCACACCCGGCTAATTTTGTATTTTTAGTAGAGACGGGGTTTCTCCATGTTGGTCAGGCTGGTCTCGAACTCCCGACCTCAGGTGATCTGCCCGCCTCGGCCTCCCAAAGTGCTGGGATTACTGGCGAGAGCCACCGCATTTTTATCAAGCAAATGGTTTTGCTGCCCCATGGGCACAGAAGCCAATACTATGAAGCACTAGCTTTGGAAAAAGCAGCGGCTTTATTTGCAAAACTGGTCAGCAAAGAGACAGGAGTGAATTCAAATCTGTCTCCCCAGCCAGGCACGGTGACTCATGCCTGTAATCCCACAACTTTGGGAGGCTGAGGTGGGCAGATCACCTGAAGTCAGGAGTTTGAGACCAGCCTGGCCAACATGGTGAAACCCCATCTCTACTAAAAATACAAAAATTAGCCAGGCTTGGTGGCATGCGTCTGTAATCCTAGCTACTCAGGAGGCTGAGGCAGGAGAATTGCTTGAACCTGGGAGGTGTAGGCTGCAGTGAGCTGAGATTGCACCACTGCACTGCAGCCTGGGCAACAGAGCAAGACTCCATCTCAAAAAAAAAAAAAAGAAAAAATGTCTCCCCAGTTTGAGGCCTGGGGTAAATTTATGGGATCAGAAGGCAATGAAAAGATTTAGGAATGTTGGCTTGGCAGAATCTGATTGGAGGGCTTTAAATTTGACCATTTACAGAAAGGTATGTTGAGGCGGACTTTTAGCCCCACATCTTCCAAGCCATTGTACGTCTGGCTTCTGAGAGAGTTCTGGCATTCGGATTCCCATCAAGTCTCTTAGTCTTTTTAGTTCCAAGGGAGAATTCATTGTTTTGGGGTTGTTGTTAGAGTTCCAACTATTTTCTATTGCTTATGCTGGAGCAACGTGACATTTTGTTATCAACAGAGCAAGCCCAGTTTGGGCCTTTCCCTCAGTTACAACATCATACATATAGATACAGATACAGATCTATAGATACAGATCTTGAATGCAAATATGAATGTCACCTGGAAGATATTACGCAGGAACCCATGGCACAAGGTTACACATTTTTCCATGGCCCCTGGCTGTCAATGTTAGGGGCCATAATTCTCTGCCCCAGGTGCAATTTGGTGATGTTGTTTACCTAAGTGCATCCTTATGTGCAGACTCAGTAAGTCCTCTTGACCCTCATTCTAAGTAATACTGATCCCCAGTCACAACATCTAGGGGTGAGACAAAGCGTCCGCTACCACATCCCCCAAGAAAAGATGAGTGCACACATGTATCCATCCTGGAGCCACAGCTCCTACACATAAGGAGCCAGGGATGCTCTTACCTGGGCTTTCTAATCACTGACCTCTGAGTTCCTTGTGGGTCGAAGCAGTGTTTAATTCATCTTGGAATCCAGTGCCCAGTATGGTGGTGTCTGACCCCAAACAGGTGCATGACATTCAAATGCTGCATAGATGAAGAAGTGGTTGGATTTTCTCTCCAAGGTTGGGTTACCCCTGACTGCCAAGTGGTGCGGTTCTATGAATATCAGCTGGGACTCAAGTTGGGCAGCTCACCCCAAAGTCATGCCTTTATGTATTATTATTCAATAATATCTACCCTAATAGGCAGAGTGTGCTAGGTTCGGTGCACTGTGCTGAGAATGCAACCCTGTACACAAACATGACTAACATGTAGTAGGGGCTGTAACACATGGCACGGGTGGGCATGTGGGAAGCGGAGAGCAGGATGGCTCAGCCCCACCCGGGGAGGTCAAGGAAGGCTCCAGAGGAGGGAACTGGGTTTTGGAGGAGTTGAAGGACTTCACCAAGGGAAGAGTGAAAGGGAAGGCTTTTTGGGCAGATGGAACAAGATCTACAGGTATTTCGCCCTCAGCAGAGCATAGGATTTGTCAGGATGATGGGAGATGAGGATTGGAAGGTGGGTAAAGGTGAGACGCTTAGACAATGAAGAGTCACTACAGGGTTTTAGCTTGAACGGGCAAGACCAGCTTTTCTTTTTTTTTTTTGTTTTTTTTTCTGAGACAGAGCCTTGCTTTGTCAACCAGGCTGGAGTGCAGTGGCGCGATCTCGGCTCACTGCAACCTCCACCTCCCAGGTTCAAGCAATTCTCCTGTCTCAGCCTCCCGAGTAGCTGGGATCACCGGCGCATGCCACCAAGCCTGGCTAATTTTTTTTTGTATTTTTAGCAGAGATGGGGTTTCGCCATGTAGGCCAGGCTGGTCTTGAACTCCTGACCTCATGATCTGCCCGCCTCAGCTTCCCAAAGTGCTGGGATTACAGGTGTGAGCCACCGTGCCTGGCCCCAAGACCAGCTTTTCATGAGAGAAAGCCGCAGTGGGCTTAGCAAGGGCAGGCTGATGTGAGGCGGAAGGTGAGCACAGCATTTGGGGAGGCTAGTGCAACTGTCCCTAAAGGGCCTGCCCTCAGACAGTGGTGGTGGGAAAGAAGAGAAGGGCCTGATGCAAGAGGTGTCTGAGGGGTAGCATTGATACAGGACTCAGTGGCCCATTGGATGGGGACATGGTGTGTGGGCTGGTGTGTGTGGTGTGTTGAGGGCAGAAAGACACGGCAGGACTGCATGAATTATCTGAGTGCCATGGTTGGAGGGAGAGTAAATGAAACAAACTGTGATGGAGAATATAAGAAGAGAAGCAAATGTGGGAGAAGAAAATGATGGGTCCAGTTTCAAACAGGTTGACTCTGAAGACCCATGACCACATCTCAAAGTTATATCCAAGACAAGACTCAGGGGCTATGTCTAGAAGTTCTTTCCTTCCCCCCCGCCCCCCAATAAATAGAGATGGGGTCTTGCTGTGTTACCCAGGCTGCTCTCAAACTCCTGGCCTCATGTGATCCTCCCAGCTTGACCTCTCAAAGTGCTAAGATTACAGATGTGAGCCACCACACCCACCCTAGAAGTTTTATCTGTGACAGTAAAGCTCAGACCTAAAGTCAGGACTGGAAATGGAGATCCGAGAACCATAACCAAGCAGATGGGGTTGTAGCCATGACTGTAGATGATGGGCCAGGAATATTCTGCAGTGGAGAAGAGAAGAGGCTGAAGGCAGAGCCCTTCAAAATATCAACATTAAGGAATGGGCATAGGAAGAGGATATGGAGAATGTATTGCTGAATAGAAAGTCAACCAAAAGAGAAGGGACCCATAGAAACGGAGGGAGGAGAATGTTTTAATAAGAACAAGGTGGTCAAAAGTGTCACCTGCTCCAAGGACTGAAATCTACCAGCTGAAGTTTACAATGAAAGGGTCCTTGGGGATCTTACCCAGGGTGATTTTAGTGAAGTGCAGTAACTGAAGGGAGAGAATGGAGATGAGGAAATGGAGGCAGCGAGTGTGGATGGGAAGGGAAGGAGGGAGAACATGGAGTCAAGGGAAGAGTTTGTGTGCATTGGTTCATTTAAAAATTGGAAATGTGTAGGCCGGGCGTGGTGGCTCATGGCTGTAATCCCAGCACTTTGGGAGACTGAGGTGGGCAGATCGTTTGAGCCCAGGAGTTCGAGACCAGCCTGGCCAATGTGGTGAAACTTCATCTCTGCACAAAATGTAAAAATTAGCCAGGTGTGGTGGCACATGCCTGTAGTCCCAGCTATTCAGGAGGCTGAGATGAGAGGATCGCTTGAGCCTGGGAGGCAGAGGTTGCAGTGAACCAAGATCGTGCCACCTCCACCTGGGTTACAGAGTGAGACCCTGTCTCAAAAAATAAAATTAAATTTAAAAAAATTGGAAATGTGTACATGACTGTGGGCCAAGAGGAAGACAATAATTGAAAGGGAGAAGTTACAAGAGATGGGGTGAGAAGCAGAGATAGAAGGACTAATCTCAGGCCAAGGGAACTTCGTCACTGAAGGTATGGATGGAGATGCAGTTTGTCATGGTTGATAGGAATAGCCTTGGAATGAGTCAGCCCAGAACTTCATCTTTGCTTTGTGACTTAGTAGCCATGTGATTTTGAGCTTTTACTTAACTTCTGTGAGCCCGAGTCTTCCCCTCTATGAAATAAGTAACATCAATTTTGCAGAATCTCTGTGAGAATTTGTGTGTGGGGGGGATGCACAATGCCTAGCTGGTGCACAATAAATACATTTAAAAAGTAAAACTTTGTGTCCACAGCAGAGCTCCAAGGCCCATGTGATTCCTGCTGCATTCACTCCGGTGAGGAGCCTGCTCTTCAGCAGGCGTTTTTCTTTTGGACGCTCTTCGCCGTGGGTTGGAAGAGCAGGTCATGCCCTGGCGCAGCAGGAAGAGAGGGTTTTCCACAATGGCTGCATCCATTGCAGGCCAGAGCTGTGGGTTGCAAAATTGGGGTTGTCCCTCCTGCTCGGATGTAATGGAGTTACCTGAACGTGGGCCCTTGGGACCAGGCCTAGCACCTAAGAGAGAGCTGAAGGCTCAGCAGATGTTAGAGAGCACTTGACCCAATGTGGGAAGAAAGCAGAGTCCTAGAGAGTGGAGGTGAAGTCCTCATTCACTCAACTCGTCAACAGCGCAGGTTCCAGAACCAGCTTAGAACTCTAGCTCCTGTTCTAACAGCCCATTGCATGCATCTGTGTCCCACAGCTGTTGGTCTTACAACTCAAAAAAGCACAGGTCCCCTGGCAGGTGCAAAAGAAAATGTGCCATGGAGATGAAACTGGGGGAGGGAGTTACGAGTCAATTACTACTTATGTTGAACTAAAAGAAGCCCAAGGCATCAGCTTCGGCTCAGTCTTCTCCATACACCCCAAGCTGCTTTCCATTCTCACTCAGCCCCTGACTATTCCTCCCATTCCCCTGCCCAGTACAATAAAAACAGCATGCAGTTAGCTTCCTCCACCCCGGAGGCTGACCAGGACCAGAATCAGCACTTGGATAGTACTGCATGGAATTTTGCCTGTATTCTGGGCATGGTGCTGAACGCTTTACATTCCTAACATAATTTAATCTTCATACATCTGGAAAGGTAAATATATTACCATGATCCCATTTTACAGATGAGCAGATGAAAACCTTATTTCCCTAGGATAACCCGAAGATAGAAATGTGTATTACTCTGTTTTCACATTTGCTAGAAGAAAAACTTCAGGCTGGGCGTGGTGGCTCACGCCTGTAATCCCAGCACTCTGGGAGACCGAGATGGGCAGATCACTTGAGGTCAGGAGTTCAAGACCAGCCTGGCCAATATGGTGAAACACCATCTCTACTAAAAAATACAAAAATTAGCTGGGCGTGGTGGCAGGTGCCTGTAGTCCCAGCTACTGAGGAGGCTGAGGCAGGAGAATCGCTTGAACCCAGGAGGCAGAGGTTGCAGTGAGCCGAGATCACACCACTGCACTCCAGCCTGGGTGACAGGGTGAGACTCCATCTCAAAAAAAAAAAATATATATATATATATATGTATATAGATAGATAGATAGATAGATAGATAGATAGATAGATAGATAAAGAAAAACTTCAGCTGAATTAAATTTAAAGGAGTTTGATTGAGCAATGACCGATTTGCAAATTGGGCAGCCCCCAGAATCACAGCAGATTCACAGAGACTCTAGTGCAGTCACGTGGTGGAAGAGGATTTATAGACAAAAAAAGGGAAATGACGTATAGAAATTGGAGGCGAGGTACAGAACAGCTGGATTGGTTACAGCTTGGTGTGTTTGCCTTATTTGAACACAGTTTGTACACTCAACATTAGATGAATGGTTGAAGTATGGCCGCTGGGATTGGCCAAGACTTGGCTACTGTTACAGGCACATACTCCTAAGTTAGGTTTTCAATTTTGTCTGCCTGTTAAGCTAGGTTACAGTTTATCCACAAGGACTCAAATATAGTCCTTCTCAGGCCATGTTTAGTTTGCTTTAACACATTGCTATAAAGAAGTACCTGAGGCTGGATAATTTATAAAGAAAGAGATTTAGCCTGGTGCAGTGGCTCACGCCTGTAATCCCAGCACTTTGGGAGGCTGAGGCGGGTGGATCACTGAGTTCAGGAGTTTGAGACCAGCCTGGCCAGCCTGGCAAACATGGTGAAACCCATCTCTACTAAAAATACAAAAACTTAGCTGGGCGTGGTGGTGTGCGCCTGTAATCCCAGCTACTTGAGAGGCTGAGGCAGGAGAATCTCTTGAACCCGGGAGGCAGAGGTTGCAGTGAGCTGAGATCGCACCACTGCACTCCAGCCTGGGTGACAAGAGCTAGACTCCATTTCCAAAAAAAAAAAAAAGAAAGATTTATTTGGCTCACGGTTCTGCAGGCTGTGCAGGAAGCATAGGGCCTACGTCTGATCAGCTTCTGGGGAGGCCTCAGGAAACTTATAATCATGGTGGAAGGCAAAAGGGAAGCAGGTGCATCACATGGCCAGAACCAGGAGCAAGACAGCGAGGGAGGAGGTGCTACACACTTTTAAATGACCAGATCTCGGCCGGGCATGGTGGCTCATGCCTGTAATCCCAGCACTTTGGGAGGCCGAGGCAGGCGGATCACGAGGTCAGGAGATAGAGACAAACCTGGCTAACACAGTGAAACCCCGTCTCTACTAAAAATACAAAAACATTAACCAGGCGTGGTGGCGGGCACCTGTAGTCCCGGCTACTCGGGAGGCGGAGGCAGGAGAATGGCGTGAACCCGGGAGGCGGAGCTTGCAGTGAGCCGAGATCGCGCCACTGCACTCCAGCCTGGGTGACAGAGCTAGACTCCCTCTCAAAAAAAATTTAAAATAAAATAAATAAATAAATAAATAAATAATAAATGACCAGATCTCACAAGAACTCACTCATTTTTGCAAGGACGGCACCAAAAGGGATGGTGCTAGGACATTCATGAGAAATCCACCCCCATGATCCAATCAGCTCCCCCTAGGCCCCACCTCCAACATTGGAGATTACATTTCTATATGAGATTTGGGATGAGACGATATCAATGTGGCTTTGTTATGTGGCCCTGCTGCCTGACGTTGACATGTATGCAGCTAATTTCCCTGATGAGCTGTGGCTGCTTGAGGACAGAGCTGTGCCTGGCTCTCCTTCACACCCTTGGCAGTGCCTGACTTTTGCATCCTCACCGTCTCCTCTCCTTCCTTCCCTTCACCTGCCACCAGAGAAGTGGACTCGAAGTCAGATGGGATTTCATCCCGCACCTGCCCAAACTCCCTAATTCTGGCCCCCGCTAACCTTTCCAACCTCTTCTCCCACTGCCTGGGAGAAAACTCTTTTTTCTGAGACAGTTTCACTCTTGTTGCCCAGGCCAACAATGGCTCGATCTCGGCTCACTGCAACCTCTGCCTCCTGGGTTCAAGCGATTCTCCTGCCTCAGCCTCCTGAGTAGCTGGGATTACAGGGATGCGCCACCACGGCTGGCTAATTTTGTATTTTTAATAGAGATGGGGTTTCTCCATGTTGGTTAGGCTAGTGTCAAACTCCCGACCTTAGGTGATCTGCCTGCCTCGGCCTCCCAAAGTGCTGGGATTACAGGCATGGGCCACTGGGCCTGGTGGAGAAAACCCTTTAGATTCAACTATGACACTCACTTTCACTCTTTCTTTCTTTTTTTTTTTTTTTTGAGATTGAATCTCGCTCTGTCACCCAGGCTGGAGTGCAGTGTCACAATCTCGGCTCGCTGCAACCTCCGTCTCCCGGGTTCAAGCCATTCTCCTGCCTCAGCCTCCCAAGTAGCTGGGATTACAGGCACCCGCAACCACACCTGGCTAATTTTTGTATTTTTAGTAGAGACAAGGTTTCACCATGTTGGTCAGGCTGGTCTCAAACTCCTGACCTCAAGTGATCTACCCGCCTCAGCCTCCCAAAGTGCTGGGATTACAGGGGTGAGCCACCGCACCTGGCCTCACATTCACTCTTGAATGCTTTAGATGCTGCTCTTTGTGCCGGATTTAACCTGCTCCCACCTGCCAGTGATCTCCTAGCCTATTCTGGCCTGAGCCCTGCCCCTCAGGTCAGAGAGAAACACTTCCTCCTCTGGATTCCCTTTGCCTTGTGCTGGTGCTTTCATTCACTGTCTGATTTTGCCTGCCTTTTGTTAGTCACGCACACGGACAGACCTTTCGTTAGTTATGCACACAGACAGACCTCAAGTTCTTTCTTTGAGGGCAAAAACCTCACTTTGTTTGTGTCCGTTTCATTCTCAGCACAGCATCTGGCCCAGGTTGAGGGCTCAGTAGTTGCAATATTGGCATTCAGTAATAAGAACAACGTGAATGCTATCTGGAGTCCACCAATCCTTACCGTGTGTGCTAGCACTGAGCTACGTGTTTTACATGGATGGGCCCATTGGATCTTCACAACAACTCCACGAGGTAAGTGCTGTTATTAATCTTGTTTTACTGATAAGGAATTGGAGGCCTTTGTGGAAATTAAGTAACTTGACTAAAACCACACAGCTTAACAGTTATGGAGTCAGGGTTCATACCCGGCAGCCTGACTCCCAAAACTACTACGATATTCAGAGCGTGAATAAATGGCTGCAAAGAGATATTCATTGTATTACAACTTTGCCTTCTGTGTCCCATAAACATGGTGAAAAGATGAACTATCTGCCCCTAGGAACAATCTAAAATATATGATGCTGATGAAGCAGACTACTAGTGTTTTTTTGTTTTGTTTTGTTTTTGAGAGGGAGGGTCTCAGTCTGTTGCCCAGGCTGGAGTGCAGTGATGCAATCTTGGCTCACTGCAACGTCTACTCCCGGGTTGAAGCAATTCTCCTGCTTCAGTCTCCCTAGTAGCTGGGATTACAGGTGTGTGCCACCACACCCAGCTAATTTTTGTATTTTTAGTAGAGACGGGATTTCACCATGTTGGCCAGGCTGGTCTCGAACACCTGACCTCAGGTGATCTGCCTGCCTCTGCCTCCCAAAGTCTTGGGATTACAGGGGTGAGCCATCAGGCCCAGCTGACTACTAGCATTTTTAAAAAGTCAAGGAAATGGCCGGGCGTGGTGGCTCACGCCTGTAATCCCAGCACTTTGGAAGGCTGAAGCAGGCAGATCACGAGGTCAGGAGATAGAGACCATCCTGGCTAACACCGTGAAACCCCGTCTCTACTAAAAATACAAAAAATTAGCCAGGCATGGTGACAAGCGCCTGTAGTCCCAGCTACTCAGGAGGCTGAGGCAGGAGAATGGTGTGAACCTGGGAGGCGGAGCTTGCAGTGAGCCGAGATCGTGCCACTGCACTCCAGCCTGGGTAACAGAGCGAGACTCTGTCTCAAAAAAAAAAAAAAAAAAATTCAAGGAAATGATTGGTTCACCCACACAACCTCTTGTAATCACTTAACCAAAGTCATTTGTAAACTTTTCAAATCCACACCACCCTGGATCCCCAAAGAGGCCCACCCAACTTGAATAAGAACGGACACGTACTTAGCCTTACAATTTCCAGTTAACTGAGCCTTTATTATACAATACACAGGAGACCATGCCCTGCATTGAAGGCAAACACACACACAACTTTCCGTGTAATCACAGGATCCTGCTCAGCTGTGGGCTACTTCCTCCATCTGCACAAATCAGAATTGCCACCCCACTCCAGCGTTTTCGCACTATTGTTCCCCACCTCTCCCTTTCACATGTGCAGAAGGCTTCCTAATTGTCTTGATTGGTTAGTAATTATTACGGGATTCTATTCACCTTTCCTGGAAGTTTGATTCACAAATCAAGCCCGGATTTATGCAAGTCCATCATACTTTCTGCTCTTAGAGTACACACTCCGTTTTCAGGGCCTCAGGTCTCCGGGAAAAGTATGTAGCTCAGGTGTCCTTCTCTCAACAGTAAAACTGGAGCAGCCCTGCCAGGACCCATGGGGACAGGGCTGCAGACCCGCTAGAGCAAACAAGTGGCCCAGATACGGACAAATGACAGCAACACACGAGGCTGGGATTTAGCAGTGGAGGTTCCCATGACTTCATTAACCTCTGAAGCATTGTTCTTCCCCATGTCACCGGGGCACTTGATGACAGTTGCACACTCAAAGTGCACAGCTGGGGTTGTAAGATCGGCCTCTCTGCGGCAGGAAGACAGTCAGGGCCCACAGCTCCAAGAGGACCAGCCTGGAGCAGAGGCGGCTGAGGAGCTGACGAAAAAGCAGAGCCTCCCCTGCCCCCCACCATCGCAAATGCTGTTTGCAGGGGCCATGTGGGAATTCCAGAATTCTCAAGTTGGAAAGAATCCTGACAATCAAATAGCTTAGGGGCTTGAGTAAAATCATGAACTTAGAGAATCCGAGAGCTTACAGAGCTCTTGCCTTCTCTTCCCTCACAGCACGTGTGGGTCATGCATTTCCAGATTTGGTTCTTTGTGTGTGCAGTACTGCCCCCTCCACGACACTCAGAGCTCCATGAGACCTCGGGCCATGTCTCTGTCTTCACACCTACACCTGAGGCCTAGCATGTGCCTGGCCTTAGTAGGTGCTCAATAAATACTGGCTGGATGAATGAATCTTCCTCCAAAGGTAATTTAAAAAGCAAAAAGTCATGTTTTTATGCTTTATTTACCATCATCAGGGGTCTCACTATGTCACCCAGGCTGGTCTTGAACAAAATGCTGGTATTACAGGTGTGAGCATCCACGCCCGGCCATGTGCTGTTTTTATTGCTTTTTCCTTTTTGTTTAGACTGAGTCTTGCTCTGTCACCTAGGCTGGAGTGCAGTGGTACGATCTCGGTTCACTGCAACCTCCGTCTCCCATGTTCAAGAGATTCTTATGCCTCAGCCTCCTGAGTAGCTGGGATTACAGGCACCTGCCACCATGCCTGGCTCATTTTTGTATTTTTAGTAGAGATGGGGTTTCACCATGTTGGTCAGGCTGGTCTCGAACTCCTGACCTCAAGTGATCTGTCCACCTCGGCCTCCCAAAGTGCTGGGATTACCCGGGTGAGCCACTGTGGCCTGTCATGTGCTGTTTTTTATGAACCCCTAGACATAGACATAGTGATGGATGAGGCAGGGTGCGAGGGTCAAGATCCCGTGGTTTGTTCCTCTGTCCCAAGGTGGGAGTGAGTGTACCTAGTTTATTCTGAAGGGGGAGGTCCCCATCCTTTCCATAGGAACCATCAAGAGCGTGAGTTTCTGCAGCGTCCTCACATTTTAGGAAGTATCTAACAGTTGCTTTGTCAAGGAGTTCGAGTTCTTACATCCAAGTTATTTTATCTAGACTGCTGCAAACTCACTAGGAAAACTAATTTGGACTTTTTAGAAGAAAGCCTGGATCTAACATTTATTAACATGCCTCCCTGGGGACCGCTAGACCAAAGAGCACAGCTCACACCCTTCTATCATCTGATGACTGAAGAGGCTGCTTCTCCGGCAGCAACCACCTCTTACAGGAAGGATCAAAAGACTGCATTGTCTGTGCAACTGTTAAGTACCACAGTTGCAGCCTGTTGCTTTGTCCACAGAAATAAAGCTCTGCGACTTCCCTGCTTCCGCCCAGTGCCCTGCAGGTTCCAAAACCCCAAGTCTCCATTCCACAGGACCACCCCCAAGCCCAGCCTCCTCATTTTCCTCTCGTGACCCCTCAGCATTTTTCTTTCCACTTTTGTTTGTTTGTTTGCTCGTTTTTGACGGAGTCTCGCTCTTTTGCCCAGGCTGGAGTGCAGTGGCATGATCTCAGCTCACTGCCACCATGCCGGGCTAACTTTTGTATTTTTAGTAGAGATGGGGTTTCAACCATGTTGTCTAGGCTGGTCTTGAACTCCTGACCTCGTGATCCACCCACCTTGGCCTCCCAAAGTGCTAGAATTACAGGCATGAGCCACTGCACCCGGCCTTCTCTCCACTTTTGAAACCAAAAATCCACCCAAGGCTTTACTTGGAAACTGTAACACACTGAATACATAGAATGAGGCACCTCTACGCTACAGACAGTTGTCGAGCCTGGAACTGCCTGACCAGGTTTCTAACCTTGAATTCAGTCTTTGAATATGTTTTCTTCTTCCTGTGTCGGGCAAGTCTAATGATCAATAGCTACTGTTTGCAGAACACTTACTTTGTGCTGGGCCCTATTTGAAGTGCGTTGCAAGCGTTATTTAGTTTTCATGACAAACCTATGAGGAACAAACAATTGTCTTCCTATTTTACAGATAAGAAAACTGAGGCCTAGGCCAGGCACAGTGGCTCACGCCTGTAATCCCAGCACTTTGGGAGACTGAGGTGGGAGGATCGCCTGAGGTCAGGAGTTTGAGACCAGCCTGGCCAACATGGTGAAACCCTGTCTCTACTGAAAATACAAAACTAGCTGGGTGTGGTGGCGGGTGCCTGTAATCCCAGCTACTTGGGAGGCTGAGATAGGAGAATCACTTGAACCCGGGAGGTGGAGGTTGCAGTGAGCTAAGATTGCACCACTGTACTCCAGCCTGGGTGAGAAGAGTGAGATCCTGTCTCAAAAAAAAAAAAAAAGAAAAAGAAAGAAAGAAAGAAAGAAAGAAAGAAAGAAAGAAAGAAAGAAAGAAAGAAAGAAAGAAAACTGAGGCCTAGTGAGTTTAGTGGGTTAAATCACTTATCCAAAATCATACAGGTAGAGCTGGGCTTCAAAGCTAGGCAGTCAACTCTGCCATAGCTATTTGAAGAACTGTACCCTTCAAGTGAAAACCCCTTTCTCTCCAAGAATCCTCTTTTATTTTTTTGAGACGGAGTTTTGCTTTTGTTGCCCAGACTGGCATGCAATGGCACGATTTTGGCTCACTGCAACCTCCACCTCCCAGGTTCAAGTGATTCTCCTGCCTCAGCCTCCCGAGCAGCTGGGATTACAGGTGTGTGCCACCACGCCTGGCTAATTTTGTATTTTTAGTAGAGATGAGGTTTCACCATGTTGGCCAGGTTGGTTTCGAACCCCTGACCTCAGGTGATACACCTGCCTTTGCCTCCCAAAGTGCTGGGATTACAGGTGTGAGCTACGGTGCCTGGCTGAATCCTCTTTTTTCCCCCCACTGTTCAGCTCAAAAGAACCTCAGTTGTGAAGCTTATTTTCTGAATTCTCTTCCCTGGGGCATGTTTTTCATATCGCTCTTGGAGTTGTTGCCATGCTGTGATAATGGGAGCACCCAAGCCTGTCCTTTCCTGCCCCTTCTCTTGCAGCAGAGGGAGGATGTTGCCTCATGTTCATTGCTGACTCCCAGCTCCTAGAAGAAGCTCCACAAATGTTTGCTGATTGAAATAATGATGAACACTAAGATGGTGGATTCTGCCACAAGTGATTCTAGGGACCAGGATGAGCATCACACTTGGCTGGGATCCTGGAGGATAGAGAATGAGTGAAAGGTACGATACTGGACTTTTAGGAGTTTGGGATCTAACTGGGAAGTTATATGTGCATGGGTTGAAATATGCAGCTTAAGGCTTAATGAAGCAACAGATTAGCGAAGGCAAAAAAAAAGCCTATCTAGATATTGATTAGTGACGTGGATCAATGTAAAACATTTTACATTGAGACCAGCCTGGGCAACATGGTGAAACCTTGTCTCTACAAAAAATACAAAAATTAGCTAGGCATGGTGGTGCGCACCTGTACTCCCAGCTACTCAGGAGGCTGAGGTGGAAAGATCACTTGAACCTAGGATTGTCAAGGCTGTGGTGAGCTGAGATTGCACCACTGTACTCCAGCCTGGGTGAGAGAGTGAGATCCTGTCTCAAAAAAAAAAAAAGAAAAAAAAAGTTATCCAGGAAAATCTGGACCATCGCCTAATTCTTCTCCATATATATATATATATATATATGTTTTTTTTTTTTTGAAGGAAATAGACCTTCAAAGTCACTCCTTTGATCTTAACATTGCTCTCAAAATGGCAACTGCTCATTCATACTGCAAAAAAGTTTGAGCTCTAATTTTGTGCTAGACTAGACACTGGGGCTTAAAAAGAAAAAGGAATGGGATGTGTCCCTTTCTGGAAAAATTCATAGCAGGTTGGCCAGTTATTAACATTGGTCATGGTAGTGGCCGTCTTTTTGAATGTTTATTCAAAAGACTAAACACTAGATGTTTATTACTTAATTTAATGTTCATGTTAGGGGGGAGATACTTTCGTTATATCTATTTTAGAAGAGAAGAAAGAGTTTAAACTTACCAAGTACTATGAATTGAATTTAGTCCCCAGAAAAAAAGATGTATGTTGAAGTCCTAACCCCCAGCACCTCAGAACGCAACCTACTTGGAAATAGTGTCATTGCAGATGTAGTTAAGACCAGGTCATATTGGAAGAAGGTAGACCCTTAATCCCACGCCACTGATGTTCTTATAAGAAGAGGAGAAGGGCCGGGCATGGTGGCTCATACCTGTTATCCCAGCACTTTGGGAGGCTGAGGTGGGCAGATCACCTGAGGTCAGTAGTTCGAGACCAACCTGGCCAACATGGTGAAACCCCGTCTCTACTAAAATACAAAAATTACAGGTGTGGTGGTGCACGCCTGTAATCCCAGCTACTTGGGAGGCTGAGGTGGGAGAATTGCTTGAACATGGGAGGCGGAGGTTGCAGTGAGCCGAGATCATGCCACTGCACTCTGGCCTGGGCAACAGAGGGAGACTCTGTCTCAAAAAAAAAAAGAAGAGAAGATACAGAGAGGAAAATCCCATGTGGAGACTCAGAGAGAGGCACACAGAGAGAAGATGGCCATGTGAAGATGGAGGCAGAGACTGGGGTGACGCACCTACAGCCTAGGGACGCCTAGGATCACTGGCCATCACCAGGAACCAGGAGAGAGCTCTGGAACAGATTCTCCCCCAGAGACCCAAGCCAGAATCAACATTGCCCACACCCTGCACTCAGACTTCTAGCCTCCAGAACTGTGAGACAATCAATGTCCATTGTGCTTTTTTGTTTGCTTGTTTGTTTGTTCGTTTGTTGAGACAGGGTCTCACTCTGTTGCCCAGGCTGGTGTGCAGTAATATAATCACAGCTCACTGCAGCCTTGACCTCCTGGGCTCAAGCCATCCTCCCACCTCAGCCTCTCGTGGGGCTGGGACCATTGGGTGTGTGCCACTATGCCTGGCTAATTTATTTTTATTTTTTATAGAGATAGGGTCTCCCTATGTTGCCTGGGCTGATTGCCAACTCCTGGGCTCAAGCCATCCTCCCGCCTTGGCCTCCCAAAGTGCTGGGATTGCAGGGGGCAGCCACCGCACCCGACCTTCTCATCATAATTTATATGCTCCCTGAGATCTCTCCGCCTTCCATTCCTGCTTAAATTTAAGCTCCTTGTGAGCAGAGACCGGGTCTGGCTTGTCCCCAGAATTGAGGGCCGGATCTGGGACTTTGGAACGGATCTGTGGAATGAACTTTTCATCAATGAAAGCAATGTAAAAAATGAAATGGATTCCCCAGGAGGACCTATGAGTGAAGGGTTCACCAGAGGCCCCAAAGGTGGGCATTCACGCATGGAAGGGCAATTAGACGAAAGCATCTTGAGATGTCGAGGATGACTGTTTATTTACAGTCCAGTTTAAAATGAGGCTGTGTTTCCATCGGGGCTCAGGTCTATCAAAGGGCTTCCTTTACCTGCATAGAGCCCTTTACCTGCATGGAGCTGCATGGAGAGTTCAAAAGCCTTTGGGCAGAGAATTAGCCCTAAGGAATGAGAGAGTCACACTCTCTCAGGTTCTAGAACAATAGGCCAAGGACAGAGAGAAGATTCAACTCTTGAGGCCAGAAAGTGTCTATTTCCCAGGCTATCCTGTGGCCCAGCTCCCAGAGCGAGAAGACTGAATCATAGAGGAAATAAAAACAAGATGACGAACTTGATGCCAGGCGCAGTGGTTCACGCTTGTAATCCCAGCACTTTGGGAGGCCAAGGTGGGTGGATCGCTTGAGTCCAGGAGTTCGAGACCAGCCTGGTCAACACAGGGAGACCCCATCTCTACAAAAAATTTTTTTAAAAATTAGCCATGCATGTGTAATCCCAGCACCTTGGGAGGCCGAGAAGGGTGGATCATGAGGTCAGGAGATCACGACCATCCTGGCTAACATGGTGAAACCCCGTCTCTACTAAAAAAAAATACAAAATAATTAGCTGGGCGTGGTGATGGGCACCTGTAGTCCCAGCTACTCAGGAGGCTGAGGCAGGAGAATGGTGTGAACCCAGGAGACGGAGCTTGCAGTGAGCGGAGATCGAGCCACTGCACTCCAGCCTGGGCAACTGAGCGAGACTCTGTCTCAAAAAAAAAAAAAAAATTAGCCATGCATGGTGGTGCATGTCTGTAGTCCCACCTACTGGGGAGGCTGAGATGGGAGGATCATTTCAGCCTGGGAGGGCAAGGCTGGATGACAGGAGACCCTGTCTTTAAAAAAAGGGCCAGGCACGGTGGCTCACGCCTGCAAATCCCAGCACTTTGGGAGGCCGAGGCGAGTGGATTGCCTGGGGTCAGGAGTTTGAGACCAGCCTGACCAACATAGTGAAACTCTGTCTCTACTAAAAATACAAAAATTAGCTGGGCATGGTGGCAGGTGCCTGTAATCCCAGCTACTCAGGAGGCTGAGGTGGGAGAAGTGCTTGAACCTGGGAGACAGAGGTTGCAGTGAGCCGAGGTTGTGCCACTGCACTCCAGCCTGGGTGACAGAGCAAGACTCTGTCTCAAAAAAAAAAAAAAAAGATATGCTTGAGTAACATCTCTACTGAGGAGTGAGAAGGCTTGGTGGCCTCAGTGGCCCAGGCTGTGATGGCCAGAAGCTCCATCGAGGTCAGGGTAGCCCTGCAGGCTTCCACATCAATGGCACCTAGTGGCTGCCATCACTGCAGGAGCTGGGAGGGCTGCCTTGACTGATGAGGTTGATTGTGCCCTGGTGTGGGCTTGGCCTGCCCAGAACATGCAGTGCCTTTTCCTAACTAGCACAGATAAGCCATCTGGGCCTGGAACCATGGCAGGAGGGCAGGAGGTTGTGGCCAGACTGGAGAACCATGTTCTTACATGGGACACTCCCTAGGGTTGAGGTGGGCTCTACAAGCTGGGAGAAGGGAGCCAGAGAATAGTGTCCAGTTCACAATCTTTGTGGCTGGTTTTTCTTTTTTTTTTTTTTTGAGACGGAGTCTCACTGTATCACCCAGGCTGGAGGGCAGTGACATGATTTCAGCTCACAGCAACCTCTGCCTCCTGGGTTTAAGCAATTCTCATGCCTCAGCCTCCTGAGTAGCTGGGATTACAGGCATGCGCCACCATGCCCAGCTGATTTTTGTAATTATTTTTAGTAGAGACGGGGTTTCACCATTTTGGCCAGGTTGGTCTCAAACTGCTGACCTCGAGTGATCCACCCACCTCACCCTCCCAAAGTGCTGGATTACAGGTGTGAGCCACCGCGCCCGACTGTGGCTGGTTTTTCATACCTGGACTGGTTTTGTCAGAGAAAATAGAATAATGACTGTTCCTAAGACTATTAAATTATCCTTCCTTAACTGTGAGTGTCAGAGGCTCTTCCTGACCCTTCCTGGCCTTGCTCTCAGAACACTTCACACTTCAGTGGCAAGCCAGAAGGGAAGTCCACAGAACTAGAGCTGTGAGTGCATTCTCACTGACTTGAGAGCGGACAGGTTGCTAGTCCCTTCCTGGGCCCACCACAGGAGGAGAACCAGGCTGGGTGGGTGGGTCCCTACCTTCCAGGAGCTCTAGGTCTATTTGGAGGGCAAAGCACAGAGCGTGCTCACGACCAAGGTGGATGGAATGCTTTAAAGCTCAGAGCTCCATGGAGCAGCAGAGCCTTGAAATGTCTTAGCCATCTGCATTGAGCACAGGAAGGTATTTTAGTCAGTGACTAAGTCTTCTTGTTCAGAGAGAGAGGTGTGATCTTGAAGGACACTTTTAGAGAAAAAGCTAACAATCATTGAGTGTCTCTTCTGTGACAGGCATTAAGTCACATGTAGATGTTTCATATAAATTAAGTCACTTAATACTTTTTTTTTTTTGAGATGGAGTCTCGCTTGTAACCCAGGCTGGAGTACAGTGGCATGATCTCAGTTCACTGCAACCTCTGCCTCCCAGATTCAAACAATTCTTCCTGCCTCAGCCTTCCAAGTAGCTAGGATTACAGGCACCTGCCACCATGCCTAGCTAATTTTTGTGTTTTTTTAGTAGAGATGGGGTTTTGCTGTTGGCCAGGCTGGTCTTGAACTCCTGACCTCAGGTGATCCGCCTGCCTCGACCTATCAAAGTGCTGGGATTACAGGTGTGAGCCACCGCGTCCGGCCAAAGTCACTTAATTCTTACAGCAACAATTACAACAGATAATGACACTGATGTCCAAAGAGGCGGCCCACCCTGCTCCACAGCCTAGTGGTTCCAAAGCAGAGGGTCGTGGAGAAATGAAGTAGTTGATCCTATGAGGACAAACACTGGGGATACCTTTCCATTTCTTTCTTCATTGAATTCTCAGGGCTTAACTCAGGGCCCAGAGCATAGTAAGTGCTCAATTAATATCTGTGGGATGAGTGAAAACCAAGGACAACCTGCTAGAATATTGTGGTTTATGTCGTAGGGGCATTTCCATGGGCACGGACCCACTTGATCTTCATACTGACCTTATGAAGAAGAATGAGAGCAAGTATTGTTGCTGCTGTGGCTGTATTGTCGCTGCTGCCGTTGTGTTGTTGTTGTTGTTGTTTTATGGTTGCTGTTATCATTCTCCTTTTGTAGACAAGGGAATTGACAGGCAGCGCAGAGAGTTTAAGTTTCTCCAGGGTGAGACAGTTAAGGCTGCCAGGGCTCCAGTCCAGCTCAAGTCTTCTGATCCCAAATCCCAGGTTTGTCCCAGTGTACTCTGATGGCAAAGTCAGCCAGAACCTACAGCTAATTACCTTGTTCTAATAAGGAAGTTACGGTCTTACTTCAGACGCCGAGATTGGTGCCTCCTGCCTCCTCCTCGCTTTTTCTCTCCACTCAAGGATAGCTCTGTCTTTACCTCGTAGAAGGAGGTGACCACCCCTGACTCCCCAGCAACACCATCTCCCACCATCCTGGCTTCCTTCCAGCTAAGATGGGTGGAGACACTGAGAAAATTCCTGGCCGGAAAATTCATCCTGGAAAATAGCTCAACTCTACCTGGCCTGTCATATGCGGGCAATACCATCTCAGGATGGGGTAGCGAATTAGGTGACACTAGCATGTGGAATGCTCTGTGAATTTCCAAGCCTGTGCAAATGTTAGTTATTATCTTTTTTTCTTTTCTTTTCTTTCTTTTTTTTTTTTTTTTTTTTCTGAGACAGGGTCTCACTCTGTCACCCAGGCTGGAGTGCAGTGGTGCGATCTTAGCTCACTGCAACCTCCACCTCCCGGGTTCAAGTGATTCTCCTGCCTTAGCCTCCTGAGTAGATGGGACTACAGGCTTGTGCCACCATGCCCGGATAACTTTTGTACTTTTTGGTAGAGACGGGGTTTCACCATGTTGGTCAGGCTGGCCCCAAACTCAAGGGTTCTGTCCGCCTTGGCCTTCGAAACTGCTGGGATTACAGGTGTAAATCACCACACCTGGCACAGTTATTATCATCTTTTCAGCATCACCTTCCTGAAATGCCTCTGTGTGGCCTCTAGAGACGTCTGGGGCTTCCAAATTGCCTTCTGAGAAGGAAGGATAATCTAATTACCTCATCCCTTTCCTTCCATGGGAATAATGGGCTGGGGCTCCATGTAAGAGGGGCATGGAGGCTGTGAGGAAGGGAAAGGAATGTTATGTTTTGTAGGAAGAGGACAGAGGAGCAGGGTTTTGTGAAACAAGCATGCAGGCCTAGTCTGCTTCACACTTCACACCTTTGCTCAGAAATAAACTTGGATGAGGCAGACTGATACCCTCAGTGAATTTTTTAGTAGAAAGGGAGGATATCCCATTCAACAATAATTTATTAAGTTCCTGCTGTGTTCTATAAAGGTATAATAGAGGTATATTAGCAAGGTACAGTAGTACCTCATTGTGCTTTCGACTTTTTTTTTTTTTTAGATGGAGTCTTGCTCTGTTGCCCAGGCTAGAGTGCAGTGGTACGATCTTGGCTCACTGCAACCTCCGTCTCCCAGGTTCAAGCAATTCTCCTGTCTCAGCCTCCGGAGTAGCAGGGGTTACAGGCACACACCACTGCACCCAGCTAACTTTTGTATTCTTAGTAGATGGGGCTTTCACTGTGTTGGCCAGGCTGGTCTCGAACTCCTAACCTCAGGTGATCTGCCCACCTTGGCCTCCTAAAATGCTGGGATTACAGGCATGAGCCACCACGCTGGGTGCTTTTGGCTTTCTGACAACTTCCTTTCTCCACAATAGGGTCAAACGTTAGGAAAGGGGCCTGGCGTGGTGGCTTATACCTGTAATCCCAGCACTTTAGGAGGTCAAGGTGGGTGGATCACTTGAGGTCAGGAGTTCGAGACCAGCCTGGCCAATATGGTAAAACCTTGTCTTGACTAAAAAGACAAAAATTAGCCACGTGTCGTGGTAGGCACCTGTAATCCAAGCAACTTGGGAGGCTGAGGCAGGAGAATCACTGGAACCTGGAGGCGGAGTTTGCAGTGAGCAGAGATTGCACCACTGCACTCCAGCCTGGGTGACAGAGTAAGACTCTATCTCAAAAAAAAAAAAAAAAAAAAAGGCTAGGCGCGGTGGCTCACACCTGTAATCCCAGCACTTTGGGAGGCCGAGGCGTGCAGATCACCTGAGGTCAGGAGTTCGAGACCAGCCTGGTCAACATGACGAAACCCCGTCTCTACTAAAAATACAAAAATTAGCTGGGCATGGTGGCAAGCACCTATGATCCCAGCTACTTGGGAGGCTGAGGCGGGAGAATCGCTTGAACCTGGAAGGTGGTGGTTGCAGTGAGCCGAGATTGTGCCACTGCACTCCAGCCTGGGCAAGAGAGCGAGACTCCGTCTCAAAAAAAAAAAAAAAAACCAACAAACCAACAAACAAAAAAAAGTAAGAATTAGAAAGGAAACACAAAGTCATTGATTAGTCAGAATTATGCCTCAAGTACACACATAAATCTGTGCATTTACATGTTTACTCTTAGCTGTTCATACTTGATTTGCATATAGTTATAGCAGATCAAGAAGTCACAAACTTGAAAGAGAAAGAGTTGCTGCTGTGGATGGATCCATAAACAATGGTCTAAAATTGGCCTAGGCCGGGCGCAGTGGCTCATGCCTGTAATCCCAGCACTTTGGGAGGCCAAGTTGGGAAGATTGCTTGAGCCCGGGAGTTTGAGACCAGCCTGGGCAACACAGCAAGACCCCATCTCTACAGTATCAGTTTTTAAAAATTAGCCTAAAGTCAAGATAGGAAAGAAGGAAATCTACCAAAAATGGTCATGGGAACTCAAAAAGTCAGCTGTGAGTTAGTGTGGAGGATAAATGGCCTTGTGTAACTCAATCACTTTTGTATTGACATCACTGCATGACCACATGGTACAAAACAAATCATGGAACTGCAGAACATGTGAATTAGATGAACAGTATTGTCAGGCCAACCTCTGCAAGGTGTGTGTGTGTGCCTGTAATCCCAGCTACTTCGGAGGCTGAGACAAGAGAATTGTTTGAACCTGAGAGGCGGAGGTTGCAGTGAGCTGAGATCATGCCACTGTACTCTAGCCTGGGTGATAGAGCAAGACTCTGTCTCAAAAAGAAAAGAAACTTGCTCCAGGTTGCACAGATAGCCAGGCAGTGTGAGCGTGGGAGCCCGGATCTCAAACCTAACTGGTCGGGGCTCTCTCTACCTCTCCACCCAGGACTCAGAACTGAGACCCCAAATTTCCAAGAAAAGGGCAAATTCTGTTCTAAGTATCTTATCTGAGACAGTAGGGGTATGTGTAGTTGCCTTTGGGAAGATTTCCACCAGAAATGATGCTAACAAAGAAAAGATTGGGAGCATAAAAGGGTCCTACATGCACTGTTGCCCATAAATACATATCCCAGGTATCTAGCTGACCCCCAGGATGCCAGCAACAAAGGTTATCCTATGGTAGAAAGAAATGGCCCCTTCCTTCAAGAAGCCCACGCAACCTTGGAGGGTCAGGGCAGGTGACCTGACTCACACCCAGGCAGAGGCCAACCAGGCCATGAGAACCCAAGGGTGGGGCCACAGGGAGGCCTTCTGCCAGGACAGGCTGTGATTCCCTGAAATGTGCCAGGGGAGCGTGCGGAACATCTTGTCAGATATATAAATATCAGGCAGGCTTATTGGGTGTCTATGGCCACATACTTTTAATTCGGCAACCCTGCCCCCGGTGGTGGGCACCCTGCCAGTCTGCATTCCCACATCCTGCCGCCGGCTCCTGGCCCACCCGTTTCTATATTGAGGAGCTCCTCTCCATAAATAAAGCACAGGAGTCAGGCACCAAAGAAAGGCCATTTGGAGCGCCGGGAAGGCTGTCACATGGGCCAACAAAGGGCAGGAAGTGCCGGGTGGTGGCCCCTGTGTCCGTCCCCGGGCCCAGCTCACCTGGCTGGGCTATGGGGCCTTTGTGCAAAAACTATCAGGCCCAAGTCCTGAACTTCCTGCCATTTGTCAGGCTGTGCTGTGACCCGGGGTTCACTGAAATGCTTGCTGCTCCCAACAATGCACACACACATCCTTTGGAAAAATTCTCTCTCTCTCTCCCATCCAGGCAGCAATGGCTTTTTTTGGAAGCGGCTGCAGGGATGCAGGGCTGAGCAGTGGAAAGTTAGGTTGCATTTCCCTCCTGAAGAGGCCCCACTCAGAGAGGGAAAGGAGAGGGCAGAGCCCCAGCAGCAGGGGACTGAAGCTCAGGGCTCTCACCCCAGGAGCTGTGCCGCCATGGTGTGGGGGTGTCTGTGTCTGGGACTCATTTGCTTCCGGCTCCTGTTCACCACTCCAGATGCCCCCTCCCTCCTGGCTCCTCTGAGACTCAAGGGCTTCACTGCCCAAGAGTGGGAAGCAGTGAGTGTCACAAACACCTGCGTGCCTACAGAGTCCAGTTTCCAGGAGCACAAAATCAGGACAAATGGGCTGGGTGGGGTGGCTCACACCTGTAATCACAGCACTTTGGGAGGCTGAGGCAGGTGATCACTTGAGGTCAGCAGTTCAAAACCAGCCTGGCCAACATGGTGAAACCCTGTCTCTACTAAAAATACAAACATTAGCTGGATATAGTGGCGGATGCCTGTAATCCCAGCTACTTGGGAGGCTGCGGAAGGAGAATCGCTTGAACCCAGGAGGCGGAAGTTGCAGTGAGCCAAGATCACTCCATTGTACTCCAGCCAGCCTGGGCAACAGAGTAAGGCTCTGTCTCAAAAAAAAAAAAAAAAAAAAAAAAAAAAAAGACAAATGTTTGAGACAGAGTCTAAGGGGATGGACAGCTGGGTGTGGGGTCATCCGCTGCACTGCCTGGACTAGTCATGTCCCTGGATCCCAGTCCTGATCTGGTGAGAGGACACTCAGGATAGCTTCCCCTGCCAATAACCAAAGCAAGAGATCAAATGACTACTCCACTCACTTGAGCTGTGCTCAGCCCTGGTGAGGGGCTGTCGACAGTGGCTCCCAAATGCTGGGATGGACATTGATAAAGTGGTCACCTGTCCCCTGGGAACTGAAAAAGAAAAGACATGTAATGAATCTTCCATCTTGCTAAATGTATTCCATGGAAAAGACTGTCCTCTTTTTCTGAGATTTTCTGAAACAAAGAAAAAGAAAAATATGTTGAATTTTTCTATACTGCTAAGCTTATTCAGTTTCAAAAGTTGTTTATTCCACTTTTGAAATTGAATAAATAAAGTTGTGTATTCAACTTTTGAAATTGAATAAGCTTAGCAGTATAGCGTTATTTCAAAAGTTTATTCTAGGATTATGTTCTTTCTCCTTTCTTAGTGTTAAAATGTGACTTTGTTTATGACAACACAGTAATTTAAAAAATGTGTTTGTTTGGGCCGGGTGCGGTGGCTCATGCCTGTAATCCCAGCAATTTGGGAGGCCGAGGCGGGCGGGTCACCTGAGGTAGGGAGTTCGAGACCAGCCTGACCAACATGGAGAAACCCCGTCTCTACTAAAAATACAAAATTAGCTGGGGGTGGTGGCACATGCCTGTAATCCCAGCTACTTGGGAGGCTGAGGCAGGAGAATCGCTTGAGCCCAGGAGGCAGAGATTGTGGTGAGCCGAGATCACACCATTGCACTCCAGCCTGGGCAACAAGAGTGAAACTCTGTCTCAAAAAAAAAAAAAAAAAAAAAAGGAAAAAAATGTGTTTGTTTGATAAAATAAAAAGTTGACAACCCTGTGCTAGTCTTCCAAATGAAAAATCGAGAGCCTGTGGTTTGTGAAGTTCCCAAGTGGAGGAGCCAGGGCCATGGGGGACACAGAAGACGTAGGAGACAAGGTTGTTGCCCTCGAGCTTGTGACATGGTTGGTGGGACGCAAAGCCTGTAATGTGGCACATTATAAGACCTCCCGGGTCTGTGCCCAAGTGTGTGGAAGGAGTGACTCATGCTGTTGGAACTAAGAGTCGAGGCTGGTCAGAGGCAGCACCTGCCACATCGGTCCATAGAAAGTGCTCAGTTAAAATTGGCTGAATTGGCCGGCCATGGTGGCTCACATCTATAATCCCAGCACTCTGGGAGGCGAAAGTGGAAGGATCTTTTGAACCCAGCAGTTGGAGACCAGCCTGGGTAATATAGTGAGATTCCAACTCTAAAAAATATAAATATAAAAAAGTTGGGTGAGCATGGTGGCATGTGCCTGTAGTCCCAGCTACTAGGGAGGCTAAGGTGAGGGGATCACTTAAACCTGGGAGGTAGAGGTTGCTGTGAGACAAGATTGTGCCACTGAACTCCAGCCCGGGCAACAGAGTGAGTCTCTGTCTCAAATAAATAAATAAAATAAAATAAGCTGAACCAATGAATGATGGGAAGGCTGGAAGAGGATTTAACAAAACTAGGACTTGGAGTGGGAGGAAGTCTTAACAAGGTAGAGGAAATATTGCCGGCTCAGGCAGAGGCATAGAGGCCCCAAGAGCACGTTTGTGTGGGGGTTACTGACTTAAGAGTCATGGGATTTGATGTTAGACAAGTGGAAGTGAGCCTTGAGAGCCAGACACAGGTGTTCAGACTTGATGCAGCCAGAAACAGGGAGCCATAGAAAGTTCTCAAGCAGGGAAGTGCCGAGAGCAAATGATAGCATAAGTCTATTTCTGTGACGCCTCAGTGTAGGAGACTTGGAATCCCAGTGCCCATGGGGAGGCTGTCTGAGGACTGTGGCCTGGAAGGACCGAGGGCCTGGGCTTGGGCAGTGGTGCTGATGAGGGGCACTGCTGTGGTGGCAAGGGCTCCGGAAGGTGACTGAGATTTTACTGTGGAGTCTCGGAAAGGTGTTGTTGTTTTATTTTTATCTTATTTTATTTTTGAGATACAGTCTCGTTCTGTCGCCCAGGCTGGAGTGCAGTGCAGTGGTGTGATCTCAGCTCACTGCAACCTCTGCCTCCCAGGATCAAGCAATTCTCCTGCCTCAGCCTCCCGAGTAGCTGGGATTACAGGTGACTGCCACCACGCCCGGCTAATTTTTCTATTTTTAGTAGACACAGGGTTTCACCATGTAGGCCAGGTTGATCTCGAACTCCTGACCTCACGTGAAACACCCACCTCCGATTGCCAAAGTGCTGGAATTACAGGTGTGAGCCACGACGTCCAGCCTTGTTGTTGTTTTAAAGAAGCATGCTTGGGCCGTGTGCTGTGGCTCACACCTGTAATCCCAGCACTTCTGGAGGCCAATGTGGTCAGATTGCTTGAGCTCAGGAGTTCCAGACCAGGCTAGGTAATATGGTGAAACCCTGCCTCTACAAAAAATCCAAAAATATTAGCCAGTCATGGTGGTGCATGCCTGTAGTCCTAGCTACTAGGGAGGCTGAGGTGGGAGGATCACTTGAGCATGGGAGTTCCAGGCTGTGGTGAGCCAAGATCATGCTGTTGCACTCCAGCTTGGGAGACAGAGCCAGACCCTGTCTCAAATAAATAAAGAAGCATACTTAGGGCCGATGCAGTGGTTCACACCTGTAATCCCAGCACTTTGGGAGCCCAAGGCAAGAGGCTCGCCTGAGGCCAGGAGTTTGAAACCAGCCTGGGCAACAAAGCACGACCTTGTCTTTAATAAAAATTCAAAAAAAATCAAGCCAGCCACGGTGGCTCACGCCTGTAATCCCAGCACTTTGGGAGACCGAGGTGGGTGGATCACCTGAGGTCAGGAGTTCGAGACCAGCCTCAACATGGAGAAACCCCGTCTCTACTAAAAATACAAAGTTAGCTGGGCGTGGTGGTGCATGCTTGTAATCCCAGCTACTCGGGAGGCTGAAGCAGGAGAATTGCTTGAAACCGGGAGGCGGAAGTTGTGGTGTGCCGAGATCGCGCCATTGCACTCCATCCTGGGCAACAAGAACGAAACTCAGTCTCAAAAAAAAAAAATAAAGAAATAAAAAATAAAAATCAGCCGAGCATGGTGGCTCGTAATGAGTATATGTGTTTTCAGGGTATATGTGATAGTTTGATCATTCAGATGATCAAATCAGAGTAATTGGAATATCTATCACATTAAATATTTATTTTTCCTTCATGTTAGGAACACTTGAATGATCAAATTCTAGCTATTTTAGTTTTTTGGAGAAAGGGTCTTTCTCTGTTGTCCAGGCTGAAGTGCAGTGGCGCAATTATGGCCCACTGCAGCCTCAACCTCCTAGGCTCAAGCAATACTCTTACCTCAGTTTCCTGAGTAGCTGGGACTGCAGGTGCCTGTCACCTGCCTGGCTAACTTGCTAAGTTAAAGTGGACAATCAACTGACGTTAGCTGTAGTCACCCTAGTGAGCTACTGGACACCAGGTCTTTGTCGTGACTGCTCGAATGGCAATGTAGGAGAGGTAGAGGATTTCGGATGAGCTTGGCTTTGAGTTTGGCAACTTTAAGGGGTAACTGGACAGCTCACGAGCCCTGACCACCTCCCCCAGGGAGGACAGAAGCCATCAGGTACTGTCCTGGACATGCATGGCAGTTGCGGAACCTGATGGAGGTGGAGGTGCGGGGCCTCCCCAGGAAGGGCTCCAGCTTGGTCTAGTAACTGTGGAATTCAGGTCTGGATTAAAGGAGAAGGACTGCCCAGGTTGAGTGACCAATCTCCCTGGAGGGGTGGAGGTGGCTGTCAGGCAGGCGGGGCCACACTGGCAGCTTAGATAACCCCGAGCTATTTCAGGAAGAAAGCACTAAGAAGATAAACAGGCCAGTGGCCAGCAGATGGACAGATAACCTGAGCTTATCCAAGGAGAGGCAGGAGGGGGCCCTTTGGGGGCAGGGTCCTTCAAGACAGGAAGGTGCCAAAGTGCGTCAGAGGGAGATAGGAGGGGCTGGAGCAGGCACGTGAGGCTGGAACTCCAGCTGGGAGGGGCAGCTTCTGCCCTGGCCTGGTCACAAGTGGCAGAGAGAAGTCCTGGTCCTGTGATGCTGATTGAAGTGAGGACGGAGTTCCCTGAGGTCTCCCCAAATCCAGGAGATGCAAACCTTATTTGGGGTCTGAATGCCCACAAGTGGCACCAGCGGCTGAAAGCCTTTTACCATTTATTCATTCAGGTTGTTCACAAGTCAGTGCTCACATTTATTGGAGGCATAACTCCAGCGTGGTGCAGTATGTGTGTGTGTGTGTGTGTGTGTGTGTGTGTGGTCGTATGTGCATGAGAGGGTGGTCTTGTGGGCATGGGTAGTGTATAGGTGGAGTTTGTCACGTGTGCAGGTGGTTAAGGATGTAATGTGCATGTGTAGTGTGTAGGTGGTGTATGTGTATGTGCAAATGCTATGTGTGTGAAATGTGTGGGTGTTGTGTGTGTGAAATGTGTGTGGTGCATTATGTGTGTGTCTGTGGTCCAGTGTATGGTATGTGTGGTCCAGTGTGTGTGTGTGGTCTGAGTGTGGCATAGTGTGTGTGGTATAGTGTGTATGGTGTGAGTGTGTGGTGCAGTGTGTGTGATGAGTGTGGTGTGTGTAGTGTAAGTATGTGGTGCAGCATATATATGTGTGGTGTGAGTGTGTGGTGCAGAGTGTGGTGTGTGTAGTGTTTGTGAGGTGCAGCATGTGTGTGGTGTGTGTGGTGTGTATGTGTAGTGTAAGTGTGTGGTGTGGCATATGTGTGTGTGGTGTGTGTGGTGCTGCAATGTGTGTGTGGTCTGAGTGTGTGGTGTGAGGGTGTGGTGCAGCGTGTGTGTGGTGTGTGTGTGTAGTGTGAGTGTGTGGCGCAGTGTGTGTGTGGCGTGTGGTCTGTATGTAGTGTGTGTAGTGCAGTGTGTTCGGTCTGTGGTATGTTTAGTGTGTGGTGCAGCGTGTATATGTGTGGTGTGAGTGTGTGATGCAGAGTGTGGTGTATGTGGTGTGGTGTGCTGTGGTGTGTGTGTGGTGCTGCAATGTGTGTGTGGTCTGAGTATATGGTGTGAGTGGGTGGCATGAATGTGTTGTGCAGAGTGTGGTGTGTGTGCTGTGTGTGTTGTGCTGCAGTGTGTGCATGACGTGTGTGTGTAGTGTGAGTGTGTGGTGCAGTGGTGCAGTGTGTGTATGTGTGGCGTGTGGTATGTGTGTGTAGTGTGGGTGTGTGGTGTGGTGTGTGTGGTATGTGTGGTGTGTGTGGTGTCTGTGGAGTGTGTGTGGTGTGTGTGGAGTGTGTGTGTGGTGTGAGCGTGTGGTGTCTGTCATGCGTGTCTGTGTAAAGAGACCACCAAACAGGCTTTGTGTGAGCAATAAAGCTTTTTAATCACCTGGGTGCAGGTGGGCTGAGTCTGAAAAGAGAGTCAGCGAAGGGAGACAGGGGTGGGGCCGTTTTATAGGATTTGGGTGGGTAGAGGAAAATTACAGTCAAAGGGGATTTTTCTCTTGCGGGCAGGGGCAGGGATCACAAGGTGCTCAGTGGGCGAGCTTCTGAGCCAGGAGAAGGGATTTCACAAGGTTAATCGCTCAGTTAAGGTGCGGCAGGAACAAATCACAATGGTGGAATGCCATCAGTGAAGACAGGAACTGGTCATTTTCACTTCTTTTGTGATTCTTCACTTGCTTCAGGCCAACTGGATGTATATGTGCAGGTCGCAGGAGATATGATGGCTTAGCTTGGGCTCAGAGGCCTGACAGTGTCTGTCATGGGAGCCTTCACAATTCAGTCCCAGCCTTTCTTGCCCCCTCGCCCTCTCAGGGGACTCCTGGTCTCCTCTGCACAGGCTGGGTGTTTTCCTGGGTCCGGGCCTGCGTTTACACAGCTTCCTCTCTGGGGATGGCTCTGC
The DNA here is from genome assembly GCF_000001405.40 of Homo sapiens. NCBI lineage: Eukaryota > Metazoa > Chordata > Mammalia > Primates > Hominidae > Homo > Homo sapiens. Next base: position 131,588,447 of record NC_000007.14, read on the forward strand.
CCATCCTCTCCACCCTAGAAAGCATCTCTGTCCTTGAGGGATGGGTCCCAGACACCTTTACTGGCAGTGTCCCTGCCCACACCCTCTGCCCTGCCACCTTCCCCAGCCCCTCCTAGGAGCTCCCTGGACATCTGCATGCACATGCATCCATCCTAGGCTTAGCATGGTGGATGGGTGCTGCCCCCCGCACGGGGCTGGAACTCTCCAAGGACCCAGACCAGTTGTGCTGGGCCAGACTAAGCACCTCTCACTCTGGAAGCCCTCTCTGGGCCAGCTGGGGAGGCTCTGCCCCTCCCTGCACCTGCTTCACTTCTGTTCTGCGCTGCTACAGGTATTTTTCCATTGCTCCACGTTCATCAGCCACTTAGGCTGAAGAGTTTAAAAGAGTATTTCACAGGTTCATGGCCACAATGGTTCTATGCCTCTGATCCCAGCCTTCCTGCCACCCTGCCTGCACCCAGGCTAAGAAACCAGGCCTTCCCCAGGCTCCCCTGTTCTCCACTCCCTAAGTCCAATCACTGACTGCATTTGTTCTGTTCCTTCTTCCTTGTCACTGTCTCTTCTTACTGTCCCACCTCAGTTTGGGTTTTTATTCCTCCTGACTAGACTACAATAATAACAACAAATATTTATGAGGCAAATGCAACAAAACAAAAATAGACAAATGAGACTTAATTAAACTAAAAAGCTTCTGCATAGCAAAAGAAATAATCAACACAGTAAATGGACAACATACAGAATAGGAAAGATTATTTGCAAACCATGCATCTGACAAAAGGACTAATATCCGGAATCTATAGGGAACTCAAACAGCTCAACAAGAAAAAAACAGCCCCATTGAAAAAGCGCACAAAGGACATGAACAGATATTTCTCAAAAGAAGACATAAAAGTAAGTGGCCAACAAACATATGAAAAAATGCTCAACCTCACTAATCATAAGGGAAATGCAAATTAAAGCCACAATGAGATGCCATCTTACATCAGTCAGAATGGCTATTATGAAAAGGTCAAAAAGCAACAGATGTTGGTGAGGATGTGAAGAAAAGGGAACACTTACACGCTGTTGGTGGGAATGTAAATTAGTACAACCTTTGTGAAAAACAGTATGGAGATTTCTCAAAAAACTCAAAATAGAACTACCATTCAATCCAGCGATACCACTGCTAGGTATCTATCCAAAGGGAAATAAATTATTATATTAAAAAGATGCCTGCACTCATATGTTTATTGCAGCACTATTCACAATAACAAAGATGTGGAATCTGCCTAAACGTCCATCAACAGAGGATTGGATAAAGAAAATGGTATACTACTCAGCCACAGGAAAGAATGAAATCAGGCTGGGCGTGGTGGCTCATGCCTGTAATCCCAACACTCTGGGAGGCCGAGGCGGGTGGATCACGAGGTCAAGAGATGGAGACCATCCTGGCCAATATGGTGAAACCTTGTCTGTACTAAAAATAGAAAAATTAGTATTTTTCTGGGCATGGTGGTGCATGCCTGTAGCTCCAGCTACTCAGGAGGCTGATGCAGGAGAATTGCTTGAACTCGGGAGGTGGAGGTTGCAGCGAGCCGAGATTGCGCCATTGCACTCTAGTCTGGGCAACAGAGAGAGACTCCATCTCAAAAAAAAAAAAAAAAAAAAGAATGCCATCATACCTTTTGCAGCAACCTGGATGGAACTAGAGGCCATTGTCCTAAGTGAAATAACTCAGAAACAGAAAGTCAAATACCATGTATTCTCACTTATAAGTGGGAGCTAAACGATGGGTACATATGGACATACAGGGTGTAATAATGGACATTGGAGACTCCAAAAGGTGGGAGGGTGGGAGGAGGGTGAGCGATGAGAACTTACCTGCTGTGTACAATGTGCACTATTCAGGTGATGGGTATGCTAGAAGCCCAGGCTACACGGCGAAGTATATGCATGTAAGAAATCTGCACTTATACCCCCAAAATCTATAAACATTTGTAAAAGATAGCCTTTCTGCTGGGTGTGGTGGCTCGCACCTGTAATCCCAGCACCTTGGAGGCCGAGGTGGGCAGATCACCTGAGGTCGGGAGTTTGAAACCAGCCTGACCAACATGAAGAAACCCTGTCTCTACTAAAAAAAAAAGATACAAAATTAGCCAGGGATGGTGGCTCATGCCTGTAATCCCAGCTACTGGGGAGGGTGAGGCAGGAGAATCGATTGAACCTGGGAGGCGGAGGTTGCAGTGAGCAGAGATCGCGCCATTGCACTCCAGACTGGGCAACAAGAGCGAAACTCCTTCTAAAAAAAAAAAAAAAAAAAGATGTCCTTTCCAGTTTTAACTCACAAAGATATTCTCCTACATTTATCTTCCTTCCTTCCTTCCTTCCTTCCTTCCTTCCTTCCATCCATCCATCCATCCTTTCTTTCTTTCTTTCTTTCCTTTTTTTCAGGGTCTTGCTGTCACCCAGGCTGGAGTTCAGTGGTGTGATCTCGGCTCACTGCAGCCTCTGCCTCCGGGTTTAAGCAATTCTCCTGCCTCAGCCTCCCGAGTAGCTGGAATTACAGGCACATGCCACCACACCTGGCTAATTTTTGAATTTTTAGTAGAGACGGGGTTTCACCATGTTGGCCATGCTGGTCTTGAACTCCTGACCTCAAATGATCCACCCGCCTGGACTTCCCAAAGTGCTGGGATTACAGGTGTGAGCCACCGTGCCTGGCCTCTCCTACATTTTCTCAAACTCCTGGGCTCATGTGATCCTCTCACCTCAGCCTCCCAAGTACCTGGGACTCCAGGCATGTGCACCACCTGGCCCATAATCTCTCTCTATTTTTTCAGTATTGAGTGTTATCCAGAGTCAGGTATTCTGCAAAGAGCTTTGCAGACATGATCTTAATAGGCAGAGACTGTTTTAGATACTTTACGTGTATTAATACACTTAATCCTCATAACAACCCTATGAAGTAGGTACTATTATTATTGTCCCCGTGTTACATATGAGGAAACTGAGGCACTGGACGATCAAGTAACTTCTCCAGGGTCACACAGGTAATAGGTTGAAAAGTCAAGGAATCTGGCTTCAGGGACTGTGTTCTCAACCTCTTTGCTAGACCACTGCTCCAACTGACTTCCACAGCAACTCTTAGACCAGGCAAACAGGTGCTACTCCTGCTGGGGAGAAGGGAAGCCCCTTGCTTGGGCTCACAGCCCTAGCCAGTGGCCAAGGCAGTCCAAGACCAGAGCCTGTGCCCTGAGCCACTTAGCCTCTTCTCCCACTGGGAAAGACTGCTGGAGACGGGGACCTGGATCCAGGTGGTTCATTTTAGGAAGTGGATCCCAAAGAATGGGAGTAGGAGACTGAGAGTGAATGGGAAAGGAGGGCACACCAATCTAAGGATGCATTTCCAAGCTGTCACTGCTGTGTGCAGCTGGGCTCCAACCTGCTGTGAGCCTCTGAGGAGTACACAGAATGGGGCTCAGAACTATCCCTGGGAAGAATGGAAGAGACGGCATTTATCCGCTGGCTTGTGTTCCCTATGGGCCAAGCGTTATCCTGTCACATGTGTGAGTGTCCAGAGTGCCTGTCCTGGGCACAGAGGGGCCCTGGGGCAGAAATGAAATGGTCACAGGTGCAGCTGAGCCCAGGGGCTGTGGCCAGGGCTGAGGGAAGGGTGGGTGAGAGTGCGTGAGGCCAAGGCGCTGTCCAGCGTTACTATTACTGACACTTCCCATGTACTCTTCTGCACTTTCTCTTCCTGTGTGTCTTTCTAATTTCACGCAGACAGCTGGCTTCTGGTAGGAAGCACTTTAGCACCTTGATCATTGTTTCCACAGTGCCCAGCGTGGTTCTGGGAAGAGGGCATGCGCTCCAATATCAGCCAGCCTTTTTTTTTTTTTTTTTTTTTGAGACGCGGTCTTGCTCTGTTGCCCAGGCTGGACTGCAGTGGTGCGATCTCGGCTCACTGCAACCTCTGCCTCTCGGGTTCAAGTGATTCTCCTATCTCAGCCTCCCGAGTAGCTGGGATTACAGGCACACACCACCACGCCCGGCTTATTTTTGTCTTTTTAGTAGAGATGGGGTTTTACCATGTTGGCCAGGATGGTCTCCAACTCCTGACCTCAGGTGATCCACCCGCCCAGCACACCTTGTACCCAGCACCTCTGCTGTTCCAGGTACCAGGCTGGGTTCTCTACACGTACGATAGCCTTGCATCTTGACAACAATCTATTCTGCCTGCCTCATGTATAGGGACGTTGAGGCTGAGAGGCTAGGGGATCAGGGTGGCAGAGCTGAAAGCAGAATCTGGGTGGGAGGCTAACAGGGCCCTGCGCTCCCTCTGTGCTGGCTGAAGTGAGGAGATCCCAGCTTCTCCTGCTGGACCTGAGAGACCCATGGCATGGGGAGCAAGGAGGTTTTCAGAAGAGGAAAGAGCTAGAGGCTTAACAACAGTGCAGAGCAGGAAAGCCAGGGCTTGTCTAAGGAATAGCAGTTTGGCCAAGGGTAGGAAACCTGTGGGAGCTGCTCTCACAGCCAGTTGCCCCTGGGGGTAGGAGGAGGGGAGGAGGGCGCCGGAGGGGAGGGCACGTCCTGCAGTTCAGCTGGTGATGGAGCTGGGGGCTTCTGCTGGCCTTTTTAGTTTATTTGTTGCAATTTAAAAATTCAGCTGGGGAGAGGGCCTGTCTTGGACATTATTGCTTCTTTTTGTTTTTCTTTTTCTTTCTTGTTTTTATTTTTATTTTATTTATTTTTTTGAGACGGAGTCTCGCTCTGTCACCCGGGCTGGAGTGCAGTGGCGTGATCTTGGCTCACCGCAAGCTCCGCCTCCTGGGTTCTCGCTATTCTCCTGCCTCAGCCTCCCAAATAGCTAGGACTACAGGCGCCCGCCACCACACCTGGCTAATTTTTTCTATTTTTAGTTGAGATGAAGTGTCACCGTGTTAGCCAGGATGGTCTCGATCTCCTGACCTCGTGATCCGCCCGCCTCAGCCTCCCAAAGTGCTGGGATTACAGGCGTGAGCCACCGCGCCCAGCTCCTTTCTTTCTTTTAAAAATTATTTTATTATTAATTTTTTAAGTTCTGGGGTACATGTGCAGGATGTGCAGGTTTGTTACATACGTAAACGTGTGCCATGGTGGTTTGCTGCACCTGTCAACACATCACCTAGGTATTAAGCCCAGCATTCATTAGCTCTTTTCCCTAAAGCTCAACCTCCCCCAATCTCCCTACCTCCAACCAGCCCCAGATAGTGTTCTTCCCTTCCCTGTATCCATGGGTTCTCATTGTTCAGCTCCCACTTATGAGTGAGAACATGTGGTGTTTGGTTTTCGGGTTGTGCATTAGTTTGCTGAGGATAATGGCTTCCAGCTCCATCCATCTCCCTGCAAAGGACATGATCTTGTTACATAGTATTCCATGGTGCATATGTACCACATTTTTTTTTTTTTTTTGAGACGGAGTTTTGCTCTTGTTACCCAGGCTGGAGTGCAATGGTGCAATCTCGGCTCACCGCAACCTCTGCTTCCCGGGTTCAAGCGATTCTCCTGCCTCAGCCTCCAGAGTAGCTGGGATTACACGCACGCGCCACCACGCCCGGCTAATTTTGTATTTTCAGTAGAGGCGGGGTTTCTCCATGTTGGTCAGGTGGTCTCGAACTCCCGACCTCAGGTAATCGGCCCTCCTCGGCCTCCCTAAGCACTGGGATTACAGGTGTGAGCCACTGTGCCCAGCCCACATTTTATTTATCCAGTCTATCATTGACGGGCATCTGGGTTGATTCCATGTCTTTGCTATTGTGAATAGTGCTGCAATGAAAATATATGTGCATGCATCTTTATAATAGAATGATTTACATTCCTTCGGATATATAACCAGTAATGGGATTGCTGGGCCAAATGGTATTTCCGGCTCTAAATCTTTGAGGAATCACCTTACTGTCTTCCACAATGGTTGAACTAATTTACAAACAACCACATTAAAAAGTGGGCAAAGAATATGAACAGACAATTCTCAAAAAAAGACATACATGCAGCCAACAAAACATACGAAAAAAAGCTCAACACCACTGATCATTTGAGAAATGTAAATCAAAATCACAATGAGATACCATCTCACACCAGTCAGAATGTCAATTATTAAAAAGTCAAGAAACAACAGATGCTAGCAAGGTGCAAGGTTGGGGGAAAATAGCAATGTTTTTACACTGTTTGTGCTGGACTTTCAAAAACCCGTGTCATGGCTGGGTGCAGTGGCTCACGCCTGTAATCCTAGCACTTTGGGAGGCTGAGGCGGGCGGATCACTTGAGGTCAGAAGTTGGAGACCAGCCTGGCCAACATGGTGAAACCCCGTCTATACTAAAAATACAAAAATTAGCCAGGTATGGTGGTGCATGACTGTAATCCCAGTTACTTGGGAGGCTGAGGCAAGAGAATCGCTTGAACCTGGGAGGTGGAGGTTGCAGTGAGCTGAGATCATGCCATTGCACTTCAGCCTGGGCAACAGAGTGAGACTTTGTCTCAAAAACAAAAAAAAAAAAAAAAAAGGAAAAGGGACAAGAGACTGTCCCCAGCCCAGGGGCCTAGTTGGCCAACCCTTGGCCAAAGAGCCACAGAGGTAGAATCTGTCCTAGGTCTTCCTCCCTCATATCCCTCTCCTGACTCTGGCACATTTTCTGCCTCTGCAAGTAACTGGCCTTATGCTTTGCCTCCTTTAGCCTGGCCCTGGTCCCCGGCTTCTGGCTCCCACCATTCTCCCTTCCTCTCTACCTCCAGGAGGTACCCACTTGCAAACCAAAAAAAAAAAAAAAAAATCTGAGACAGGGCCTGGCGTGGTGGCTCATGGCTGTAATCCCAGCACTTTGGGAGGCTGAGGCAGGCGGATCCCTGTGGTCGGGAGTTCAAGACCAGCCTGGCCAGCATGGTGAAACCCTGTCTCTACTAAAAATACAAAAATTAGCCCGGCATGGTGGCAGGTGCCTGTAATCCCAGCTACTCGAGAAGCTGAGGCAGGAGAATTGCTTGAACCTGGGAGGTGGAGGTTGCAGTGAGCCAAGATCGTGCCATTGCACTCCAGCCTGGGCAACAGAGTGAGACTCCATCACAAAGAAAAATAAATAAATAAATACATAAAAAATCTGAGACAGGTCTCAATCAATTTAGAAGTTTATTTTGCCAAGGTTAAGGACAGCCCAGAAGAAAAACACAGAAAATCACAGAAATGGTCAGTGGTCTGTGTTTCTCTCCAAGGATGATTTTAAGGACTTCAATATTTAAAGAGGAAAAGCGGGCTGCAGGGGAGAAAAGGTGGGTACGGTAATCCACATGTTGCCATAGAAAAGGAACAGTTGGGGAATAGTTAATTTTGTATTTGTCTCGCACTCAGTCAATCAGCACATTACACAAGATAAGGTGAACATAGAGTAGCTGCCTGTGGAGATGTTTAATCTTTTATCTGTAGCTACTGTCTGCTTAGGAACAAAAGGAAAGACAGCTTCTTCCATGACTCAGCTTTCAGCTTAATTTTTTCCTTTTGACAGAGTGAATTACAGTCCCAAGTTTTTATTTTCCTTTCACACACTGTAATAGTTAGTGTACATCTGTCCCGTCTCTCTTTAGATATGTATGTATATATGCACATGAATACATATATAGACACATATATATACATATATATAATATATACCTAAACATGTGTATTTGTGTGTACATACATATACACAAAAGTACTGTCCAGGCATGGCAGCTCATGCCTGTAATCCCAGCACTTTGGGAGGCCAAGGCTGCAGGATTGCTTGAGGCCAGGAGTTTGAGACCAGCCTGGGCAACGTAGAGAGACTGTCTCCACATAAAAAATAATAAAAACCCATGAATATTTGCATATATATATATATATATATATATATATATATATATGTACATATTTCAAAACCAGGATAATACAATGTGTATGACTCTTCAACTTGCTCCCCCGCCCCAGTGATATCATCATGGCCATCTTCCTGTGGACTGACTACGTGGACCCAACTCCTTCTTCTCAGTGGCTGCTTAACATTTCAGTACATGCAAATGCCATTATATTTTATTCTTAGTGGGTTCTCTTCCCATTGTTTGTGGAGGGCCTGTCATGGACAAGGCTATGTTCTGGGGACCAGAATTTACATTCTATTAAGGGAGACAGGAAATATACACTAATTAAGTTGATAGGCAGGAGCATTGTGGGTGAGGTTAAGTGTTAGGAGGAAAATAAAACAGAATCTGGGGGCTTCGGGGGCAATGTCACTGTGAAGGTGAAGTGATGTTTGATAACTCCAATTAGAATTTCTGGACCACACGTAGGATGCATACTTGGGTTATGTCCATTTTTTTGTTTGTTTGTTTTTTGAGACAGAGTCTTGCTCTGTCACCCAGGCTGAGTGCAGTGCAATCATGGCTCACTGCAGCCTTGACCTCCTGGGCTCAAGCAATCCTCTCACTTCAGCCTGTCGAGTAGCTGGACGACAGGTGAGTGCCACCACGCCCGGCTAATTTTGTATCTTCTGTAGAGATGGAGTCTCACTATGTTGCCCAGGCTGGGCACTGGCAACATGTTACATCCAGTTTTGAGCTGGGACACACACTGTGTATGGTACCTGTGAGCCCATGTGATACAGATGGAAAAGGAGCTGTGGGATCTTCACTTTGGAAAGAATGAGCCCCGTGACACCATTCTCCCCTCTTACTCAGTGTCCTTGGTGGTCTCAGGTCTGGGGCAGCTGCCGAGGGTCAGATGCATAGGCCAGCCAGCAGGCCCACATCCCCAGAGTGTGAGCTTCTCTGCACAGGCCCATCTTCATGATTTCCCCACTCTGTGGCCTTAGGACCGTTACTTTGTGACTTCTCAGAGTAATAAAGCAGCTTTCTTTTTTTTTTTTTTTTTTTTGAGACGGTGTCTCACACTGTTGCCCAGCCTGGATGGAGTGCAGTGGCGCGATCTCGGCTCACTGCAACCTCCACCTCCCGGGTTCACACAATTCTCCTGCCTCAGCCTCCCGAGTAGCTGGGATTACAGGCTCATACCACCTTACCCAGCTAATTTTTTGTATTTTTAGTAGAGATGGGGTTTCACTATGTTGGCCAGGCTGGTCTCGAACTTCTGACCTCGTGATCCGCCCGCCTCAGCCTCCCAAAGTGCTGGGATTATAGGCTTGAGCCACTGCTCCCGGCCTAAAGCAGCTTTCTTTAAGAATTTATTTATTTTTTTGGGCCGGGCGCAGTGACTCATGCCTGTAATCCCAGCACTTTGGGAGGCCGAGGCGGGCGGACCACGAGGTCAGGAGATCGAGAGCATCCTGGGTAACACTGTGAAACCCCGTCTCTACTAAAAATAAAAAAAAAAATTAGCCGGGCGAGGTGGCGGGCGCCTGTAGTCCCAGTTACTCCGAAGGCTGAGGCAGGAGAATGGCGTGAACCCAGGAGGCGGAGCTCGCAGTGAGCCGAGATCATGCTGATGCACTCCAGCCTGGGTGACAGAGCGAGACTCCATCTCAAAAAAAAAAAAAAAAAGAATTTATTTATTTTTTTGAGACAGGGTCTCACTCTGTCACCTAGGCTGGAGTGCATTGGTGTGATCATAGCTCACTGCAGCCTCAAACTCCTGGGCTCAAGCAATCCTCCCACCTCAGCCTCCTGAATAGCTGGGATTACAGGCTGAGCTGCCATGCCCAGCTAAAGGGGCTTTCTTGTATGTAAAATATTAAAATGCTTCTCTGCCTCTGCTTTCACAAGAAAATGCATGTAAAATTGCTTTAAGAGAGGAAAGTATCTATTAGTTTGTTAGGATTGCCAGAACAAAGAACTGTAAGCTGGGTGGCTTCAAAGAACAGAAATTTATTGTCCCACAGTTTTGGAGGCCAGAAGTCTGAAACTGAGGTGTTGGCAGGGTTGGTTCCTTCTTGGGAAATCTGAGAGAGAATCTGTTCCATTCCTGTCTCCTAGTTTCTGGCAGCTGTCATCAATCCCTGACATTCCTTTGCTGTTTGGCTGTGACACTGTCACTCAGTCTCTGCCCCCATCATCACATGGCATTCTCCCTGTGTGTCTGTGTCCAAATCTCTTGCTTCTTCTTTTTTTTTTTTTTTTGAGACGGAGTCTCACTCTGTTGCCCAGGCTGGTGTGCAGTGGCGTGATCTCGGCTCACTGCAACCTCCACCTCCTAGGTTCAAGAGATTCTCCTGCCTCAGCCTCTTGAGTAGCTGGGATTACAGGCATGTGCCACCATGCCTGGCTAATTTTTTGTATTTTTAGTAGAGATGGGGCTTCACCATGTTAACCAGGGTGGTCTCAATCTCCTGACCTCGTGATCTGCCCGCCTCGGCCTCCCAAAGTGCTGGGACTACAGGTGTGAGCCACCACGCCCAGCTCTCTTGCTTCTTATAAGGACATCAGTTATTGGATGATGTCCACCGTAATGATCTGATTACATCCACAAAGATCCTATTTCCAAATAAAGTCACATTTGCAGGTCCCAGGGGTTAGGGCTTGAACATATCTTTTGCAGGGGGCACAATTCAACCCATGTCATCTTCATCATCAGCACCATCTTTCTCATCATCATCACAGAAAATCAATGTTAAAAAACACACCAAGGCCAGGTGCAGTGGCTCACGCCTGTAATCCCAGCACTTTGGGAGGCCGAGGTGGACTGATCACTTGAGGTCAGGAGTTCGAGACTAGCCTGGCCAACATGGTGAAACCCTGTCTCTATTAAAAATACAAAAATTGGCCAGATGTGGTGGCTCACGCCTGTAATCCCAGCATTTTGGGATGCCGAGGCAGGTGGATCACCTGAGGTCAGGAGTTCAAGAGCAGCCTGGCCAACATGGTGAAAACCCGTCTCAAGTAAAAATTACAAAAAAATTAGCTGGGAGTGGTGATGGGCACCTGTAATCCCAGCTACTTCAGGAGGCTGAGGCAGGAGAATCGCTGGAACCCATGAGGTGGAGGTTGCAGTGAGCTGAGATCACGCCACTGTACTCCAGCCTGGGTAACAAGAGTGAAACTCCATCTCAAAAAAAAAAATTAGTTGGGCATGTTGGCGTGAGCCTATAATCCCAGCTACTCCAGAGGCTGAGGTGGGATAACTGGTTGAACCCAGGAGGTGAAGGTTGCAGTGAGCTGAGATTGTGCCACTGCACTCCAGTCTGGGTGATAGCTGATAGAGTGAGACCTGTCTCAACACACACACACACACACACACACACACACACACACACACACACACACACCCGAAAACTGCATTATCAGTCAGCAAACCGAATCTGCTTGGTTTTATGTGGAGTTGCCGCCTTGCTTTAGTAGTCCACTTTGACTCTAGAAAGGTGGTGATAGATTTGCAGGATCCGCCCAGGTGCAGTGGCTCACGTCTGTAATCCCAGCACTTTGGGAGGCCGAGGCAGGCAGATCCCTTGAGGCCAGGAGTTCAAGACCAGTCTGGTCAACATGGCGAAACCCCATCTCTACTAAAAATACAAAAAAGTACCTGGGAGTGGTGGTGCACACATGTAATCCCAGCTACCTGCGTGGTTGAGGCACAAGAATCACTTGAACCTGGGAGGCGGAGGTTGCAGGTAGCAGAGATTGAGCCACTGCACAGCTACCTGGGTGACAGAGCCAGACTGTCTCAAACAAACAAACAAAATGATTTGCAGAATCCTGGGAGAGACAGAGAAAGGGTTCTGATCAGTGCTTCTCCAACTATAGGCATACATTCATCACCTGGGTGTCTTGTCAAAATACAGACCCTGCTTCAGCGTGCTTGGGGTGGCCTGACATTCTGCATTGCTGTCAAGCTGCCAGGGGATGCCTTTGCTGCTGGCCACAGAACACACTCTGAGTAGGGTCTGATGGATTTCTACCATACAGGCCTCTGCCCTGCCTAAGGCCCAAGCACCTTTGAGGAGCCTGGCCACTCACCCTCTTCCTCCCATGACCTTTATGGTAGCAAGAGCCAGCCTAGCAGGTTTCACATGTGTCACTTCTCCCTTAGGTAGTCCCAGCTGTGACATCTTTCCCTACCTAACCCGTCCCCCTGCATAGCGTATGTTCTTCTTAGCCGCCATTAGTATTCCAGTGAGCCCACCTCGTCAACAGTGGGACGTACCAGGGAAGGCGAGAGGAAATTTAGCATAAAGGAGGACTGCAAACACATCAGAACACAAAACACACACATTCAGCCAAAAGACCCCCATTCCTGGACTCCATCCAGACCCGTCCCTTTATTATTTTTGTTCTCTTTCCTCTTTAACTAGATCTTGCCTGAAAACAGCCTGGGCGTTGCTAAGGGAACGCCTTAGAGCCTCCCTGAACACATCATTGTTTAATTCCAGCACAGGCAGCCCAGAGGAATTTGCTATTTGTTTAAGAGATGAAAGCCTCAACATCCACACATTCTTCTCCAGCTTCACTCCCCTTTAACCGTATGGCCCAGCCAGAGTGGAGCACATTGGGTGGAGGGAACTCATGGGACCCAACAAGGTAGCAGGTGCTCTGTGGATGGTCCATGCTATTCAAAGACAAAGAGATCCAGGATTTCTCGACTGGGTACTAGGGGAAGAACTGTCCTCACGCCATGGTATGAGAAGGACATGATGGGAGAGGAAAGCCTCTCAGCCATGTTTACCCCAACCTCAAATCTGTACATGGGGAATTGACCCAAACTTCCCTCAGGGCCTCAGTTACACAGACTGTAATTCAAGGAAGGGTACCAGACACCCCACCGAGCAGCACACCTAACCTGTACGTATAACACATGAAAATAGGCAACAGGCCGGGCACAGCGGCTTGTGCCTGTAATCCCAGCACTTTGGGAGACCAAGGCGGGAGGATCACCTGAGGTCGGGAGTTCGAGACCAGCCTGACCAACGGTGTTTCTCAACCCCGTCTCTACTAAAAATACAAAATTAGCCAGGCATGGTGGTGCATGACTGTAAGCTCAGCTACTTGGGAGGCTGAGGCAGGAGAATCTCTTGAACCTAGGAGGCGGAGGTTGCAGTGAGCCAAGATCACACCATTGCACTCCAGCCTGGGCAACAAGAGCGAAACTCCGTCTCAAAAAAAAAAAAAAAACAAAAACAAAAAAAACAAGAAAAAAAAGAAAATAGCCAACAGGGCTATTGGCTATTGAGGGCTGGCTTCCCAGCGATCCAGGGAAATTCACCCAAGCAGGAAGAGCAGAAATGAGCCAAGTGCTGGCCTTTTGGAGGATGGATGTGATTTGAGGGTTTAGGGGTCAAGGAAGAGCTTTCCCCTTGGCCCTATGAAGGTTTCCTGAAAATCACTGACATGAGGCAGATTAACAGGAGAAAAGACATACACATTTATTTAACATATAGACACACGAGCCCGCAGCTTGAAGACCCCCCTCGCCCAGTGAGGTTCAAAAGCTTGTATTCCAACCTGGCAAAACAGGTTATGGACGGGGGAGAACAGGAATTTTGTTGGGGGGATTACTGGGGAGAATGAATGGATCAGGGAACAGAGATTAACCAGAAATAGTTCTCTTTGACAGCGAAAACGTCTGTTCAGGTGTGGTTACATTCTTGGTCTTACAGAGAGGGAAAGAAGAAACAATTGTCTGGATCTCAGGCACATAAAGGAACTTCAGCTTCTTTGGGAGAGACAGTGGGGGTGGAGGAAAGGTCAGAGAGACCTTGAGGCTTCTACAGTTCGGCATGTCGCCTCGCCATAATTTGGGGTATCAGTTTCTGAGCCCCCAAAATGCAAGAAGGTGTTTCAGGAACCCATCCAGGCACCATTTAACAGGATTTATCAGTAACCCAATGTGTCCTGTGGCACCTGCTAGGTAGGGGTGCAGAGAAGCACTGTGACAGAGCCTGGGGCTGTACAGCCTTGTACCTGCAGCTTCTCATTCTGGGGAGAGGACTGAGCCTCCTCTGCTTTGCGGCCTCATAGCTCCATCCCTCCCGTCCCTGCTTGCCTTCCAGGGCCATTCTCTGCTTTTCTTCCAGGGCCATTCTGCTTCTCTGCCAACCACCACATGGGTCCCCCTGGGCATTGGCTGCAGGAGAACCTGATTGGCTCAGGTAATCACCAGCTCTTGGACACTGGCCAACCAATAGAGCGGCAGCATCCAGGTCAGGTGCCCACCCTTGGTCCAATCAGCTGTGGCCCAACTGCCGTAGGGCCCATGGTGCAGGTGGTGTTTTTAAAGGGGGCTGCAGGTGAGCCAGGTCTTGCGGTGTCAACTACACGAAAAAAGCGACCCTTTCAGAAGAATTCTAATGAGAGAGCCATGTCGTCTACCCGGGACGTGTGATTGAATTTTTGTGGTGCGATGGGGTATGGGATAAAATCTCTCTTGTGTCATCCTGTGGAGACTTGGTGAAAGGCTCATCACCCACACATCCTCCTGGCATTGGACTTGTGTTTTGGAGGGAGTTTGGCTGTGCTGACTCAGGCTTCCCGGGAAGGCACAGGTTTAGAAAAGAGGCTGCTCCTGGGGGCCAAGCCACCACTGGTTACCTACAGAAAAACTTGAAATTTGGCAGTGAATGGAAAGGGAAAGTGGGCTGACTCTATTGGAGTAACAGGAGCATCTGTGTACAGACGCAGAGAGACCTGTGCGGATGGAGAGACAAACACGCCAACACATGCCTAGACAAACAGTGCGGGGCAGAGAGAGAGGCTCTGAGAGCCACAGAGAGCCACATGCAGGGAGATAAGCACAGAGCCAGAGAGATAGAGACTCAGACACAGAGATAAACACTCATATGAAGCAACACACCCAGTGGCACACTCATTCACCCAAGCAAGCAGAGGGCTGTAGGGAGCTTGCAGCTCAAGTGGAGCCAGGCTACTGGAAGTGAACATTGCATTGTCCCTTGATGTGGGAAGCTGAAGCCGTCTACTACAAAAAGGAAAAGGCCATTTTCCCAAAGATCAGGATTTCATTGTAAAGGAGTTGCTGGGCTCATCTCAAGAAAGGAGGGGCTGACACAAGTCAATATAATCCATTTTCAGAGGAAACTGTGTTTTCTAAATTTGAATCAGTATAATCCATTTTATTTCCCTCTCTCTCTTTTTTTTTTTTTTTTTTTTTTTTGAGATGGAGTGTTGCTCTGTCACCCAGGCTGGAGTGCAGTGGCAGGATCTCGGCTCACTGTAACCTCTGCCTCCCGGGTTCAAGCGAATCTCCTGCTTCAGCCTCCCGAGTAGCTGGGACTACAGGCATGTGCCACCACGCCCGGATGATTTTTGTATTTTTAATAGAGACAGGGTCTTGCCATGTTGGCCAGGCTGGTCTCAAACTCCTGACCTCAGCTGATCCACCCATCTCGGCCTCCCAAAGTGCTGGGATTACAGGCGTGAGCCACCGCGCCTGGCCAGTATAATCCATTTTCATAGGAAAATGTGTTTTCTAAATTTGAAAAGCAAAAGCCAAACAAACAAACAAAAAAAGCAATAGAAATACTTTTGGAGAAGTTGCCAAAATGCAGACAAATTCTAAGCATCTGTTTAGGCTGTGGTTCCAGAAGTCAGAAAGGAACCCCCTCAGGGAACACTGGGGCAGCGGCCCTGAGAGGGTTATCTTTACAGTGCTATGACACTGGTCAGAGCCTGGAGAAATGGCCAGTCTAATCAGGGCCCACATTGTACAGAGAGATGGCTATTGTCTGTCTGTGGTTTGCACTGTGTAGCCACCCACAGGAGGGTTGAGCCGCAAAGGAATTGGATACTTACTGTGTTCCAGCCATAGCCAGGCCTCAGGGGCAGGGCCACTACCTGAACAGCTGAAGAAGAAAATGGATGAGTTGTCCTGCAGTAAGATGTGGAGCTCTGGGAGGCTGAGGTGGGAGAATTGCTTGAGCCTGGGAAGTGGAGGCTGCAGTGAGCTAAGATTGTGACACTGCACTCCAGCCTGGGTGACAGAGCAAGAAAAAAAAAAAAAGTGGAGCTCACACTTGAGCCTTAGGCTGCCATGTCTGGAAGGAATCTTAGAAGTTTTCCAGTCCAACCTTTTCCTTTTTTGCTGGAGAAAGCTGAAGCTGAGAGGCTAAGTGATTCCCCTGAGGTCCTGCAGTAAGTTAATGATGCCCTGGCAGATTCATTTACTAAAGGCTGGTGCCCCTCAACCTAGGCCAGCTTTTCCCCTTGGAGGGGGATCAGTTCTGTGGGTGGGGACAAAACCTGATGATAGGTACAAGGATCTCTAAGAGGGGCTGCTGAGAGGGTACTGGAGAACTGTTAAAGAAATATGTGCTCCATTTTCTATAAGATCTCTCCTTTGGGCCCTTGATAAAGACTTTATTTTGGTCACAAAAGGGACAGGGTGGCTCAGGCAACCCCTTTCTCAGTCGTAGAAAAACAATGGAAGGAAGACATAAGTCCTGCAGAGTATAGGTGATCTGGAGTCCCAGAATCAGGAAGACAGTGAGAAGAGACAGTCAAAGGATGGTATTCATGGGCAGCCTCCTAGATTCCCTCCTCCCCCATTTGCTTATGAATCACCGGTTGCTTGTTGATTTGGATGCAAAGTGGCATCTGGTGGGAGAGGGATGAGCAATTCATCTGGGAATGAAATGATAGGGATCTCAGATTGGTAACAGAGATCCTCCTTCACAACTGCAAAAGGCTTGCTGGACAGAGAGGTATGTGGAAATCTGAAATTTCCGGCTGAGGTTAGCTTCTGGCTAACCTCCTGATGGGACTTATCCATGGTGTCCCTGCCTCTTATTCATGTTCCTACACTGAAAACACCATGACTATCACCATTGGTGACCTCACTGCTCCCGGGATGCGAAGTCAGAGGATGCAGCCAAACTCTTCTCCACGTCGGGAGAAGTGCGGCTTCTAAGTTCACGGTGGTTTGCCTGAGGTCCTGCAGAGTCCTCAGAACCCAGGTGTCCTGGCTCGCTGTCACATTCACCCGAGAATCCAGGGAGTCTGGGAGAGCTGCTCTTCCCAGAAAGAGCATCACATTTACATCACTTAGGACCTGGGCCTGGGGCTGGGGCTATAGACTGAAAGGGAAATGCAGTGAAACAAATCTCGTAGGACCCCCTACCCCCTAAATGACTCCACTGGTCATTGAGATGAAAAAGCCTCAGAATTCTTTCAGCTCTCTTCTAGGATCTTCCTTTTGAATGCAAAGGAAGACTGGGAACTCTCCACAGAGTAAAATGTGGGTCTCCATCTCAATGCCCAGAGACAAAAGCCAAAAAATGTGAAGAATTTCCAAAGAGCCTCCTTCAAACGGCATCTCCCCCCACCTCTGGCTGTGCTCCACAGGCGCCGTGGATGGGAATGGCGACTTTCTTCTTTGGGCCCGGCTTGGACAGTTGCCCACTCACTAAAAGCCTGTATGAGGAGAAATGAAATTAGGCATGTCCCCACTCAGCCCATGCACTTGTCTTCATGTAAGAAGATACTTCTGTGATCTGGCTGACTGATGGGCCTTGTGTGTGGTTCTGCCGGTACATGGCAGGGACGTTTGTACCAGGCAGTGCACACTCTTGCACTCCTGTCCCCAGTGGGAGCAGCCCCTGGGAGAGGGGGTTGAGCAGACAAAAGCACCCCACCTACGCCGGGGCAGTGGAAACTTGTTCACTTTCCGGGGACCCTTTAAGAGGAGCACTCACTTGACTCAGGGCTCTTTTGTTCTTCTCCTTTGGAGGCTGAACAAAAAAGAATAAGCTGCTGTTCTATCATAAGGATTGAAAAAGAGATAGGGGAAGAGCCCTGAGAATTCTCTCTGTAAGATATCTTGAAGAGACTGAGTGATGCTTGATGTGCCGGAGTCCTTGGCCACCTGGGTAAATGTCTGCCGGCCCTCACTCTGCCAGCTTATTTCACCCTAACCTCTTCTCCCTTCTCTGCAGGACATAGAGTTCTTTGAGGGTCACTAGGATCCCTCAGATGATGAGAAAGAGCACAGAAGATGACAACTCATAGATAATCTTTGGGGAGAGGTTGGGAGTGATAAGAACTGGATTACACAACCCATAGAGAGCTGTTCCAGTTACCACATGACTATATTAGGGAAGTTGCCTCCCTCTCTGCCAGCACCTGCCAGGTTCGTAAACTTGCCTCAAGCTGTTTTTGCTTCCCTCTGGCAGACAGAATACTTTCCCTGAAGCACTGACTTAGTGGTGCTATTGTCAACTTCAGACTCTGCAGTAGCACTTGATAGCTGCAGTGCCTGGCCCAGGGGCCTTGGTGTGGCACCAAAGGCCCCGCCGCAGCCAGGGTGTCCTCCTCCCAGCCTCTACAACTCACCCTGCAAGGCCCTTTGATGTGGCCTTTTGACCTGGCCACCCACACCCACCACACTTCTCACTTATCCCACACCCCCCAATTTCAATATGACGTTTCACAAACTCCCCACGCCTTCTTCACTGTGCATCCTGTTCACTGCATTCGCCTTGCGGCTTGAGTCACTTTTCCTCTTGGAAGCTTCTTGACAAACCCCACCTCCCCTGTTGGTGTCGGGCGACCTGGCCTCAGAACCTGTGCTGCTTGCCACTCTGTTAGTTGCTTACCCTTGGGCCAGTGATGGACTCTTGGGCCTCTTTTTTCCTGTGAAATGGGAATAACGACTACTCACCTTATAGGTTGTAGGGACCAAGGGAAGTCTAACAGGGTCTGACTATGTTGCCCAGGCTGTCTTGAACTCCTGGCTCAAGTGATCCTCCCACCTCAGCCTCGCTAGTGGCTGGAACTACAGGTGTGAGCTACCATACCTGGCTAATTTTTTAATTTTTTGTAGAGATAGGGTCTCACCATGTTGCCCAGGCTGGTCTCAAACTCCTGGGCTCAAGCCATCCTCCCACTGCAGCCTCCTAAAATGCCAGGATTACAGGCATGGGCCACCATGCCCTGCCTGGGTTTTAATAAGTCCCCCAGGTGATTCTGAGGCACATTGAAGTTTGAGAGCCACTGCTGTGTTCTATTGCTTGGGACATGAATGGTCTGCAGAATAGTAAAGGACTCGGACTCACCAAACTGCATGTGCTTCAGAAAGCCAGGCGGCTAACTTGCTAGCCTGATAACATCCCTGTCTGCAGCCTCATTCCTCAGCCCTGACTCTCTATTCAGTCCCTAGAGATAGGTGTCTTTTAGACGGCTCTTTTTATCCCCTAGCTCATTGGAAGAGGAAGAAAGTTTTGTCTGTACGCTTTGTCTGTGCATGACCTCTCGTTGACACTTCGTGGAGCCGGGGGCTCAGATGATGGTCGGCAGAGGGGTAGACAGGGTGCTCCTCAGCCCCGTCCTTCTGAGCTCATGTCAAGATTTCCCAGGAGGCAGACAGAAGGTGGCACTGAGTGGAGAGAGGGAATTCAGGCAGCATGTCTTGGCCTCTCTGGGAGCCAAGGGGGAAGATCCACCCTGCACCCAGCAGCTTTCCTCTTGGAGCAAGGGCTGCCTGTGTGGCCAAGAAAGGCGAGCCTGGCATGAATGGAGACCTTGTGCCAAAGACCTCGCTGGAGCCGGGAGCCGCAACACAGGGGCTTTTCACAAGGAGCCTTACAACAGAGGCGGCATTGAGCGTGACTGTGGCCAGCGGGCAGGCGTGGGGTCTGGTGGATGCGTGGCATCGGTAGAACAACATTGCTGCTCCTCCTGACCCTGTCTCGGCTGGGGGTGGGGGTGGGGGGCGCTCCCAGATCTCTTCTCAGAGGGGAATACACTAAGAGTCATGTTGTCTCTAGCTGAAGCTGCCCTGACCCCCTTCGAGGGTGTTTGAGGCTCTACAGGGGCACAGAATAATGAGTGCAGGAGTCAACGTGTGTGTGGAGTAAGCTGGAGGGCTGGACAGGAATGGGTTAAAGACAGCTGCTTGGAGACATCACCAAAGCATGACTCCACTGGGGCCTAGGCTACCAGCAAAGGGAGGGTGCCAGATGCCTCTGTCTGTTGAAGGGGGATGGAATCCCAGTGTGCCCCCTCTGAGGGGTCATTGAAAGGTGAGGGAGAGCTGCAGCCTTGCCGAGGGGCTGTGAACGGGCTACAAGCCGGGGATGGAGGGCAACTGCCCAGGGGCAGTCAGGATCAGAGGACCATGGGG
Source organism: Homo sapiens (assembly GCF_000001405.40). Taxonomy (NCBI): domain Eukaryota; kingdom Metazoa; phylum Chordata; class Mammalia; order Primates; family Hominidae; genus Homo; species Homo sapiens. The sequence goes on from NC_000007.14 coordinate 131,608,486, forward strand.
GTAGGGGCATGGTGGGTTTAATACTTCCAAAGGAAAGGTTTAATAATACTTCCCCATATATAGACACACCCTCTCTGTGTCCACCTATAGCCACCTTCTTTTTTTTTTTTTTTTTTTTTTTAGAAGACAGGGTCTCACTCTGTCACCTAGGCTGGAGTGCAGTGGTTTATCTGTCACATGAAGAAAACACCTTCTGATTGGGCCTGGTGGCTCATGCCTGTAATCCCAGCACTTGGGAGACCAAGACGAACCGATCACTTGAGGCCAGAAGCTCGAGGCCAGCCTGGCCAACATGGTGAAATCCCGTCTCTACTGAAAATACAAAAATTAACTGGGTGCGGTGGCGCATGCCTGTAATCCCAGCTACTCTGGAGGCTAAGGCACGAGAATCACTTGAGCCTGGGAGGCAGAGGTTGCAGTGATCCGAGATCGTGCCATTGCACTCCAGTCTGGGCGACAGAAGGAAACTCTGTCTTTTTTTTTTTTTTTTTTTTTTTGAGCTGGGATTTTGCTCTGTCACCCAGGCTGGAGCGCAATGGTGCAATCTCGGCTCACCGCAACTTCTGCCTCCCAGGTTAAAATGATTCTCTTGCCTCAGTCTTCTGAGTAGCTGGGATTACTGGTGCGCGCCACCACACCCAGCTAATTTTTGTATTTTTAGTAGAGATGAGGTTTCACCATGTTGGCCAGGCTGGTCTCGAACTCCTTATCTCGTGATCTGCCTATCTCGGCCTCCCAAAGTGCTGGGATTACAGGCATGAGCCACCGTGCCCAGCCAGAAACTCTGTCTTGAAAAAAAAAGAAAAAAGGAAAAAAAAAATCTTTGAAGACTGAATCCAAGGTCAGAAATCTGGTTGGGCAATTCCAGGCTAGCTGACTTTCTGTGGCTCAAGGAGTACTGATCATGGCTCACTGCAGCCTCAACATCCTGGGCTCAAATGATCCTCCCACCTCAGCCTCCCAAATAGCTGGGACCACGGGTATGTGCCACCATACTTAGCTAATTTTTAAATTGTTGGTACAAATGGCATCTCTCATATTGCCAGGGCTGGTCTCGAACTCCTGGGCTCAAGTGATCCTCCCGCCTCAGTCTCCCAAAGTGTTGGGATTACAGGCGTGAGCCACTGTGTCCAGCCCAGCCAACGCTTATCTACCCAAGGTGGTTAATCAGTGAATTAGCCAGATCCCTGGCTTCCTCTCTCTTTTTGAACCTGATCTTTTCTAGGGTAACCAAGTGTCCCAGTCTACTTGAGACCAAAGGATTTCCCAGGACACGGGATAGGCATATATGCACACACACACACACACACACACACACACACACGTATGTCCAGCATTCTTCACACTCATTTCCTTATGTGCTCCAGTAAAATGTGGCCTCCTTCAAGGAAGGATCACTTTACTTTTCTGTATCAGCTGCCACATGGAAGGTGCAATAAATGTTTGCTGAGAAACAAATGAGCCAATTAATTCCATCCAGGTGAGAAAATTAGGAAAGACTTCATGGGCAAAGGGCCTAAAATATTGGCTTGGATAAACCAGGGCGAGATTGAGCGCTGGCCTTCTGGGAGGGAGAGGTTTGGCATCAAGTAGAGGTCAGGCCTGAGTTTCTCCCAGTTGTCTGCCCTCCACCCCAACCCCTGTCCTGCCCCTCCTGTCTCCACGGCAGCCCTGAGTCAGCCCTCCTGGAGTCTGTTCCCTGGGTCCAGGCTGGGTGACTGTCGTGGTCATGTGGTGGTGATGCCCTGGCTCCTTGGAGCTCGTTGACAGGCAGGCCAAGGAGATCTGGGAGCAGTCCTGGAGGTCTTGCAGGCCCAGCCCTCTGGGATGACACCTGTCTTGGGGTCACTTGATTTTTAGGAAAAATGCTGTTGTGTTTTCAGTCTCCTACCAGAGACAGACAAACACTCCTGGCCAGGTCATCTTGGGGCCTCCCCTGGGGCCCTGCCCGGGCCTCTGAGGTGGCGGATAGACTCTCACAAGCTCAGGTTTGGGGGTGGGGGTGCTGAGGAGGCCTCTGAAGAAAAGACTGGGGCCCCGCATGGTGGTTTACGTCTGTAATCCCAGCACTTTGAGAGGCTGAGGCAGGCTGATCACCTGAGGTCAGGAGTTCAAGACCAGCCTGTGTAGCACAGTAAAACCCCGTCTCTACTAAAAAGTACAAAAAATTAGCCAGGCATGATGGCATGTGCCTGTAATCCCAGCTACTCAGGAGCCTGAGGCATGAGAATCATTTTAACCTGGGAGGCGGAGGTTGCAGTGAGCTGAGATTGCACCACTGCACTCCAGCCTGGGCGACAGAGTGAGACCCCATCTCAAAAAAAAAAAAAGAAAGAAAAGAAAAGATTAAGGCCAGAGAGGAGCAGAGGGGAGCAGAGTGGAGGACTCAGGTGAGCACCAGGCAAAGCCAAGGCCTTGGCCACTAGCAGTTTTTGGTCCTTAACAGGGCTCAGCTAAGTGGGGCAGCACAAGGCACCCATATAATTGCCAGGAGCCCCCACTCAGGCCTCCCTGCGCCCTGCCCCAACTTGTGAACCACGTTCTGTCTTCCTATTCCCCTCCCTTCTCTTTTCTCTCCACCCTCCCAGGTCTGTACCTTGGTGCTCTCCTCCCTGTTGCCAGTCCCTGCATCTTAGCCCAGGAGAGGATGCCGTGGGTCAAGGGAGTCTCCTTTAACTACCCTAGCTGCCCCGTTACCTGTTTTGTTTTTCTTTGTGGTACTTCTTACAACCTGAAATCAGTTATTTATTTGAGTACCTGTTTCATGCTTGCCCCTTGACTTGAATGGAATGAGGGCAGAGATGAGTTTGTTAACTGCTAGCTATTCCCAGCACTTAGCAAGGTCTGATACCTCATGAGTAAATGAATGAGGCCACATTTTCAGGCGCATTCCACAGACCATGGCGATATAATGCTGGGCAGTGCCCAGGCTCTGGAAGGCTCCCTGGACACAGGGATGGGGGGTTGGGGGGGAAGCCCCCAGCAGTTCTTTTTTTCTTTCCTTTGGAGACAGAGTCTCCCTCTGTTGCCCAGGCTGGGACGCAGTGGCATGATCTTGGCTCACGGCAATCTCCACCTCTCCAGTTGAAGCGATTCTCATGCCTCAGCCTCTTGAGTAGCTGGGACTATAGGCACGTGCCACCCTACCCGGCTAATTTTTTGTATTTTTAGAGACAGGGTTTTGCCACGTTGCCCAACCTGGTCTTGAACTCCTGAACTCAGGCAATCCACCTGCCTTGCTCGGCCTCCCAAAGTGCTACAATTACAGGCGTGAGCCACCATGCCCGGCCTGCCCCTGCAGTTCTACAACTTCTTCTTTTAACCTGAGGGGAGCCAGGGAAAACACAGGGAGGTTTTGGGGTCCAGGGGAATTAGCAGCCGTAATTACTTGACTCCTTTGGCAAGTGGAGACCTACAGACCCTACTGCCTTGCTTTTGGCATTTTCTCACCAGCCCACTCTACCAGTGCCCACACTCCTTTGGTCCAGAGCACCGAGTTTCCTCTGGCCCCCAGCTCTGCCTATTCTGTGGCATGGAGATCTGCCCTGGGAGGGACTATGACGACCCTGTGCCCATACTCTTCTTCATAGCAGAACAGACAGACCCAGAGCAGCGAAGTTGTTTGTTCAAGATCGCACTGTTTGTCATTGGCAAAGCTGAGAACTCATTGATTTATTTATTCATTGGACACGTATATTTATTGAATCCCTAATGTGTGCCAGATGCTTTCCAAGGCACGTGTGACACAACACTGTTTGAAACAATGTGACGATACCATTAGTGTAACAACGGAACAGAATTAACAATAACTACCATTTTTTATAATGCAATGAGTATTTTTTTTTTTTGAGACAAAATTTCGCTCTTATGGCCCAGGCTGGAGTGCAATGGCACAATCTCGGCTCACTGCAAACTCCGCCTCCCCAGTTCAAGCAATTCTCCTGCCTCAGGCTCCCGAGTAGCTGGGATTACAGGCATGCGCTACCACACCCGGTTAATTTTGTATTTTTAGTAGAAACGGGGTTTCTCCGTGTTGGTCAGGCTGGTCTCGAACTCCCAATCTCAGGTGATCCACCCGCCTCGGCCTCCCAAAGTGCTGGGATTACAGGCATGAGCCATGGCACCCGGCCAATGCAATAAGTATTGTACTAAGTGCCTCATATATACTATTTCATTTATCTTTACAACAAAACTACAAAATAAGTCCTCATTTCAGCTAATAAGACCCTGACCTCAAACCCTGCTTTTTTTTTTTGAGATGGAGTCTCGCTCTGTCACCCAGGCTGGAGTGCAGTGGTGTGATCTCGGCTCACTGCAAGCTCCGCCTCCCAGGTTCATGCCATTCTCCTGCCTCAGACTCCCAAGTAGCTGGGACTACAGGCACCCGCCACCACGCCCAGCTAATTTTTTGTATTTTTAGTAGAGACGGGGTTTCACCGTGTTAGCCAGGATGGTCTTGATCTCCTGACCTCATGATCCGCCTGCCTCGGCCTCCCAAAGTGCTGGGATTACAGGCGTGAGCCACTGCACCCAGTCCCTGAAACCCTGCTTTTACTGCTCCTGGGTTACATCTTGGTTTGCTAGGTTAGAACACTTTGGTCTTGGCTCCCAGCCCAGCACTATTTCTACCCTACCATTCTGTCTCTCTGTCCTTTCTTTAGTTCTGTTCTCTATCTGGAGAGCAACTGTTATTTAAAGGTCAAGTTTGTGTCTTCACATAAAGTATAAGCATAAAGTCAATGGTCCCTATTGTTTTGTAGGGATTAGGAAAGACATTATAACATTCAGAGGTGACAGCAAAAGAAAGATGATCCCTAAGGCTTACTCGAACTGGAGGATGAAGTAACAGAATGGCCTATCCCTATCCTCTTTATGGGTATATGACCCAAGTGAAATGGTGAAGGAGGAAGAGTGCCTAAGGAAAGGAGAGTGTAAAGGAAAGAGGAGCGGAACACTTGTAAAACTGGTGGCCTTCGGCCGGGCGCGGTGGCTCATGCCTGTAATCCCAGCACTTTGGGAGGCCGAGGCAGGCGGATCACGAGGTCAGGAGATCGAGACCATCCTGGCTAACACGGTGAAACCTAGTCTCTACTAAAAATACAAAAAATTAGCCAGGCGTTGTGGTGGGCGCTTGTAGTCTCAGCTACTCGGGAGGCTGAGGCAGGAGAATGGCGTGAACCCGGGAGGCAGAGCTTGCAGTGAGCCAAGATCACGCCACTGTACTCCAGACTGGGCGACAGAGCGAGACTCCATCTCAAAAAAACAAAAACAAAAATCTGGTGGCCCTGCAGGTAGGAGGTAGGAGGTGAGAAAACAGAGCCATCGACAGAAAGGAAAGGACTGGCTGCTGAGGAAGGGTGATGCCTGGACTATGAGGTTGGGAGTTGACAGTAAGTTATGGTATATGCAGAGAAACAATGGTATGCACAAAGATCACTGGAAAGAGTTTAATAAAAGGACCATTTACGGTAGGAGGGTAAGGGTACAGAAAACCAACAGGAGATGGCACAGTATAATAATAGCAACAGCTGGGAGCCATTACTGTCCACTGGCTTGAGGGGAGAGGAAAGGGGATCTGGAGAGACTGCTGTCCAGAGGGGGCTGCCTGGCGGGATTGCAGGGAACCCCGGTGACCTGGGAGAGAGGAGCCGGCGGAACATGTGTCTTGGTCTCTCGCCTCCTGTCTTCCAGTCTCCGGCTGGTGTTTCCCACTGGCTGAACCCAGTCCAAAGCCAGAGGGAAGCCCCATTTAACAGTCCATAGAAGAAAGTTTTGGAGAGATAGTTTCCTCAGTGTTTGAATTCTTTATCAGGTTGGTGCCTTAGCATAAATTGAGGCAACGGCCCCACACTGTAGCAGCTGCCTTGTATTATTCACCATCGGGTACTCGCAGAAAAAAGAAAAAGAAGCCCATTTCACTTAAAAATGTTTTTGATGAAGCAGTAAGAAGTATTAATTTTATAAAGTCTTAACCCATGATTCTTCCTATTTTTCCATGTGATGAAATAGGAAGTATGCATAAACTTCTAGTGCAGAGTGATGAATGACGGTTGTCTTAAGAAAAAAGTATGGGCCGGGCGCAGTGGCTCACGCCTGTAATCCCAGTACTTTGGGAGGCCGAGGCAGGTGGATCACGAGGTCAGGGGATCGAGACCATCCTGGCTAACATGGTGAAACCCCGTTTCTACTAAAAATACAAAACAATTAGTCGGGCATGGTGGTGGGCACCTGTAGTTCCAGTTATTCAGGAGGCTGAGGCGGGAGAATTGCTTGAATCCGGGAGGTGGAGGTTGTAGTGAGCTGAGATTGTGCCACTGCACTCCAGCCTGGGCGACAAGAGCAAGACTCCATCTCAAAAAAAAAAAAGAAAAAAGTATGTATGATTTTTTTGGCCTATGAGCTGAACTAGATAGACCTTTTCTTCATTGGATCTCATGGTTTTTTTTTTTTGTTTTGTTTTTGTTTTTGTTTTTGTTTTTACTTGAAAGAATGACTGACAAACTGTGGTTGTTCAGACTTGGATGTTTTGCAGATACTTTGTTGAAAATGAACAAAGTGAGTCTATCACTTCAATAAAAAACAACTGATAGTATTTGTGGCCAATTATAAAGTTTCAGCTTTGAAGGAGAAATTGGAATTTTGCAAAGCTTGTATCTGCTGCTGTGAGTGTGATGGCTGGCTGATACTGAAAGGCTTTTCAGATAAGATTGGTGTTGATGGCAATGAATATAGCTTTTTGATATCACATAAAATGGGCCCACACTTGGAAGCTTTTTATAATTCAATGAACTAATATTTTTCAAGTGACCAATGCATGAGATTTAAAAAGCATGCATAGAGAAAATATTCATTTAAAATACAAGAGAGACTAATGTGTTTTATTGTTTGAGAGTGTAAAATGTTCACTGATGTGGTTTCAGATTACACATTGCAAGCTACCTTTAAGAAAGGACCACTTGTTGAGTTTTGGTATGCAAAGAAGAATATCCAGAATTATCTGCAACAGCTATTAAAATATTCCTCACTTTCTCAACTACAAATCTGCAAAGCTGGATTTTCTTCAGATACTTCAATAAAAAGAATACATCACAGCAGACTGAATATAGAAGCAGATGAGAAACCAATTGTCTTTTTTTTTTTGAGACGGAGTTTCGCTCTTGTTGCCCAGGCTGGAGTGCAATGGCGTAATCTTGTTTCACTGCAATCTCCACCCCCGGGTTCAAGCAATTCTCCTGCCTCAGCCTCCCAAGCAGCTGAGATCACAGGCGTGCACCACCACAAGTAGCTGAGATTACAGGCGTGCGCCACCACACCCGGCTAATTTTGTATTTTTAGTAGAGACAGGGTTTCTCCATGTTGGTCAGGCTGGTCTTGAACTCCCGACCTCAGGTGATCTACCCACCTCGGCCTCACAAAGTGCTGGGATTACAGGCATGAGCCACCGTGCCTGGCCCACCAATTGTCTTTTATTAATCGAGACAATAAAGAGATTTGCAGACATGTAAAACAATGCCACTTTTCTCATAAATGTATTTTTTTCTTTATCATCTAATTATTTTGAATATAAATATATTTAATAAAAATTTTTAAGTATTTAATATGTTAACAAATAATGGGCTTATTACTTTAAATCAATACATATTTAATTTTTTTCTTTTTTTGAGATAGACTGTTACTCTGTCACCCAGGTTGAAGTGCAGTAGCGTGATCACAACTCAGTACAACTTCTGATTCCTGGGATCAAGTGATCCTCCCACCTGAGCTACCTGAGTAGATGGGACCACAGGTATGTGCCACAATACCTGGATAATTTTTAGATTTTTTGAAGACGTGGGGTCTTTCTATGTTGCTCAAGCTGGTCTCTCGAACTCCTGGCCTCAAGCAATCCTCTTGCCTAGGCCTCCAAAAGTGTTGGGATTACAGGTGTGAACCACTGCACCCAGCCAATATTTAATTGTTTTGTTTTACTATCAGATATGGTAAATATCAGTATATGAAATCCAACTATTTAGTGTCTTCAATATTTAAGAATGCAAAGGAAGCCAGGCCTGATGGCTCATCCCTGTAATCCCAGCTACTTGGGAGCTGAGGTGGGAGGATTGCTTGGGGCAACCAGTTTGAGACAAGCCTGGGCAACATAGCAAGACCCTACCTCAAAAAGATAATAATAATTAGCTGAGCATGGTGGCACATGGTGTAGTCTCAGCTACTTGAGAGGCAAAGGCCAGAGGACCTCTTGAGCCCAGGAGTTTGAGGCTACAGTGAGCTGTGATTGCACCACTGCACCTCGAGCTTGGGCAACAGAGCAAGACCCTGTCTCTGAGAAAAAAAAGAAAGAAAGAAAAAGATGTAAAGGAGCTCCGACACCAAGAAGTTTAAGGGCCACTGCAATGCAGGGAACATAATGCAGATAGCTGGATCCAAGGTTCTTGGAATTGCAGAAAGGTCAGAGGGCAGTGAGGAAGCGGAAGCCAGAGGGTAGCTGCATGGGGAAGCTGCCACTGCCCTCACGACTGGAAGAGCGGAGGAGGAGGAGGTGGTATTCTGATGATCATGAGCAGGAACTGACCTCAGGAGCTGGCATCATAAAGAAGGGACATGTGGCAGGACGAGAGCCCAGAGTCAGGGATACCTGGTGGGAAGCAGAAGCATGGCAGGGGCTGCCGGGTGGGAGGCGGAAATGTGAAGGAGATGCAGGTCCTGCTGGAGACCCCACCCACAGAGAGAGAAGGGGGAGAAATGCCCTTCTTGCTTGCTGTCTCCTGTTCCCCCATTTCATGGGATGACCCTGTCTGCTGTTTGGAAGCTTGTTTGCCGCAGAACTTGGGGAACAGAGCTTGCAGGAGTCAGCCCCACAGCAGTTCAGAACAGAGGAGAGCAGGAGAGGGTTAAGAATGCACCTGAGAGCAACAGGCGCACACCTGGCATAGAAAAGGAGGAGAGAACCAGGAGCTTGGCTTGAGGGAGCCACAGGAGTGAGAAGAGGATGTTCATGATGGGAGTATCTTGCACTGCAGTGGAGGCAGAGAGCCAATATAGAGGAAGACAGAGGTAAACCCAGTTCGGGTGGGCCTGGGACAGAAGGGAGGGGATGGTGGACTCTAGGCAGAATGGTTGGCCTTAGAGACAGTGGCCACTGGATCTACAGTTCCCATATGAAAAAGCTTGTTGGTGGCCAGGCACAGTGGCTCACGCCTGTAATCCCAGCACTTTGGGAGGTCAAGGTGGGCGGATCATGAGGTCAGGAGATCAAGACCATCCTGGCCAACATGGTGAAACTCTATCTCTATTAAAATACAAAAAATTAGTCGGGTGTGGTGGTGTGTGCCTGTAGTCCCAGCTACTCAGGAGGCTGAGGCAGGGAAATCGCTTGAATCTGGGAGGCAAAGGTTGCAGCGAGCCGAGATCGCGCCATTGCACTCCAGCCTGGCTACAGAGCAAGACTTCGTCTCAAAAAAAAAAAAAAAAAAAAAAGGAAAAGGCTTGTTGATCTAGCTGATTGGAACTGGAAATATAATAGGAAGCTTGTTTAGAAAAGCCGGGCGCAGTGGCTCATGCTTGTAGTCCCAGCACTTTGGGAGGCTGAGGCAGATGGATCACCTGAGATCGGGAGTTTGAGACCAGCCTGACCAACATGGAGAAACCCCATCTCTACTAAAAATACAAAATTAGCCAGGCGTGGTGGAGCATGCCTGCAATCCCAGCTACTCGGGAGGCTGAGGCAGGAGGATCGCTGGAACCCAGGAGGCAGAGGTTGCAGTGAAACGAGATCACACAATTGCACTCCAGCCTGGGCAACAAGAGCAAAACTCTGTCTTAAAAAAAAAAAAAAAAAAAAAAAAAAAAAAAAGAAATCGTTTGCATGCTTCTCTCGCTTAGGGTCTGTTTACTTGGGGAAATTTTTGGATATTGGGCATGGAAAGGCTAAAGCCATCTATCCCTAGGCTACTAATTTTTAAGTCTCTATCTGTAGTCTAGACTCCTCTCACATTCAACTATCTGCTAAAGATCTAAAGATCTCCACGCGGACGACAGGGTGTCCGTGCTCTTCCTCATGGCTTGGGTGACTCTGATTCACTCTTCCGGTCTTATCTGAAATGGGCTTCTTCCAGGAATCTGTCCCTGGCTCCTAGACTAGATTCCCATAGCTCTGGCTTTCTTGTCACTGGTTGTTTAATGTCCCTCCCTTCCCACTGGAAGTGTCCTGGAGCAGTACTTGGGATGAGGTAGGTACTTACTGCTTATTTGATGAGTGACTAATGACTGATTGTTATAAGGAGATGTGGAATTTTGGGATGTACCTCTAGGCTTACCTTGAGCCACTCTCCCCCGCCCCCCCACCCCGCTGCCTCCATAATCCCAGGGTGCCAGAGAAGAGAACCGAGCTGGGCACCTTTCCTTCCCTTGTGTACAGTTCAGAGAAGAGGAAGGAGCTTCAGGTTTAATCTGGCTATCATGTAGTGTCTGGGAGGTCTGCGTAAGCCACATCACATTCTCAGTTTCCATCTTGTCATGTCTCTGAAACGGAGACAGTAAAACCTGCCCTCTCCACCTCTTAAGGTTGCCAAGGTGAGAGTTACTGGTAAGATAGCACCAAAATACAAACTCAAATTCAGAGGAGCAATCCTCCCTGGCTTTAAGCACTGGGTGGCCCCTGATATCACCAGCCCAGTTGTTTATCTTCTCTGGAGAGGAAATGTTAACTGGAAGGTCTTCAAGGGAGACAGCTCTTTGGCTGTGGAGCTGGCCCATGTCTCACCCTCCAGCCATGGAGGGAGCCCAGACCATCCTCCTTCACCTCCCTCAGTGGGTACTCAACTCAGGTTCCCGCATGGGCAGCTGATGTGGAGAGTGAAATGGGCAAGACCCAGGAGTTCTGATTCCCCCATCTTTCTGGTACCATACAGGCTCTCCTTCTGGCAAGGACAAAAGAAAGAGGTTAGTCCTGAGGAGAGAGGAGCCTTCCAGAAGTGTCCCTTCCTGGAAGACTCAGCAGAGGCCCAGGCTTAGCTCTGGGATAAAAGGATTAAAAGCACGGCTCAGCCCTCCAAGGGCAAGGGGTGGAATGGCTGCCCCTGGGAGAGTAAACATGGAGGCTTGTTGGGGACAGGACAGGGGGGCAGGTGGGTGACTCTGTGCTACTCTTGCTGGCACTTCCTCCCCTGGCACTGCTGAGGCAGGTCTGTCAGGCACTGAGGAGGTGTTTCCTAGCTCCAGGCACTGGGCTTGACTCACTGGGCAGTGGGAGGCAGATGCCAGGCGAAAGGGCTTGTCTGAGAGGAAGGCCTAAGGTTCCTGGGGAGAAACGATCTCACTTCCTCTTTTCTCCAGCTGAAATGCCACACAGCCTTCCTTAGGTGCCAGTAGAGGCTCTGGGCCTGCCCCAGAGAAGTTTGAGAGGCTGCTACACACAGGAGACTGGAGGTGAGGTGGTCCGGAGGAATGCGGGAGCCCCCCTGGTCCTAATCCCCAGGGCCTGGTGGGAGGGTACGGCTGGTACAGACTAGGACTGCACTTTCACCAACATAACCCCTCTGAAGCCCAGAGGCCAGAATGTGTGAATTATAGACCTGGCCTCGGGGAGCTGTGGGCCTCACACCCTCTAGGGTAGATAAGGATGGATCAAAGGAAACTGCTTGGGCCCCTCCCTCACACATGCTCTTCCCAGGATCCACTGCCCAGTGGCTGGAGTGATAAGACAGATGATACATATGCACGGAGGGGATTTTGGAGCCTCCTGCACAAACATTCCCTTGTGTGTGAGCCGGCCACGTGCCTCCCCTGCACAGCCCACCAACCCAGTGTTGTTGTTGGGTCTTGCATCCTGCCAAGTCGTCTTGTAGGATTCCTTCCAGCCCTTCCACCTCTGCTGGTTTATCCTGTGGAGTCCAGCTTGGCCTGAAATGAAGATCAGGAGCAGCCTTTGTGGACCTGCTCCCTGTGGGGGGCCTCTGTGCCTGTCTTGTGCCAGGCTTTGGGTCAGCCAACTTTGCTACAGCCTCTAAATAAAAATCTGACCCCTAAGCCCTGGGGAGAAGTGTAGCTTTTCCTGGAGGTCTTGTGGAGGTACAGAAGAGAGGGTCACACCACACATCAATCACCCAGCAACACTCCACATCAGACTCCCCTGCCCAGTAGACGTCTCTACCCTTTCCGGCATCCCTGTTCATTGGCACTGGGCTGCCAGGCCTCCTCTTCCTTTCCTGCTCTTTTTTCAGACTTAAAAACCCCTCTGCTCTCCCAGGCAATGTGGCCATTCCCAGATCTTCCTCCCAGGCCTCCTTGGAATTTCCCTCAGCTTGCGGATTGCAGTTCTCACTCAGCAGGCAAAACCACAGCAGAGCTCAGCAAACAGCTGCACTGTGATGGCCTGTGGGTTCTTACACCTGCCCGGGGAATCCCTCTCGCTTCATCCCATCACACCTAAAGAAAAGGAGAGCTGCAGGAGGTCTGACGGTGGGTGCATGGGTCCCAGCTGGGCAGTCTGCCCAAGCTCCTGCCCATGCTGGCCTTTGTTCCTGGGGCATTTCCAAAGCTCAGGGCTTGGGCCTTTGTCCATTCTCAGGATCCGGTAAATGATGCCTGACCACCCAAAACCCAGCAATCTTTCCTGCCTCCAAACAAAGAGGCCTTTTGATTTTTCTTACTCTCTTGGCCCTTACATGAGTGCCAAAATGTCTTGGGTAATAAAAAGAAGATTATCAGGAAACACTCACAGAGCACTTACTATGTTCCAGGTACTATTTTAAACATTATAGTTATTAACTCATTGAATCCCAGGAGTTGAGAGGCACTGTGTGTGTGTGTGTGTGTATGTGAGTGTATATGAGTGTGTGTATGTGAGTGCGTGAGAGTGTTTGTGTGCATCAGTGTGTGAGTGTGAGTGTGTGTGTGTGAATGATGTGTGTATGTGTGTGAGTGTGTATATGGGAGTGAGTGTGAGTGTGGGTGAGTGTGTGAGTGTGGGTGTAAGTGTGGGTGAGTGTGTGTACGAGTTGGATTTCCTTTTCATGCTTTCCTGGATTTGCTACCATGAACAACTATGACTTTTACACTCTCAATAGGGAAATTAACTGCTAAGGAGGCTAAGGTGAGAGGATCACTTGAACCCAGGAGGTCGAGGCTGCAGTGAGCCACTGCACTCCTGCACTCCAGCCTGGGCGACAGAGCAAGACCAACTCTAAAAAAAAAAAAAAAAAAAGAAAAGAGAGAGACAGAGAGTTAGAAATTGAAGCAGATGTTTACTGAGCCTGCTGTGGTGAGTTTTAAAGGGTGAGCACAGAAGCCCAGAGCTGGGCTGGCATCCAGTAGGTATATAACAGTGTGGCTGGCATCAGTCTGGATGGTCAGGGAACTGTTCTGACCGATTATGTCCATTGATAAGCATTTTGATATCTTTCCTGGCTGGAAGTCATGGTCTCTGCTTTGGGAGGGAGGAAGATTCTACCCTGTGGCCAATTCCCTTCCCCCAGCCAGCAGCCCCAGTCCAATGAGGGACTCACTATGTTGATCTCTGTGCTTTTTCTTTTTTTTTTGAGACAGAGTCTCGCTCTGTCACCCAGGCTGGAGTGCAGTGGTGCGATCTCGACTCACTGCAACCTCTGCCTCCTGGATTCAAGCGATTCTCCTGCCTCAGCCTCCCGAGTAGCTGGGACTACAGGTGCCTGCCACTACACCCGGCTAATTTTTTGTATTTTTAGTAGAGAAGGGGTTTCACTGTGTTAGCCAGGATGGTCTTGATTTCCTGACCTTGTGATCCACCCACCAGCCTTGGCTTCCCAAAGTGCTGGGATTACAGGCGTGAGCCACCGCACCTGGCCGATCTCTGTGCTCTTTAAAGAGGCTGTGTGGGGGAACTCTACCCGCTCCCTCCTGGGTCCTCATTTCAAATTCCCAGCCTTTAGAGTTAGGAATTGCAGCTCCAGGTTGGTGTCCACACTCCAGAGCAGAAGACCTCAGCCCTGGCTGCATATTTTAAAAAAAATACCAAGGGCTGCACACAGTGGTTCACGTCTGTAATCCCAGCACTTTTGGGGGCTGAGGTGGGAGGATGGGTTGAGGCGAGGAAGTTGAGACCAACCTGGGCAACACAGCAAGACCCTGTCTCCACAAAGAAAATGAAAAAACAAAACAAACAAACAAAAAACATTAGCCGGGTGAGGTGGGGTGCACGTGTGGTCCTAGCTACTCAGGAGGCTGAGGATTGCTTGAGCCTGGGAGGTTGAGGCTGCAGTGAGGTGCTATTGCACCACTGCACTCCAGCCTGACCACAGAGCAAGACGGTGTCTCCAATCAATCAATTAATCAATCAATCCCAATGCTGGAGTTGCATCCCACACCAGTTAAACTGGAAACTCTGGGGTAAGCCCAGGGCAGGGGTATTTTCTAACTTTCCTGAGATGGCTCTGCTGTGCAGCCACAGTTGAGAACCACCGAGGCATCCAGGCAGATGGAAAAAGCTCCCTCCAAGGCAGGCCTTGATAAAGGGTCCAGCATGGAAGAGGACACGTGATGACTCCGAGGGCTTATAGTTGATTAGAAAGAGAGCTAGACCCTGTGCGCAGAGATGGGTTGACTCAATGCGACTTGGGTACTGGAATGCAGAGAAAGGAGGCAGCTCAGGTAGGGTGGGGTTAAGCAGGCCAGTCTTTCTGGAGAAGGTTCTGGAAGCAGTTTTGGGAGGCAAGTCCCCCATCCCGGTGAACGGACTCTTCAGATCCTTGCTAAGGGTTTTCCCAGGGGCTCCTTATCTGATAAGCCAGCCCCTTTGTGACTCTGGCTCAGGATCCCTGCCCACCCCCGGGCCCGTGGGGGTGTGGCTGGCCACTCTTCAGTCACTGCCCTGGCTCTACGGGACACCCCGGCAGGATGAGGCTCCGACAGATAAGACCCGTGCTTGTTAGCACAGCTGTTCTCTGCAACACCCAGCCTTGTTTTCAAACCTGCGGAAACTTGGGTGCGGAAGTGTGACTACATCCACCCAACTTCAGAGTTGGGCTTGGTTCCAAATAAAAGGAAATTTAGTCAGTTTTCCCAGACAGAGGGACAAAAATAGAGTTGACAGGAACCTCAAAGGTTCTGCTGGAGTACCGGGGTCACACCTAGAAAAATCAGTTGGATCTTTGGTCTGGGCGCCCTGTTCAAATGCCCTGTTTAAACTTAAACTCTCAGCATCAACAACCACCCTCAAATCTGCCCCATGTACGTGCTTGGAGATGGTGCTCTAAAAGATTATGCTTTTTTTTTTGAGACAGGATCTCACCCTGTCATGCTGGATCATGCGATGGCATGATCTCGGCTCACTGCAATCTCCGCCTCCTGAGTTCAAGCGATTCTCCTGCTTCAGCCTCCCAATTAGCTGGGATTACAGGCGTGTACCACCACACCTGGCTAATTTTTTGTGTCTTTAGTAGAGACGGGGTTTCACCATGTTGGCCAGGTGGGTCTTGAACTCCTGACCTCGTGATCCGCCTGCCTCGGCCTCCCAAAGTGCTGGGATTATAGGCATAAGCCACTGCACCTGGCCAAAGATGATACTTTCTTTTAAGAAGGTCATTTTGTTTCTTCTGCCTTTAACAGTCCTAGAGTTTCTGTGTGTTCACTGAGCCTCTTTGGGCAATAAGCTTACTACAAGGCTCTGGGGTCTATAAATTATTTGCATGATCAAAGACATCGAACTGCATGATCAAAGAATTTAACTTTTGTATGTTTAATAGAGACTGGACAGGTAACTCGTGCTTGGCTAGATTGGCCCCTGGCAGAATCTGTTACCCCTGGATTCAGCTTTGGGTCCCATCTCAGGTGTCCAGGTCCTGTATGAGCTCCTGCTGCAGAGTGGGGCCTCGGGGCCTCCCGTGGGGAACTTGTTCTGCCTCAATGTTCTGTGCTGAACAGTGTTGACCTCACATGCGTCCTTCCTTACCTCCTGGAGAGCATTCTCCTTTTTACTGCCCTTTCAGCAACTCAGCACTAGCACATTGCATAGGACCAACTGCGGGGAGGGCTCACGTGGGCCCTGGGAAGGCCACTCTAAAGTGTGGAGGGCAGGTTTCCCACCATGCGACAGGCAGAGGTCACACTGCCGTTAGCAGCAGAACTGAGCCTGAAATTCAATCTCCTGATTCCCAGGGTCCTTACCCACCTAGTGAGCTGTGTGCCATGAGGGGGCCCCGCCCATCAAAGGGTCTCCAAAAGCCAGCGATGACATGAAGCAGGAAATGTATCATTAGAGCGGAAAAGAACCACACAGCTCCACAGCTCCATATGTTGGTCAACGGGCCCATACTGTCTGTGGCTTAAATGGGTCAGAGGTGTTGTGGCAGACAATAGAACCATCCTCATTCCTCGTGGAAAGTTTCCTGGGGAGCTCTGGACCCATAATTGAGTTGATAGTAACTGGAAAGGCTAGAGGATGGTGGGATCTAAAAATGCAGCACAGAAGTTCCTAGGGCAAGTGACTTAACCCTTTGGAGCTTTAGTTTCCTCATCTGTAAAGCAGGAACAATGAAAGTGCCTACTTCTGGCAAGGCGTGGTGGCTCACGCCCGTAATCCAAGCACTTTGGGAGGCCGAGGCGGGTGGATCACTTGAGGTCAGGAGTTCAAGACCAGCCTGGCCAACATGGTGAAACCCCATCTCTACTAAAAATACAAAAATTAGCTGAGCGTGGTGGCGGGCAGCTGTAATGCCAGCTACTCAGGAGGTTGAGGCACAAGAACCACTTGAACCCAGGAGGTGGAGGTTGCATTGAGCTGAGATCATGCCATTGCACTCCAGCCTGGGTGACAGAACGAGACTCCATCTCAAAAAAAAAAAAAGAAAGTACCTACTTCTCAGAGTGTTGTGGGGGTTAAGGTGAGATGATACCTGTGGAAAGTGCCCATGGAGCGCCTGTGCACAGGAAACTTCAGGATTCTGGAAAACTGCGTTATTTCTCTCTCTCTTTTTTTTTTTTTGAGATGGAGTCTCACTCTTTCACACAGGCTGGAGGGCAATGGTGTGATCTCAGCTCACTGTAACCTCCGCCTCCCAGGTTCAAGCGATTCTCCTGACTCAGCATCCTGAATAGCTGGGACTACCGGCACCTGCCACCGTGCCAGCTAATTTTTGTATGTTTAATAGAGACGGGTTTTCACCATGTTGGCCAGGCTGTTCTTGAACTCCTGGTCTCAAGTGATCTGCCCACCTTGGCCTCCCAAAGTGCTGGGATTACAGGTGCGAGCTA
The DNA here is from genome assembly GCF_000001405.40 of Homo sapiens. NCBI lineage: Eukaryota > Metazoa > Chordata > Mammalia > Primates > Hominidae > Homo > Homo sapiens. The sequence continues at coordinate 131,625,709 of NC_000007.14, forward strand.
TTGCACTCAGCGAAAACTGTGTTGTTACTTAAAGCCTCTCTCTGTTAGTAGCTGGCCTTCCATTTCCCTTTCCCTGGCCGATCTCCTCTGAGCCCTGGAGGGGCAGGTGTGGGATGAGTTTGTCCTTTTGAGGAGGAGACAAAGACACACAGAAGTGACTTGTTCCTGAGACATGCAGTGAGTCAACAGCTGGGGCGTCCTGGAGCCTGGGTCTCCCTGCCCCCGTGGGTCTCTCTGACAGTGCCCTGAGTTTCTGCCTGCTGCTGGCCGTCTTGGGGCCCTGCCTCCCATCTTGCAGCTGACCCTGGCCGGAAACTCCGCCCCATTGTCTTAGGCCTCGGGAGTCTGGCTGCCCTGGGGTGACAGCTTTCTCCTCTGGCTGAGATAACTCCAAGAGATGTCTATCCGTTCAGGGAAGGGGGAGCCTCTGAGCAAGCTCTTCCCTGCCCTGTGATAACGGCAGACAATGCTTAGAAAGGAGAGCGTTCCATCCCACAGCCTGCCCTCTGCACCCTCCCCCTGCTCCCACCAAACCCACCTCTCCCTCATCCCCCCAAAGGCTTTGATGAGTCTTTGGAAACTTGGGTGCGAGGCTGAGTCTCATTAACTCCTTCAGCACCGTCAGTGCTGTGAGTGTGCAGGTGGGAAATGCGCCCCTCCCTGGGCAGTCTGGTGACCTCCAGGAAGCAGGGTCAGGGCCAGGTGCTTTCTGGGTGGCTGAGGGGAGGTTTTAGTAGGGATGGTTCAATGGCTGTAGTTTTGTCCTAGGAAAAACTTTCTTTGTAGCTGAGCTCTGGAATCAAACAGATGTGAGTTTAAGTTCTGGCTCTATCATGGATGAGCTCAATGGTCTTGGGAAACTTAAGTTCCTCCTCCAAGCCCTGGCTTTCTCATCTGCTAAATGGGGGTACAAATAGCCACCACTAAGGTCATCAGAGGGAATAAATAAGTGATGAATAAATAAATAAATACACGCAGAGAACCTAGCAGAGGGCCTGGCACAGGGAGGCTATTGTGATGGTCATTTCTCCTAGAGCCACCTCTGTGCAGGCCTCGGGTTGGTGGCCTTGTGACGAGAGTGAAGGGGAACACTCTACACCTCACCCTTTACTGGAAAGAGCAGCTTCACTTCCCATGGTAAGTCAGAGAGGTCATCTTGACATGGAAGGAAAAACCCTTTGTTCATTTGATAAATATTTGTTGGCAGGTTACTGTGTGCCGTGCATCGTTTGAGCAGCTCGGGAGACCCAGTGAGTCCAGCCATCCCTGTCCACAGGTTGGTGTGAATGTGCAGGGCTAGCACAGGGGGCTGAGAAGGTAACAGATAAACTAGTGAAAACAAGTAAAAATAATATAACCTCACATAGAGAGGGGGGCTTGGAAGACAAATAAAATGACACAAGGGGTTAGAAGGTGACAGGAGGCCAGGCGTGGTGGCTAGCACCTGTAGTCTCAGCTGCGAGGTCCCTTAAACCCAGGAGTTGGAAACCAACCTGGGCAACATAGCAAGATCCCGCCTTAACAAAAAATAAAGGAATTAGCTGGATGTGATGCCTCATGCCTGTAGTCCCAGCTACTCAGGAGGCTTAGGCAGGAGGATCACTGGAGCCCAGGAGTTTGAGCCTGCAGTGAGCTGCGATTGCACCACTGCACTCCAGCTTGGGCAGCAGAGCAAGACTCTGTCTCAAAAAATAAATAAATACAAAAATAAAAAGAAGGCAACAGGTTGCACGTGTGCTATTTTTGATAGGATGTGCAGAGAAGGCCTCTCTGAAGAGGTGACATCTGAGCAATATTGGAATGAAGGGAAGGAGTGGGCCCTGGAAACCTGTGCCAGGAGTTTCCCAGTCCTAAGGAACAGCATGCTGGGAAGCCTGGGGGTGGAGGTCCAGCTCCCAGGGACAAGCTTGAGGCTGGTGTGAGGACGCAAGACTGCAGGGGCTCAGCACTGTGGCCGCGTCTATCTGGGTAACCTACTCAAACGCACTGAGGAGTCTCTCTCTGTCTGGGCCCAGGGCTCTGCCCGCATGACGGTGACCTCTGTCCCTACACAGGTGGCCTATTGCCTGCGTGTGCACACGTGTGTGTGTGTGTGAAGGGGGAGCCAAGGAACTGCAGAAAGCTGACCATGGTGGATTGCATATTTGTTTTTAATTAGGGTGATGGCAGGCAGCTGTCACTGGTTTCTTTTTATTTATTTACTTTGTCCCTGCCTTCTGATTAAAATTTCTGGTGCTATTTGCTGATGCCAGAGGCAATCTTGGGTTCTGAAAACACAGCGGGGCCCAGCTGCTCCCCTTGGGCTGGCCCTTCATTTAGGACCATGTGAAGGAAACAGCAGGTGTCGGGGCAGTGCCCTCCACGTGATACTGCTCCAAGCTCTGTGTGCCAGCCTAGGGCCCTCATTAAGACCAGAATTCAGGGAAAAGAAAGGTACCTCCATCCCCAAGTCAAGCCAGTTGCTTGACTAAACTGACTGATATTTCCCCTCATTAAATTGATGCTCATTCATCATTTCAATGCAACAAATATTTCTTGGGACCCAGCACTGCAGAGGGTGCAAGCCCAGCTGATGGTCATGGGGAAGGTGTGTTGGCTGATGGCTGTTCTCATGGGCGGGGACCCATGCCCCAATTACTGCATATTTTAAATTATCACACTGCTAGAAAAAAAAGATGAACAAGAGAATGTCTCCACCCTCAAGGAGCAGGCACATTGTAAAAATACCCATGAAACTGTCCAACTTATTTTGGACAGATGAAGTCGGAGCTTTGACAATTGGATAAACAAAGCACCAAGACATAAAGTGTATCCAAAAAATCAGCTTTTCTCAACACTTATCTCCCTGCGCTAAACCCACATGCCGCCTACCTCCTCTGTCTCTACCGACCCAGGAAAATTCACTGCCAAAATCTGTGCTGCTTTTTTTTTTTTCCTTTTAGTTTTCCCCAAGGTTTGCATTTGGAGCCACCGGAGATGGGGCTGACTTGCCAACATGCCCTCCAAGGACCCCATTCTGGCCTCCAGTTCAGGGCCTTCTTGGGGTTATCATTCTCCAGATTCCCCATCGACATGCCCCCTCCACCTCCTTACGAAACTTCTGGCTACATTTGGCTGCTGCGTCTCTCTTTACAACTTGCAGCCTACTCCTCCCTCCTCTGAATGTCGCCGTCCCTCCTTCTGCCTGTCCCAACTCTAATTCTGCCTCAGAGTCTCCTTGAAATCCCCTTGGTCTCTGGGGACTCTCACGGCCACTAAGGCCATCATTTTCTAGGCACGACCCCATGCTTCTTAGGCCTTGGTCTCTTGTGGGCTCCCTATGACCTCCTGGTCCCCTCTTCCTCATTCAGGCTCAGCTCCCCCTTTTGAGCTCTGGTGACATAAGGTGGCCTTCTCCCCTCCCAGCTGGCTGGGGCAAGGGAAGAGCACGGGCAGTGGATCATGCCACAGGGTTTTGGAAAGTCTCCCCGTGCCAGTGTTGGGTGGGATGCTCCTGTGACCCACCCGAGGGCCAGGCGGGAGGGGCGGCTGGCTGGGGAGCAGACTCTGCAGGGCTCAGATGGGCCTGGGGTGGAGGGTGGGTGCACAGTGACCAAAAACCCAGCTTGGATTCATTCTGAGGCATCCATGGGGAGTGTGGGGGGGCGTGGAGCGGGTGGGGCACAGGTCCCCTGACCTCATCCAGCCCCTATTTCCTTTGCTTCCCCTGGATCTGGGGCCTCCTCCAGCTGCGGTTTGCAAATGTCAGGGCTCAGTGCAGATCGGGCTGGGTGGTGGTCTGCCTCTTTCTCTGCCCATTTTCTCAACTTGGGCCCGGGAGCGGACAGGGCAGGGCTGGACTGTCCCCTCAGCATAGGGGCTTCACGGAAAGCCTGTTTGGTGGAGGGTGTGAACCAGGAGGGTGGTCCCAAACTTCCCCTTCAGCCTTTCTCCTTGAAATAGACAGTGACTCACATGGAACAATGACGTGATCGCAGGAATATGCCCGGGGCTGACAGCCAGACCTGCAGGTCTTGGGGTGTGGGTGGGGTGCCCTGGAACTGGCAGCAGAGACCAGCAAAGTTGACTGTGATGGCTGAGACCTACTGTATGCTGCAGAGCAGAACTCTGGTTCCGAAGGCCTGAATGAGGGCAGTGGGTACAAAAGAAACAGATACATGGTGGGGAAAGATGAAGGGTCTGGAACAATAGGGATGGGTGGAAGAGCTCACAAGCGCCACGGAGACACCATCACTGTGTCCTGCAGCTGCTCTTCCTGCAGGCTGCGGGGATGGGGAGGGCAGGCAGAGGAGGGAACAGAATGGAGGCTCCGAGTCTACCTGCTCATGGCAAGAGGAGGAAACTAAAGCCCACCTGGCAAGGTGAGGGCTCGGCTCCGGGTTCCCCAGCCACAGAGGGCTTAAGCCTGGCCCTGCCTTAAGCTCCTGGGAGCAGGGGCTCTTTCCTCAACCTTTCAGCTGCTGCCTGGGATCTGAAGAACTTGCCCCAGGAAAGCCGAGTGGGTGGGGTTCCCCCCTGGTGGGGTGGGGGTGATTTGTGCAACACACGAAGGTAGGGACACAGAGGTCGAACAGGGGCCAGCAATTGGGATGCCTGGCAGATCCAGATCTACTGGCTGCCCCTCGCGTGGTCTCGTTCCTCTCTTCCTTCATCTGTGTGCCCATGGGGTGTGTTCTGTGTTGCCTTCTCCTCTTGCCTCCTGTCTCCTTTGCCTCCTCTTCTCTCTCCCTCCTCTGTTGAGCACTAATGCTGGCAAGGAGCCTGCCCTTGCCTCCTGATCCATTTTGGTTCCCAGTCAGTTTTGTTCTGCAGTCACCAGCATGGACTGCGGGAGCACTGTGAGGAGTGAGGCACCCGGAGATGAGGCTTCCACCTGGCAGATACTGGTATCTATGGGGAGAGACATCCATCCAACAGATGCTCATGTGACAGTAGGCACATGCCAGACTCTGGGCTAAGCATGGCCTGCCCCCGGCTCACCCTGTAGTGGGGAGATGGACACGTGTACAATTAAATCAGGTATTAAAGAGAAGGGGGTGAGTGCTCCAGGGGTGATGATCCTTTGTAGGAACAGCTCAGCTCTCTTCCTTCCCTCTTCTCTCCCTCCCCTTCATCCTCCGTCTCTCCTTTTCTCCCTCCCTCCCCTTCATCCTCCCTCTCTCCTTTTCTCCCTCCCTCCCTCTCTCCTTTCTTTCCTTCCTCTCGTCCTCCCTCTCTACTTTCTTTCCTTCCTTCCCTCATTCTTTCCATAGTCTCAAATATGTCCATTGAGCTCTGAACCTTAATTGCCAGCTTCTTGCCAGACACTTCCACCTGGATGTCCCACGGACATCCCCAGGCAGCATGGCCCGGCCTGAACCCACTGTTTTCTTTTCCATACCTGTTTCTCAGGATTTGCCATTGCAGGTGAAAGCCCCACTCTGCAGCCCCAGGATAAATCTTGGGGGTTGTGTTCACCTCCTCTGTCTTCCTCATGTGCACACAGCCAGTAACAGAAGGGTGAAGACCCACCTCCAAGACTCTTTCTCATCTGCCCATCCCCTCTGCCTGTCCCCACGGCCATGATTACCTTGGGCTTTTATAGTCTCTCTCCTGGGCTTTTATAGTCTCTCTCCTGGACCACTACAGGGGTCTCCTGCCCTGTGTCCCCACAGTCTACTCCTTTAACGCTTAGCCCTGCTAAGAACATTTATAAAACACAAATCATATTCTATTCATTTATCTGGCTGGGCACAGGGCTCACGCCTGTAATCCCAACACTTTGGGAGGCTGAGGCAGGCAGATCACTTGAGGTCAGGAGTTCAAGACCAGCCTGGCCAACATGGTGAAACGTCTCTACTAAAAATACAAAAATTAGCCAGATGTGATGGTGCATGGTTGTAATCCCAGCTACTTGGGAGGCTGAGGCAGGAGAATCGCTTGGACCTGGGAGGCAGAGGTTGCAGTGAGCCGAGATCGCGCCATTGCACTCCAGCCTGTGTGACAAAGCAAGACTCCATCTCAAAAAATAAAAAATAAAAAAAAATAGATTCAATTCATTTATCTCATAGCATGCATATTGGAATCATTGTGTGCCAGGACACTCTGTGTACTTCCAAAATATTAACCCATTTACTCCTCCTAACGCTCTTAAAAGGTCTGTATGGTTCTAACCATATCTCATCAACTTAAAGGCACCCCCAATTGTAAGATGCGCCTAATTTTTGTAATACTAAGAGAAAAACTATGACACAATGATTTCAGTCACATAAAATTGTAATTTTATATTTAATGAAAGTGCCCTTTTAGGTTTGTTAAACGTGGGTTTTCAAAATCATAGATCTATTCTGTGCATACTTAGGGTGTTTATAAATGAAAGAAATGTTTAGATACACTTAAAATTTCCACATCCTCAGGGTGCCATCCTTCTGAATTGTTTTGAAACTCAGAGTCATCATAACCCAGAGTTATGTTCTTCTGCATAATTTTTTCTGTGCCATTAAGGGATGCAGTATTTCTCAAAAGTGTGGATTTTCTTCCAAATGACATTAATTCTTAGTATGTTTTCTATGACATTAGTAATTCTTAGTATGTTTGCACAAGTAATGAGAACTGTGTCATTGTGGCCACCCAGCCAATGAGTCTAAGATGATTTTTAGATGTGTTAAAAACAAAACAAAACAAAACACACCGTGCATCTTATAATTGATGAACCACTTTATCCCATTTTACAGATAGCAGAACCAAGACCTAGAGAGATTAAGTATCTTTCCCCAGGTCACATAGCCAGTCAGTGGCAGAACTGGCATTGGAAGCCAGGCAATCTGCCTCTGAGGGCTGCACTTCTAACCATCACCAGAATGTTGCTTTACTCTAAAGCCCTCGTTAGAAATCCATTTTCTAGGGCAAAGGAAATCCAAACTCTTTCCTCAACATTCAAACCTTTTGACTTGCCTTGCTTTCCTTTCTAGGCTTATCAGCTCTTTTTTTTTTTTTTTTTTTTTTTTTTCTGAGATGGAGTCTCACTCTGTCACTCAGGCTGGAGTGCAGTGGTGCAATCTCAGCTCACTATAACCTCTGCCTCCCGGGTTCAAGCGATTCTCCTGCCTCAGGCTCCAGAGTAGCGATTAGCTGGGATTACAGGCATGCACCACCACGCCCGGCTAATTTTTGTATTTTTAGTAGAGAAGAAGTTTCACTATGTTGGTCAGGCTGGTCTCGAACTCCTGACCTCAAGTGATCCGCCTGCCTCGGCCTCTCAAAGTGTTGGGATTACAGGCATGAGCCACCGCGCCTGGCCCTAGGCTTATCAGCTCTCAAATGTCTTGTGCTCTGGCCTGCTCTGAGCTGCAGATGGTCTCAGGCCTGTGGTATCTGGGCTCACACTCGGGAGCCCTCCCGTAGAAGACAGCTCAGACACCACGGGCTTGGCTTTAGCACCACCTTCTTTGAGACGTCTCCCTGACCCTTGCTGGTGGTCTTGCAGAATATAACCTGCTGAATGTAGCAGTGGGCCCCTTGGGCCAGGGGCTGGCTTCAGCCTGGGTGCTTCTATCCCAGCCTGGTGCCTGCATCTGTGACCTTGACAACACCAACCTCCCTTCTTCCCACCTGGAGAGACAGAAAACCTGATAGTTTGAGAAGCATTTTGGAGATCTGGAACGTTCTATAGTTGCCACCTGGGTGTTGAGCAGCTGGGGACCTGCTGTTTATGTAATAATATCCTGTCCGTGGGGGTATGTGCCTAGTGTCATAGTGAGCTATGGGAAAACACCTGATTCGGCATGTTGTAAACCTAGGACACCCTTCACCCTGAAACCCCTCTGACCTAGCAACTCATGGGACACAATGACTCAGGCATTGCTGCCGGAGGACTCATGGGTGTATGTGTGTGTGCAGGGTGGGGAGGAAGTGTTGGCGACATATCTTCTTCTTTTCTGCTATAAATCTCATTTCCTGTGGCTGACAAATTCCAAAGGAGGCTCCAGGACCCTCTCTTCCCAGTTCCTGCCCTGGGGCTTCGTGCCAGCAGCCCCAGCAGGAGATGCTCCAGCCAGAGCCAGCTCAGGGCTCCAGCATCCTCCTCCAAGCACTGTGGTGGAAAAAGCCATGTGGGAGAAGCCGAGGAGGAATGTTCCAGGCCTGCTCAGTTATTAAAGACCTCTCAAGATAATGAAGTACAGGCAAGAACAAAGAGGCAGAAAAGCAGCTAAATTAAAAATGCTATTCTCTGCACTTGGACCATCAGGCCCTGGCAAAGCCATTTGGCAGATATTCAGGTCATTTGGATGAGGGAGTTTCTGGCTTCTTCAGGCAGGAGGGTCTCTCGGTGAACATGAGAGTGTAGAAAGTGTCCCACTGGCTCAGGTCTGTGGTCCGCTGAGCAGAGGGGCTGTGTCCCTCTCTTAGAAGGAGCGAGCGCCCTGGCTTTGTGGGTGATCAATCTCCCTGATGTCAACTTTAAAGATAAGGGATTTATCCTCCAAATCCCACCTTGCACTTAATATTCCACTAGGGACAGACTTTCTGATTTTATTTAAAAGTTTTGGTGTCAGTTTATATAGCAACAGGGACTGTCTCTTGAGAGTATTTATGACTCAAGTTGTGCTTTCTTTCCTTGTTCTTAACCCATCTCTCTCTCTCTTTCTTTCTTTCTTTCCTTCTTTCATTTCTCTCTCTTTCTCTCTTCCTTCCTCCCTCCCTCCCTCACTCCTTCCCTTCTTTTTTCTTTCCTTCTTTCTTTCCTTCCTTCCTTCCTTCCTTCTTCCTTCCTTCCCTCCTTCCTTCCTTCCTTTCCTTTCCTTCTTTCCTTCTTTCTTTCTTTCTTTCTCCTTCCTTCCTTCCTTCCTTCCTTCCTTCCTTCCTTCCTTCCTTCCTTCCTTTCTCTCTCTCTCTCTCTCTCTCTCTCTTTCTTTCTTTCTTTCTTTCTTTCTTTCTTTCTTTCCTTCTTTCTTTTCTTTACAGGGTCCCACTCTGTCACCCAGGCTAGAGTGCAGTGGCACTATCTTGGGCTCACTGCCTCCTCTACCCACTACAGCCTCCACCTCCCGGGTTCAAGTGATTCTTGTGCCTCAGCCTCTTGACTATCTGGGACTACAGGCATGCACCACCATGCCCAGCTAATTTTTGTATTTTTAGTAGAGACGGGGTTTCACCATGTTGGCCAGGCTGGTCTCGAACTCTTGGCCTCAAGTGATCCGCCCACCTTGGCCTCCCAAAATGCTGGGATTACAGGTGTGAGCCACCACACTCGGCTTAACCTACCTCTTTCTAAGCTTTCTACTGGTGCCTTGGAATTTGGAGAACCGGCTAGCCACATTGGAGATCACAGCTATTATTGTTTGAAAAGATTGAATATATATGTATACATATTTAATTGAGAGGTATTGTATCTATGCTTTAAATTCAGGTTTTTACAGTTGGAGTTCAAGCCACTTCTCATCACCAGGCTTTAAGAGAGAAAATTTTTTGTTGGCCTTCCTGGGGAGAAGGTATGAGTTAAAGAGGACGTGGAGAAATAATTTTTTAGGCCTCTTGTGGAGAGCTAAATTATACTGATTTATGAACCACTGGCAAACACACAATATTGGAACTGTTTCTTGTTGGCGGCACTCCTGCAAACATGGTGGGCCACCACCTGAGGATCAGATGAGGGGGAGGGCATCCTCATTCTTCCCTCCTGCCAACCGTCCCTGGTCCAGGCATCTGACTCCTCCACCGCCATGCTTCAACTTGGTAGAGAAATAGACATCAGCCTTGCTCACCCCTCCCTCCACTGAATGACCATCCCTTTGGTCCTCACCCCGACTTGGGGTGAAGGGACAAGACAACAACCTAGGACATGCCAAGACCAGGGAAGTCTTTGAGGCAAAAGAGCTCTGTGACCTCCCCTTTACCAAGGTGACTATAGATTAAAGAGCTCTCCTGGGACAGGCCATATGTGACTGAGAAATGGTTAATGTTGGCTTTAAGTGTTTTATCTGCAGGGAGGGACTCTTGGGACGCCCTGAGGTTTGAGGTGTTGGCAGCTACCTCTGGAAGGGGGTGCATGAGGGCCTTGATGTTCTTCTACCCAAGGACTCTCATGCAAACTTTTTTTTTTTTTTTTTTTTTTTGAGACGGAGTCTCACTCTGTCTTCCAGGCTGGAGTGCAGTGAGGCGATCTCAGCTCACTGCAACCTCTGCCTACCAGGTTCAACCGATTTTCCTGCCTCGGCCTCCTGAGTAGCTGGGACTACAGGCACGTGCCACCACACCTAGCTAATTTTTTGTATTTTTAGCAGAGACGGGGTTTCACCATGTTAGCCAGGATGGTCCCCATCTCCTGACCTTGTGATCTGCCCGCCTCGGCCTCCCGAAGTGCTGGGATTACAGGCGTGAGCTATTGAACCCAGCCTCTCATGCAAACTTTTCATGCAGAAAGCGTACGAAGGTTTTGGGTTGGCCTCTTTCTTTCCTTTAAGTCAGGGTGTGACACGGGTGTGGAATAGCATGACAATTTCCACTAAGGGATCCAGTGCTGCTGTAATTGTTGGTCTTGGCCTCTGTCCTCACTAATGTGATCGTGAACTACCAGAAGGGAAGATGACGATCGCCAAGGAGTACGTGGGAAATGCGCTCCCCGCGCCAGCACAGGAGGTGGTCCGGAGATAGGAGGGCCAAGCTGCACACAGAAGCAAGAGGAAGGGCTGCGAGGAAGGCCTGGGAGCAGGCCCAGGGTGGGTGCAGGAGAGAGGCAAGAGCAGAGCTGAGGAAAGGAGCCACAGATAGGCATGGAATCTCCACTCTGGGCCTTGCTCAGGCGCCATTCCACGATGCTACAGAATTGGAGTTACAGGTAGATCCTGGAAAAGTCGTGTTCAACCTAAGGTCAAAGGACAGACTCTCGTGCCAAAGGACCTTTCTTTTTATTTTTTATTTTTTGAGACAGGTTCTCACTCTGTCACCCAGGCTGGAGTGCAGTGGTGCAATCTTGGCTCACTGCAGCCTCAACCTTCTGGCCACAAGCAATCCTCCTGCCTCAGCCTCCTGAGTAGCTGGGACTACACGCATGTGCCACCATGCCCAGCTAATTTTTGTATTTTTTGTAGAGACAGGGTTTCACCATGTTGCCCAGGCTGGTCTGGAACTTCTGGACTCAAGCATTCCACCTGCCTTGGCCTCCCAAAGTGCTGGGATTACAGGTGTGAGCCACTGTGCCTGGTCCAGGACCTTGCTTTTATGCAAACTCAGAAGGCTGGAAGACCTGCTTGGTGTGAGTGTGTGGCAACATCAGCATGGTCCAGAAGGATACATGGAGACCCAAGAGTTGGGGCCCATGGAGGAGCCTGAGGATGGGAGAAAAGAGGCAGAAGGGATGCCTGGAAGCATCTGCTGAAAACTTTAAACTTGAGCTGCCTTCAGCCACCACAGGGCATGCCTGGGCTGGGGCTTTTCTTTGTCTTTGAGGGTCAGGCCCATGCCCAGCCGAGCATTCTAGAGCAGGGAGGAAGCTAGAGGACATCTGCTCCCATCCCCTCATTTTAGAGTTGGGAAAACTGCCACCTGGAGAGAGTAAATGACCTGCTGAAGCTCACACAGCTTAGGACTCCTGACTCTTGGGCTACTGCCCTTTCTACTGAGCCATTTGGTCTCAGAGGGGCCAGTCCTCAGCAGCATCTCCTCACTGGCAGGCCATGGCCCTCTTGGTACCAGGACTTGTGTCCTCCAAGGTGGACAACCAGAGCAAGGCCACTGTCTCTGGAAAGTTGCCATTGGAATGAACATGTGAGCGCCTAAAGGGAAGGGGGTGGTAGGAGTACATGAGGACTCCTGAAGATAGGGAGTTTTAAGTCGAAGACATGAATGTCTAAGGGTGAAATTGTGAGTATCAGCCAGCTGGTGAGAGTATTATTTCTCTAGTGCCCTCAAGTGTCTTCCCAGTCCTGGGCGTTTACACTGGCGTGGGCCCTGATGCTGATGGAGTGTAGCCCCCTATTCAAACTACCTGGCTCACATGGCCACATCTGCGTAGGTCTGGGAGCAGATGGACTTGGTCATCTCAGAGGGTGGAGAATAGGACACAGAGCGGACAAAAGAGGATGTGCCAGAGAGGCCTGGGGGACCTGCTGTGGGGTTTGGGGTCCTGGATGAACCTGCTGACTGGGATACCCTGCTGTGGGCCCTGCAGGCAGCTCAGGGTGAGCACTTCCAGGAGACAGAGCCTCACTCCCCCAAAGCCCCCTTATCACCATCACAGGGAGAGCACCAGAGCCGTGAGAGCAGGTACCACCACCCCAGGCCACATTCCTCTCATAAGTGGAATAACACAATGGCCCTTTTAACTTAAACTTCCTTCTTAATTGACTGCTGCGGAGAGAGCAGTCCATCATCCCCCCACCTCCACCCCCACCTCTCCTGCTCTGGGCCCTGTTTATGGTGCTGATGAGCAGGGCGGGGGAGCTTCCTGGCTGGGCTGACATGATGATAAAGGGCAAAGCCCTGCACGCCTTGCCAGCCCCTGGCTGGGGGCTGTGGCTGGAGCCGCCTCGTACCCGAGACCCTGATGTTTAGAGAAACTTCAGGCGGACTTGTGGGCTCCCACGTTCCTGGTACAACTTGGGAATTATGTTGAATCGTGTTGGTGAGGATCCCTGGAATCCCAGTGGTCCCATTCCCCAGCCTCCCTCTCTAGATGTTTACAAGCCAGGTGATGGGCTCGGTGTTGGAGAGAGAAACATTGGCTCCCCTAGAAAGGGAACACGGTGGTCCCAGGACTCCACAGTCAGGTCTTGGCCAGTCTTGGGTGGAAAACCCAAACCCAGAGCGTCTACTAGGTGGATTAGGGACAAAGACTGCAAATCCCGATGTATCTGTGAGGCCAACCCTGGGTCTTGGCATTGGGTGGGCAGGCCCCTCGTCAGCCTCAGGATCTGTGTCAGGGTCTGTATCAGCAGCGGCACCTGCAGGAAGCAGCTGCACCTCCCATCACCTCTCAGGCCCAGAAGGTACAGAACATTGTACCCCGAGATGTTAGCCGGTGGGAAGAGGAAGGGAAGATGGTGGAAATGGATTCCATGTTAGCCGCTGGGAAGAGGAAGGGAAGATGGTGGAAATGGATTCCGAGGAAAGCCAGCTCTGCCTGAGGGGGATCTTATCAGAGCTGGGGCCAGGGCCTATTGCTCTGCAGACAGTGGGAGTTCAGCAAACAACAGTGACAATTAACATGTATTGAGTATCCAGTGTTGTTATCTGACAGACACACCTCTACATGCTTTGTAAAATATCTCTTTATCCTTGTAACAATCCTCTGATTCTTAATTGGTTTTATTTTTAACAGGTCAAGTCACTGAGGTGCAGAGACACTGCCTTCCTGTCCTAAAGTCCAGTTCAGGCCAGCTCTCTCCAGAGTTCCAGGCTTTTGGTCTCCGTCTGCAGATCTCCTTTGCTTTGAATGAGTCTGTCCCTGAGGAGGGCTAGGAGCAACCTTGAGAAGGAACATGATGGTCACTAATTCAGCCAGAACACTCTCAAGGTGCATTCTGAGCGAGGCTGATGCCAGGTGCAGAACAAACACCTCTTGCGCCTGGGAGCTTCCTGAAGTTTGGAGAATGTGTCAGATATCACCTGTTTGCCCCTGGGGGCCTAGCCCCACCCCTGTCTGCATTTCGTGCAGACTACACTGGGGCCTCCGTTGCCCTCCGTTTGGCCAGCAGGAAGCTCTGGCAAAAGATCAGTGGGATAGAGGAAGATGCTTTGGGGATTTATTTTTCCCGCTCCCTCTCTGGGGATCCCTGAAGGGACAGCTGTGCCTTCTGTCCAAGTGTCCTATTTTCCCTCTTCTCCAGGACTAGTGGTAAACCTTTTCCTAGTTCCTTCAGTTCAAAGGGGGAATAGGTGCCTTGTTCCAGCCCTGGGGTATAGCCCTGTCTCTTCTGGTTCCTCTTCAATCTGCCCTGTGTAAACAGCCCCTTTCTTTTTAAAACTCTCCTACAATAGGCCAGGCACAGTGGCTCATCAGGCCTGTAATCCCACACTCTGGGAGGCAAAAGCGGGCAGATCAGTTGAGGTTGGGAGCTCAAGACCAGCCTGGGAAACATGGTGAAACCCTGTCTCCACTAAAAAATACAAAAATTAGCCAGGTAATCCCTGCACTTTGGGAGGCCAAGGCAGGCGGATCACAAGGTCAAGAGATCGAGACCATCCTGGCCCACATGGTGAAACCCTACTAAAAATACAAAAATTAGCCGGGTGTGGTGGTGCGCACCTGTAGTCCCAGCTACTTGGGAGGCTGAGGCAGGAGAATTGCTTGAACCCGAGAGGTGGAGGTTGCAGTGAGCCGAGATCATGCCACTGCACTCCAGCCTGGGCGACAGAGTGAGACTCCATCTCGAAAAAAAATCTTTCCTGCAATCATCCTAGTTAGAGTGTGCTATTTGTTTTCTGCTGGGCACTGACTGATACAAAGAATAGGACCTATAGATAGAAAATTGCTGGTGGAGGCTGGGCATGGTGGCTCGTGCCTGTAATACTGGCACTTTGGGAGGCTGAGGCAGGCGGATCACGAGGTCAAGAGATCGAGACCATCCTGGCCAACATGGTGAAACCCTACTAAAAATACAAACATTAGGCCAGGCGCCGTGGCTCATGCCTTTAATCCCAGCACTTTGGGAGGCCGAGGTGGTTGCATCACCTGAGGTCAGAAGTTCGAGACCAGCCGGACCAACATGGAGAAATCCCATCTCTACTAAAAATACAAAATTAGCCAGGCGTGGTGGCAGGTGCCTGTAGTCCCAGCTACTTGGGAGGCTGAGGCAGGAGAATCACTTGAACCTGGGAGGTAGAGGCTGTGGTAAGCTGAGATCGCGCCATTGCACTCCAGCCTGGGCGAGAAGAGCGAAACTCCATCTCAAAAAAAAAAAAAAAAGAAAAAAAGCTGGGCATGGTGGTGTGCACCTGTAGTCCCAGCTACTCGGGAGGCTGAGGCAGGAGAATCGCTTGAACCCGGGAGGCAGAGGTTGCAATGAACCTAGATTGTGCCACTGCACTCCAGCCTGGTGACAGAGCAAGACTCTATCTCAAAAAACAAAAAAGAAAATAACTGGTGGAGCACAATTTTTCCACACTGCAGGGGAGTGAGTGCGGTAGGAGTCTGGAGGAGTGAACGTTCTTGTGGCCTGGGGCAGACGGAGAGGTCTTCCTGAAGGTCATGGGATCTGAGACCGTGAAGGACAGTGGGAACTCACATGTCTGAGTAGCTCCTAGCACGGTGCCTGAAGCATTTTTGAACAGAACTGAACTGGAATGCTTGATGCTGCCTGGTGTTCAACAATAGCTTCCAACCCCCTTCCTAGGCCTGGGTCCCAAGCAGGCCCCTTGGACTGTTGGGGAAGAGGCAGTCACTGTGCTGGGATATGTCCCTCCATGGGACCCCCCTGCCTTTTGCAGCGTTCACACAGCCCTTCTTATGTGTCAGATGGACCAGGTATGAGTGTATGCATCTTAGGTCTCTAGTGGATTCTGGGTCAAGCATGTGCCATGGGTCACATGTCAGGTGGCACAGGTATGAGTGTGCACATTTTTTTTTTTTTGAGATGGAGTTTTGTTCTTGTTGCCCAGGCTAGAGTGCAATGGCGTGATCTTGGCTCACTGCAACCTCCGCCTCCCGGGTTCAAGTGATTCTCCTGTCTCAGCCTCCCAAGTAGCTGGGATTACAGACATGCACCACCACACCCAGCTAATTTTGTATTTTTAGTAGACATGGGGTTTCTCCATGTTGGTCAGGCTGGTCTCAAACTCCCGACCTCAGGTGATCTGCCCACCTTGGCTTCCCAAAGTGCTGGGATTACAAGCATGAGCCACCGTGCCCGGCCACACATCTTAGCTCTCTAGTGGATTCTGGGTTAAGCATCCTTGCACACCACCACCACCTGCCTCCGCTCTCCCCAGTGCCTAAAACCATGCTTTGCATAGAGAGGGGGTCTAAATAAATATTGTTGACTGAATAAATGAATGAATGTATGAATGAATCTAATTCTGTCAATGTTTGAGCACCTGATGTGCTTAGCACCTTGAGAGGAGCCAGGGATACAGAGGCAGGACCTGCCCTTATTCAGGAGCTCCCAGGCAGGTGAAGCTGACCATCACCCAAAGGACCGTAGCCCAGCGGCTCAAGACTGATACAAAGAATAGGACCTATAAATAGAAAATTACCAGTGGAGGCTGGGCGCGGTGGCTCATGCCTGTAATCCTGGCACTTTGGGAGGTTGAGGCAGGCGGATCACGAGGTCAAGAGATCGAGACCATCCTGGCCAACATGGTGAAACCCTACTAAAAATGCAAAAATTAGGCCAGGTGTGGTGGCTCATGCCTGTAATCCCAGCACTTTGGGTGATGTAGCCAGGGTGACGCAGCCCCTAGGACAGAGGGTCAGAGAAAGCCCCCCTCGCTGGAGACTGCATCTGAATGGAGTCTAGGTTTTGCCTAGTGGTAGGAGTGGAGGGAAGGACTCTCATTTTAGGCAGAGGGACTGCACGAAGAAAGTGAGTAAAAAGTGCGTGGTGCCTTTGGAAACGACTAACGTGGCCTTGCTGAGGAGAAGGGCGCTTTGCAGAGTGTGAGAGCAGCCTCTGAAAGGTGGTTAAAATGGATTAGGAAGGGCTCGGAGGCCGTGGGGGACCATGGAAGATTTTGGAATCAGGAAGTCACATGTGCGGATAGATCTATGATTTGGAGAAATACCTCTGGTGGTTGGTGTCGGGGAGGGCTCAGAAGCTTAGTGGCCATTTGAGTTACACTGTGGTCATCCAGGCCACAGAGCCACATGCCTGAGTGAGGGCCGGGCATGGTGGTGGGGATGGTGAGAGGACAGTGGGGAGAGGCACGCTGAAAGGAGAACTCTTCCACCTAGTCACTTCCCCTGGGAAATGAGCATGGGTGAAGTCAGAGAGGATGAATGTCTGGCTGCCAAATGCTGTGGCATTTAAGAAGATGGAACCCAGGAGAGGGAGCCAGTCTGGGGAAGGAAGTAATTATTTTGGCGTCAGTCAAGCTAAGTTTTGTGTCTGTAGGACAGTCACAGGGGTGTGGGTTCTGTAGTCATTTGGCCTCTTTAGCCCAGAGCTGGATTAGAGCTGGAGGTGGTGCTGGGTCCCCTCTGGAAGGGGGTGATGGTTCCAGTCCAGGGGAGCGTGAGGTGGGAGGACCAGATGGCTGAAGATGAAGCCTTGGCTATCCCAGCTTAGAAGGGGTGGCCATTGTAGGTACCAGAAAACAGGGATGGCAGGAGGCGCAGAGGAGAGACTGAGGACATCCCAGAGACAGGGACACTGAAGCTCGGAGAAGAGAGAATGATCAGCTCAGAGTCTGAGCACACAGGGAGCCCCATCCAGGCTGCCTAACTGAAGCTGGGTTATTTTAATGTAAACCATCGTGGTGGTCAAGCAAAGCATCACTCCCCCTGCCACGTAGTTTTGACAGTTTGGGCAGATGGAGATGGATTGTGTAAGGGCTAGCAGCTGATAGAGAGTTCAGAAGGTCCAGGGTGGGCCTTGGGTGACAGCAGGTATAATAGCCACGAGGCTGGCCAATCCTGGGAGCACAGGTTCCTGCTTATAGACGAGACAGGTACAGGGGCCCCGGGGCTGCCACACTTGGGAAGGGAACACCCGGGTTCTCTTTGTGGTTCTGTCAGTGATTAGGGTCTTCAGAAATCTCTGCGTCTCAGCTGTCTCGTGTGTAAACAGCTCCTGACTCTCTTGAGCTGCTTAGGAAGCTAAAAATACTCCACCTTTTAGAGAAAGGGCACCTTGTAACTTAGGGAATTAATTCCCACATCCTTCCTACACTGACTCCTTAAGTCATAATTCAGCAAAGACGAGCAGGGATTTCCTCCTCCCTCTCCCTACTGGTTCTCTATTACAGATCGGGGATGTGGAGACTGGGGAAAGGCAGGTCTAGCCCCCAGCCCTTCCGTGACAGTTCAGAGTGTTTCTCAGCTACTCCCGGATATGGTGCTGTCTTCAAGGCCCTCTTCTTTCTGAGAGAGCCTTCTGGAAAGGTCAGTGTGCCCCAGGGGGCAAAGGTGCAGAAGATCTGGGTAGAGTGCATTTTTTTCTTTTTTTTTTGAGACAGAGTCTCGCTCTGTCACCCAGGCTGGAGTGCAGTGGCATGATCTCGGCTTACTGCAACCTCCACCTCTCAGGTTCAAGAAATTCTCTACCTCAGCATCCCTAGTAGCTGGGATTACAGGCGCCCGCCGCCACTCCCGGCTAATTTTTTTGTATTTTTAGTAGAGACGGGGTTTCACCAAGTTGGACAGGCTGGTCTTGAACTCCTGACCTCGTGATCCACCTGCCTCTGCCTCCCAAAGTGCTGGGATTACAGGTGTGAGCCACCGCGCCTGGCCGAAAGTAAAGTGCATTTGTATCGCGGGCCAGGACGCCTCCATCCAGGAGACTCCAAGAGGTCCTGGTTTGAGCCCTGAGTCCCCCAATAGAGCAGAGGTTTGATGACACCCCAGGGACAAGTTCACTTCACATAGAAAAAAGCCACACCTATGAGTTTTTTCTAAAGCAAAAATCAAACACTATGACTCCCTGTTTGAAACCCTTCAATTGTTCCTATTGCCCTTAGAAAATTCAGACTGTTGGGCCGGGCGCGGTGGCTCACGCCTGTAATGCCAGCACTTTGGGAGGCTGAGGCGGGCGGATCACGAGGTCAGGAGATTGAGACCATCCTGGCGAACACTGTGAAACCCCGTCTCTACTAAAAATACAAAAAACAATTAGCTGGGCATGGTGGCGGGCACCTGTTGTCCCAGCTACTCGGGAGGCTGAGGCAGGAGAATGGCATGAACCCGGGGGGCGGAGCTTGCAGTGAGCAGAGATCGCCCCACTGTGCTCCAGCCTGGGCTACAGAGCCAGACTCTGTCTCAAAAAAAAAAAAAAAGAAAAACACACACACAAAAAAACGAAAATTCAGACTGTTCAGCAAGCCCTCCAGGGCCGCTTAGAACCTGGCCCGATGCTTCTCCATCTCCATCTCCTACCCCTTCTCACCTCCTTCTCTCTGGGTTAGCCACTCTGGCCCCCTCTCTCTCACCGTGGTGAGCTTGTTCCTGGCTCCGTCTTTGATAAACTGTATCCTCTGTTGGCAACACCTGTAGGCCCCATTTGAGATGTCCCCTCCTCAGAAGGTCGTTCCCTGACAATCCCAGCTAAAGCCACCTGCTCTCTCCTCCCACCCTCCCTTATTCCCCTTCTTATTAATAGTTTATCTCCTTAACAATTCTCATTATGATCTGTCATTTTCTTGGATATTTGTTTATGTATTTATTGTCTGTCTCTCCTCATAGAATATAAGTAGCATGAGGACAAGAACCTGCTCTGTCTTATTCATCATCATACCCTATGCCTGGCACACAGCCTGGTGCATAAGTGCCCAAAAAATAGGCATGGATTAATAGATGCATATGCCCCAACCACCAAGTGCACCTGAGCCTGGAGTGTCGGCTGGGAAAAGTGTGCTGTGGTTACCAGGACACAGGCAAGGGAATGTGGCCAACTCTACAGAAAGCTTTGGAAGTCGGGTGTTTTGGCCTCAGGTAGATTTTTTTTTTTTTGAGATGGAGTCTCGCTCTGTCACCCAGGCTGGAGTGCAGTGGCGCGATCTCAGCTCACTGGAAGCTCTGCCTCCTGGGTTCATGGCATGCTCCTGCCTCAGCCTCCTGAGTAGCTGGGACTACAGGCGCCCGCCACCACACCCAGCTAATTTTTTGTGTTTTTAGTAGAGACAGGGTTTCACTGTGTTAGCCAGGATGGTCTCGATCTCTTGACCTTGTGATCCACCCGCCTCAGTCTCCCAAAGTGCTGGAATTACAGGCATGAGCCACCTCGCCTGGCACCCAGGTAGATCTTGAGTTCAAATTTCAGCCCTGCACTTGGGAGAGTTTCTTAATCCTGGACAATTTAATTTCCTCATTAAAAAATATTTTAAAGGCCAGACGTGGTGGCTCACGCCTGTAATCCTAGCACTTTGGGCGGCCAAGGCGGACGAATCACTTAAGGTCAGGAGTTTGAGACCAGCCTGGTCAAAATGGTGAAACCTTGTCTCTATTGAAAATATAAAAATTAGCCAGGCGTGGTTGTGCACACCTGTAATCCCAGCTACTGGGGAGGCTGAGGCAGAAGAATCACTTGAACCCGAGTGGCAGAGGTTGCAGTGAGCTGTGAGCTGAGATTGCACCACTCACTGCACTCTAGCCTGGGTGACAGATTGAGTGATGAGACTCCATCTCAAAAATAAATACATAAATAAATAAAAATTAAAAAGATAAAAAATCTTTTAAATTGTGATAGGATACACGTAAAATAAAATTTACCATCTTAACCATTTTTAAGGGCACAGTTCTGTGGCATTAAGTACATTCATAATGTTGTGCCACCATTTATCCCCAGAACTTTTCAACTTGCAAAACTGAAACTTCCAGCCAAGCCCCTTGAAACACCATTTTACTTTCTGTCTCTGTGAATTTAACTACTCTAGGTACCTCATGTAAATAGAATTATACAGTATTTGTATTTGTCTTTTGTGACTGGCTTATATCACTTAGCATAATGTCCTTGAGTTTCATCCATGGTGTGTAGTCTGTGTCAGAATTTCCTTTTTTTTTTTTTTTTTTTGAGACAGGATCTTGCTGTGCTGCCCAGGCTGGAGTGCAGTGGTGCAATCCTAGCTCGCTGTAGCCTTGAACTCCTAGGCTCAAGCAATCGATCCGCCTACCTCAACCTCCTGAGTAGCTGGGACTACAGGCGTGTGCCACTATGTCTAGCTAATTAAAAAAAAAAAAAAACCAACAACTTTTAATAGAGACTGAGTTTTGCTATGTTGCCCAGCTTGTTCTTGAATTCCTGGCCTCCAGAGATCCTCTTGCTTTGGCTTCCCAAAGTGTTGGCATTACAGGTGTGAGCCACTGTGCCCCTCCCAGAATTCCTTTCCTTTTTTTTTTTTTTTTTGGAGACGGAATCTCACTCTGTTGCCCAGGCTAGAGTGCAGTGGTGTGATCTCGGCTCACTACAACCTCCGCCTCCAGGGTTCAAGCAAATCTCTGTCTCAGCCTCCCAAGTAGCTGGGATTACACGCACCCGCCACGACGCCCGGCTCATTTTTGTATTTTTAGTAGAGACGGGGTTTCACCATCTTGGCCAGGCTGGTCTTGAACAGTTGACCTCGTGATCCACCCGCCTCGGCCTCCCAAAGTGCTGGGATTACAGGATTGAGCCACCAGGCCCGGCCTTTTTTTTGAGATGGAGTCTCACACTGGAGTGCAATGGTGCAATCTCGGCTCACTGCAACCTCCGCCTCCCAGGTTCACGTGATTCTCCTACCTCAGCTTCCCGAGTAGCTGGGATTAGAGGTGCACACCACCACACCCAGATAATTTTTTTTTTGTATTTTTAGTAGAGACAGGGTTTCACTATGTTGGCCAGACTGGTCTTGAACTCCTGACCTCGTGATCCACCCTCCTCGGCCTCCCAAAGTGCTGGGATTAAAGGTGTGAGCCACCGCGCCCAGCCAAAAGAATTCCCTTCCTTTTGAAGGCTGAATAATATTCTATTGGATGAATATACCACATTTTGTTTGTCCATTTATCCATCGATGGAAACTTGGATGGCTTCCACCTCGTGCCTATTATGAATGCGCTCCTATGAACACGGGTGTTTGAGTCCCAGCTTTCAATTATTTGGGGTATTATCCGGAAGTGGAATTGCTGGATCATATGGCCGTTCTAATTTTATTTGAAAGAATTCACTTCATTTATTGATCAAAATGCATCATCTGGGGCACAGACATCTGAAGCCACTCATATTCTCATGAATCCTTGTGTTCTTCTGAGAATGATTTGTTATCTATTTAGTAGAACCACCATGCTGGTTTCCACAGCATCTGCGTCATGTCACAATCCCACAACAGTGCCCAAGATTCCAGCTTCTCCACATCATTGCCAACACTTCTTAGTTTTTTTTTTTAATAATGGCCTCCTACGGGTTGTGAAGTGATATCTCCTTGTGATTTTGTCTTCTTCTTCTTTTTTTTCCTTTGAAACAGGGTCTCACTCTGTTGCTCAAGCTGGAGTACAGCAGTGCGATCTCAGCTCACTGCAACCTCTGCATCCCGAGCTCAAACGATCCTCCTGCCTCAGCCTCCTAAGTAGCTGAGACTACAGGCATGCATCATCATGCCTGGATAATTTTTGTATTTTTAGTAGTGATGGTGTTTCACCATGTTCCCCAGGCTGGTCTCAAATTCCCGGACTCAAGTGATCTGCCCACCTCAGCCTCCCAAAGTGTTGGGACTACAGGCATGAGCCATGGTGCCCAGCCCTCAGTGTGGTTTTGATTTTCATTTTTCCCTAATGTTTGGTGATGTTGAACCACTGTCTGAATTTTGGAAATGGTTAGATCAGCTACCTCACTGGGTGGTGAGGAGGCTTAAAGGAGAAAAATGCCCTTGGTGTGAAGCCAAATCCCTAGCATAAGTGCTCACTAAAGGTTGTCCATCATTACTTTTTCTAATTGCTTCTTGACAATCAACCCAGAGGCCTGGCCCTTCGGAGGCATGGGGCTTGTGTGTGTGATGATGGTCTCCCCGTTGGACACTGGGTCTCTCCAGAAGCCCCTTCTACCACCACGGTCCCCCACAGCCTGGGACATGTGTGAAAGC
Source organism: Homo sapiens (assembly GCF_000001405.40). Lineage (NCBI taxonomy): Eukaryota > Metazoa > Chordata > Mammalia > Primates > Hominidae > Homo > Homo sapiens. Next base: position 131,648,389 of record NC_000007.14, read on the forward strand.
CACCAAGTGAGGCAGGAAGCCTGGTGAGGGGTTGTTGTTGGGTGGTGGGAGGGCGGGGGGTGGGAAGAGAGATAGGTCCAGGGTGGCCCAGAGTCCTCATTGCTTCATGAGGACTGGGTACCACCTGCCCTCTGCTTCAGTTTCTCCCTTTGCCACAAAAGAGGCTATCTTGCGAGGAGGTGAGATTCACAGTAATGCCTGTAAAGAGCTCTGGAATCTGCCCTGGCAGCCTGGCTGTCTGTGTGGGACCCAGGGTAGTGTGGAGGGTGGGGCCCTGATTCTGTTCTTTCTCACATTTTTACTGCATGCTCGGTGGACAGGCTCTGATGGCCAGAGCCCACATCAGCCCTAAAAGCTCCTTTGAAGTGAAGCAACCACTTTTAAGTGCAATTATTTTGAGATAACCCTAAACTCCCTGCTCCTAAGCCAGGAATGTCTCCTCCTCTGCCCCAACCCTCCACCGACCCACCCCCACCCAAAATCAAACCTGACTCCATTCTTTAAAGGCGTTGCTTCCAGAGCTTGGGAATTATCTGCTTTGATTGTGGTGGTTGTGGTGTTTGCTTTTGTGTTATTCTTCTGTGAAAACAAGAGATTGAGGAGTGTAAATATGTTCCTAGTAGGAATGCTCTGAGGAGGATTACAAAACAATTGAAGGGTTAGCAAGGAGAGTCCAAGGAAGGGAAGAAAAGAGAAAAATTGCCAAAAACTCAGAGCTGGAACAGAAGAAATTGACCAACAGGCAAGGATGCAAAGTGTGATGTCACTTTTTCCAAAAGACTGGGGTGACCTGAGGCTAGAAAGGCAGGAAGGAAAAGTTCATTTACAATTACAAGTTTAAAAAGGTGCATGATGAATTAAGGCCCAGGACTGGTTTGGAAACCAGTGGGGTTTGGGAAATGCAGAGAGTTAGGGAACAGGTGTTAGGAGTTTGGCTGTGACGCTCACGTTAACACTTTCTATGCCAAGGGTTGGGGAAGGAGGAGGCTCTTAGGAGCTGAGCCTGAGCTCGTCTGGGAAGCTGAGTTGGTGATGTCCCCACGCAGAGGCCCTGGACCCCGTGGCTGACTGCTGAAGTGCTGGACAGTGAGGTGGGGGATGGGGGACAGTGCTAGCTCCTCAGAGGCAGGCTTAACTTCCCATCCTGCCACCACCCCTCCTTGGTTGCCTGACCTCTGGCAAGCCAGTCAACAACTTGGAGCCTCCTGGGATGGAACATTAGCAGCCACCTTAGGGTGGTCACCCGGACAAAATCAGATAAGTTGTGCAAAGTGCCTGCCATGTATCATGAGCTGGGGAGGCATTTCCTTTTAAAGTGGTAGAACTAGGCCATGGGCGATGATGCTTGGCCTCCATCTCTAGCCCTGGCTGCCTTGACACGCTTGCCTCTGCAAGCTCTCACAGAAGCCTTTTGCCCATGGGGTCAGAAATGCCATCATCACTTGTCTTCCTGATAGGTCCACTTGGTTCCCACTTTGCCAGGGTTCTTGCTGTCTTAACATCCAGGTGACGAGGCCACGTTTGAGTACAGTAGATTCAGGAGGGTGTAGGCAGAAAGCGTGCAGTCACCTGGGGATGCTGGCTGTCTTGGCTGCTCCCTGGGTAGATGCTACCGAGGACTCTGGAACTGGAATCCTGCCGGGGATCCCTGGCTGTGTGTGCTTTAGGCCTGCGTGGGGTGGTGGGGGGCCAAGGCTCAGACAAAATCATTCGGCGAGGGTGTGCCCAGCACTGAGCGGGTGCCTGCAGTTTGGGGGCTGTGCTGGAGGTGCCTGGAAAGGAGGGATTCACTGAGTTGACGCTTAAAATGGCCTTCAACGCAGCGCACATGACAAACCTTGAACTCAGAAATTCTTACAACGATCATCTAAACAAACTCCTTCCACCTCCTCCACATGGTCCCTGTGATTTCCTTTCCCCTTTGAAACTGGCTTGGTTGTTTGTGGAAACTTGGTCTCAGCTGGGTGAAACTGTGGGGCGGTGGAGGGAGGGATGCTCTCGGCTGATCCGTCTCAGATTTCGAACTCTGTGCTTGGGTCCCCATTCACTCAGATTCATTCACTCATCATTCATTCTTAGTTTATATTTCTTTATTTTAGAGGCAGTCTCCTGTCACCCAGGCTAAAGTGCAGGGGCATCATCATGGCTCCCTGCAGCCTTGACTCCCTGGGCTTCCTGAGTAGCTGGAACTACAGGCACATGCCACCATACCTGGCTAATTTTAAATATTTTGTAGGGATGGGAGTCGGGGAGGGGGCCTCCCTATGTAGCCCAGGCTGGTCTTGAACTCCTGGGCTCAAGCCATCCACCTACCTCAGCCTCTCAAAGTACTAGCATTATAGGCATGAGCCACCACACCTGGACTTTTTTTTTTATTTTTTATTTATTTATTTTTTTTGTGACGGAGTCTCTCTTTGACACCCAGGCTGAAGTGCAAATGGCTCGATCTCAGCTCACTGCAACCTCTGCCTCCCGGGTTCAAGCGATTCTTCTGCCTCAGCCTCCCGAGTAGCTGGGACTACAGGCTCCCACCACCATGCCTGGCTAATTTTTGTATTTTTGGTAGAGACGGGGTTTCACCATATTGGCCAGGCTGGTCTCAAACTCGTGACAATGTGATCCACCTGCCTCAGCCTCCCAAAGTGCTGGGATTACAGGTGTGAGCCACCGCGCCTGGCCCTCATTTATTTTTAATTGTAGTAAAAAACCACGTAACATAAAATTTACCCTCCTAACCATTTTCACATGTGCAGTTCAGTAGTGTTAGTATATCTACACTGTTCAGTAGTGTTAGTATATCTACATTGTTATACAACAAATCTCCAGAACTTTTCATCTTGCAAAGCTAACATGGTACCCATTAAAGAACAACTCCCCATTTCCCTTCCTCACAGCCCCTGGCAACCGCCATCCTACTTTCTGTTGCTGTGAGGTTGAGTTCTTTAGATCCCTTAAGTAAGGGGAATCTTTTCATGGACATATGTGTAATCATTCACTTCACCTCAAGGTTCTTCTGTGTTGTGGCAGGTAGCAGGTTTCCTTCCTTTCCACAGCTGCATCAAGTTCTGTTGTGTGGAAAGAAAACATTTTCTTTCTTTCTTTTTTCTTTGGGCGCAATGTTGGCTCACTGCAACCTCCACCTCTCAGGTTCAAGCGATTCTCCTGCCTCAGCTTCCTGAGTACCTGGGATTACAAGCACACGCCATCATGCCCGGATAATTTTTGTATTTTTAGTAGAGACAGGGTTTCACCATGCTGGTCAGGCTGGTCTTGAACTCCTGACCTCAGGTGATCCACCTGCCTTGGACTCCCAAAGTGCTGGGATTACAGGCGTGAGCCACCGCGCCTGGCCGAGACCACAGTTTCTTATGCCACATTATCTTAGCATGGGGTACCTCGCATCTGTTGTGTGATGTGTCCAGCCTGGATTCGGACTATGCTGTTACTGGCCATTATTGCACACCCACTGAACTCCAGGGACTGTTTTAACGTCTTAGGTGACGGTCTTTAGGAAGTTCTCACACTTTCGGGAACCTCCATTGCAGGTGGAAAAGGTCTTTGTTCCTCCCGCCTCCCTGACCCCCAAGAACACGGTTGTTCCACCAGAACAAGCCCTCATTCCTTGGCCATGTTTACACGTTCTGAATGAAGGATTCAGCTAGGAACCTCTACTGCTTTGGGAAGCATTTCAAAAGATAGAAATAAGAAAAATGAACAAACATTCCTGCATTTTTGAAATGGTGACATTTCATTTGGGCCTCACACCCACTGTGTGAGATTTGTGATCTCCACGTTTGGGATGAAGAAATGGATGTGTGAGGTGGAAGAAGGGATGGGAGGGGAAAGGGTAGCTTGGAGCAGGGCTAGCAGGAGGCAGCGAGGTGCTCAGGCTGTAGTACCTGCCCCGAGAGGAAGCGCCCTGCACATCTGTGCCCTGGGTGCTCACTTGACTCACCTAAGTCCTAGCTCTGGGCAGGAGGCTGAGCCTGAGAGAAGCCCCCCCAAGGCCAGGAGCAGGTGTCCACACCCCAAGGTCTGAAAGCCACCCTAAAGTGGGTTCAGGGCTGTAAGGGGCTCCGTGTGGGAAGTCAGGAAGGCCCCCGGGGGCTGAAAACAGAGTTTGACCTGAAAGAGGCCTGAGCCCCAGGACCTGCACTGTGTCTGAGTTAATTGTCCCCACCCTCTGCCTGTCCCTTGTCTTAGGTGTTCAGTCCTAATTACTGCCTTTTTTTTTTTTTGAGGCGGAGTCTCGCCCTGTCGCCCAGGCTGGAGTGCAGTGGCATGATCTCGGCTCACTGCAACTTCTGCCTCCCAGGTTCAAGCGATTCTACTGCCCCAGCATCCCGATTAGCTGGGATTACAAGTGCGTGCCACCACGCCCAGCTAATTTTTTGTATCTTTAGTAGAGACAGGTTTTCACCATGTTGGCCAGGCTGGTCCCAAACTCCTGACCTCGTGATCCTTCCTGCCTCGGCCTCCCAAAGTGCTGGGATTACAGGTGTGAGCCACGGCACCCAGCCTTAATTACTGCTTCTTAACATCCCTACAGGAGCCACCTGAAGGTGCTATGGATGCAGGTGAAGAAATGACATCCAGGCAGGGCTTATGCAGATGCCTCTTGCCTCCAAAAGGAGGATTGGGTCCCTCTGCTGTACTTAAAACAACTTGAAGCTGGGAATTGTGGAGGGGGGGAGGGGGGGAGGGGGCCTCAGTCCCACAGAGACCTAGCTCCCATTTCGTGTGGCCAGGGTGTTGAGAACCTTTGTCCCTGGAGCCCCTGTGCTGAGTCATAAACACATGGGACAAATTCCAGCAGTAAACGACCATTCACTAAGTTGCAAGTGACTTTCTCAGTCTTCTTTGCTTTTGTGCAGAGAAGACTGAGAATTCAGCCCTAGAGAATTCAGCTCTGGTTGTGAGTGCCTCTTTTCCAGGGCAGAGACTTCTGGAAAAGCAGATGGAGCCTTGTGGAATGGGGCTCTCTGCCTCATCTGGGGAGTGACTCTCGATTCCCCTCACCTGTCCCTCCCATCACACCTGGGCTTCTTTGCGGTGACAGGTGTGTGTCTGGAGAGGGAGTAGAGTGGAACGCAGGTTTGGTTGTGGGATGTGGGGGTCGCAGAGGTGCACCCTGGGATCTGAAGGCTGGCCTCTGTCCTCCCATCTGGACGGGCAAGGAGCTCAGCCTCCCAGACTCTGCTTTCTGACTCATCTAATGGCAGTCCTCATAATTTCCTCCTAGGATGGTTGAGACGGTCAAAAGGAAAGCAGGTGGGAAAACTCCTGGCGAAGCAGAAAGTGTTCCGCTGTGGGGAGGTTTTATTTTTCCCTCATGAGGAGTGGACGGTGGAGATGGGGGGACAGTGGGAGGGAAAGGCCTGGGCAGGCGTGTTTGGGAAAAGATGATGAAGGGCACTTTGGAATTTGTAGATACCAGGAGACTAAGGGGAGGAGTGCTGTGGGGGGTCATTTGGGGTTGGAGGCTGAATAAGCAGGGTGTGGAGTGGGGCAGAAGAATCCAGCATCTCCCAAAGTGGAGGGATAGTGAGCAGTTGCTGCGTGTGTGGGGTGTGTGTGTGTGTGATGTGTTTTGTGTGTGCTGTATGTGTTTGTTGTGGTGTATGTTGTGTGTGCTGTGTGTGGGTGCTGTATTGTATATGTAGGGTGTGTATGCTGTGTGTTGTGTGTGTGGTGTGATGTGTGTGTGTTGTGGTATGTGTTGTAGTGGTATGTGTTGTGGGGGTGTGTATTTGTGTGTGTGTTGTGTGACGTGTGTGTAGGGTTTATGTGTTGCATTATGTGTTGTGTGTATGTTGCGTGTGTTGTGTGTTGTCTGGTACATTGTATTGTGGGTGTGTGTTGTAGGGATGTGTGTGTTGTGTGTTATGTTGTGTGGGTATGTGTGGTGAGTTGTCCATTGTGTGTTGTGTTGGGTGTGTGATGTGTGTTGTGTGGTATGTTGTACTGTGTGTGTGTGTTGTGGGGTATGTGTTGTATGGATGTGTGGTGAGTTGTGTGGTAAATTGTGTTGTAGGGGTGTGTGTTGTAGGGGTGTGTATTGGGGTGTGTATGTGTGGTGTGTGTTATGTGATATGTGCATTGTGTTGTGGGGTGTGTGTCGTAGGGGTGTTTGTGGTGTGTGTTGGGGTGTATATGTGTGGTTTGTGTTGTGGGTATGTGTGTGTAGCTGATGTTGGGATGCATTGTGTGTTTTGTGGGTGTGGTATGTTTTGTGTGTTGTGTTGTGGGTGTGTATTATAGGGGTGTGTGTGTTGTGTGTTGGGGTGTGTGTGGCGTGCCTTGTGTGGTATGTGGTACATTGTGTTGTGGGGTATGTGTTGTAGGGGTGTGTGTGGTGTGTGTTGTGCGGTGTCCTCCTGGGCATGTTCCCACCTTGGCAGTGCTGTCTCTGCCTGGGCCGCCCTTTGGGCAGCTGCTCCTGAGCCCTGCCTGGCTTAGTTGGCCTGTGCCCGCCACCTGGTGGCCGAGAGTGGAAGGGCAACCGGGCGTCTCACCACGGCCGTGGCTTGGGCGCATCCTCTTTTGAGAATAGGTCCTTGTTCCCCTCTTTGCTTGTGTCTCTTCTCCTCAGCGTCTTGCCTCTACCTCCTTCTCTCAGCTCTGTACCAAGGGGGTCGGATTTCAGGTTTCCCTAAACGTCTCAGCGTGAATGGGAGTGAAGTCTCCAAGGCTGCCTGCCTCCCAGGGCAGTCGTGAGGATGACATGGCTGAGGAGGGGGCTGTGACAGGATGTGGCAGCTCACAGGCTCCTCAGGCATGACAGGAGAGGTACAGGATGAGCTTGCAACCCCCTCAGAATCAGGTGGCTATTGTGGAGCAGCCCCTCCAGGATCCCAGCACAGGTTCCGTCCCTGCCAGTTTACGGGAAAGGTGGCCAGGTGTCAGCGGTCAGGCATTTCTACTCCACGTAACACCCACCTGCTGTGTATTTTCTATTAAGGATTTTCAAAAAAAACAAGGGAATTATTTGAGACGCATAAAGTTACATTGTGTGGATTTACTAAGCAATTAAAGCAAATGCTGTGAGTAATTGCAGATGTGCTGTCCAGGTATTGTTCTAGTTTTAACTACTGATCCCTTCTCCCTAAAGAACAGGCCCTGGTCCTTTAGACAGAGCTGCCTGGGCTGATAGCTCTGCCCTAAGTGCGCGATGATTCCTTCATTCATTTGTACATTTGGTTACTGATGTAACAAGTATTCATTAAATCCGCAGCACGTGCCTGGCACTGTGCTACATACTGGGGACAAAAAAGATGAACAAACACATCCTGCCCTCCAGGGTCCTGACTACAGCTAAGAGGCCACATCAAGATAAATGCAACAAGCCTGCATCAGGGGGCTTCACCTGAGCCAAGGCTGTTGTCCCCAAAGCGTCTGACATGGGGGCCTTTAAGAGTTAGTGTTTCAGGAATACACACACCGGTCTTTTCAGACTCATCTGTGTGAAACTCACATTCTGATGCTCTGAGATTCTGATGCAATCGGTCTATGAAGCTCCCGGAAGCCAGGTGTGTAGCCCCTTTTCTAGAACATGACTGGGATAGGAGAGTGGAGACAGGGCAGGGGATTTCAAGGCGACAGGCTGGTGCTGCCTGGGGAAGAGGGGCTCTTAGAGCAGCCAGGCACCTCTGCTGATTGGCCTGGACCTAGGAGGCCAGGGCCCCATGCTCTGTGCTGTGGGCTCCCACCAGGTAGCAGCGGCCCCCACAGAGAGAGTGCGGCCTGCCAGTGGCAGCTTCGCTGTCTGGCACAAAGTAAGTGAGGGTTTAATGACATTGCCATGATGTCTTTCTTTTCTTGGGTTCCTGCTGCCTGCACCTGGCTGAAATACAGCGGGGTGGGCTGAGGCTTCTGTGTTCTCTTGGAGTTGATGGTCACAGCTCCTTGATCTGACTGGCCTGGCTTGACTGGATCACAGAAAAAGCTGCTTATTCACCTAAACAGGCCAATGTCACCAGCAAGACTGACTTGGGATACAAAGCAACTCTGTATCTATGGCTTATTTCCAAAAGGATGTTCTATAAACATTAACTCTATGTAATTTATAATATTAATAATATAATTAATATCACAATATTGTATATAATATATAATCAATATAATCATAATACAATATTATAAAATTAATATAATGTTATAATAGAATTAATAGTTACACTATCATATAATACAATTAATATTTATAATATAGTTAATTTTTATAATATTAATTTATGAAAATTTCAAATGCAGAGAGGGAAAAAATGAGAAGACAAGAGAAAAATGAGAGATTGATGGTCAACTTAGGATATATTGGTAAAACATAATTTAAGTTGTAAAAATAAACAGTTTTTTGAAGTAGCTACCCAGATGTTTTGATAAAATGACTTTTCAAGAGGTGGGGGTTGCATTCAGCATTTCCCAGGTACATTTGGTCATGGAGTCCTTCCTGGGAACCGCCTCTCCACACTACAGTTTGGGGAATATCAGTTTGGGAAACATTTCTCTATGGTTTTACCTTCTTCTTCTCCACCAGCATCTGACGCAGAGAGAATAAATCAGTAATACTTCAAGCCCTGCTGACATTCTCCACAAGGGTGTTACCACCCGAAGGGGATGAAATTGGCTCCTGAAGAGCAAAAAAATCTTTTTTTCTTTCTTTTTTTTTTTCCTTAGAGACAGGGTCTTGCTCTGTTGCCCAGTCTGGAGTACAGTGGTCTCGCTACGACCTCAAATTCGTGGGCTCAAGTGATCCTCCCACCTTAACCTCCCAAGTGGCTGAGACTACAGGTGCAGGCCAACATGCCTAGCTAACTTTAAAAACTTTTTGTAGAGACGGGGTCTTGCTATGTTGCCCAGGCTGGTTTCAAACTCCTGGCTTCAAGCAGTCCTCCTGCCTCAACCTCCCAAAGTGTTGGGATTACAGGTGTGAGCCACTGTGCCCAGCCCAAATTCTTATTTTTTAAATGTATAAAGCACAGATATACATTCAGTCCACAAACTGATATGTGGTATATCTGTAGCATTAACGTTGCATAAATGAGGGAGCGTTAGGAGAAAAAATGTCTATAAAGGCTCCACAGGAGGGTGATTGCAAAAAGAAGAGAAAAGGGTGAGAAATGCTGACATAGACGCATTTCAGTTGGTCAGTTGGTGAAATGGAGTTTGGTGAGGCTCTGCCGCTGTGCACGTTGGGGTGAGTTGTTTACCTCTCTGAGCTTCAGGTTTCTAACCTGGGAAATGAAGCCTTTTGCCACCTCATAAGACTGTGGTGAGCTTTAATGAGACAAGAACAATGCCTGACAAACAGGAGGTGTTTGGAAAATGGAGGCTGCAGATAGACCTTTAAGCCTGAAACTTTGCTGTCTGCTCGCAGTAAGTTGTAGCACAGTCAGCTAACATACCGCCACTTTGGGCTCGTCCACCTTTAAGGCTGTAGACCGACAGATAAAGGCAAAGGGAGCTTGGTATAGGCAGGCTGAAGGAAAAGGACCTGAGAAACTACTATTTTACAGCTTACAAAGTAAACCAGGAAAGCAACTTAGCCTGGGGGGATCACCTGCTTGGTGCTAAGCTGCTCCTGGACACCAGGGTCCCAGACCTGGAATCAGACACTTCATCCTTGAGGCCCACCCTCCATGCACCCTGATATCAGAGGCTGGGATGGACACTGAGGCGGGTGGGATAGGCCAAGGCAGGAAATGTCTGCTGGACCTAAAAATAGTGTGGGAGGGAACAGGAAACAGAAACTTTGGGCCAACATGGAAATGCTTTCTGAATTGTCAGGAAATCAGGACTAGAGATGCAGGGGCAGCCACCACCCTACAGCAAAACTGCAACACCCCGTGAGCTCTCTACGTGGAAAGAACTGGAGAGAATCAGAGTTGGGTGGGCTGGGGAGGGGGGTTCCAACTGAGAAACACTAGGCTCACCTTTGTGTAGTTCCTAACATAGCACTTTTGTGCCCTGTTGATCCTATTTATTTATTTATTTATGAGACGGAGTCTCGCTCTGTTGTCCAGGCTAGAGTGCAGTGGCATGATCTCGGCTCACTGCAAGCTCTGCCTCCCATGTTCACGCCATTCTCCTGCCTCTCAGCTTCCTGAGTAGCTAGGACTATAGGCGTCCGCCACCATGCCAGGCTAATTTTTTTTGTATTTTTAGTAGAGACGGTGTTTCACCGTGTTAGCCAGGATGGTCTCGATTTCCTGTTCAGCCACCTCAGCCTCCCAAAGTGCTGGGATTACAGGTATGAGCCACCGTGCCCGGCCATATTTTTTTATTTTTGAGATGGAGTCTTGCTCTGTCACCCAGGCTGGAGGGCAGTGGCACGATTTTGACTCACTACAACCTCTGCCTCCAGGGTTCAAGTGATTCTCCTGCCTCAGCCTCCTGAGTAACTGGGATTTCAGCTCATGCTACCATGCCAGGCTAATTTTTTGGATTTTTAGTAGAGATGGGGTTTCACCATGTTGGCCAGGCTGGTCTCAAACTCCTGACCTCAAAGTGCTGGGATTACAGGCGTGAACCACCGCATCTGGCCCCTGTTGATCTTTAATTGCATGTAGATGTCATTCCTTATTGGGGTGACCAACAGTCCTGGTTTGTCCAGGACTGAGTAGGTTCTTGGAACTTTTTTTTTTTTTTTGAGACAGAGTCTCACTCTCTTGCCCAGGCTGAAGTACAGTGGTTCAATCTTGGCTCACTGCAACCTTCACCTCCGAGGTTCAAGTGATTCTCCCACCTCAGCCTCCCGAGTAGCTGGGACTATAGGCGGGCACCCCCATGGCTAATTTTTGTATTTTTAGTAGAGATGGGTTGTCACCATGTTGGCCAGGCTGGTCTTGAACTCCTGACCTCGGGTGATCCACCTGCCTCAGCATCTGAAAGTGCTGTGATTACAGGCGTGAGCCACCATGCCTGGCAACTTTGAGTTTTAAAAGTGGGGGGAGTACTAGCAAACTGACAAGTTGTTTACTCTTTCTTTACACAGAATGCTCAAGTGTCTTAAAGCATTAGTGCAGTGGGTTCGATCTTGCCTGCACAGAGAATCACCTGGGCAGTTATTAAAAATCCCCCAGCCCCAGGCTGCACTCCAGACCAGTTGAATTAGTCTCTGGGGTGGGACCCAGGTGTCTGTGTTTCTTTTCTTTTCTTTTTTTTTTTTTGAGATGGAGTTTCACTCTTGTTGCCTAGGCTGGAGTAAAATGGCACGATCCCAGCTCACTGCTCACTGCAACCTCTGCCTCCTAGGTTCAAGCGATTCTCCTGCCTCAGCCTCCCAAGTAGCTGGGATTACAGGCTCATTGCCACCATGCCTGGCTAATTTTTGTATTTTTAGTAGAGACAGGGTTTCGTCATGTTGGCCAGGCTGGTCTTGAACTCCTGACCTCAGGAGATCCACCCTCCTCAGCCTCCCAAAGTGCTGGGATTACAGGTGTCAGCCAGCGCACCCAGCTTATCTGTGTTTCTTAAAGCTCTCCAAGTGGGCAGTTCCTGTGTGCAGCCAAGGTTGAGAACAGGGGCTTCAGCATGGATGAAAACATCACCTGGGGCTTGTTTCCTGGCCTCATGACCAAAGAGTCTCACTCAGTGGTCTGCAGTGGAGGCTGGGGATACCACTTAAAAATAAGTTTTGCAGGCTGGGTGCTGTGGCTCACGCCCCTAATCCTAGCACTTTGGGAGGCTGAGGTGGGTGGATTGCCTGAGGTCAGGAGTTCGAGACCAGCCTGGGCAACATGGTGAAATCCTGTCTCTACTAAAATACAAAAACTTAGCCGGGCATAGCAGCGTGGGCCTGTAGTCCCAGCTACTTAGGAGGCTGAGGCAGGAGGATCGCTTGAACCTAGGAGGCGGAGGTTGCAGTGAGTCGAGATCGTGCCACTGCACTCCAGCCAGGGTGATGGAGCAAGACTCCATCTCCGAAAAAAAAAAAAAAAAAAGTTTTGCAAGGGTTCCCCTGGGCACACTTTGAGAAACACTGACCTAGAGTTTTATTCCCTATAGATCTTCTAGATTTGAACAGAAAGGGATGTTTTGATCAATCCAATTAAAACATTTATTAGGCCAGGCATGGTGGCTCATGATGGTAATCCCAGGGTTTTGGAAGCCTGAGGTGGGAGGATCGCTTGAGGGGAGGAGTTGGTGACCAGCCCGAGAAACATAGCAAGACTCTGTCTCTATGATTTTTTAATTTTTTTTTAAATCAGTCAGCTGTGGTGTTGTGTACCTGTTGTCTCAACTGGGAGGCTGAGGTGGAAGGATCACATAAGCCTAATAGTTTAAATGAAACCAGCCTGGGCGATATAGCCAGAGCGTGTCTCTCCAAAAAAAAAAAAAAAAAAAAATTAAACACACAGTGAAGGACTGCTGAAGGGGGTTACAAAGATGACTCAATCAAGGTTGCTATTCTTTTTTTTTTGAGACAGGATCTCACTCTGTCATCCAGGGTGAAGTGTAGTGGTGTGATCATGGCTCACTGCAGCCTTGATCTTCCAGGTTCAAACCATTCTCCCACCTCAGCCTCCCAAGTAGCTGGGACCATAGGTGTGTGCCACTATGCCCTGCTAATTTTTTTTTTTAATGTTTTGTAGAGATGCGGTCTCACTATGTTGCCCAGGTTGATCTTGAATTGCTGACCTCAAGTGATCCTCCCCACCTGACCTCCCAAAGTGCTGAGATTACAGGCATGAGCCACTGCTCCTGGCCCAAGTTTGCTATTCTAAATTCAATTCACTTTATTTGTTTTAAAAATTATTTTTTTTAAAATAGAGATGGGGGTCTTGCTATGTTGGCCAGGTTGGTCTTGAACTCTTGGCCTTTAACAATCCTCTTGCCTCAGCCTTCCAAAGTGCTAAGAATACAGGCATGAGCCACCATGCCTGTCCCACAATTTACTTTTAAGGAGCAAGGCAGGTACACATCAGGACAGCTGGTAACGAGAGTCACCCCTGGAGGCAAACCTAGTATTGAACAGATAAAAAGGCACTGGGTTGAGAGAACTCCTGGGTCATCATCACACCCCTAATATTAATGAGTTATGCATGCGATCCTAGGAAAATGATCCCCCTTTCCTTGTCCTCATCTTTTTCTGCAAATTGCAAGGCTTGGAAGACCTGACTTCTAAGGCCTCATCTTGTCTGACACTTTGGGATTCTGAAGCTGGCCACCATGTCTTCTCGAGTGTGAACCCCGAAAAACTGAGACAGGTCTCAGCTAATTTAGAAAGTTTATTTTGCCAAAGTTGAGGATGCACTCCTGTGACACAGCCTCAGGAGGTCCTGATGACATGTGGCCAAGGTGGTCAGAGCACAGTTTGGTTTTATACATTCTGGGGAGACATGAGACAGCAGTCAACATATGCAAGATGAACATTGGTTTGGTCTGGAAAAGCAGGACAACTAGAAGCAAAGGCGGGAGGCTCGAAGCAGGGAGGGGGCTTCCAGGTCATGGGTAGATAAGAAACAAATGGTTGCATTCTTTTGAGTTTCTTTCTTTCTTTCTTTTTTCTTTAATCTTTCAAGCTTTTATTTAAATGCCATGATCCAGGATGGATTTTTAGATCTTGTTGAAAGCAGCCACATCCATGGACTGCACATAGTCCTCAAAAGCAGTGATCTGCTCCTCCAGCATATCTGTTCCAACTTTATCATCTTCAACTACACACTGTATTTGAAGTTTCTTAATTCCGTATCCCACTGGAACTAGTTTAGATGAGCCCCAGACTAAGCCGTCTGCTTGAATGCTTCTGACACACTCCTCTAATTTCGCCATATCTGTCTCATCATCCCAAGGTTTCACATCTAGTAAGATGGAAGACTTGGCAACAAGTGCAGGTTTTTTGGCTTTCTTTGATTCATATTGTGCAAGATGTTCTTCCCTTAGCCTCTTTGCTTCTTCACTTTCCTCCTCATAATCGGATCCAAAGAGATCAATGTCATCATCATCTTTACTGTCTGTAGCTCCACTTCCTGTAGTGTCTTCCACATCGGCAGGACCATACTTGCTCAAAGCTTTCTTCACTCCTGGCAGGCCGGCCTTTTCCTTTTCGTAAGACTTGATGTGATTATACCAACGTAGGGCATGACACAAGTCGGCAGGTGGTGGGCCGGACACGGCTTCAAATACTGCCACATCTGCTTGTGATGGCACCATACCCCTTGATGTAGCTCTTGTCCGCCAGGTAATCGTTGAGCACCTGGAGGCCGGTGGGGCTTTTCAGGTCTCCGAAACCCATGGTGTCGGCTGTATCCGAGAGCTGGGGAGCAGCAGAAAGAGCTCTTTTGAGTTTCTGATTAGCCTCTCCAAAGGACGCAGGCACATATGCATTCATCTCAGTGAGCAGAGGGGTGACTTTGAATAGAATGGCAGGCAGGTTGGCCCTAAGCAGTTTCCAGCTTGACTTGTCCCTTTAGCTTAGTGATTAGGGGGCCCCAAGATTTATTTTTCCTTTCATATGAGAGAGCAAGTATGTAGGGCTCTGGGCAAGCAATCCCCATGCTGTGGACAAACTACTTGTATTTTACAAATAAGTGGCAATGCTTTGGCTAAGAAGAGAACACATTCGCTTGGGGAGAGAGAGGTAAAGTCACAGGGTCCCATGTGGAGAATGATGAGGGGGAGAACCTAGGGATTCCAGAATTGAGTTGACAGCAGCATTTGTTGCAGGTAGGAGAGGGAGAGAATGGGGGCTTGCTACACACACATTAGTCTGCTAAGGCTGCCATAATACAGTGCCACAAGCTGGGTGGCTTAACAAAAAGAAACTTATTTGGAGGCTTTCTAGGTCTGAGGTCAAGGTGTAGGTAGAGCCACGCTCCCTCTGAAGGCACCAGGGAGAGATCTGTTTCAGATCTTCCTCCTAGCGTCTGCTAGTTCTTGGTTTGTGGAAGGATAACTCCAAATTTTGCATGTTCTCCCTTTGTTTAAATTTCTCCTTTTTATAAGTCATATTGGATTAGGGGCCCACTCTACTCTAGTATGACTCATCTCGTCTAGTTCCATTTGCAATGACCTGCCTTCCAAATAAGGCTACATTCTGAAGTACTGGGGGTTAGAACTTCAACACATACATTTTGGGGGAAAATAAATAACTCAACCTGTAACAGTGGCGATGCACTACAGCTGCCGCTAAACAGGGCTCAATTTCTAAAGAAGGTTCAGAGATTCACAATGGCGGTGCATCCAAATATGCAATTTATTACTGGAGCAGAATATAGTATAGCTGCAATATCAAAGTAGGAGTGTCATCACAGCCAAAGGCTATGCCTCCCAGCAGGGGGTCTGGAGAGGCCAAGTCCAAGGTGTTTTTTTTTTGTTTTTTTTTTTTGAGGCAGGATCTCGCTTTGCTGCCCAGGTTGGGGTGCAGTGGCACGGACACAGCTCACTGCAACCTCGATGTAATTCTCCTCTCAGCCTCTTAGGTAGCTGGGATCACAGTTATGCACCACCATGCCTGGCTAATTTTTGTATTTTTTTGTAGAGACAGGATTTTGCCATGTTGCCCAGGCTGGTCTCAAATTCCAGGGCTCAAGCTATCTTCCCACCTCGGCCTCCCAAAGCGCTGGGACTGCAGGTGTGAACCACCACACTGGGCCTTTGTGGTGGTTATTTACATATTAAATGTCACTTTATAGTTCAGAGGTCTCTTGAGGAATCGGCATGCTGTGTTGTGTGTGTGTGTGTATGTGTGACTTAAGAGCAAAATTTTAGTTGTGGGGGCCCGGAGTTCTGGAATTTTTGCATTGGTTACACTTTTTGTTATGTGTGAAGCTGAGACCTTGCATGGTTAAGAAGTCGAAAAGACTACCAAATGAGGACTGGGTCCCAGCTGGGTCCTTTATTAACCATCTGACCCTAGCAAATTGTTTCTTTGTGCCTCAATTTCTTTTTTTCTTTTCTTTTTTTTTTTTTTGAGACGCAGTCTCGCTCTGTCGCCCAGGCTGGAGTGCAGTGGTGCAATCTTGGCTCACTGCAAGCTCCACCTCCTGGGTTCACGCCATTCTCCTGCCTCAGCCTCCTGAGTAGCTGGGACTACAGGCGCCCGCCACCATGCCCAGCTAATTTTTTTTGTATTTTTAATAGAGATGGGGTTTCACTGTGTTAGCCAGGATGGGCTCGATCTCCTGACCTTGTGATCCGCCCGCCTCTGCCTCCCAAAGTGCTGGGATTACAGGCATGAGCCACCGCGCCTGGCGTGCCTCAATTTCTTCTGTACAAGAAGAGATCATATTGCCTACTTTCCAGAAGTAAATGCAACAGTGTATGTGAAAGTCCTTTTTGACCTACGAAGTTCTGTGTAAGGGCAGGGTACTAGTCCTGCTGTAATTCTTCAGCCTTAACATTGTTTCCATGGGAAAGCTCAATCTGCTTTATGACAATTGGATTTATAACGTAGTTTCCAGGAATGCATTTGTCTCAAAGCAGTCTTTGGCCAAGAGCAACATAACCTGACCTAAGGATAAAATGCACTGTGGCAAAAGGCAGGAACTGCCCATGCAGGTTTTAACAACAAATGAAAAAGAAAAACTTTTACAAGCCATAATACTCATCTTGCCTCACCTTGTCCATCTATAGTTAAGTCCTTATATTAGTTAGGGTTCTCCAGAGAAACAGAAAAAAAGAGGGTGTATTCTCATGCTGCTATAAAGAACTACCTGAGACTGGATAATTTATTTAAAAAGAAGTTTAATTGATTTACAGTCCCAAAGGCTTAACAGGAAGCATGGCTAGGAGGCCTCAGGAAACTTACAATCATGGCGGAAGTCAAAGGGGAAGCAAGCACATCTTTACCATGGCAGAGCAGGAGACAGAGAGGTGGGGGAAAGTGCTACACTTTTAAACCATCAGATCTCATGAGCACTCACTCACTATCATGAGAACATCATGGGAAAAATCCACCCCCATGATCCAATCACCTCCCACCACGTCCCTCCCCTGACATGTGGGGATTACAATTGGAGAAGAGATTTGGGTGGCGACACAGAGCCAAACCATATCAGAGGGTCTCTCTCTCTTAAGGATTTGACTCAGGCAATTGTGGAAACTGGTAAATTCAAAATCTTTGGGATAGACCAGCAGGCTGCTGACCCAGGGAGGAGCTGCAGTTTGAATCCTAAGGCAGCCTGAATGACACCTTTGTCCATGTCACTGATCTTTCTGGCAGGGAACCACCTGCCATGTGGCCGGTGGGATGAAGGAGCAGGCTGACCAAGATGAATCCTCCCCATGTACTGCCATGTTGACTGCTCAGGATGTGGTCCAGAGGTGCAAGGAGCTGGGCATCACTGCCCTACACATCAAGCTCCTGGCCACAGGAGGAAATAGGACCAAGACCCCTGGACCTGGGGTGCGGTTGGTCCCCCGAGCCCTTGCCTGCTCAGGTATGAAGAGCCGGTAGATTGAGGACATCACCCCCAGCTCCTCCAACAGTATCTTCAGGAAGGAGGGTTGCTGTGGTCACTGTCTGTGAACAGGACTCCTCAAATTGTTTGCTGTTCATAAATTGCCTTTGTGTAAACTAAAAACCAAACAAAACCAAACAAACAAAGCCAGTCTTTTGGCAGAATTCCCTCTTGGTCGGGGTAGGTCAGTCTTCGCTCTACTCAGGCCTTCAAACTGATTGGCTGTCTTGCCCAATGTTGCAGAGGGTAATCCACTGTACTCAGCGCCTACTGATTTAGACGTTTGTCTCATCTAGAAAATATATCCACAGAAACATCTAGAATAATATGTTTCATGAAATATCTGGGTGCAATGGCCCAGCCAAGTTGACACATAAAATTCACCATCCCGGCCACCGTCTGTGTCCCTCTCTAATGCCCTTCTTGTCATCTCCTCCTCCCCAGGGGCATAGCAACCATCCTGATGTTGGAGTATTTCCTTCTTGCTCATGTTTCTATGATTACTACACAGGTTTGTATATCAGTATGGCAGGTAAAGTGGAAGTTTCAGCTGAGGCACCCAGACAACAGATGAGATGTGAGGTCCCATTGGAGGATTTATGAAGGAAGACCAGCTGAAGAATCCTTAACCCTCATCCACCATGAGAGTATAAATGAGTCAGAGATTCGAGATTTGAGGAGGATTTATGGCATCAGCTCCTGTTAGTGAGCTCCAAGGTGCATGCTCTCCGAAGGGGAGAGGTCAGAGGGGTCTGCCTCCCACCTCAAGCCTGGATGAGCATCCCCTGCACTTTAGGCTGTTCAGGGGATTAGTGCCGGACTCTCACTTGAGAAATCTAAAGGGTG
The DNA here is from genome assembly GCF_000001405.40 of Homo sapiens. Lineage (NCBI taxonomy): Eukaryota > Metazoa > Chordata > Mammalia > Primates > Hominidae > Homo > Homo sapiens. Next base: position 131,666,637 of record NC_000007.14, read on the forward strand.
GTGATATGATTTGGCTGTGTCCCTCCTCAACTCTCATCTCAAATTGTAATCCAAATGACAATCCCCATATATTGAGGGAGGGACCTGGTGGGAGGTGGTTGGATCATGGGGGCTGTTTTCCCCATGCTGTTCTTGTGATAGTGAGTGTGTTCTCATGAGATCTGGTTGTTTGATAAATGTCTGGTTCTTCCTCCTCCTCTCTCTCTCGCTGACCTCCATGTAAGACATGCCTTGCTTCCCCTTCATCTTCTGCCATGATTGTAAGTTTCCTGAGGCCTCTCCAGCCATGCAGAACCGTGAGTCAATTAAACTTCTTTTTTTTTTTTGAGATGGAGTTTCACTCTTGTTGCCCAGGCTGGAGTGCAACGGTGCGATCTCAGCTCACCGCAACCTCTGCCTCCTGTGTTCAAGCAATTCTCCTGCCTCAGCCTCCCAAGTAGCTGGGATTACAGGAATCCACCACCAACCTGGCTAATTTTGTATTTTTAGTAGAGATGGGTTTCTCCATGTTGGTTAGGCTGGTCGTGAACTCCCGACTTCAGGTGATCTGCCTGCCTTGGCCTCCCAAAGTGCTGGGATTACAGGCGTGAGCCACATTGCCCAGCAATTAAACTTCTTTTGTTTAATTGTTTAATTGTTTAATTGTTTAATTACCCAGTCTCAGGTAGTATCTTTATGGATTAATGCAGGTGGTCACTGGCTGACCAGGTACTTTAAAGATGGAACTAAGGTAGATGGCTTCACTGGGGGGCTCCCTGTACTCCCATAGTTTGCTGTAGTGAAGAACATGAGATCAGTTGTGCCTGAAGTGCAAGAGAACTGCATAGGATCTTCTAGAGCCCACAGAGAAGATGGCCTGGGGAGAGGGATAAAGAGACTTCTGCAGATAGAAGCTGGGGACATTCCCGATTCTCAGGGCTGTGGAGGGAGTCAGTGACCAGCTGGATAAGACATGCACTGGCCATTATCAGGAGACTGGGAGCTCTAAAGATCCCTGAAGACCCTGAAAACTCATGGCAGCATCCATGAGAGTCACCTTTAACCATTTCCTAGGCTACAGAGGATGATGCCTGTATTGGTCAAGCGAGAACTTCCTGCCCCTTTTCCTTCCTCTCCCTTCTCTGACCTGGAAGGGTCAGAAACTAGGGTTGGCAAGGTGGGGGAGGAGTCAGCCTCTTTCTTCACTGGATGGCTCCTCTGTAGCTGGCCTGAGCTGCATGTTTTGTAAGCATTCCCTCCCCTCCTGTGGCAGAGTGCGCTTCCCCACCCCATTCATATTGGGCTTGGCCACGTGACTTGCCAGAGGGCTGTGGGCTGTTGTCACATGAATAGAGGCTTGCGATGCCCTTGCACTGGAGACTTTCCTCTTGTGCTTCTGCCACCATCAAGAGAACATTTCCCAGGTAGACCAGGGTTCCTAAAGAATAAGACACCTGGAGCTTCTTCTTTTTTTTTTTGGAGATGGAGTTTCGCTCTTGTTGCCCAGGCTGGAGTGCAGTGGTGCATCCCAGGTCATTGCAACCTCCACCTCCTGGGTTCAAGCAATTCTCCTGCCTCAGCCTCTGAGTAGCTTGGATTACAGGCATCCGCCACCACATCAGGCTAATTTTGTATTTTTAGTAGAGACGGGGTTTCTCCATGTTGTTCAGGCTGGTCTCAAATTCCTGACCTCAGGTGATCCGCCTGCCTCGGCCTCCCAAAGTGCTAGGATTACAGGTGTGAGCCATCATGCCTGGCCAACACCTGGAGCCTCTTCTAATGGAGCTCATGCTTAGTGCTGAGCCAGCCCATGTCAGTGCAGCCACTCCACTGACCCTCAGACTTGCCAGCTAGAAATGGAAGCTTATTTCTGTGGGTCATTGAGCTTTGGGCTGGTTGATTATGTAGCATAATTATGACAATAATTGACTGATAAAAGGAGTAATCAAAGTAAAAAGTTATGATGATTACACTAAGACATTATTTATTAACTGGAGGACATTGTTTATTGGATAGAACTGCCTAAATTTCTCTGGGGTGAAGGAAGAACATGCCTAACTAATTAAATTTAAAGGAACATCAATAGAGAACAATAAAGTTGCTTTATGATTATATCCATGAGCCCTTCTTGTTCAATTCAACAGTTACATGTACTTCTATGAGCACTATGTTATAATGCTGTATATATTTACAAATTTACACAAATAACATCATGCTGTATTCTACAAATTGCCCTTTCCACTCAATGTTATATTTTTGAGATTTATCCAGGTTGATGCTTGTAGTTCTAGTTTTTCATTTAAATTGTTAAAAATATTTCATTGTGGGCCAGGGGTGGTGGCTCATACCTGTAATCCCAGCATTTTGGGAGGCCAAGGTGGGTGGATCTCTTGAGGCCAGGAGTTCGAGACCAGCCTGGACAACATGGTGAAACCCCATCTCTACTAAAATATGAAAATTTTCTGGGCGTGGTGGCACGTGCCTATAATCCCAGCTACTTGGGAAGCTGAGGCAGGAGAATCACTTGAACCTGGGAGGCAGCAGAGGTTGCAGTGAGCTGAGATCACGCCACCACACTCCAGCCTGGGCAACAGAGTGAGACTCCCTCTCAAAAAAAAATTTCATTATGCAAATATACCACAATTTAAAAAATCCACTCTCTCAATGATGGACACTTGAGTTGTCCCCACTCCGTGTTTTGCTATTACAAAATATGTATCAAGAGCCATGCTTGTAGTTGAGTTTTCCTGGTCATATGTATGTGAGTCTCTCAAGGGTATATATCTAAAGCTGAATGGCAATCATTTGTGCTGTTTACCATGTGCCAAATTTCCATTTTTCCTCTTGCTGTACACAAGACAGAATTGTACTCCCTGTCCCTTTGATGTTAGACCTAGCTAAGTGACATCTTTGGCCAATGAGATATAAGTGCGGGTGGTAAATGTCACTCACAGGTGGAAGCTGTTAGGATCTAATATGCGATTCTCCCTTTCCTTCCTACTGCCACAATCCCAGACTTAAGCGATCCTCCTATCCCAGCCTCCCAAGTAGCTGAGACCACAGGTGTGCACCACTATGCCTGACTAATTTTTTTTTTTTTATTATTTCTTGTAGACCCAGGGTCTCCCTATGTTGCCAAGGCTGGTCTCGAACTCCTAGGCTCAAGCAATACTCCTGCCTTGGCCTCCCAAAGTGCTGGGATTAACTCCTCTGGCTGGCGAGGCTGTATCCTCCTCCTTCTGGTGGGTAGAACAGCATGGAGCTCTGCTTCTAGCTAACCCATGATGGATATGTAGCATGAGGAAGAAATCTACCTTGATTTTAGCTCCTGAGATTTAGTTTATCTTGTTCAGTCAGCATAACCTTCCATTCTGTCTGAAACATAAATCAGTATCTGCAGAGCAGCACTCCTTCAGCAAAACACTTGTTCATGGTGCTGGCTTAGGTGCTGCATGATGTGCAGTGAGAAAACACACAGAAGGGTGGAGAAATGGTCACCCACATTATGCAGCAGAGAAACATTATGTACAACAGCACTTGTAGGAATTTGAGAGGCAGATAATTTACCTAATGAACTTGTAGATTTAGGGAAAGAGTCTGGAAAGCAGAATTTTGTTGTTGTTGTTTTGAGACAAGGTCTCATGCTGTCATCCAGGCTGGAGTGCAGTGGTACAGTCACAGCTCACTGCAGCCTTGACTTCCCGGGCTTAAGTGATCCTCCTGCCTTAGCCTCCCAAGTAGCTGGGACCACAGGCGCATGATACCACACCAGGCTAATTTTTGTATTTTTTGTAAAGACAGGGTTTCACCCTGTTGCTTAGGCTGGTCTAGAACTCCTGGGCTCAAGCAATCCTCCCGCCTTGGCCTTCCAAAGTGCTGGGACTACAGGCATAAGCCACTGCACCTATTCAGCAGAATGTTCTGTGTTACTTACTCTTGACAACGCTTGGCAAGGTATTACAAGAAAGAGATGAGTTCAGGAAAGAGTTGGCCAATGTAAACCCCTTTTAGGGCTGGAAAAAGCAAATGCTTCTTATCTCCAAACAGTCAAAGATAAAATTGAGACAGACAAAGAATGATGAAAATTCAGTTTTGTAAGCAAGGATTAAATCACAGCCATGGATGTTACACCCATTTAAAAAATCTCTGGATGTATTAAGGCATCTTTTAGTAATGTTCCCTGTTCTAGCAATTAGACAAAATGTAACAGGGAAAAAGATTAATGGTGTGGACCAAAATACCTTCAATTAAATCTAGAGTGGCATGGGAGAAAGAAAGTAAAGAAATACAGTTAACAGGAGATTTATTTATAAAGGAAGCTTGACCCCTGGCATTGCCTGGAATCAAATGATAAGAAACTGAGAGTTTTGAGAAAATTACACATGCTGCCAAAGAACCATTGGCCTCATCTAGACTTCATTTGAATCTTAAAACAACTTTCAACTTTTGGGTCCTCCGGAAAATGTGCTTAGGAGGATGCTCTGCCCATAAGGAAGGCATATCTTCTGGGTTTCCCTGCAATTTTGGCCAAAGATGGTGGAAAAGGGATATCTCTTGAAGGGTAAGCTCAGGCCTGCAGAGAATGTTCCAGGAGATGGAGTCAAGACCTAATCAAGAATACACTTTATCCCTGGGGAAGAATGCTCTGAGATTTCAGAATTGCTGTAACCCATTATTCTCTTTTCTGAATGGGAGTGTTTACTGCCATTTTTTTGTCCCATATTTCAATATTAAATATTGGTACATTGGCAAAGCAGCTTATCTTTTTAGTCTTCTAATAAAGAGATATTGACCCAAGATCTAGAGATAACTACTCGTCACTTTGATGTAAAAATTACTGTGAAAATTTGATATCTTGGGGTTTGAGCTTGATGCTATGTTGGTATGGAGCCTTTGAGTTATCTCCTTTGAGAAAGGAAGAGTATATTTGCATCCAGGAATAAGAGTAGACCAAATATTGGGTTTTGAATAAGGTTAGACTGTGTGAGTCATTATTGCTCTTCACCAGTATTTCTGATTCTCTTCTTACCTATTGTGCTAGATGGGTTGCTCAGGTCTGACATTGGTCATGCAAAGGGTTGAATGAATTCTACAATGTCACAAGACATGCATAAAGAAATAGGTGCTACTTTATAAAAGGACAAAATCACAAGACCAGGGCTAGCAAGGCTTGATGCATGCAGTCTTTCTCGGTGATGCCAGGGCCAGACCACCTGCCCTCAGGGCTGGGGGTTCATTCCAGTGGAAAGCTTCTTCTACACTGTAGTGTCCCTTTCTGTAGGGAAAGTATAAGAGTGTGGCTTTATTAGGGGAAAGACAAAAGATGCTTGGTGCTAGGCCATCTGGATTTGGGGTGCTGGGCTTATCAGATTTGTCTAAGGACCTTGAGCCTTGTGGGATGTTACAGTCATCTCTGATGGGGGAGGAAGAAGATACCAGTGCAGGAAGATGAGCTGGACACTGCCTCACTAGCTGGGAAGAGGGAAAATCTCCCCAGTACTAACCAGCTTGCTGTCTGGGAAACCCATGGTGAGTGCCTTGGGTTGCATTTCTCCATGCCCTTGAAAATAGAAGCATCCGTATGACTTACTTTGGCCAATGAATGTGAGCATTTGAAGCCTCCCAGAGCCTGTATGCAACTTGCCCTTTTCTTCTCCCTACTATGGTCACCGTTGAAGTTGCAGAAAATGAGCCTCCATCAGCCTGTGTCCCCGCGTGAGGACAGTGTGAAACAGACACTCCAGCTGAGCTGTGAGAGACGAGCAGCATGAGGCAGAAATAAACCTTCGTTGTCTTACACTGTTGATTATTTGTGAGTTTTTTGTTTGTTTGTTTGTTTGAGATGGAGTCTTGCTCTGTCGCCTAGGCTGGAGTGCAGTGGCATGTGATCTCGGCTCACTGCAACCTCCGCCTCCTGGGTTCAAGAGATTCTCCTGCCTCAGCCTCCCAAGTAGCTGGGATTATAGGCACGCACCACCATGCTTGGCTATTTTTTTTTTTTTTTGTATTTTTAGTAGAGACGGGGTTTCACCATGTTAGCCAGGATGTTCTCGATCTCCTGACCTCGTGATCTGCCTACCTCGGCCTCACAAAATGCTGGGATTACAGGCATGAGCCACCGCGCCTGGCCTGTGAGTTGTTTTTAACTGCAGTATCACTGTCCTAGTCTACCCTGACCAATACAAACGAATCTTCTGAGTGATGGGATGTGCACATCCTTGGCTTTCCTAGATATTGCCAAATTGTCTTCCAGAGTAATTGCTTCAGCCAGTGCTATTCCTTACAGGAGAGAGAACTCAGAGCTTTTCTTTTCTTAAACTCCTACCCCGCAATGGTCATCACTGGATTCCAGTTGGCCTTTGAGTTGCTACTTGTTATCCTGGGTCTCAGGCAAGAATGGGATAGACCTGTCAAGGAGGGAAGAAGAGTGAGAATCTAGGCAGATAGGATGAAGACTGAAAACCTGGCAGGTCAGAAATCAGAGAGGTCAGCTGAGACAGGGAGAAATGAGTGTCCAAGGTCTGGTCAAAGAGGTCCCAGGCCAGGTCAGCTGAGAGCTGCCTGGAATGCACACTTGGAGCCTGGAGAACAAAAGACGCATCAGGGGCTCAGACTAAGGGCTTGGGCAAACAGGTGTCAGGATTCAGGCAATGGTTTTGGTACAAGGTAAGGGGATCCCCAGCAGGGATGGAGCAGAGGCTAAGTCAACCAACTTCTGGGCCAGGAGCTTCTTGCTTGGCTGGCGTAGGTCTTGGCACCTGGGTAGATCAGTTCGCAGAAAGACACAGACAGACATGCCTGGGTGGAAAAAAGGGTTTGAGGGGAAGAGAAGACAGGGGATCTCTGAAACTCCAAGACTCTGGAGTCCTAGAATGAAATGAGGTAAATGAGGTAAGATTTTTTCAGCCCTGTTGCTCTTCCTTCTTTTTGACCTGTCTGGTCCCATCCTCATGTGGGTCTTCAGGGTTTTCCCTTGGTACATAACTTTTCTCTGCAATCACCATTTTTTATTCTTCGTATCTTCACTGGTATCTGGCCCAGGGTGAAGAAAGGAAGTAACATTTATCAGGCACCTACCACATGCAGACACAGAACTGGGTACTTTTAATGCACTATCTCTTTTAATCCTCCCAGTAACTCCTTGGGGTAGCAGTTATTATGCTGTTTTATAGATAAGGAACCTGGAGTTTGGAGAGCTGAGTAATTTACATGAAGTCACATGAACAGAAAGTGGCAGCCTGGACTGAGAGACAGTCCAAGTCTATCGGACACCAGAGGCCATGCTCCTAACCACAGTGCCACATCTGCTCTTCTTAATGGAATGACCGTCCTTCATTTCCATGTCATTGCTCTTTAAATTTAATTTTGGGCTAATTGACCTAAGGGTTCAGTGGAGTCTCCTCTGCTGTCCCCAGATCATTTGTGTAGGATGGGGCAGTTCACATTCACCTCCTTCCTCAGGCGGGAAGTTTCACCCTCACTGACACCAGGGTCCCCAAGGAACAAGCCTTACTGTCTTTTTTTTGCAGGGCTGTGTGGCATGCTCAAACATATGGTTGGTTAGAGAGCCCACACAGAGGCATCACCAAGGGAAGAGGAGCTGCTCCCTCACTTAGGAGCCAACAGGTCCTGTCGTACAGGCAGTAGGTTTTTGCAAGGACCCGGGGGAGTGAATGATAGGCAGGGGGGAGGGGGATAAGCAGGGTGACAGCTGCTTCTGGTGGCTCTGGGTCACGTTCCAAGCCTAAATTAGCCTTGCTCTTTTCCAGATCTTCTGTGGGCTTGCTGCAGGCTGTCTGGCTGGTGCTTCTCCTCCTAGGCATGGATTAGTCCTTTTCTTCCCTTTCCAGTCTTCCCTTTTGGGTTTTTGTACTAGAGCTAGCTCACTGAGAGGCTAGATGGGGTGGCCTAAGTTTGGGCTGAGGCATGGAGGAGGGTGCTTGTATCTCTTCCTTGTCTTTTCTTGTTCTTAGGATGCACCTGTTTAAAGTTTTACCATTAGAGATTATTTTATTACAATGCAACCTGAAGTAAAGTCTTATAAGCAGAATTTGATATTCTCTGAAGACAGTATATTTGCATTAGTCCATTTTCATACTGCTCTGAAGAAATACCGGAGACTGGGTAATTTATAAAGAAAAAGAGATTTAATGGACTTTACAGTTACACAGGGCTGGGGAGGCCTCACAGTCATGGCGGAAGACAAAGGAAAAGCAACTTCACGTCTTACATGGTGGCAGGCAAGGGAGCATATGCAGGGGAACTGCCCTTTATACAGCCATCAGATCTCCTGAGACTTATTCACTACCACAAGAACAGTATCAGGGAAACCATCCCCCGTAATTCAATTATCTCCACCTGGCTCCACCCTTGACACATGGGAATTATTACCATTCAAGGTGAGATTTGGGTGAGGACACAACCAAACCACATCAACACACAAAAATAAAATTCTCATATTATTCTACTCCCATGCAGGGTAATTATGTCAACTAATAGGGGAAACCCATCCTGCCTCCTGCCCATCTTACACACACCCGATTGTGCCCCGCTCTTAGAAGGCTGTGGATGGAGGAGGAGGGGCTCCATCCAAGAGAGGAAACAGAAAGGGCAGTTTGGGCAGGCCGGGCCACTCACACAGGCTTGCTCTCAGCCAGCTCTGCTGCAGGTTCAGGGCTGGAGATACCAAGTCTGAGCCTCATCTCTTTCACAAACTTGGGGTACAGCCTAGTGAAAATTACTTCTCCTTTCTGAGCCTCTGTTTCCTTTTATGGAAAACAAAGGTTTAGGAAGATGATGCCCAAGATCCCTTCCTGTCTGACCATCCAGTGAGTCTATACTTGTTCTCTGCAGACTCTGCACTGCAGAACAGTTTCCCAAGTCTTGGTGTATCTTTCTGGCTTAGCACCATGGCTCTCTGCAGAAAACTGATCTGTGCCCCCACCCCACAATTGATCCTTTTGTTTTTGGAGACGGAGTCTCGCTCTATCGCCCAGGCTGGAGTGCAGTGTCATGATCCTCTACCTCCTGAGTTCAAGCGATTCTCCTGCCTCAGCCTCCCGAGTAGCTGGGATTACAGGCACATGCTAGCAGGCGCAGTTAATTTTTGTATTTTTAGTAGAGACGGTGTCTCACCATGTTGGCCAGGCAGGTCTCGAACTCCTGACCTCAAGTGATCTGCCTGCCTCGGCTTCCCAAAATGTTGGAATTACAGGCGTGAGCCACTGCGTCCAGCCCACAGTTGATCTTAAAAGCAAGGCAATACAACACCAACTGATTTTCATATTAACTCTGCAAACAACAGAGGTAACTCTAGGAAGGGTCTGCTGAAGGGTCGTTTGGCTAAACTGGGCTTTGCTCCAAGGTGCAGGGTGATGCAGCCCTCCTGGAAGCATCACTTTGATGCAGCTTGGTGCATGCACAGCACAGAAAGGTTTGCAGCAGTCTGGCTTGCCACTTGCCACTTGCCACTTGCCTGGCTGGACATTCTCTAGACCTTTGGGGGTCCTATCTCACTAAAGATCCTGACAGTTGCCAGACAGAAGGCAGTATAAAGGCACTTCCCATCATTTGGGCCTGAGTTTTCTTTGGGATCGTTCCCCAAATAGCTCATTCTTCTTTCATGATGTGTGTTCCCTTTACACTTTTAATTATTTCTTTTTTTTTGAGACAGAGTTTCACTCTTGTCTCCCAGGCTGGAGTGCAGTGGTGCGATCTTGGCTCACTGCAACCTCCGCCTCCTGGGTTCAAGCAATTCTCTTGCCTCAGCCTCCCAAGTAGCTGGGACTACAGGCGTGCGCCACTATGCCCAGCTAATTATTTGTGTTTTTAGTAGAGACGGGATTTCACCATATTAGCCAGGATGGTCTCGATCTCCTGACCTCAAAATCCGCCCGCCTCAGCCTCCCAAAGTGCTGGGATTAAAAGCGTGAGCCACGTCGTCCAGCCAATTTTTGTATTTTTTAGTACAGACAGGGTTTCACCATGTTGGCCAGGCTGGTCTCAAACTCCTGATCTCAGGTGATCCACCTGCCTCGGCCTCCCAAAGTGCTGGGATTACAGGCATGAGCCACCGCACCCAGCCACTTTTTTTTTTTTTTAAATTATACTTTAAGTTCTGGGATACATGTGCAGGATGTGCAGGTTTGTTACAGGATGTGCAGGTTTGTGCAGTTATACAGGTGCCATGGTGGTTTGCTGCACCCATCAACCCATCATCTAGGTATTTCTCCTAATGCTATCCCTCCCCTAGCCCCTCACCCACCAACAGGTCCTGGTGTGTGATGTTCCCCTCCCTGTGTCCATGTGTTCTCATTGTTCAACTCCCACTTATCAGTGACAACATGTGGTGTTTGGTTTTCTGTTCTTGTGTTAGTTTGCTGAGAATGATGTTTTCTAGCCTCATCCATGTCCCTACAAAGGACAGGAACTCATCCTTTTTTATGGCTGCATAGTATTCCATGGTGTGTATGTGCCACATTTCTTTATCCAGTCTATCATTGATGGGCATTTGGGTTGGTTCCAAGTCTTTGCTATTATGAACAGTGCCGCAATAAACATACGTGTGCATGTGTCTTTATAGTAGAATGAGTTATAATCCTTTGGGTATCTACCCAGTAATGGGATTGCTGGGTCAAATGGTATTTCTAGTTCTAAATCCTTGAGGAATTTCCACACTGTCTTCCACAATGGTTGACCTAATTTTTTTTTTTTTTTGAGACAGAGTTTCACTCTTGTTGCCCAGGCTGGAGTGCAACGGCGTGATCTCAGCTCACCGCAACCTCTGCCTCCCAGGTTCAAGCAATTCTCCTGCCTCAGCCTCCCGAGTAGCTGATATTACAGGCATGTACCACCACACCCAGCTAATTTTGTATTTTTTAGTAGAGACGGGGTTTCTCCATGTTGAGGCTGGTCTCATCTCGAACTCCTGACCTCAGGTGATCTGCCCGCCTCGGCCTCCCAAAGTGCTGGGATTATAAGCATGAGCCACCGTGCCCAGCATGGTTGAACTAATTTACACTCCCACCAACAGTGTAAAAGCGTTCCTATTTCTCCACATCCTCTCCAGCATCTGTTGTTTCCTGACTTTTTAATGATCGCCATTCTAACTGGTGTGAGATGGTATCTTACTGTGGTTTTGATTTGCATTTCTCTAATGACCAGTGATGGTGAGCTTTTTTTCATATGTCTCTTGGCTGCATAAATGTCTTCTTTTGAGAAGTGTCTGTTCATATCCTTTGCCCAATTTTTGATGGGGTCGTTTGTTTTTTTCTTATAAATTTGTTTAAGTTCTTCATAGATTCCAGATATTAGCTCTTTGTCAGATGGATAGATTGCAAAAATTTTCTCCCGTTCTGTATTCACACACCAAAAGCAATGGCAACAAAAGCCAAAATAGACAAATGGGATCTGATTAAACTAAATAGCTTCTGCACAGCCACTTTTAATTATTTCTTTTGTGTCTACTTAAATATTCTTGTTTTATAGTCTCTGTCAATTTTTTCTTTATCTGAAATTTTTGGGTCTTCATACTCTTGTTGGTTTTGTCTGCGGACTCTTGCTCATGGCAGATATTTCCTTATAAGTTTGGACGGTGATCTCTCATTTTCAGTGGTGCTTTGCCTGTGGGTGGTGTGTGTGCAGGTGCCTTCAGAGTAGTTTCACATTTGCCTCTCTGGGCTTCCTGGATTATCTCTTTCCATGGAACCAATTTTATGTTAATTTTTCTACTTGGGGGTTTCCAGACCCACAGGTCGTATAATTCCAAACCCCAAACTCTTGTAAGTTGTAGACCTGTTGTCTAAAATTCTCGGGGGAGACTTTTCTAATAAACCAGGAAGGAAGAGATAAATTTCCTTGCAGTCCGCCTGTCCTGGTGAATGAATTTTTCGAATCCATCCTTCTGCTGAGGTCACATTTCTTTGAGAGTTCTGGTTCTGCTAAGAGATCTTAGTGCTAACTTCCCACCTTGTACTATACAAAATCTCATTTCTTACACTTGGGTATAGGAAGCTGCTGGTTACTGAGATTAACAGCTCAGACTTAACCAGGGCAGATGAACGACCTCAGATGAACTGGGTCAGCCATAGCGTCAGCTTAAACCTACTGCCCCAGATTTTAGTTCCCACCTGGTTTCTGGCACCTGGGAATCTCCTGACTTACCTCTTCTCATGAGCTCAGCTAGCTATACATTAAACATTTTTTTTGTTCTATTTTTCCAAAATTTTTAGAAATTTGGGGGTTATTTTTGTCCTCATCTTTCTGGAATCTAAAGTTTCCCAGATCCTCCTTGTTACTGAATAAGAACTATGCTTACTGTGTCAATGGGGAAGAAGGGGAGAGGGTAGCAGAATTGGTCGTGTTAATCTGTAGACAGTCTCTTTGGAAGAGATGAATAGCAGCCACCTCAGTAGTCTTTACCTTCTTTTGCTTAAAATAGTTCTGAAAAACAATGAGTCTTGTAGCACATTTAAAAAGTTTTATAAACCTTTTCAAAATAAATAAAAGTAGTTGCAAAAGATAACTTCCAACATACGTTAAATATTTTCACTTAAAAATAAAACTTACATCATTAAAAATGTATTCAATGTAATCTAAATATGTTAGTGATTTGATACCTACCATCATTTATTACAAATGCAAATACAACTTCTTAAAAAGTTGGAAACTTGCCGGGCACAGTGACTCATGCCTGTAATCCCGGCACTTTGGGAGGCCAAGGTGGGCAGATTGCCTGAGGTCAGGAGTTCGAGACCAGCCTGACCGACATGGTGAAACCTCGTCTCTACCAAAAATACAAACATTAGCCGGGCATGGTGGCGGGTGCCTGTAATCCCAGCTACTTGGGAGGCTGAGGCAGGAGAATTGCTTGAACCCAGGAGGTGGAGGTTGCAGTGAGCTGAGACCGGGCCATTGCACTCCAGCCTGGGCAACAAGAGAAAAACACCGTCTCAAAAAAAAAAAAAAATTTTGGAAACTTTACATTATTTTCCTCTTGGAACCCATTTTTCCTGTACCACTTCCTGCTGAATAATTTTACTCTGATTTTGCCTTTAAATGTGTTTTACTGATCATTGTTTCATGTTTCTCAGCAATACAGTAATGTTTATAAAATTAAGTTTTGTTTTCTATGATCATAAATACTTCAGTGTTGGACACATTTCTTCTGGATCATTTTTGCAGCTATGCTATTGATCAAAATACCAAATACATTTTGATAAAGGAATACTTAAATATTTTGAAAATGGAAATGTATCCCATCCTGAGATGAATGAGACTGAGGCATTAGGTTAAGTATGTATGGCCAAATATTGCTTATTGCTTGAATGAGACAGGATTCAATATACATTTTGCTCTTTTATTTTAATAGATGCGAGCACCTAACAGAGACAGGATTCAATATACATTTTGCTCTTTTATTTTAATAGATGCGAGCACCTAACAGCTTCATTCACATAAATAAGAGGGAGAAGGAAGTTTTGTCTCATCTGTTATTCAATTCTTTAACTTCTAAACTTTTTAAGCCCAAAATTGTACTGTGATCTACCATCAAAAATTATTTTTAGCAATCTATCTGTTAGCCATTTGATTAGTTCTCTTTCAATTTCACAGAAGGCAAAGAACTGAAAAATCATGTGACGTGCAGAAAGTAAATGGAGTCACTCATTTTCTCACCCAGTAAACCAATGCCTCAAAGTTGTCCTTTTGTTTGATGCCCAGATGTTTTCACATCTGGGGATAAAGATGTGAAAAATACAGTGAGGTTCTGAGTGGGTGAGAAAAAGTGTGACTTTCTTTCATAAAGTGGGAGAAGGGAAATTTTGAGAGTGGAGTCCTCTGCTGGAGGCATTTTCAGGAAGATCAGTTTAGGGAATAGTACCTTTGGAAGTTGAGTATCTGGAATGGAAATTCATTCCCCTTGAGACTGCCAGTACTACACACTCCCTGCAAAGCTTTTCAAACCCTCTGTTATTTGTTTGAGGTGGGCTTCCTGGAAGAAGAAGGCTTTGCAGCTAGATTATAAGCTCTGTGGATCTTGCAGTGTCTTTACAGTGCTCAGCATGTAAAAGCTGGGCAATAATTCACAAATTTTTATTGTGTGTTTACTGTGCCTTGGCACCTTCACAGTGGTGCATGTGCCTTACCTCAGTTAGTTCACAAATAAACTCCATGAGAAATTTCTTGTCAGGAACACTACCTTAAGGGTGAGAAGCTAAGGATTGGAGGGGCTAAGTAACTTGCCCTAGGTTGTGTGAGTGATAAATAGTAGAACTGGGGATTGGATCCTAAAGAGTTTGTCTAATATAAAACCTCACAGGCTGGGTGTGGTGGCTCACGCCTGTAATCCCAGCACTTTGGGAGGCCGAGGGGGGAGGATCACTTGAGGTCATGAGTTCGAGACCAGCCTGGCCAACATGGAGAAACCACATCTCTATTAAAACTATAAAAATTAGCTGAGTGTGGTGGCAGGCACCTGTAATCCCAGCTGCTCAGGAGGCTGAGGCAGGAGAATCAGTTGAACCTGGGAGGCAGAGGCTGCAGTGAGCTGAGATCATGCCACTGCACCAGCCTGGGTGACAGAGCGACTCCATCTCGAATGAATGAATGAATGAACGAATGAATGAATGAATAAATGCCCATAATCTTACCAATTGCTATACGGGAGAAGCAGCAAAGGAAGGACTCAAGGTAGACCCCTGACTCACATTCCCTTCACTCTTGTCAAGAAGAGAGGAGAAAAGAGATAGCTTCTTAGAGAATTAAAAATAATAGAATGGCAGTGTTGGAAGTAGCTTTCTTATGAGCAATATGATATGGGATGAGTCAGTTAACTTGTCTTAGACTTAATACCGCATCTGTAAACTGAGGATGATGATGATGGTGATGATAGTGATGGTGATGAGGGTGGTGATGGTGATGATAATGGTGATGATGGTGATGACTATACTTACTGCATAAGACAGAAATTATCCTATAGTAAGTACCTTCCATTACTGGACACTTCTAGCTATCTGTTCTGCTTAGATGAAATCTTTTACCTCTTAGTCTACAAAACACTCTCTTCATAACAAGCTCTCAACTGTTTGATGTTGAAATATATTTTCTTTTGTGTTTTTTTCTAGGATAGATCTCATGAGTTATTTATTTAACTGAGATTTATTATTTGAAGACTCCTTATCTTCCTGGTCACTCTCCTTTGGATATATTCTCATTTGTCAAAATGATTTAAAATATGGAACCCAGAATTTATTACCATATTCCAGATGTGGTTTGACGAGGGCAGAACACTGTGAAATTGCTCTTTTCCTTGAGCTTTAGATGCCATCTGAACACTTAGTAGTTTTTCCTGTTCACTCTGTAAACTTCCATTAAACCCATAATTCAGAGATTATGATACAAGTCTGCTGCAAACCCAGTCTCTTATCCCATCCTATAATTTTGCAATTGACAGTTTGCACACTGATTCTGGGACTTCACATTTACCTCTGTGAAATTTCATCTTGATGACTCAAGTCCATGTTTCAGCTTGCTAAAGTGATTTTGGATCTTGATTCTGCTTATTAAGGAGGGTGATGCATCATAAGATACGGTGAACTGGATGGTTTAGCAGAAAAAGCAGTGAATGGTGTTGCAGACTTGCCCAAGCCAATTAGGTCATTCAGTATTTTAGGTTCTTTTTGTTTGGTATCAGTCCTTTATATTATTTAGAGATGGGTGAGGAATGTAGATTTGTTTTTGTTTGTTTTTGCCTACTACAGTTTGTATCTCATGGTATGTTCCAGTGTAGGTAAATCTTAGAATGAATTCTGTTAGAAGCACAAAAGTTTATTAGCAAACAGGCACAAAAAAGGTCATGAAGAGGCTGGGCACGGTGGCTCACGCCTGTAATCTCAGCACTTTGGGAGGCCGAGGTGGACGGATCACGAGGTCAGGAGATCGAGACCATCCTGGCTAACATGGTGAAACCCCATCTCTACTAAAAAATGCAAAAAATTAGCCAGGCGTGGTGGTGGGCACCTGTAGTCCCAGCTACTCAGGAGGCTGAGGCAGAAGAATGACGTGAACCCGGGAGGCGGAGCTTGCAGTGAGTTGAGATCGCGCCACTGCACTCCAGCCTGGGCGACAGAGTGAGAGTCCGCCTCAAAAAAAAAAAAAAAAAAAAAAAAAAGGTCATGAAGCTCACTCATGTAAGCTCCATGATGTCCCAGGTCCCTGACTCGGGTTCTCTCAGGAGCACTTTGCATACCCTGGTAGATGAAGAAGTGCTTGAGCAGAAGGTTCAGTTAACTTTCTAGTTGGGATCAGCTGACAACCCTCCATAATCGCCAAATGGGGAAGACCTGGGTTGCTATCCCAAAGGGCATAAGTAACTGGGTTCAGCAGATTCTTACGCCCCCCACATACATGGGTGAGAACGCCTATGAAATACATTTATGCCACCCATGCATCTTGAACTGCATTCATTTCAGCAATAAAAATGTTTTCTAACATCCATTATACTAATTAACAAAAGCTGTCATGTCAATCAGAAATCTAGTTGGTTGGAATGCTTGTAAGCAGCTACCTCTTGGGTATGGGGTTTTCATGAAAGCATTTCAGATGCTAACTACCTGCCCCGGGAGTATGTATTCCCCATTAAGGAACTTCAAATGTTACATAACTTCCCCTAGGCTGTACATGTATAACTGTGATATATGTTTATATGTATTACCACCTATGCTGAAGTGTTTTGAGATAAGTTATAACAATGTAGCAGATTGGGAGTCTGGGGCCTGGGTTTTCTTCCCAACTATTGTTTCTAACTGGCTCTGTATGGCACATCGTAGTCCTATGATGATCACTACAGTCACACAGAGAGGTCCCTTCTGGTGCCCACTCGTGCAGCAGGACTCAGTACACATTCCACAATCTCACATGGTATGTTAAGGAATAAAGTTCTTTTAGGGATGGGGGCATGGGTAAAGAAAACTTACAAGGCTGAGTCAGCAGACCCCTCTCTCCCCATCCCTTATCCCCAGAGAGGCCTGCCTGGGCCAGGTGCTCTGCTGGGTGTGCAAAATGGCCTTGCATCCCAATGGGAGGACTTTACCCTCTGGGGTCTGGCTCCTATGTGGCAAGGGTGGGTCAAACTGATGGCAGGGGAGGGAATCCTCACTGCCGGGGTGCTGGGCTGTCTGGCTTTCAGTGCCAGTTGTAAAGAGAGTTGTCTGGGGACACCAGCTGCTCAGTGCCTGGAGACCTGGGGCTGTGGGAAGTTTCAGCTCCTCTGCAGACGGGTAGGTGAAGGTCGGGGAGGAAACCCACTGGTTCCATATGAGAAGTTTCAGCTCCTCTGCAGAGGGTTAGGTGAAGGTCGGGGAGGAAACTCACTGGTTTCATAAGTTTCAGCTCCTCTGCAGAACGGTAGGTGAAGGTTGGGGAGGAAACCCACCAGTTCCATGAGAAGTTGGGCTTGGGAAGCTCAGTGGCCAGGAAATCCAGAGTGAGGTCTCAGGGTCCTGTCCAGGCAATCTTGCCCCTGTTCCTTGCATCACAGTTCATGCTCCTTCCTGGGCCTCAGTCCTCTCATCTTTCATTTTTTCATATTATTTTTTAGAGACAGGGTCTCACTCTGTCACCCAGACTGGAGTGCTGTGATGTGGTCATGGCTGACTGCAGCCTTGAACTCCTGGGCTCAAGCAATCCTCCTGCCTCAGCCTCCCAAGCAGCTAGGGCTACAGGTACGTGCCACCAAGCTCAGCTAATTATTTATTTTATTTCATTTTTGTAGAGATGGGGTCTTGCTATGATGCTCAGTCTAGTTTCAAACTCCTGGCCTCAAGCGATCCTCTCTCCTCAAGCCTCCCAAAGTGCTAGGATTATAGGCTTGATCCACCATGCCTGATCCCTCTCATCTTTTAGAATAAAGAAATTGTGTTTTGGTCTCTCTCAGTCTCCATACTAAAAAGGAATAGAGTCCTCTTTCTCCACATTTAACAAAAACAAGTACACAGACATTTGATAGAAATGGTACATGTCAGCTGGGTGCGGTGTCTCACGCCTGTAATCCCAGCACTTTGGGAGGCTGAGGTGGGTGGATCACGAGGTCAGGAGTTCAAGACCAGCCTGGCCAAAATGGTGAAACCCGACTCTACTAAATATACAAAAATTAGCCGGGCGTGGTGGCGGGCGCCTGTAATCCCAGCTACTCAGGAGGCTGAGGCAGGAGAATCGCTTCAACCCGGGAGGCTGAGGTTGCGGTGAGCCGATATTGTGCCACTGCACTCCAGCCTGGGTGACAGAGTGAGACTCTGTCTCAAAAAAAAAAAAAAAAAAAAGAAATGGTGCCTGGCAGATGTATAAAACCTGTATCAAAATATTGAGAAACTTCCCTTCATGTTTTCTTGCACAAATGAGTACAATCATGTAAATTGTAATCTCCTGCTACTAATGATGAAGAGTGATTTGAATGTGGAAAGAGACTTGAAGAAATGAGTGACAAAGGCTTCGCACTGCTGCCGTGACTCAGTGAGCATTTGCAGGACGATAACGTTTCTATCATTTTCTGAACTCATTAAAAAAGGCATGCAGAGCTTTTGTGTTCAAAGAATTCTGTCTTTTTCCTCCCTAAAGCCATTGCATTTGTTTCAAATCTACGTGTGACTACATTTGGAGATAAGTAGCCTTTTTCAGACCTTCTTGATTTCAAAACACAGATTTGGTCTGCACGTTCTCATGATAAGACAGAGAAGGAGACCATGGAAATATTTTGCCTGTCTGTAATTGGCAGGGCTGGGTGAGGATCAGAAGAGCTATAGATTCTCTTTGGAAGGTTTTGTCTGGCGCATCGATTAGGTTACCATGCCGTTGAATAATTATGATGGCATCATTTGTCCTGTATTTGGCAAACATTGCACACGGAGCAATCTGACAATGTACAACGGTCTAGACCATCTCTATAAAAGTCTCTGCAATTGTCTTCTTTATACACATGGCTCATTTAAGAGGCAGATAACTTACTTCTAAAGTACAGATCTTTCCCCTTTCAAAATCTTTGGGAAATTTCAAGTTTTCTTTCCTTGCACCTAGCAAATGTCCCACGTATAACAGGCAGTCAATAAATACCTGTTGTGGCTGATGATGATGGGGAGTGAAATTGAGGAAGCCTTTCATGTGTTTAGAATGCAGTAGATTGGTGCCAGGGGTTACCAGAAACATCGATGATTACTGCTGCAGCCCCATCTCCCTGTGCCGACTTACTGAGCCTTTGAATGAACGGTATAAAGGTATCATTTTGCTGCATTAGGAGGAAAAGGTATATGGAGATTTGACATGTGTGGTGTTTCATAACTTCCTCTCCATAAAATAATGACATTTGTCTTCTTTCATCTAAGCCTGCATCATTTCTGAAATGGAGACCTAAATTTAAGGTATGGAAGATTTCAAGTTAAACATCCTTGGGAAAGCATGCTTCATGGTTTTCTGCCCAAATGGGGAGTAAGATTATGGAAACCTATTACCTTTTGATAATGGCAGTTCTGAATCAGAGTGGGGGGAGGGCAGCTGAAGAAAGTTACCTGACATTACTTCTAGAGGCTTCATTTCTCCACACTGACTGGTTTGCTTTTGTTTCATCTAAGTGTTGCCACTCAGATGGGTGGAGACTGCCGAGGGGGAATGGTGACAGGGAGCCAGGAGGTGGTTTCCAGGCACAGGGATAAAGGAAAATCCTGGCTAATGGCATTTCCTGGGTGCCCATCATGTGCCAGGCAGGATGCTAGACATTGAGATCCAAAGGTGAATATGGTCACTTAGGCACTGTGGTGCACTGCTGTGGTCTCAGCTACTCGGGGGCTGAGGTGGGAGGATGGCTGGAACCCAGGAAATGGAGCTACAGAGAGCTGTAATTGTGCCACCACTCTCCAGCTTGGGTGACAGAGTGAGATCTGGTCTCTTATTTTTTTGAGACAGAGTCTTGGTCTGTCACTCAGGTTGGAGTGCAGTGGTGCAATCTCTGCTCACTGCAACCTCTGCCTCCCAGGTTCAAGCGATTCTCCTGCCTCAGCCTTCCGAGTAGCTGGGACTACAGTTGTGCATCACCTCCCTCGGCTAATTTTTGTTTTAGCAGAGATGGGGTTTTATCACGTTGGCCAGGCTGGTCTTGAACTCCTGACCTCAAGTGATCCACCTGCCTCAGCCTCCCAAAGTGCTGGGATTACAGGCATGAGCTACTGTGCCTAGCCTAGACCCAGTCTCTTAAAAAAAAAAGAGAAGGTATCTGCCCTCCAGAAGTTCCTGGTGGGATCCATGCTGAGTCAGAAGGGAGCACAGAGATTGAGGACCTAGCTCAGCTCAAAGCAGTCAGGGAAGCTTCCAGTGGGGAGGTGCTGTTTGCAGAGTCTATAAAAGACCCTGAAGTGGCCAGGCTGGGTGGTGCAGGGCTGGGGGTGGTGTCCAGCAAAGAGAAGCACATGTGAGGGGCAGAGGCAGGAGAGGTCTTGGTCAAGTGATTTTTTGAACCCAGGGAAAGGAGAGGTCTTGAAGAAGGGGAGATGCACACAGGAGAAAGTGAGATCTAGAAGTGAAATGGCAAAGAAGAGGATGGCCTGTCTCAAATACCTCCATTCTGCTGTCAACTTCATGCCTTGCCGGTCCTCCTTCCCCACCGCCCACATTCAACCACATGCCAAATCCTATCGGAGTTGTCTCCACAGCATCTGAGGATCTCCCGCCCCTGCCCCTTCCCTTCCATTGCCTCTGACTTTGCTGTCTGGCTGAGACCCCTGTGATAGCTTTTATGTTAGCTAGAATTCAGGTTCAGCTGCCGTGACAGAGACCCAAATAAGGGCGTACACGTGAGAGAAGTAGATTTCTCTTTCACAAGTAATGCCTGATGATAAGCAGTCCCAGGACAGTGTGACAGCCCCGTGACATCTTCCGTGTGGTGGCTCTGCTGTTCCTGCAGCATGCCCTTGATTACATGAGCCGGCACCCCTTGCCACCTCGCCCACAACCCAGCCAGCAGGAAGAGGTGCAAGAGCCATTCTCCTTCCTTTCAAAGCGTCACCTGGAAGCTGTTTATGTAGGTTCTACTCATGTGCCCCTAACCATATGGCCACATCTACCAGTGAGGAAGGCTAGGAAATACAGTTTGTATTTAGGGTAAACAAGTACTAAGATAAAAACCAAAGGTTTTTTTTTAGAATAAGGAGGGAAGGGCCGGGCACGGTGGCTCACACCTGTAATCCCAGCACTTTGGGAGGCCAAGGCGGGCAGATCATGAGATCAGGAGATCAAGACCATCCTGGCTAATGCAGTGAAACCCCGTCTCTACTAAAAATACAAAAAATCCGCCGGGCATGGTGGTGCATGCCTGCAGTCCCAGCTACTCAGGAGGCTGAGGCAGGAGAATAGCTTGAACCTGGGATATGGAGGTTGCAGTGAGCAGAGATCATGCCACTGCACCCCAGCCTGGGCGACAGAGCGAGACTCCATCTCAAAAAAAAAAAAAAAAAAAGGGAAGGGTGAGAGTGAGGGCCATGCGGTCACCCACCCCTCGTCTTGCCCTCCTCATCCGCCCTCTGTGTGGCTCTGAGAGTGCAGGTCCCATGCTCACATGGCGCTGTCTCAGCCTGCCTGGAAACACTCTCTATTCCTGAGTGGGCTGCCACTTCCAGCCTCCACACGTTTGCTCACGCTCTGCCTTCTGCTAGGGAAGCAACAGAATGGTGCCTTGAATGTGGCACCAGGTTCAAGTCACTTGCTAGCGATGAGACCCGGGGCTGTCTGCCCTAATGCTCTGACGCTCTATTATCTTTCAAAAGCAGGATAATATCAGCTTTAACTTCAGCATTAGGGCGAGGTGAGAATAGTGTAGGTAAAGGCGTGCTCAGTAGTGGTGGTTGTCACAGCCAGCATCCCCTCTGCTCCGTGCCGGGGAGCCTGCTCCCCCATCGGCCTAGGATTCAGGTCACTTTCCCCATGAATCCTCTCCCTGGGGCTCCCAGGCCCTGCTGTCCTCAGACGCTCTTCCTGGTTCAGCACCCAGCACGTTCTGCTCGGGTACCTCTTGCTGTGTCTGCCTTCCCTGGTAGACTGATTTGCAGCCTGTTCACCTCTGTTATTCTCTTTGCTCCTAGGACAATGTCTACTAAAGAGCAGAGCTGCTTGGTTAATGCCAGTTAAATTGAAGTCGGTTGAACCAAGGCCAGCAAGCAAATCCAGCAAGCCCAAGGAAGCAGAGGCTCAGAAACAGGCTGCCCAGAGCCTTGAAGCTGGTGGCCACAGCTGGGCATTTAGGGCCAGGTCAGCCTCTTACCTACGATCAGAGCCTTCAGTGGGGGAGGAGACCAGACTGGCAGGCAGGCAGCAGGGATGAGATCCAGGCAAGGAGACCCAGGGAGAAGGGGTCATGGTGCAGGGGAGGCCCAGTAGCATCAGGGGCAGGGCACCAGTTACGCAGAAGGAGCTGGACGCTAGGCCAGAAGGTCCCCGAATGCTGGGGTCAGAAAGGAGGTGGTCTTGATTTGTAGGAGGAGATAAGGGGAATGGGAGTGAGGGAGCAGAGAGCAACCTCCACCTTCAGTATGGCCCTGGAGGTGCAGGGCCCAGATACAGGATCCTGTGGGAAGAGGAACAGAGATTGAAGAGGCTCTGGAAGGAAAGGTGATTCCATTTGGGTTATGCAGGATGCACTGCTGGGATCTGTCCACCAGAGGGCAGGAGAGACCAACACATGAGGCAGGGATGGCCTCAGCCACAGAGCTGCAGGGGTTATTGGCTTCCCCTGGGGGACTGGGTGGACAGGAAGGTGTGGAGAGAATTGGATAGGGCGAGCCTAGGCCAGAATCTTCTTCTTCTCCTCAAGAAAGCCTCTTTAGACGGACATGTCCAGCCCCTGGGGTATACAGAGTGTGGCAGGAGTTGTCGGTGGGGGGGGGGGTGGGTTACTCTTGCAGACGGTGGCTTTTGAAGGTGGTCCTGGGCAGCCCCAGCGAGGACCTCAGTTCTGAGCTCTGGTTCAGGCCGCCTGACTTCTCCACTTTGCTTCAGCCTTCAGAAACGGGTTATCTGTCCCCTCCGCCTGGTTGGGGCTGCTCTTCGGAGGGGACTTTTGGTTTGTGTGAGAAACTACTGTGGGTGGAAGTCCGCACCCTCAGAGCTGAGGACTCCAGCCAGTAGTCGTGTCTCTGTCTTGAGGATCCAACCCACTCCTCCGATGGCCGAAGGACCAGCCTTGCCGCTTAGCCGCGGGCAGGAGGGTGGAAGCGTGTGGAGCGAAGTCTGCGGGTCAGGCTCAGGCTGGGCCACCGCTCATCTCTCTGGGACTCAGTTTCTTCTTCTGTGCAATGCAGCTCTGAAACCAGCTCTCACCCTGGAACCTGAGATGAGGTCACTGAGTCAAAGTTCACGACACAGTAACACGACACAGAAATGCGACTTTTGGTTGCCCGTTGTCCCTTTCAGCCATGATGGGGGACAAGGACAGGGTCTTACTCATCTCTCTTTCCCCATGGGATCCAGCACTGTCTTGGCACATGGAGGGAGGGTGGTCCCTGAATGAATGAGGGAGTGAGCAGGGAAGAAGGCCACGAGGCTCAAAGCTGCCCAGGCCAGACCTGAACACAGCGGGTAAAGACCCCAGAGCTCTCTGTGAGGTGATGCCTCCTGCAGGAAGCATTCCCTGTACCCGAATTAGCCTATTTCTGAGCTGCCTTAGCCCCTCTGGCCCTAGGGCAGCAGGGAGGGGCGAAGGATGGCAGTACTTGGTCAGGTGTGAGAGGGCTGGGGTGGACTGTCCACGGTGCAGTGGGGCCGGGGGTGGTGGTAGGAGCTGGGCTGGATTTTCCCCTCTGGCGGCCCCCTTTTCTAGCTGGTGGAAGTGTTTGATTGGAGCCCCTGCTTGGGTACACATTTTATTTCTGGAGAGACTGCTTCATGGCTCACAAGGGTCTTAGATTCCTTAACTTGTCTTTCTTGTTCCTTGAGAACAGACACGTGTGGGGGCGTTCACAGGCTCCGACAAGTCCCATTTCCGCACTAATAAATATTCCGCCTCTCCTCTCTCAACATTAAAAAAAATTTCAGAGGAAGAACAAGTCTTCCATTTGTCACCGGCTCCTCGGTCCGGAGCAGAGGATGCATTTTGCTATCGCTTGTGGCGACTTGGAGACAGGGATGAGGAATGGGTTTGTTTCCTCCAATCAGTTTACTCGTGCTTGGAAGGGCCATTTGTGCCCTTGACCCTGGTGTGGCCATAGCCTTGGGGAAGGGCAGGACAGGAGGAGGGGAGCTCTGGGCAATGGTTAGGGCAGAGGCAGTAGGAGATCAGACAAGAACAGGGAGAATCTGGGAGATGCCAGATAGAAGTTTGGGGAAGCTGACTTGAGATGATCTGTCCCTAGGGAGGACGAGGGTTCCATCATCAAAAGAAGGAGTCCAACTCCAGCCTGTTGCACACCCAGGGTGTGTGGCTTTTTCTTTTTTTTTTTTTGAGATGGAATCTCACTCTGTCACCCAGGCTGCAGTGCAGTGGTGTGATCTTGGCTTACTGCAACCTCTACCTCCTGGGTTCAAGCGATTCTCCTGCTTCAGCCTCCAGAGTAGCTGGGATTACAGGCATCCACCACCATGCCCGGCTAATTTTTGTATTTTTATTAGAGACGGGGTTTCGCCATGTTGGCCAGGCTGCTCTGGAACTCCTGACTTCAGGTGATCCACCTGCATTGGCCTCCCCGTGAGCCACTGTGCCCGGCTGTGGCTGCTTTTATCTATGGACCTTGGCTCTTCCCGGACACTTGGAAAGCAACAGGAGCACAAGGTTAAATGATCAACCATCCGAACTCCAGCCTTGCTGTGGGGGCTAGCCCAGCATCTCAGCATCCTAGGGGCTGTCTAGCTGCTACGCTGGGGCGGGACCTCTGTGCTCTACAATACTTACGTTTTCTCAGACCTCTGCTTATCTCTACTTAATGTGCCTTCCAGTCTGTTATGGAGAATACAGACCACTGTTAGACCCAGCCTCTCCCCGCCCACACCTGCCTGTCACCAGGCAACAGGTTGGGTCTGGCTCTGGGGGTAGAGGAAGTTTTTGTCAGAACAAATTCTCATGCTCTGGGGCCACCACAGGGGCCCAGAAACACTTGTTCAATATCACACATCAGAGCAGAGGCAGACATTATGCTGGGTGCAGCCCAGCACCTGGTTGTGCCACTGTAGTTGAGGGATACCAGCTCCTTGGGCTTCCATGATCTCACTGGAAAAACAGAAGGAACCCTACCTGCCCTGCCCCTGCCTTTCAGGGTCGTCTGGAAGAGCTGTGATGTTCAGTGAACATGAACGTGCTCTGTAACCTGGGAAGGGCAGTGCAGATGGCAGGGGCGTGTATACACTTACTCTTCAGGCTGGCTTGCGAGCTCCCATCTCTCACCCTCCTCCCCCTGCTCTCCTTTTCTGTGCTGCCCGTTCCCTCTCTGCAAACTGGGAGTTATTCTGGCCGCAGCCAGTTCCACGTCCCCACTGAGGGCCGCACCCCTGAATGTTCCCTGTTGTAAAGCTGTGTGGAGGAAGGGAGGAGGCCTTTCTGCGTATTCTGTCTTGTCATCAGCCCGCGGTGTTCCAGAAGCTGCCAGCAGGGGGCAGTAGCACCGCATCCCTGGGACCCTCCCGGCGCTTCCCGGCCACGGCCCTGGGCTCCGATGAGGCCACCTCTGTGAGTGGGTGTGTGCCTGCCGGTCGCAGGTCGAGAATGTCTTAATGACTTGTGCCGCGTGTGCGCGCTCGATGAGCAGAGGGCCTGATGCGGCAGGGCCACCGTGGGGGCCAGGCCTGGAAACACGTGCTGATTTCCTTTGGGCAGCAGGGGTTGAGAGGGGGAGTTGTCCTGGTGACGCTAATGGGGAGGCCAAGGTGGCCTTCAGGGGCTGCTTGTGTAACACACGGTGGGGGGGACCGTGGGTGTGGCTCAGATGAACGCAGAGGATGGGATGGATTCCACTGGCCAGGTCCTCTAGGGTATCCTGCTGAGCCCGGGTAGTAACAATGACAAGGGCACACCCACCCAGCGGGCCTTGAGGCAGGCTCTC
Source organism: Homo sapiens (assembly GCF_000001405.40). NCBI lineage: Eukaryota > Metazoa > Chordata > Mammalia > Primates > Hominidae > Homo > Homo sapiens. The sequence continues at coordinate 131,692,679 of NC_000007.14, forward strand.
AGCCTCCACCCAGGCCCCTCTTGACCTTGCATGGACCAGAGGGGCTGTCCTCTGTGCCCCCACCATTGTCTCTTCAGCCCCCTCCGACCGCACTCAAACTCCTGACATGAACCCCGGCTCCCAGCTGCTCTAGCTTTTGGAAGCCCCTGCACTGGGCTCAGCCATTTCCCCTTTCTGGATTCCTGGGCCCCTCAGGACATGGCTGTCAGCGCCACTGAATTGAGACTGGAGGCAGGTGCCAGGTTCCACTCATAGTGATGGGTCCTGCCACTCAGCATCTGGCAGCATTGCAGGATGATGTTGCAGGACGGTGCCTGCAACCACAAAGGGCTTGGCCCAGGGTCTCTAGGGACTTGCAACCCCTTGAGGAAAGATCAACTCACCTGCATCTAGAGTTTCTGTTATTGTTTTTTGCCTAGAGGGAGTTTTTGAGGGGGGGCCTCAAGGTGGGGTGGAGCCCCTCAGCACCATTGTCCTCTCTGCCATCTGAAACAATGGCCAGCCCTGTCCTGTGCCTTGGAGGTCACCCTGCTTTCCTGGGTGATGCAGGGCCTCTCTCGCAAGCTCCCTCTCCCCAGAAAGCAGGGATTGAACACAGTATTTGCTCGCACCTGAGAAGTACTCCATGCTGCAGAAGATCCTGTGGTGAGGATGTCAGGGTTCTGTTCTCTGCACTCCTGAGCTTTCCAGGCGTACTGTTATTTAATTATTCATTCTGCAGTGTTCATTCATTCACTCACTGGTTTATCACACATTATCGAGCCTCTACTACATACCAGGTGTGTATTCTCTCTCCCTCAGTTAGGGAGGGGGTGTTTCTGGGCTCTAGGAATAGTCTCACTCCTCCCTCCCATTTTATTATTTATTTATTATGTTTGGAGATGGAGTTTCACTCTGTCACCCAGGCTGGAGTGCCATCTCGGCTCACCCCAACCTCTGCCTTCCAGGTTCAAGTGATTCTCCTGCCTCAGCCTCCCGAGTAGCAGGTATTACAGGTGCCCACCACAATGCCTGGCTAATATTTTTTTGTATTTTTAGTTAGAGACGGGGTTTCACCATGTTGGCCAGGCTGGTCTTGAACCTCCTGACTTCAGGTAATCTGCCCGCCTTGGCCTCCCAAAATGCTGGGATTACAGGTGTGAGCCACCGCACCCAGCCCCTCCTCCCTCCTAAAGAGAACCATTGGTGGGTCCACATGTGGGGACAGACAGGGGAGAGTACGATGGAGCCAGAGGACAGAGGACCAGCACTGGGGGCCGAGTGGGGCATGTGGCAAAGCAGAACTGACTGGGAGCAGAGCTGTGGCAGAGCTGGGGAAGAAGAGGGCAGAGCTGGACAGAGGGCGGGACAGATTGGGGGAAGAGACAAGGTGGATGGGGCAGGCCAGATCCAGGAGAAGGGATGGGACAGATCCAGAGAGGGAAAGAGACAGAAACAGACGAGGGGCACATCTTGGGGAAGAGGCAGTGGGAAAAACCAGAAAGATGGGTCAGGGGAATGGTACTGAGAAGAGAGGTGGAGGGAGGACAAGGCAGTTCTTGAGTTCGGGTCTGGAAGTGTTAGCCTTGGATTGGGTCCCCAGGGACCTCAACGTCACAGCGGCAGCTGCATGGCTGGCCCAAGTGCCTGCAGTGGATGGTGGGAGGAGGCCCACATGTCTGTGTGCACCTGACCTGTCTATGTGCCTGGGAGGGGGACCATGTGCTCTTCTAGGCTCTGGGAATAAAGTAATCCCCCCAAAGAAGTCCCTGCCTGCAGGGGGCTCCCACTTGAGGGGACAGAGCCAGCTTAAAGCAGGATGAGTAGAGGATGGTGAGAAATTACCCTCCATCTTCCTGCTCCAAGCTAGGGCCTCTCCAGTGCCGCCAGCCTGTTCCTTGCAACCTGAGCACATCCTACCCTTGTTATCCTAAGCTGGGCATTTCAGCCTTGCCTTTGAGCTTTAAAACATACTTGTGGCCGGGTGTGGTGGCTCACGCCTGTAATCCCAGCACTTTGGGAGGCCAAGGCAGGTGAATCATGAGGTCAGGAGTCCGAGACCAGCCTGGCCAACATGGTGAAACCCTGTCTCTACTAAAAATACAAAAAAAATTAGCCAGACATGGTGGTGGGCACCTGTAATCCCAGCTACTCGGGAGACGGAGGCAGGAGAATTGCTTGAACCTGGGAGGATCTCGCCACTGGACTCCAGCCCTAGTAACAGTGGGAGACTCTGTCTCAAAAAAACAAACAAAACAAAACAACAACAAAAACAACGATAACAACAAAAAAACCCATACTTATTCTGTGTCCCTTTCCTGAGCGTTCTCCCGATTGGTAAGAGCTCATTGAAGGAGTTACAGTGTTAGAGACTGCTAATGATTCCTTTCCAGGAAAAAGCCTTCCAGGTAGCATTTATCCTCTGGTAGGAACCACAAATGGTTTTGTGCAAAGTAATAAGTAAAACAGAAATGTGGAGCAGCCAGGCAGGTTCACAGGAGAAGATAATGCAGGAAATTTTGACTCATGTTGCAGCAAACCAACTACACAGATGGCAGTACTTTCTGCTTAAAGACCAGCTTGTCCTCATCTATGCACCTGGGTCGATTTTTTTAGCACCTCCAAGGAAATATGCAGGGAAATGGCTCCACTTTTCTCTCAGTAGTTCTGACATTCCTTGTAGCCACACAGATTCCTCTGATGCCGAATTCAAGCCCCCCACCCTCAACCCCAACCAGGTCAGAGTGGTGTCCCCTTCCATTCTGGTGGAGATGGACAGCAGCTGGGCCCCTTTTTTTTTATTTTGAAAAGGTTGTTTTTAAGTCTCTTTCAACTCTTTCCTCTTCAAGTCCAAAGAAAATCTGGTTCCTTTAACCTTTCCTCAAGCATTCTGCTTTTCAATCCCTAGTCATTCTTGCAATTTCTATTCCCTAAATCTTTTCCAGTTCTTGCTTCTCAAGTGAAACCTTAAACTGGACACATTAAGAGCTTGTGACTTTAATGGAATGATTTCTTCTTGGCTTCCATATTTTTTCTTAGAAAATATTCCAACATGGGCCAGGTGCGGTGGCTCACACCTGTAATCCTAGCACTTTGGAAGGCTGAGGCAGGCAGATCACAAGGTCAGGAGATCGAGGCCATCCTGGCTAACATGGTGAAGCCCCATCTCTACTAAAAATACAAAAAAATAGCCAGGCATGGTGGCACGTGCCTGTAGTCCCAGCTACTTGGGAGGCTGAGGCAGGAGAATCGCTTGAACCCGGGAGGTGGAGGTTGCAGTGAACCAAGATTGTGCCACTGCACTCCAGCCTGCGCAACAGAGTGAGACTCCATCTCCAAAAAAAAAAAAAATTAAAAAAATTGCAACATAATAATGATAAGAAAATGAATGTTTTCATTTTTTTTTCTTCTGTGTCAGGCTCTGTTTTGGGGGTTTCTCTTATGTATCTTAACTTAATCTTCATAACAACAAACTTATGAGGAAGGCACGATTACTCCATTTTACAGGTGAGAAAAATTAGGGACGTTAAGAGACGTTAAGTAATTTGCCCAAAATCACACAGCTGGTTAATGTAAAAGCTAGGGAGAGGTGGTGGAAGTGTGCTACAGAGCTCTAAGCTGATTTCTGCAAGGATGGAAATTTGTCTTAAGCTGAATTTTCTTATCTTAGTAATTTATGCAAATATTGTACATTGTGCTTTATGCAAAATCTGCATTTGTTTTAATCTAAGAATAACATTTTTTATTTCTGTGAACGTTGGGATAGAACTGATGCTTTGGGGAGACGTATCACATCTGCACTGTGGATTTAAGACCCCCGGGTGCACTGGCATACACCCCTGGGCTTCAAACACCCAGCAGAAAAAACTGCTCTATGATAGCTGAGCCTGGGTTCCAGGCTCACCACATGACTGAATGGCTCTGTTTGCATCTTCCCTTCTCCTTAAGTATCGGTTCCTTATCTCCAAAGAGGGACGTGATTTATTTCTTAGAGTTGTTGAAGACGATGTGAAATATAGACATGAAAATGACCTGCAAAGTGCAAAAGCATGACATTTTTGGTTAACATTTACATTTTGACATCAGGAGGCCATTTGAACCACATTTGCGCTTACTATGATTTACTGTGTTCCCAGATTTATTTTACTGCATTCGATACATTTATTTTACCTAGAGTTTCTGTTTAGCTCAATCTCAATTTCCCAGAGTCCAATGGAAGTCCATGTTTTCCCAGCTTGATTTCTCTGCCTGATTAATAGAATTTCTCCTAAAGTGAGGAGGGTGGGAAAGGGTGGCTTCAGCGCAAGAGTTGTCCCTGCTCATGAGAGCAAAAGTGAGCTGGGGCCACAGCAGCCCGTGAAGGTGATACTTTCACAGGACACTCACTCTAGCTGAACATCAACATCTTTTAAGTACCCAAATAAAAGGTGGGGTGCAGGGATACACTTACAGAAATGAGAGATTCCAAGTGATGCCACAGCTGATGGAGATTTCTGCAGTCCTTCTCTGAGCCAGGGACTGTTCTAGGGCTTGAGAGATACTAGTCAACAAAGCGGACAAAGATCGCTGCCCTTGGTGAGCTTAGATTCTAGTGTATGTTTACACCAGATGTTTACATAAGTAAATGTATGAATAAGGAAATTAAAGAATACATTGGGAAGAGGAAGTGATTTGGAAAAAAGAGCAGAGCAGAATAAGGGACATTAGGAATAGTGAGGTGGTGATGGTGAGTGCCAGCATTAAATAGGGCATTCAGAGGAAGTCTTGCCGATAAAGGGAGATTTGCAGAGACTTCTTCAAGTCTCTATTTGGAGTTAGCCACATGGATGTGTGAGGAAGGGTGGTCCAGGCAGATAGAGTAAAGGCATTAAGGCAGGGCTATGTCTGGCATGTCTCAGGAATATCAAAGTGGCCAGTGTGGCTGAAGTGGAGTAGGTGAGGAGAAGAATAATAGGGTTAAAGGTCAAAGAAGCAGTTGAGGCCAGGCATGGTGGCTCACACCTGTAATTCCAGGACTTTGGGAGGCTGAGGTGGATGGATCAGCTGAGGTCAGGCGTTCGAGACCAGTCTAGCTAACACAGTGAAACCCCGTCTCTACTAAAAATACAAAAAATAAGCCAGGCATTGTGGTGTGCGCCTGTAATCCCATCTACTCTGGAGACTGAGGCAGGAGAATTGCTTGAACCTGAGAGGTGGAGGTTGCAGTGAGCCGAGATCATGCCACTGCATTTCAGCCTGGGCGTCAGAGCGAGACTCCGTCTCAAAAAAAAAAAAAAAAAAAGAAGCAGTTGAGAGGTGGAGTACGAGATGTATATAGAATGTTCTAGGCTTCTCTTCTAAGTGACATGGGAGACTTTGTAGTGTTTTAGTTAGAAAAAGATATAGCATGACATCCTTTCAGCCTTGAATGCCTGCCTTCCAGCATAAGTTCCATGGCTGAGGCTCCCAGGTTTTGTTGTCCCAGCCCTGAACCAATCCCTAGCCCTGGAGCCAGGGATGGGAGTCAGTTTTGCTAGAAACATCCAGTCTGAGAGTGGGAAGAGGTCGTTCCTAAATGGAAAGTCAGATGAGCATATAACCATGCTCCTAGAAGGAAGAAAGGATCTTTAGAAGAGAGGAACAATGGCTGCCTGCCACCATCCTCAATTAGCTGCTGGTGGAAGTGAGATCTGGACATAAATGACATTCAGATAGAAGGCTGTGGGTGCTCAGAGAAGGATGAGATTAATATAAACTCTGAAGATTCAGGGTTTCCTTTTTGGAGGGATGTCAGTTAATCTGGGACTTAGGTGATAGAATTTGGGTAGGCAGATACAAGAGAAGGGGGATTCCACATGCTGGAAATAACTCTGAAATGTGCACTGGGGTAGAAAAACAGGAAAAAAGTGAGCGACTAAACACAGGGCAACAAGCAATGGGACTAGTTCAACTTTGCAGGATTGTAGGATGTGTGAGAGGCAGAGTCAGAAGGTTAAGTCTGATTCACAAAATCCTCAAATGCCATTTTGGATGCTGTGAGGAAATAAGTATTGCATTGTAATCCTATGTTTAAAGGACCATGATATAAACTTGTTAGAATTCTATAAAAGCATGACGTGATAGGGAAAGCGATTGAGATAATTAAATTCCGAAAAGTGGGCGGAGTAGCAGGTAGAGTTAAGGACATAGTTTGGAAAATAATCGTGGTGTCATTGGGCTTCAGGTATGTGAGTTATCTCCAGAGAAAAGACGATGTGACAAAAAAAGTAGAGAAAAAACAGATAGTATAAATAAACCCACAGTAGATACAGATTTTAGAATGATCAGAAATGGACTTTAAAATAAATAGTTAACATACTCAGGAAGTAAAATAAGGTAGAGAAGAGAGAACTGGAAACCCATAAACAAACAAACAAAAAATTCTAGAACTGAAAAAATGCAGCACAGTATGAGTTTTACAACAGATTTAACACACATGAAGAGAATAGGGAGCTTGAAGACAAGAAAATTTCCAGACTAAAGAAAAAGATGGAAAATTCAGGAAGGTGTATAAGAGATAGAAGGGACATGGTGCAAAGGTCTATCATATGTGCAACGGGAATCCCAAAAAAAGAGGAGACAGATAAGAGAGCAGAAACAATATTTGAAAAAAATAACGACCAAGAATTTTCCAAAAGTGACAAAAAATCAAGTCATGAGCTTATTAAGAACCATAAACCTCAAGCAGGATAAACACAAATAAAACCATATATCTAGGCCTATCTTAATAAAATGGCCTTAAACAAAAGGGAAAGAGAAAAATATTAAAATCAACCAAAGAGGAGAAAATATACATTACTTTCAAACAAACAGCAATAAGATCAACAGCTGGCTTCTCGCTAGAAATGATGGAAGCTAGAAGACAATGTAATGATATCTTCAAAGTGCTGAAAGAAAATAATTGCCAACCTAGAATTCTATACCCATTAATTGAAGATGTCCTTCAAAAGTGAAGGTGAAATAAAGCATTTTTGGGCAAACAAAAATGGGAAATTTTTTTACTAGCAGACCTACCCTAAAGGAAATACTAAAAAGTTCTCCAGACAGTAGGAAAAAGATCCCAGGTAGAAGCATAAGGATGTGGGAAGAAATGGGCACCCATATGGATAAATCTACACAAATACTGACTGTATAAAACAATGACAAGAGTTACTTTTTTATGAACTATGTATTATGTTCCAGGCAGTGTGCATGCATTATTTATTCTGCACTACAACCCTATGAGTTTGGTACCATTATTAGTCCCATTTAGCACATAAAAAGACTAAAGCTTAGAGAGGAAAAGTAGCTTGCATGAGGTCATCTAAGCAATGAATTTGAATTGGCCCTACCCCCAAATCTATGCTTCTTTCATTAAATTGTGCTTTTCTGAGGTATCAGCAGCTGGTCCCCTTAAGTTCTAGGGAGAACTAGTGAGGTGAGTATCCATCTGGATCAGCTGGGGAGGATGTCATCTCCATATACTTCCCACTCGCTGTGGAAGGGACACTCAACGTAGCTCTGGAGGTGGGCACAGCAGCTAGCTAGACAACTTCCTGTCTTCGTGGGGCTGGCAAGTTCCTTCTGCTTCAAACAGCTTCTCTTCTCCTCACCAAGCACCCAATCACCAGGCATCTGAAAGTCACAGTGAAAATCTTGCCCTGGCTGTGAAATCTTCCCTGATATTGCCATTTATTCTGATTACTCTGCTTGTAACTTACCTACCAAATGTAGATATCAGTACATCATTTAAGACATTCTCAGTTGTTTCTTATGTGATAGCTCTTTTTTTCCTGCCATTAGATTGTAAGATCTTGGAGAGGAGAGGCCAAAACTTGTTTGCCTTTTTGTCTACCAATGTGCTTAGTGCAGAATCTGGCACTCGGAGGGTACTCAGGCAGTAAATACTCATTGATTTGTTAATTACAGTTCATCCTATCCATTGGCAGTGAAGCCAGAGCCCGTGTTTTGGGCATGAGTACCATGTGAACAATTGTAGAGTGTTTCAAGTTGCCTTGAAGTTAGCAGAGCAGTGGAACTCAGTAGAGTCTAATCATGGCTATGTTCACACAGCATCAAGACTTCTGGATTGAAATGTGTGAAATTAAGTCTGTGATTTACATTTGGATTATCAACCAATAAAATTTCCAATCACTACTAAGAGCAGCTGTTTAATGGAATTTGACTTTCTCATAGAATGTTGTGTCACATTGATTTGTGAGTCACCACAGTCAAACACTCCAGATGTCCCCTCAGCCCCATAGCTCTGGGTCCCACCTCAGAGCTGTGTGCCCTCCTCATTGACTCATGACTAATTTTTTAACCTGCTTTTCTCAATGCTGACATTTATGGAAGTCTAGACACATCGGTGGGTAGAGAAGACACCCACAAGGGTACCGTGGTGAATATCAACAAGTGTTCCATAATCAGACCAGGACACTGGTGGGCTGCTGGGAATGTGGAGCAGAGAAAAACTGTTTGAAGAAGACAAAAGAGTAAATAGCATTCTTGGCTGAGTAAGAAGAAGGGAAGAGCACTGTGTGGATCTCAAATGGCCCAATAGATATTGGATCTCTCTTAGTTTGGAAGAGGGCAAGAGGAAAGTGAAGGAAAAAGTGACTAGATAAAGGGTCAGCTCTGGTATTTCTTGAAGACCTCATCTGTGCTCAGCTTTGTTCTGAGAGGCAGGTGCAAGGGAAAGACATAGCTCCCATGTGGGTCTCAGACAAGGGTGAAGGAAGAAAAGGCAAAGTAAAGCATTTCTGGATGCAAGATGTAAAATATAGTGATCCACATACATCTTCGTTTTACAGGTGATTCTATTTTGTATCTCATATAAGCTGAACATAGTGGGTGGAAGAGATTTTTGACCTGTTGGCCTCCCATGAATGGCCAAGCCCAACGGTGGGTTGTATTTCACTGAATTGAATTAAACCTTAATCCCACACTTACATACACATACATGTACATACATGCAGACATACATACATTCTTTCAGTTGAAATCAGGAAACACTGTTGAATTAAGGATTTTTTAAGATTGTAAAACATTGCTGGGTGTGGTGGCTCACGCCTGTAATCTCAGCACTTTGAGAAGCTGAGGCAGGTGGATCACTTGAAGTCAGGCATTCAAGACCAGCCTGGCCAACATGGGGAAACCCTGTCTCTACTAAAAATACAAAAATTAGCTGGGCATGGTGGCTCAATTGTGCTCAATCCCAGCTACTCAGGAGGCTGAGGCAGGAGAATCACTTGAACCCAGGAGGTGGAGGTTGCAGTGAGCTGAGATCTCACCACTGCACTCCAGCCTGGGTGACAGAGTGAGACTCTGTCTAAAAAAAAAAAGATTATAAAACATCGTCACATTTTTTTTGCCAGGATTTTGACAGCAATTGCATCAAACCTGTGTATAAATTTGGGGAGAATTGACATCTTTACTCTGTTGAGTTTTCCAATCCACGAACATAGTATGTCTCTCCATTTTAATTAGGTGTTTGATTTCTTTCATTAATGTTTTGCAGTTTTCAGCATACTCCTGTATATGTTGGGGTTTTTTCAGATTTTTTTTCTGTCCCTGAGACATTTTATTTGTCAATATGTATTACGTCTCTAGAAAAAGAATCCCAGGATTTTCTCTCCTGTGTGTTTTCAGCTTCCTTTTTCATGGTCCATGATGCCAGCTGAGGTTGTCAGTACAATAAAACCAAACTGGCAGGATGGGAGCAGATTATTTTGTGATTTTTCTGGATCTTTGAGGTGGACGTCACATTTGGGGCTGATCACTCCACAATTATTTGGCCTGTCTGTGAGGTTCACAACAATTTTCCCAGCTCTGTGATAATCAGTGATTTCAAATTCACCAATGTGACCATGCTTCACCATCACAGTTAGAAACCGGACAGTGACTTTGGAGCATGGCCTAATAAGAACCTGCCATTTGCTTCATCAGCATTGTTGATGCTTTTGAGAGCATCAACGAGGACATTTATGCACACCATTGTGGCAGCACAGAGAGATGGCAGAAAGAGCTAGATTTACACCTAAATATTTTATTTTTGAGCAATTATAAGTGGCATTGTAATTTTAATTTTGGTTTCCATGTGTTCATTGGTAGGATATGAAAATGTAATTGATTTTCGTATGTTAATACTATATTCTGTGACCTTGCTGAACTCATTTACTAGCTCTAGGAGTTTTTGTTGTAGATTCCTTGGAATTTTCTGCATGGGTAATCATGTCATCTGCAAGTCGGGACAGTTTAATTTCTTTCTTTCTACCCTGCATGCCAACTGATTTCTGAAAAAAATACAAAAGTAATTCAATGGAAAAGTACAGTCTTTTCAACAAATAGTGCTGGAGCAATTAGATATCTATGGGTAAAACAAGCAAGCCAAAAAAACACAGATGTAACCCAAAAAATATTACCAAAAACCTAAAATAGCTTGACTTAACTTTACAACCTTATACCTTACACAAAAATGAGCTAAAAATAGATTATAGATTTAAATGTAAACTATAAAATTATAAAACTTTTAAAGAAAACGTGGGACCTCCAGAATTCCTAGAAATGATAACAAAAGCACTATCCATAAGAGAAGAAAATAAAAAATTGGGAAATTAAACTTCATTAAAATTAAAATGTTTTACACTGTGTAAGATCTTGTTAAGAGAATGAACAGACAAGCTACAGACTGGAGGAAAATATTTGCAAGCCACATATCTGATAAAGAACTCATATCTAGACCATATAAAGGAATCTCAAAACTCAACACTAAAAAAAAAAAAAAAGAAATAGGCAAAATACATGGAGTGACATTTCACCAAAGATATACACATGAAATAATGTACAGTATCACTAGTTGTCAGGGAAATGCAATTAGGATCATGATAAGATATCACTACACACTCCTTAGAACAGCTAAAATAAAAAAATAATAACGATACCAAACTCTGGTGAGGATGTGGAGAAACAGGATCTCTCATATATTGCTGATAGGAAAGTAAAATCGTATAGCCGCTCTGGAAAATAATTGATCAATTTCTTTGAAAAACCATATACTTGCCATATATCCCAGCAATTACACTCCTAGGGATTTGTTCAAGAGAAATAAAAAAATTATGCTCACATAAATCCTCTATATGATTGCCCACAGCAGCTTTGTTTGTAATAGCCCCAAAGTTGGAAACAACCAAAATGTTCTACAAAAGTCTAACGGTTAAATAAATGGTGGTACATACATTACATGAAATACTACTCAGAAATGAAAAGAACTATTCATACATGGAACAACTTGGGTGGATCTAAAGGGCACTATTCTGAGTGAAAAAGGCCAATCTTAAAATGATATATATTGTATCATTGTGTTTACATAAAATTTCAAAGTGAGAGAAGTATATAGTGGAAACAAATTAGTGGTTGACAGAGGTTAGCGATGGTGGGGGGCAGAGGGGAGAGAAGGTGTAATTCTAAAGGGATAGCATTAGAAAGATTTTTGTGGCTATGAAACAGTACTTTTTTTTTTTTTTTTTTTTTAAGACAAGCTGTCACTCTGTCACCCAGCCTGGAGTGCATTGGCTTGATCATGGCTCACTGCACCCTTGACCTCCTAGGCTCAAGCAATCCTCCCATTTCAGCCTCCTGAGTAGCTGAGACAAAGGCATATGCCACCATACCTGGTTAACTTTGTTTATCTTTTGTTTATTTATTTATTTATTTATTTTTTGAGACAGCGTCTCACTCTGTCACCCAGACTGGATGGAGTACTGTGGCAGGATCATGGCTTACTGCAGCCTTGACCTCCCAGGCTCAGGTGATTCTCCCACCTCAGCCTCCCAAGTAGCTAGGACCACAAGTGCACACCACCACACCTGGCTAATTTCTGTATTTTTTTTTTTTTTGTAGAGACAGGGTTTTGCTGTGTTGCCCAGGCTGGTCTGGAACTCCTGGACTTAAGCAATCCACCCACCTTGGCCTCACAAAGTGCTGGGACTACAGGTGCATGCCACTGCACCCAGCCAAATTTTCTTTATTTTTTGTAGAGACAAGGTCTCTTTGATGGACATTTAGGGTATTTCCAATTTTTCACTATTATACACAATGCTGCAATAGTCACTTTTATAAACTTCTTGACCGTGTGTAGAAGAATTTTTTGGAGACATATTTTGGAGTGGAGTAACATGGATTACATGTTAATTGCTCTCCAAGGTGGTTTTCCCCACACCATATGGAATTCCTGTTGCACTATATCATTGCCAGGATCTGGCAGTGTTTTTTCTTTTTTTGCCAATCTAATGGGTATGAAATGGGATTAGAGGCCAGGCACAGTGGCTCATGCCTGTAATCTCAGCAGTTTGGGAGGCTGAGGCAGGAGGATTGCTTAAGCCCAGGAGTTTGAGATCAGCCTGGGCAATATAGTGAGACCCTGTCTCTCAAAAAAAAAAAAAAAAAATTAGCCAGGCATGGTGGCTCATGCCTGTAGTCACAGCTAGTAGGGGTGAAGGTGAGGGGAGGGGATATAGGGGTTGGAAGGTGCTGAGGTGGAAGGATCACTTGAGCCCAGGGAGGTTGAGGCTGCAGTGAGCCATGGTCATACCATTGCACTCTATTTTTTAATTTCTTTTTTAAAAGGGTATTAAAATGTATTTAATAATTTATCAATAAAGGTCTTGCACACCTATTGTTAGATTTATTCTTAGATACTTTCTAATTTGATTTGCTATTGTAAATTACATTTACAAAAATTAAATGTTCTAACTTTGATAGTGGTATATAGATTATAATTAAATTTTGTATAATAATTTTTCATCCCAGAAGTTTGTTAAATTCGCTTACAAATTTTAATTAATTTTAAAATCATCTTGGGCCTTCTATGTGGACATCATATTATTTTGGAATAATTACAGTTTTATACTTCAAATAAAATACTGAATAGAACAATGAGAGTAGTATCCGTACCTTGTTCCTGATTTTAAAAATAAATACTTCTATTTCACTGTAAGTATAAGGTTTTTGGTAGCTATTAAGATCCCTCCTATTTCTAGATTAGTAAGTTCCTAATGCATTTTTAAGCAAAAGATTGCCTCTACTGAGTTAATGATGTAGTTTTTCTATCTTCTTCTGTTAATGTGATTTCTTGTATGAGTAGCTATTCTGGTATTAAATTTTCCTTGCCCTCGTGAGATAAATCTTACATGGCCTTAATTATACTATTATTATTTTAAACATGATTTGATTCTGTTTGTTAAAAATTTTTGTTTAACATTTTTTACATCTATTTTTCATAAACAAGGCTGGCCTGAAATGTTTCTTTCTTATACTATCTTTGTCTGATTTTGGAATCAAAATTTTTAAAGCCTCATACATTGCTGTGTTTTCTTCTTTTTTTCCTTCTCTGAAACAATTTGAATAAGATTGCATTTTTTTCTTGAGGTTTTGGTAGAATATACTTGTAAGATGATATGGCCCAGAAAGCCGTCTTCCCCCTCTTCCTGCAAATGAGTTTTTAACTATTGATTTAATTACTTTAATGATTAGTGTCTATTCTATTGTTCTTGGGTTAGTTTTTCTAGGTTTTGCTAGAAAAGTGGCCATTTTATTTAGGCTTTCAATTTTGTGGTTATAGAGTTTTCATCCTTTCTTATTATCTAATATATGCATTTAAGACTACAGATTTTCCTCTGGTATAGTTTCTGAAGTTTTGACTTGTAGTGTTCTCATTGTAAAAATATTTTCATTTCCAAATTTTTTCATTTCAAAATACTTTCTAATTTATGTAATAATTTCTTTTTGACCTATAGATTATTTAGAACTTAGTTTCTTAATTTCTAAACATTTGGTATTTTTGTTTGTTTGTTTTTTTGCTCTGTTGCCCAGGCTGGAGTGCAATGGCACGATCTCGGCTCACTGCAACCTCCGCCTCCCGGGTTCAAGCAATTCTCCTGCCTCAGCTTCCCGAGTAGTTGGGACTACAGGCGCGTACCACCATGCCTGGCTAATTTTTTTTTTGTATTTTTAGTAGAGACGGGGTTTCACCATGTTAGCCAGGCTGGTCTCCATCTCCTGACCTCGTGATCTGCCCTCCTCGGCCTCACAAAGTGCTGGGATTATACGCGTGAGCCACCGCGTCCGGCCAACATTTGGTATTTTTTTTAGTTATATTTGTTTTATATTTACTTTTGGCTTAATCTTTTTTTTTTTTTTTTTTTTTGACGGAGTCTTGCACTGTCGCCAGGCTGGAGTACAGTGGTGCAATCTCGGCTCACTGCAACCTCTGTCTCCTGGGATCAGGTGATCCTCCCACCTCAGCCTTCTGAGTAGCTGGGACCACAGGTGCGCACCACCATGCCCAGCTAAGTTTTTGTAGAGACGAGGTTTTACCATGTTGCCCAGGCTGGGATTAATCACATTTTAATCAGTGAAGATGCTCTATATTATTTCAATATTTTGAGAATTATACAAATCTACTTTATGATAATTATCAGTTTTTATAAATGTTCCATATATGCTTGAAAGTGGAGGTTTTTGCACTTACTGTTTCATTAGGCCAAGTTTGTTAATTTTATTGTTCCTCTATTTATTTATTTATTTATTTATTTATTTATTTATTTATTTATTTATTTATTTTGAGATGGAGTCTCGCTCTGTTGCCCAGGCTGGAGTGCAGTGGCGTGATCTCAGCTCACTGCAACCTCCGCCTCTTGGGTTCAAGGTATTCTCGTGCTTCAGCCTCCCGAGTAGATGGGATTACAGGTGTGCACCACCATACCAGGCTAATTTTTTTGTATTTTTAGTAGAGATGGGGTTTCGCCATGTTGGCCAGGCTGGTCTCAAACTCCTGACCTCAAACGATCTGCCCGCCTCGGCCTCCCAAAGTGCTGGGATTACAAGCGTCAGCCACTGCACCCAGCCCACCTCTTCTTACTCTTATCGATTTTTTTTGCTCATTCTAAGTTACTGAGAGAAATACGTTAAAATTCCCCATTATGTTTGTGTATTTGTATATTTTTCTTTCTAGATCTGTCAAATTTGCTTTTCATATTGTTTGTGTTATTAGATGCATACAAGTCTAAAATTGTTATAGTTCTCTCATGAATTGTACTTTTTTTTTTTTTTTTTTTTTGAGACGAAGTCTCGCTCTTGTCTCCCAGGCTGGAGTGCAATGGCACGATATCGGCTCACTGTAACCTCCTCCTCTTAGGCTCAAGCGATTCCCCTGCCTCAGCCTCCCAAGTAGCTGGGATTACAGGCAACTGCCACCACGCCCAGCTAATTTTTGTATTTTTAGTAGAAAAGGGGTTTCACCATGTTGGCCAGGCTGGTCTCAAACTCCTGACCTCATGTGATCTGCCCACCTTGGCCTCCCAAAGTGCTGGGATTACAGGCATGAGCCACTGCACCCGGCCTGAATTGTACTTTTTGTATTATGGAGGAACTCACTTTTTCACTAGAAATCCTTTATCATCAATTTGTTTTGCCTGATATTAGTATACCTGCAATAGTTTTTTTTTTTTGGTTAACATTTGTATGCTGTATATTTTTCATTCTTTTCCTTTTGATATTTATGTAACCTATGTTTTAGAGGTGTATCTTGAAAACAGCCTATAATAGAGTTTAACTGATAATATTTGACTTTTTAGCTGGAGCTTATAATTCTTTTACATTTATTTTAATTAGCAACATATGTGGATTTATATGGACTCTTATATTTCATGTGTTTTGTCCTACCTGTTTTATGTTTCATTTTTCTCCCTTCTGGACTTCTTACAGGATGATTTAGCACATCTTCATTTTTTCTTTTTTTAAAATATAACAAACTCCCATGTACCCACACTTGGATTCAACATGGCAAATCTTGTTTCATTTATAACTTTCTCTCACTTCTCTCTCTTTCTAGATTATTTTGAAAAGAAAAAGACATTGTATCATTTCATTCTTATTTTTTTAGAATGTATCTCTATGATAAGAATTCTTTTTTTAAAAAAACGTACGACAACACTGTTATTTCACCTAAAATTTAACAATTCACTAATATTATCAGTATTATTTTTTCTGGTTCTCTCTCTCTCTCTCTCCTACAATTTCTTCATTTGAATAAGGAGCCAGTAAAGATCCACTAATTCCAAGTCATTCATATGCCCCTTAAATCTCTTTTACTCTCTGATTCCCTTCTATCTCTTCTTTTTCTGTGATTGCCGAAGGACTGGGTAGTTTTTTCTGTGGTTTCCCACAGTCTGGACTTTGCCGATTTCATTCTTATTGTATCAATCAATGTGCTCCTCTCATTCCTATATTACCTGTAAATTAGTAGTTATATCTAGAAGCTTGATTTGAGATTAAGATTTCTTTTCAAGAACTCCTGACAGGTTATTTTGCATACTTCCATCAGGCAGCACAAAATATCTCTTTTTGTGATATTAGCTGACATTGATGATCATTACCTAGGTATATTAATTCGTTAGGGGCTACACAATATGGCGATATTATAATTCTATTGTTCCTTCTTCCTTCTTCATTTATTAGCAGGAATACCTCTACAAAGAGAAACTTCCCTTCCTCTCCTATTTGATTATGCTGGAGTACAGTGAGCTAAGACAAATACCTAATTCTTTCCCTTTGTCAGTTTTCTAAATAGCAGTTTGGTTCCCTAGCGTCCCCTAAAGGTGACCAAGGAATTATGAACCCTGTATGTGTAAACATAGTTGATGTGGGTCAATCTGCTGCCATTATTTTCCTTATTTACATATACATTTTTCCATCTTTGGCCAGTGTAAACCTCTATGGGTTGGCTCCTGAGTCCTTTTTGACACGAGCCTAGTAGTTTTGATAGCTGCCTTTCTTTCCATATGACAAGATGTTTATCCATCTTACGGCATGTCATGCCTTGACTTGGAGTCAGCCATTTCTTCAGGGAGTCCTGGTTTCTTTTAGTGAGAATAGTGTTTGAATCCCACAATCTGGGTGCTAGGGTGCTCATTGCCATGGGTTGGTCATTGTTTCTAAGCCTTTTCAGTGAACAGAGTTAGAAAATATGTAACTAAAGAAAAATATATAATACATCGTGAGTTTATACTGGTATTTTCAATTCAAGTTGAAATTCAGGATTACAGACTTTCACTTAACCTCCTCCATTCTTCCACACCAAAAATCCTGATTTACAACACCCACAAAATTTCTCATTTGATTTCCCCATAAATAGTTTAGAATTTTTTTGTCATTTTTTCCTTGGCCCTGAGCCTATATCCCTCTAGGGTTGTTCAGTTAAATTATTTGGGTGATTCTTTTGTGTTTGTGTCACCAACTAGATGGCATAAGTTACTTTAGGTTAGGTTCATTTATGTAAATCTGCATTTGATTTTTAGGGATTGCTTTATAATTTTCTTATAATTATATAAAGCATTTATATAGTTTCATGTATTCAGCAAAACCTGACTTCTATTCCTGTTACCTCCACAGTATTTCTTTGCTCCCTTATAGGAAACAATTGAAATATTTTTATATCGTATTTTCCTATTATTTGTTCTTAATATAGGCAAAAATGCGTATATGTTTATAACCCCCTAGCTTTTCTTAGATAAAATGATAACATACCATACGTGTTTTTCTCTGCCTAGCCTTTTTCACTTAGCAACATATCCTGGAGATCACTACATAGGATTATGCCTCTTTGCAGCTGTATAGTAGTCTATTTGTGAATGTACCATACAATATTTAACTAGTCTTCTGATGATGGATGTTTGGTTTGTTCGGGCTTTTGCTGTTATAAAGATTGTTACAATGAATAGACTTGTGTATGACTTTTTGTATTTTTACCAATGTCTCTTTGAGATTGATTTCTGAATTAAAGAATGAATATATATGTAATTTTGCTAACTATTGACAAATTCACTTCCATAGGGGTGTATGTGAGAATGCCTGTTTCTCCACAGCCTTTCCCATAGGATATATTGTCATACTTTTGAGCTTTTGCCAATCTGAAAGGTGAAAAATAGCACCTCAGGGCAGTTTAGTTTGCATTTCTCTTTGTGAGCAAGGCTGCACATCTTTCTAAATGTTTAATGCCATTTTCCTAGTTTTCATTTTTAAAATTCAGGTAACTCGCATATAGTAACATTCATCCTTTTTAGTTTGTGATTTTGAGTTTTGATAGATGCAAATTGTTGTATAGCCACCAGTACCTTCAAAATATAGAATCAATTCATCATCCTCCACATTTCCCCTGAGCCTCTTGGAAGTCCAGTCTTCCCCTTCCTCCTACTACCCACTGATTTTTTTGTTTCTGTAGTTTTGCTTTTTAAAAAACTACTGTATTTGGAATAATACGGTACATAGCATTTTGAGTCTGACTTTTTTTTCACATAGTGCAATGCATGTGAGATGGGCGTGTGTATCACTGGTTCATTTCTTTTTATTACTGAGCGGTATATCATTGTATAGATTTACCACAGTTTGCTTATCCATCTCCTCGCTGGAAGACATTTAGACAGATTCTAGGTTTTGGATATTATGAATAAAGCTGCTACAAATATTTACATGCAGGTTTTCTTGTATGCATTGATTTTCATTTCATCTGGGTGAATACCTGGGTTATATAGGGCAAGAGTATGTTTAACTTCATGAGGAAATGCCAAACTGTTGTCTAAAGTGGCTGTGTCAGGTTTTTTGATTGTAGGGTGGGAGGTGGGGGGGTTGTCTTTTTGTCATTTTAATAGGTGTGCAGTGGTATGTCATTGTGTGTGTGTGTGTGTGTGTGTTTTGGTCACCCAGGCTGGAGTGCAGTGGCATAATAAGGGCTCACTGCAGCCTCTACTTCCCAAGTAGCTAGGACTGCAGGTGTGTGCCACCATGCCTGGCTAATGTTTTTGAATTTTAGTAGAGATGAGGTCTTGGCCTATTGCCCAGGCTGGTCTCAAACTCCTGGGCTCAAGTGATCCTCCTGCCTCGGCCTCCCAAAGTGCTAGGATTACAGTCATGAGCCACTGTGCCTGGCCTCATTGTGGTTTTAATTTGCATTTGCCTAGTGATTCATGATGTTGGGCATCTTTTCATGTGTTTACCTGCCATTCGTATGTCTTCTTTGGTGAAATGTATGTTTAAATCTTTTGCCCATTAAAAAAATTGGGTTGTTTGATTATTGTTGGGTTTTGAGAACTTTTCATATATTCTAAATGCAAGTTATTATAAGGCATGTGATTTGCAAATTTCTCCCAGTATGTGGTTTGTATTTTCACTCTTTCATAGAGTGAAAAAATTTTAAATTTTGGTGAAGTCTGATTTCTTAATTTTCTCTCAAGGATTGTGCTTTTAGTGTTGTAGCTAAGAAATTGTTGCCTAATCTAAGGTCACAGTGATTTTCTCTAAGTTTTTCTTCTAGAAGTTGTACACTTTCAGCTCTTACATTTACGTTTGTTATCGATTTTTAATTTTTTTTTTTTTTTGAGATGGAGTTTTCACTCTTGTCGCCCAAGCTGGAGTGCAATGGCACAATCTTAGCTCACTGCAACCTCTGGCTCCCAGGTTCAAGTGATTCTCCTGCCTCAGTAAACCTCCCAAGTAGTTGGGATCACAAGCATGCACCACCACGCCCAGCTAATTTTGTATTTTTAGTAGAGATGGGGTTTCACCATGTTGGTCAGGCTAGTCTCGAACTCCTGACTTCAGGTGATCTGCCCACCTTAGCCTCCCAAAGTCTGGGATTACAGGCGTGGGCCACCACACCGGCCAGATTTTTAATTTTTGTATATGGTGCAAGGTATGAATAATTGTTTACTTTTTCACAGGTAGTATCCACTTGTTCCAGCACCATTTGTTGAAAAGACTGTTCTCTCCATTAAATTACCTTTGCACCTTTGTCAAAATCAATTTACCTTATATGTGTAGGTCTATTTCTGGGCCCTCTATTTATTCCATATTGATCTATATGTCTATCTTTTCTTCAATACTGCACTGACTTGACTGAAGAACTTCATGGGAAGTGTGAAAATCAGGTAACGTTAGTCTTCCAACTTTGCTCTTCTTTTCCAGAATTGTTTTGGCTATTCTAGTTCTTTTGTCTTTCCATATACATTTTAGAATCAGTTTGTTGATTTATCTAAAAATTATACTGGGATTTTCTTGAAATTATATTAAATCACTAGATTGGTTTGGGGAGAACTGCCAGGCTACCAATATTGAATCTTCCAATTCATGAACATGATATATCCTCTATTTATTTAGTTGATTTTCTTTCATTTGTAGTTGGTGGTTTTTAGCCTGCAGATCTTATACATGCAAGATTTATACCTAAGTATCTTATGTGTGGTTGTAAATGGCATTTTAAAAATTTAATTTCAGCTGTCCACAGTGGCTCATGCCTATAATCCCAGCACTTTGGGAGGCCGAGGCGGGTGGATCACCTGAGGTCAGGAGTTCGAGACCAGCCTGGCCAACATGGTGAAACCCTGTCTCTACTAAAAATACAAAAATTAGCTGGGCTGGTAGTACGCACCTGTAATCCCAGCTACTCGGGAGGCTGCGGCAGCAGAATCACTTGAACCTGTGAGGCGGAGGTTGCCGTGAGCTGAGATCACGTCATTGCACTCTAGCCTGGGTGACAAGAGCAAAACTCTGTCTCAAAAAAAAATTAATTTCTAGTTTCCATTGGTAGTATATACAATAGATTGATTTTTTTATACTAGCCTTGTATTCTACAACCTTGACAAACTCACTTATTTCTAGTAGGTTTTTGATAGATTTTTTTCAGGTCATTTTATCCAAAAATAGTCATATTGTCAGTAAAGAGAGGCAGTTTCTTCCTCTCCAATCTATATGCCTTTATTTATTTTTCTTTTATACTTCTTAGGGCCTCCAGTATAATGTTGGATAGGAGTGGTAAGAGTGAATATCTTTGCCTTAATCCTAAACTAGGAGAAAAACCATTTGGTCTTTCACCAATAAAATACGATGTTATAAAGTCTTTCACCATTATATATGATTCTAGCTGCAGAGTTTTAGCGATGCCATTTATGAGATTGAGATTGAGAAAGTTCATTGTTATTACTAGTTTGCTGATTTTAAAAATCATAAATGGATGTTGAATCTTGTCAAAGGCTTTTTCTGCGTCTGTTGAAATGATTTAGCCTGTTGATATGGTGAGTTACATTGACTAATTTTGGTTGCTGAACTATCCTTGCATTTCTTGGATAAATCCACTTGGTTATGATGAGTTATTCTTTTTGTTAATTTTGAACCTGACATGTCATGTTTTGTTAAAGATGTTTGAAGCTATATTTATGAAGGGTATTGATTTATAATTTCTTTATCTTGTAATGTTTTCATCTGGTTTTGATATGCAGGTGATGTTAGTCTTATAAGTTGGGAAGTATTCCATATATACTTTTGTATATGCTGGAAGTTTTTGTGAGAATTGATATGATTTCTTATTTGATGTTTGGAAAAATTCACCTGTGAAGACATCTGGGCCTTGAGTTTTCTTTGTTGGAAGGTTTTTAACCACAGATTCATTAAAAAAAAAAAAAAAGATATAGACTGGGCACGGTGGCTTATGCCTGTAATCCTAGCTTCCTGGGAGGCCAAGGCAGGAAGATCACTTGAGGTAGGGAGTTCGAGACCAACCTGGCCAACATGGTGAAACCCCATTTTACTGCAAATACAAAAATTAGCCAGGTGTGGTGGTGGGTGCCTGTAATCCCAGCTACTTGGGAGGCTGAAGCATGAGAATTGCTTTAACCCAGGAGGCGGAAGTTGCAGTGAGTCAAGATAATGCCACTGCACTCCAGTTTGGGAGACAAAGTGAGACTCTATCTCAAAAAAAGAAAAAAAGATATAAGAGCCAGGCGCGGTGGCTCATGCCTGTAATCCCAGCACTTTGGGAGGCTGAGACAGTCGGATCACCTGAGGTCATGAGTTGGAGACCAGTCTAACCAACAGAGAAACCCCGTCTCTACTAAAAATACAAAATTAGTCAGGCATGGTGGCACATGCCTGGTATCCCAGCTACTCGGGAGGCTGAAGCAGGAGAATTGCTTGAACCCGGGAGGCAGAGGTTGCGGTGAGCCGAGATTGTGCCGTTGGCACTCCAGCCTGGGCAACAAGAGCAAAACTCCATCTCAAAAAAAAATATATATATGTACATATATATATGAGTATTCAGGATATAATGGAGTTGTTTGTAGTTTTCTTTTTTTCAGCTTTTTTTTAGCTTGGCCTCCCAAAGTGCTGGGATTACAGGGAAGAACCACCATGCCTGGCCTGAATTCTCTGTTTAGATTTTCTAAATTACTGTTAAATCTACCCCAAGTTTTTAATTCTAACTCATATTATTTATGTATTTATAGAGACAGAGTCTTGCTGTGTGGCCAGGCTGGTCTCAAACTCCTGGCCTCAAGCGATCCTCCTGCCTCAGCCTCCCAAAGTGCTGAAATTACAGGCATGAGCCACCATGCCCTGCCCAAATTCATATTTAATTCTTAAATTTCAAGTTTGTTCATTTTCAAACCTGCCTGGTTGTTTGGTAAATAGTTTCTGTTTGCCTGCAGGGTATTTTTTTTTTTTTTAATGCTTGCCTTTCATTTCTTTAAAGATAGACTACACAATTGTTTTATAATCTAACCTTATAATTTCAGTGTACAATGAATGCCTTTGCCGATCTGTTTCTGTTGCATATTGTTTCTGCTATTTTTATTCATGGTGCATTGCTTGCTTTTGTGCTTGGTTATTTTTGACTATCAGCTGAACTTCTTTTTTTTTTTTTTTTTGAGACGGAGTCTCACTCTGTCGCCCAGGCTGGAGGGCAATGGTGCAATCTTGGCTCACTGCAAACTCCACCTCCCAGGTTCAAGCGATTCTCTGCCTTAGCCTCCCAAGTAGCTGGGATTACAGGTGTGTGCCACCATGCCCGGCTAATTTTGTATTTTTAGTAGAGATGGGATTTCTCCATGTTGGTCAGGCTTGTCTTGAACTCCCGACATTAAGTGATCCGCCTGCCTCGACATCCCAAAGTGCTGTGATTACAGGCATGAGCCACCGCACCCAGCTAAGCTGCACATTTTTTATGGGTACTTATTTGTGGTATTTCTTTGAGGCCTAGGATGAAGGTTCATTTTTGCAGACAGGATTTCATTTATTTCTTCCATATGCTTAAGAACACCACTGATACCAGTTCTCTTTAAGCTGAATTTATAGTTTGAAGTTATTTGGGCCATTCGGAAATCAGACTTATGGTTTCAATTTTTCAGTAATAGGGTTTTTTTTTTTGTTAGTGTTTTATTCCTGCTCTTCTCTGTACCAAGGCAACTTTTCATGTGGTCCCCTGAGAGTGTGAGGGTGGGCTGGACTTATTTCTATTTAAAGTGTATCTTGAGGGTATAGCTTTTTGGGCTCCCAACATTATGGAAAGAGATTCACTATGAGATTCCCCATGTTGGGCAGGCTTTGGACTTTGTCTTTTGTCTCCCAAGCCTCGTGAAGCTGAGTAAACTTAAGGTTGAAGTTCTTTTTCTTTGGCAAATGCTCTCAGAACAAATGTCACTTAAAGATTCTTGATTTTCTTTGTCACATAGATTTTGGTCTGATAATCCCCTAGTTGTCAGCTTTTTGAGGTTTTTAGAAAGAAAATTGTGGGCTGGGCGCAGCGGCTTACGCCTCTAATCCCGGCACTTTGGGAGGCCGAGGCTGGCAGATCATGAGGTCAGGAGTTCGAGACCAGCCTGGCCAACATGGTGAAACCCTGTCTCTATCAAAAATACAAAAATTAGCCAGCTGTGGTGGCAGGCACCTGTAATCCCAGCTATTCAGGAGGCTGAGGCAGGAGAATCGCTTGAAACTAGAAGGCAGAGGTTGCAGTGAGCTGAGATCACGCCACTGCACTCCAGCCTGGTCAACAAGAGTGAAACTCTGTCTCAAAAAAAAAAAGAAATAAAATTAAAAAAAATTATCTAGCATTTTTAGCTGTTTTTTAAGAAGGAAAATCTATCCAAGTTTCTATAAAATTTAATAACTATTATTTCTTCTTTTTTATACTTTTTTTTTTGAGACAGAGTCTTTCTCTGTTGCCCAAGCTGGAGTGTGGTGGCATAATCTTGGTTCACTGCAAACTCCGCTTCCTAGGCTCAAGTGATCCTCCCACCTCAGCCTCCCAAATAGCTGGGACCACAGGTATGTGCTGCCATGCCCAATTAATTTTTAAAAATTGTTTGTGTAGATGGGGTCTCACTGTGTTGTCTAGGGTAGTCTCGAACTCCTGGGCTCAAGCTATCATTCCGCCTTGGCCTGCCTCCCAAAGTGCTATGATTACAGGTGTGAGCCATCATGCATGGCCTATAACTATATTATTTCTTTATAGAAATTTTATGTCACTTTAAAAACCTTGCTCCTTTTCAGTTTTTGACCCTTTCTTTTATATTACCAATGAATTTGCATTTTTGATTTTATAGTCTGCATTGAATAATTCTATTAACTAAAAATCCTATGGGTCAAATTCTGTTATTTGTTGTTTCTTATAACTCCCGTTCACTCTGTCTTCTGTCCTTACGTGTTTTGCAGTTTGGGAGTTCCAGCTGTCATTTAATGGAGCTTTTTTAGTGGTATTCTGTGCAACGTATCTAAGAGTATATTCCTTCTAGAGATGGTTTACATTTGTTTCTGTCTTGTGCTCAAGGCATTACTAGAAGGAGCTGCTTTTATGTGGCTTTCTTAATTGTGAGGCTCTGAGACAATGCAGATAGTGTAGAGCAGGCCTGTGGTTATAAATTGTTAAGAAGATGTTCTTGGCTACCCAGATCCCCAGTCTAGATAGACGGGCTTCTGTGCCACCTCCCTTTGACAGTGCGCATATATATATATTTACTTTGCCTTTGCACAAAGACCATAAAACTTCAAGGATCATGTTTTTTTAAGGTCTGCCTCCCCATTTTATCCAGTCCCAAGGCTTTGTGTCTCATCCCTATATGGCTATTCAAACCCAAGCTTCTTTCTTTTTAAAAACTGCTCTGAACACAGCCATTGCCTCAGCACCACTTACCACTCTAGTTTTCAGCTTCCTTTTTTTTTTCCGTCTCTAAGAATTTTCTTATGAGATCAGCCATGCATTTAAAGGATTTTTGTTTTACTTTATCCAACATTTCTTTCCTTCTTTTTTTTTTTTTTTTTTTTTTTTTGAGACCGAGTTTCGCTCTTGTTGCCCAGGCTGGAGTGCAATGGTGGATCTTGGCTCACCGCAACCTCCACCTCCCCGGTTCAAGTGATTGTCCTGCCTCAGCCTTCCTGAGTAGCTGGGATTACAGGCATGTGTCACCATTCCTGGATAATTTTGTATTTTTGGTAGAGATGGGGTTTCTCCATGTTGGTCAGGCTGTTCTCGAACTCCCGACCTCAGATGATCTGCCCATCTTGGACTCCCAAAGTGCTAGGATTATAGGCATGAGCCATCGTGCCTGGCCAACATTTCTTAGTATTTGGTAATAGGAGGCTATTTCTTCTGCCACATTGCTAAAAACTAAAGTCAATTCATTGATTTTTTAGGAAGAATCTACATGGTGTCCAATATCTGGTTTGAATACGCATAAAAAGAAAGTTTTAACTGACGTTTCTGAAGACTGAAAATAGTGAAGGCAAGGACGTTGTCGTATTTGTCTATTTCTCATGCATAGATACAAAGTGCTAATCATTGTTAAAGAGTAAGAATACATTGATCTAGAGCATATGAATTGCCGTTCCTTCAAGCCTGCACTCGCTTCTGAACAACAATAAGTAAAATGTCTCAGCCAATCTAAAAATTGTTCTCAAGCAGACATCTGATTAGAAGGCTTTTGTTTTTCTATTTTTAATTTTTATTTTTTTATTTGAGACAGAGTCTCGCTCTGTTTTCCAGGCTAGAGTGCAGTGGCGCGATCTCAGCTCACCGCAGCCTCTGCTTCCTGGGTTGAAGCCATTTTCTTGCTTCAGCCTCCTGAGTAGCTGGGATTACAGGCATTTGCCACCATGCCAGGCTAATTGTTGCATTTTTAGTAGAGACAGGGTTTCACCATGTTGGCCAGGCTGGTCTCGAACTCCTAGCCTCAAGTGATCCACCAGCCTCGGCCTCCCAAAGTGCTGGGATTACAGGCATGAGCCACCGCACCCTGCCTGAATGCTTTTGCTTTTCCAGGATAAAAATAGGTGGCTAGGATAAAAAGCAAGTGGATAGCAAGGCCGTTTCCTTCTATTTTGGTGACTTCTGACCTGGGTTGAGTCTACACGCAGACATTTTTATTCCATACTTGTTTGTAGGCTGGATACTGCCCAATGTAGTGTGATTATATTGAATGATGTTGATAACAATGTCTGATCCCTCCTCTCCCACGTGCATGAACACACATATACACACGTACACATGCATTAGAAGTGCACTACCCCTCTAGGTAAATGATTACAGCTATCCATAGGAGTTTGTATGCCCAGAAGGAGAGCCTTGCTGGGTGTGAAAGGCCTTGGGAAGTGGACACTCTTGTAACTTGCTGTCCACCTGCAGCCTCCTTCTGTGGGGTTCCCATTCTCATCAAGCAGAGCATGGCTGCATCCCAGAGCTTCCCATACAGAGGCTCTGCCAAGGCTTACTGATAAATTACCAGCCAATGTCGGAGTTAATCAGAGAGTTCCAAGGCAGCTAGAGTGGGGATTTGAGAGAAAACAGAGCGAGTGGCTGCCAGCTTCAACCCACTACCTACATTTCCTTTCTAGGATGCTCAGGATATGATGTTCAGGCAGCTTCTTTATGGGATGGTGTTGACTGCACACTCTCCTTGGGCAATTCAAGAAGCAGCAACCAGGGGATGGAGAGATGGGAAGGGGAGGCAGGAAAGGTCGTGGATGGCCTTAGAGCTGAGGATAGGAGCAAAATGACACAAAGTTTACTCTATGGATGGTGGTGTTGAGAGTGGGCGTGGGGAGGCTACTGCTGATGCAGACAGATGGACTCTTGGGACCTGGGGCTTATGGTGTCTGTATATTTGCATTTGGGGCTTTAGAGAGGAGTTTAAACTAGTGCAAATGGATGTGGCATTGACTGTCTGACAATAGGAGGCCGCAGACTCATTCCCTATAGTCTAGTCTTCTAAATAGATAGGCACGCCGACCACACATCATGCCTTATACTGCAAATGTTAGTTGTGACTCTGAAGAGGAGCTAGTCAGAATGCTAAACTATGTTCTGCCCTGCCAGATTCTGTGGGCAGATATATGTTGACTATTGCGTTAGTCTGTTCTCACACTGCTATAAAGAAATACTTGATACTGGGTAATTTATAAAGAAAAGAGGTTTCATTGACTCACAGTTCCACATGGCTGGGGAGGCCTCAGGAAACTTACAGTCATGGTGGAAGGCACTTCTTCGCAGGGCAGCAGGAGAGAGAATGGGACCCACGCGAAGGGGGAAGCCCCTTATAAAACCATCAGATTTCCCGAGAACTCATTGACTATCACAAGAACAGCATGGGGGAACTTGCTCCCATGATTCAGTTATCTCCATCTGGTCCTGCCCTTGACATGTGGGGATTATTACAATTCAAAGTGAGATTTGGGTGGGGACACAGAGCCAAACCATATCAACTATATAACACACAAATATGCACTATGTTATGATTTGGCCCTAAAGCTCTATGTATAATCCCAGGTTCTACTAAAGCAACTTAGACCACATACAGAGGAGTAGGTCCCCTGGCATCCAGCCAGGCTTCTTTTCCCTTGGCCCCACCTCAGTTCTTGTTTAGGGAGTGGGGCATGGAAAAAGGGGTGGGAGGAAGTCCTTGGCCCATTTTACTGTAACAGCTCTCTTGGGAGGTCAAGAAACAAGAAGGTGCACATAACACTTAAAGGAAAGGCCAAGAGGCTCAGACCCTCACCTTCCAGAGTGATGAGAGTCAGAATTTCCCATGTCAGTACTTTACCTTTCCTGTGTCTCTCCTTCCCATCACATTGGCCTGATAGTGTCTTTGGTCTCAGTCTAGATTGTTGGTCCTTGAGATGGAGGCAGAGAGGAGAGTCTTGAGCTCCCTTCAGGGTTGGAGTAAACCGAGAACAGAGACCTGAGCACTTCCTTAAGGAAAGTGGTGGGGTCCCCTTTCCTCTCTGTACTGCTCTCCTGCTTTCTTGGAATCACTGGCCAAGTGTCCCCATGGCTGGACATTCTTTCCCTAGAACATCTCATCTCCCTGCCTTGGGCTCTCCTTCACTTACTATTACTTGGACTCCTGCCAGAGGTTGTTGTTCCCCTGGGATACAGAGCTGCCTGCTGGACAGACCCTTTCCTCCCGACCCCTATAGCAGAAGCCCTCCTCCATTCTCTATTCTGCCCTATCGAAAGGATTTAGTGTTAGGACCTGGATGCTCCCACTTTGCATGGCTACCTGCAAATGACTGTCCATGCCCAGGCAATTCCTGAGATGTGACACCTACCATGCAGGATCCCTTTGGCTACTGAGTGATGAACTGACTGTAGGGGCAGGGGTGAATGCAAAGAGCCCATTTATGAGGCCATCACAATGATCCAGGTGAGAGAAGGTGGTAGGTTGGTTCAGGATCACAGTGGTGGGGTGGAGCTCACTGGCTGCATACTTTTTCTTTTTCTTTTTTTTTTTTTTTTGAGACAGGGTCTTGCCCTTGCTCTGTTGCCCAGGCTAGAGTGCAGTAGTGCGATCACAGCACACTGCAGCCTCCACCTCCTTGCAGGTGACTGGATTCTGAATATATTCTGTAGGTAGCATCATTGGGATTTATTAACATCTTGGATATAGGATATGTGAAAAGAGACCAGTCAAGAATGACTTCAAGATTTGAGACCTGGGCAGCTGAAAGGATTGTATTGCCATTAACTGAGATGGGGAGTTTCTATGGGGAGTGAATTTATGAAGATTATTAGTTCAGTTTTGAATTTGTTAAATTTGACTTTATATATGTTACAGATCGTTTTATATATTATTTAAAATATATCATATATAAAATATATCATATATTATGTAATATACAAATATATAATATATACATATAATATATGCATACATATATGCATATATGTACATATAATACACGTATGCATACATGCATATATGTACATATATGCATGCATATATATGTACATATATACATGTATGTATATATACACATATACATATAATATATTATATATGATATATTTTATATATATCTATCTCCATATGGAAATGCTGAGTAGACATTTGGGTAGTGTCCAAGTTCTGAGACAACACTTGGGCTAAGCCGTTTGTGTGGGAGTCATCAGTGGGTATAGATGGAAAAGAGAAGTCGTGCAAGGACTGAGCCCTGGGACACTCTAACCTTAAGAGGTTGGGGAGATAAGACTTTGCTAACTTATGTCCTTATTATGTATCTTTTTCCATCTCCCACTAGGATGCAATTCTGTGACAGTAGTGACCTTGTCTTTGTCTGTCTTGTGGCCCAGCACTAGCTATTCAATAAAAAATTGTAGAATGAATGAAGACAAAGATGTATACCACCTATGTGATCTCTGATGCTGGAGGGGACATGGCAGACTTGTCCACTTGGGTGCCACCTATTTACATGCAGTCAGTTCTTTGGTCAGAGGTTGGTGTGCGTCGTCAGAAAGAATTCTGACACTACCCCTGCCCCTCTTGTACCTTGAAGCTGCTTCTTGGGGGCTGGAAGATGAAGGAGGGGCTGCTGAGAGGAGCCAGGAGCCACAGCTTTTGAAGGTGGCAGCCTACACATCCCTGTGAAGTGACTCTGGGGGATGGGGTCTCTCTCTGGGCAAACTCATCTTCCTGCTGTGATTCTCTTCATGCCTGTGTTGAAGGCACAGGAAATGCTCTAATCCTGTTATCCTTGAGCTTTCCAGTCCAGGAGTCTAAAATCCAATTCCCCCAAAACATGAACAAACATAATGGAGGCAGATGACAGAGGAAATGCCAGAAGGCTTGGGTGTCATCACGAGCTGATGGAGCCCAGCTCAAATGAGCTCATCCCTGACGATGAACTTGGGAAAGGCTAGGCTCTGCGTCAGGCCTTCCCACCCCCATATCCTGCTGTCCTTTTTCCGGGCTAATTGCTTTGTCTCCCATCAGGCCCAAGTGTGCCCCATTCATCTGTGCATACCCCTTTAATTCCATACCCTCCCTAGCCCCCATATATCAGAGGCCCTTCCTAGACAGAGGGTCAGCTTGTCAAGTAGAACTTCTTACGACTGATGTTTTGCATTCTTGGACTTCTTGGCTTGTCCTCATTCTTGGCAAAGTCTTCCTTTCTTGGTGCTATTTCCACCTGCAATCTCCAGGTGCAGAGAGCTGGGCATGGCTCCAAGGGTATTGACCAGCTGACCCAATGTCTATTCACCAGCCTTCTGTCTCTGAGGGTCTGTCTGGAGCTGTTCTTGTGGTCACAGCCTGTATCTGCCTTCTCCTGACTTTCTCATAGAAAGTTATGATGACATGATTTCAGACTGATCATTTCAAATGCAACAAGCGCTTGCAAGCTTAAGCATCGATAGCATGCAGACTCTTCAGAATAATAACATAATTTAAGGGGGTGCTCTGATGGGGAAGATAGGTAACATTTTAACTAGAAAATTAAAAGTCACCCACAATTGCATGACCTAGAGATAGCCATGGTAAACCCTTAGGTGTGTTTCCTTCCAGGTTTTTCCATGCATATTTATAAAGCATTGCTGTGATCATACCGCTGGGTCTACCCAGTCGGCTTCCAGGTGGGCATTTCAGATGCACAGGAGAGATGCATCATCCTGCATGTGTCTTTTGCAGAAGAGCTTCGGCTCTGTGAGCATTGGTCCAGCTCCCCAAAGCCAGCCTGATCCCATATCAGACCAGTCCTGTTTCTTCTGCTGTGCTAAGAAATTGGCATTTTCTTTGGGTTTCATAGCTTCAAGCCCTAATCCAAGCTGAGCTGTTCTTGCATTCCCTTGCTCCAGAGAAGGTGGTAGTTCCTCAGTTTTTCAATTTTATTTTGAGCTCAGCAGCAGCTGCTCATTGACCTGGCCGTGAGCAGCAAAGACTGCCTACGTTCCACCTTTTAGGGAGTGGAACAGCTAACTACCCCCTCTCTCTGTCTCCTGGATGTCCCACCCTTCTTTTTTTTTTTTTTTCCCACCCTTCTTTTGATCTGTCTCCCTTTTAGGATTCTGAGCACTTTTCTGCTTTTCTCCTTCACAGAAAGGGCCAGAGGCTGTTGACTTTCCCGTTACCAGTGAAAGCTAGCATCAGTTAGTAGCCACTTCCCATCGATTGGCAGGAAAGCAGCTGCCAGACCCGGCAAAGTCACACGAGGACGCAGGTAGGTAAGGGCTTCTCTTCACAAATATCAGTATTTCTTCTCCAGCAGTGACTGGAGCACTAGAAGATGTCAGAAAGGAGACTGCTTTGTTCTCTCTGTCCTGCCACTCGGCCCTGTGATGCTTCCCAGCATAGGATATAGCCTTACCCCTGAGTGAGCCGATGATGTCATAACTGTTTACGGTTTTCCCCTTTGCACTAGCTGACCTCTCTGGAATGTCTCTATGCTCTCTGTCTCTCTGGGTTCTGCCCACTTATGCACACTCTGCTTAGTTCTCCTCTACCTAGAAGCTGTCTCCCTTCCCCTGAGCCCCTGCTCCAAATTCCTGAAGCACATGCAGTCCCCATTATCACCATCCTAGAGCCAGATAGCCAGGGACTCCTCTCTCGGCTTGTGATATATTATTATTACTTTTTTAGAGACAGGATCTCACTCTGTCACCCAGGCTGGAGTGCTGTGGCATGATCACAGTTCACTGTAGCCTCAAATTCCTGGGCTCAAGTGATCTTTCTGCCTCAGCCTCCCAAGTAGCTAGGACTACAGGCGTGTACCACTGAACGTAGCTTACGGTTCTAATTTCTGCAAGAATTATTAAAAAGGCCTCCTATGCTATGTTTGCCATAAGTTTTTGAAGTTTTGAGACCCTGTCTCAAAATGAAAATACCTGATACAAGGTATGTGTTTTGTTTAGAGACAGGTTTTGGGACTGAGGCTGGAGTGCAGTGCTGCAATCATAGCTCACTATAACTTCAAACTCCTGGGCTCAAGCAACCTTCCTGCCTCAGCCTCCTGAGTAGCTAGGACTACAGGTGCATGCCACCATGCCCAGCTAATTTTTCTATTTTTATTTTTGTAAAGATGGGGTCTCACTATGTTGCCCAAACTTCTCTCGAACTCCTGGCCTCAAGCCGCCCTCCTGCCTTGTGGGCTTGCACTTTAGAAGGCTTCCCTCTGGCCCTCCTTGCAACAGGCCCCTCCCCACAGGGCACAGTATTTCTCGACTATGTTCATGTACCTGAGACACCAGAATTTCCTGCCCAAATGATGCCCAGTCCCCTGCCAGGTGTTAAGTGTGTGACCACAGAGGACAGCTATTTGGCAGGAGTAGAGTGGGGACTTGGATGTATGGACCATCTTGTCTACACATATGTGCAAAACCCCCACAGGGTGTGGAAAAAGGAATGGAAGGAAGTTGCTGGGGTGGCCCTGAGCCAAGGGCCTTTGCTCATGTTCTTATTTGCACTCTTGCAAATAAGGAGAGGCTCTGCAGAGGGCAGGGGGTGCCTGGTCCCACACATTTTAACATTCACTCCTTTCTGCCTAGCTTTATTCTCTAGGCAACAAGAATAGACGCCTTCTGAGGGTGAGAATCATGGCTTATCTTTTTTACATCTTCCATCCTATCAAGGGTTTCTGAACTGGCATGAGAAATTGACTGTGTCCACTAGTGAGAACTTTGGCTAAGCAGGTACCACAGCCCCTCCTCAGAACATTTGCCAACTGAGTCTTTTCCTTTCCCACCTGGCCCTGGCTCAGGGGAGGAGGCTGGTAATCCACAGTCCTGGAGTTACTGGTCACCTTCTTCTTGACTCCAGAGGCAGCCTGTGCCTGGCTGGCTCTGAGAGGGCAGGGCAAATTTTACTCTGAGGTTCCTTGTAGAATTGGAAAGACAGCTGCATATGGTAGGGACTCAATAAATACTGGGTGAGCAAGATGTGAGTAAAACTGGGTGTAATGCTTTTTATTTTTTGAGATGGCTCACTGCAACCTCTGCCTCCTGGGTTCAAGTGCTTCTCCTACTTCAGCCTCCTGAGTAGCTGGGATTACAGGCACATGCCACCACACCCAGCTAATTTTTGTATTTTTAGTAGAGACGGGGTTTCACCAGGTTGGCCAGGCTGGTCAGGAACTCCTGACCTCAAGTGACCTGGTGCCTTGGCCACCCAAAGTGCTAGGATTACAGGCGTGAGCCACCATGCACAGCCCAGGGCCTGATGCTTTCTAGGAAGAAGAGGAGATGGAACAGGCCATCCCAGATGTGTGTGAGGCATGGGAAGGGATACCCTGGAGGGACATTCCTTTAGGGGCCATTAAACAGGCCAGGGACAAGGAGGACCTAAATCAGAGAAAATGCTTTGGGTAAGTTCCATCATAAAATGCTGCCACCCAGAACTAGAGAAACTCCAGGGGCACCCCAGTGGGTGTCCAGGGGGTGGCTCTGAGATGAGGTAGCTTGGCCCAGGGGCTGGTGGCCTCCCCCTGGGGCTAGAGACTGCAAGGCCAGGCCCCCTGGACTGCTTTAGACACTGGGGTCCCACTCTTCTGGCCGGGCTGCAGGTGGTAAAGTCTGGCCTGCTTGTGGGGAATGGGGATAGGCTTGGAAGAGGGAAATCCTTCCTGTGTCCTGAGTGGCTGCCTGGCTCTGGCCGTAGAGATGCTGTCAGGCTATCTGTCTGGAAGAGTAGATGATGGAGCTGATAGAATTTAAAAATGGCCAAGCTCTGTAGCCAGATTCCTGGGCTTCTTGGTGTCCACTGTGCTCTTTTATACCCTCTCTCTTTCTCCTAATTTAATGCACAAGACTACATTCAACTTAACTAGGATTATATGTCTTATAAATTTAATATTTAATATCCAAGCAAAGGCTCCCCCCCTGCATATTTATTAAAGATGTCCTGGGAAGAATGTTAATGAGTCATGACATCATAAATACTTGGAATGAAGGAGCTGGAGACAGGGAAGAGGGAAGAGGGGAGAGAGAAAACCAGATCATTTTAAGAACCAAAGAGGAATTAAATTTTCCTCTCAGATTGGGGTTTGTTGTATAGGCTGCTTGGATTTTCTGGCTGGGGCAGAAATACGATCTCAGGATTCAGAGCTGTGAGCTGTGTTCTTGTCCAAAGCCAGGCAGGCCTGGGGGTACCATGTGTGCTGGCTAAGTCAGACTTGTTTTGAATTTGGGTACATGCTGTGCTTTCAGGATGCCGAAGCACACATTTTAATGAATAATGGAGGAAAACATCCTAGCCAGATGTTGCACC
Source organism: Homo sapiens (assembly GCF_000001405.40). Lineage (NCBI taxonomy): Eukaryota > Metazoa > Chordata > Mammalia > Primates > Hominidae > Homo > Homo sapiens. The sequence goes on from NC_000007.14 coordinate 131,727,004, forward strand.
CATTCGTATCCTCTTCTCTGGTTATTTGAAAGTAGCATTGGTGTAGATTCAGCGTTTGGATGCTTGACTTTAATGCTGAATCTCCATCCAGAGGCTTCATATTTTATAATTAAAATAACATGGGAAACCAGGTGCAGAGCTTGGCCATTTGTAAATTCAGCAGCTCCATTGTCCACTCCTCTGGACAGATAGCCTGACAGCATCTCTAGGGCCAGCGCCAGGCAGCCATGCAGGACACAGGAAGGATTTCCTTCTTCCAATCCTATCCCCACTTCCCACAAGAAGGCCAGACTTTACTACCTGCAGCCCAGCCAGAGGAGTGGGATGCCAGCATCTACAGCAGTCCAGGGAGCCTGGCCTTGCAGCCTCTAGCCCCAAGGGGAGGCCCCCAGCCCCTGGGCCAAGCTACCTCATCCCTCATCTCAGAGCCACCCCTTGGACACCCACTGGGGTGCCCCCTGGAGTTTCTGTAGTTCTGGGTGGCAGCATTTTGTGATGGAACTTGCACTACAGTGTGCGCCTGTTGTCTCAGCCACTTGGGAGGCTGAAATGGGAACAGCACTTGAGCTCAGGAGTTCAAGGTTAGCTTGGGCAACATAGTGAGACCCTCATCTCAAAACAAAAACCAAAAACCACACACACACACAAAAAGAACAAAAAACCAGACAACAGGGAAATAACATGGGGAGGAGGAGTGATGGGGCAGAAAGAAGAAGAGAAGAAAGATTCTCCCACGGCTTTGTGGAGGCCTAAAAGCTCATCTCCAGAGCTGGAGAAGAACTTTTTCCTCATTCGATTCCCCAACTGCCTTATTTCTCTAGACGCGAATGATTCACAAATCCCTCTTTCCTGATGGGATTCATTTATTGAACATTTTGGGCTGAAAGGGATAAAAGGACACCAGGATGAGTTTCCCTTCCTGTGCCCTAATGACATCTCAGACAGAGCCCTGGATTTCCAGACCCTTTGTGGAACTAAAAAGCAGCCTGGTCTACACCAATGTAGAACTCACTTCTCAATCTTGCATCCGTTCAGGGCTCCACTCCTCCCTCTGCTCAGCTTGACATGGCCTCTCAGAGTGTTGCTGTGGTGGGGAAGAAATGTCCAAACAGACCTGGGGAAGACTGAGCAGACCTCCTCCTGCTGGGACTGAATGAGATCCAGGCACTCCCTGTCTCTACAAAAGGTTCTGTTGGAGCCCCTTCACTTGACTTTGATTCTGGGAAGCTTCTTCCTCCCCTCCCCTAGGGAAGGCAGGTGTAATTGTAGTTGAGGGGAAGGCCTTCTTAAAAGTTTCTGGCAGCTTCCTTAAGAATGTAGGGAGCACTTCATGCCATTATTTTTGGATTTAAGACCTTAGCTGTAATTCGGCAAGCCAAGGCAATTGGAGAAATACCATTGAGCAAACTCTTTCATTAATATTCTGCAGTTGAAATGATATACTGACAGTCTCATATGCAGAGATTCCCTCCCATCTTCCCATTCATTCATTCACACACTAAACTCCTTGGCTCTTGTATCCTCCCAGGGGCTTAGTGTTAGGGATACAGATGTGAGCAAAACCAGTCATCCTTGCCTTCAGGGAGCTGACAGTCAGTGGAAAGGCAGAACAGCCCATAGAGAATCAGGGGATGGGTAAGTGGCCATGGGAGGGTACTCTGAGGCATCCAGCCTAATTGCTGGTGGCTGTCAGAGAAGGCTTTCTGGATAACTAAGTGAAAACGAAACAGTGAGACCTGAAGGCGGGGTAGGAATTAACTAGACGAAGGGGCTGAGCAACCTAGGCAGAGGGATCAGTATATTAGTTTGTTCTCATGCTGCTAATAAAGACATACCCGAGACTGGGTAATTTATAAAGAGGTTTAATTGACTCACAGTTTCACATGGCTGTGGAGACCTCACAATCATGGCAGCATGAGGGAATAGCAAAGTCACATCTTACATGGCAGGCAAGAAAGCATGTGTGCAGAGGAACTTCCCTTTATAAAACTATCAGATCTCCTGAGATTTATTCACTATCACGAGAACAGCATGGGAAAGGCCCACCCCCATCATTCAATTACCTACAACTGGGTCCCTCCCATGACATGTGGGAATTATAAGAGCTACAATTCAAGATGAAATTTGGGTGGGGACACAGCCAAACCATATCAAACTGTACGTGCAAAGGCCGAGAGGAGAGAAAGCCCAGGGTGATGGGATCATAGAGGGTAGGGTTTGAGGGGGTGAGGATGAAGGGACAGCAGGCACTGAAAGGTGGCCAGAGCCTGAACATAAATGGCCTGGCACCTTGAGGGGCCTTTATCTTGAGGACAACAGGCATTTCTGGCATGTGTCCCACGGTGGGGCGGGGGACAATTCGTTTCCCAGCTACAAAACAATGCTTGGCTCTGGGTGGAGAATGGAAGGTGGGGGGCGGGGCCTTGAGTCAGGGGGACCAGCTAGGAGGTTGCTTCCCTTTCTTCCAGTCCTGTTTGCCACTGGCCTAGTCCAGGGAAGAGAAGCTGATGGCCTGGACTGGGCTAATGGCAGACAGGACCAGGGCAAAGTAGACAGATTTGAAAAATGTCCTGTTTCTTATTTGCATACTCCAATTTTTTATTGCAGAAAGAGCAAAGAAGTCCTCAACAGGGCAAGTGCCCCCTTTGTCTGTGATCTCACCTCCATGTCCAGCCTGTCCACTAGCTTCACCGATGGCCACCCCAAAGATTTACAAGCATAGACTTTAGTCCCTTGGTTCTGGGGTCAAGGCAAATGTAGTTGTAAAGTGAGTTGCCATGGCAACCCAAAAAGAGCTTGGGTTTGGCCTGGCAGATTGGAGGTGATAGAGGCAAACATGCATTGATGAGTGAAGGAGTTTGTGACTCTGACACAGAGCTGAGGAAATCAGAATTGTTTCCTATGTGCCCAGCCACATCACTCTGGTAGGCTAGGCAGTGAGGCCAGGCAGCCCTGGGAGGAGGCAGGTCTGAGTTCTGACCTGGTGGGAACCAGTAGGAGGGTCATGGTGACTAAGGTAACTGGAAGTCTTATGGCCCGTGGGGGATGTATATGGTGGCCTTGCCATCTGAGATCCAAAGGGCAGGGAGGTGCTGCAGTCATGGAGGGGTGGGCAGCAGGCAGATCCCAGGCAGATGGGCTTTGTCACCCAGGAGGGAGTTTTCTGGGAGGGGCTGGGGGGCTTATGAGGGATACCTCAGTGCTGCCCTTGAGAATGTCATGGTAACTCATGGGGCTCTCAGCTCTGTGAGGGCTTCTTTTTTTTAAATTTAAATTTTAGATTCAGGGGGTGCATGTGCAGGTTTGTTACAAGGGTATGTTGCATGATGCTGAGGTTTGGGCTTCTGTTGATTCCATCGCCTAAATAGTAAGCATAATACACAGTAGGAGGCTTCTTGACAGCCCTGGCTCCCCTCCCTTCCTCCCTGCTTTTGGAGCCCTTGATGTCTTTTGTTCCCATCTTTATGTTCATGTGTAGCCAATGTTTAGCTCCCACTTATAAGTGGGAATATGTGAGGTATTGTTTTCCATTTCTATGTTAATTGGCTTAGGATAATGGCCTCCAGCTATATCCATGTTGCAATGGTTGCAAAACATATGATTTCATTATCTTTTATGGCTGAGTTGTACTCCATGGCATATATGTACCACATTTGCTTTATCCAGTCTTCTGTTGATGGGCACCTAGGTTGATTCCATGCCTTTGCTATTATGAGTAGTGCTGCAATGAACATAGAGTGCAGGTCTTTTTGGTAGAACAATTTATTTTCCTTTGGGTAGATACCCGGTAATGGGATTGCTAGCTTGAATGGTAGCTATTTTTAATTTTTTTTGAGAAATCTCCAAACTGCTTTCCACAGGGGCTGAACTAATTTACATTCGCACCAATGGTGTATAAGTGTTTGTGAGGGCTTCATATATCATCGGGAGCTTCAGTAGTAAACTTCCAGGATAGAGTCCAGGGCAGCCTCTTCCCCGCCCCCTCCCTCCATATCCACCTTGATTCTTATTCATGACTGCTCTGCTCCAGTGGTGCCTTCTGTGGTGGTGAGATTCTCGGACACTGTTGGAATTCTCCCTGTTGCATTATACCCTGCTTGTCTCCCTATTAATCATCGGACACCTTGTAGGACTTTGGTGACATCCTGGTGTGAAAGCATTAGACTGATGTTTCAAAGCCTGAGAAAAAGAAGCTAGAAAAGATCTCTGAAGCTCTTTCCACAGATAATCTGCCTTCCTCTTCATTTCTTTCTTTCTTTCGATATCTTAAGAATAGAAGAGCAGAACAGTGAGTGGAATATCTAATTCTACTCATAGCCACCATTTGCTGAGTGTTTGCCATGGGCTGGGCATGGTGACAGGTACTTTATTTTCTATTTTCAATATAGCAGCTCATCACAACCATCCAACAAGGCAGGTACTATGTTATCACCATGGAGAAAATGGTGCCTACAGAGTTACATGAATTCATCCAAGGCTATTCAGAGAATAAGTGGCAGGAAATTAGCTAAGTCCAATGGCAGGTGTTCTTCCTCATCTTCATCTTGACCTGTCAGCAGCATTGGGCACTGCTGACTTCTCCTCCTCAAAACACTTTACTTGGCTTCGGGACACCTCCTGCCTTGCTGGTGGCTTCTTTTCAGACTCTTGTTTTTTTTTTTTTTGGAGATAGGGTCTTACTTTGTCACCCAGCCTGGAGCAGATGGTGCAATCATAGCCCACTGCAGCCTCAAACATTTTTGTAGAGATGGGGTCTCACTATGTTGCCCAGGCTGATCTCAAACTTCTGGCCTCAAGTGATCCTCCCACCTTGGCACCCCAAAGTGCTGGGATTATAGGTATGAGCCACCACGCCTGGCCTTTCCTTTTCAGACTCTTGTTAGTTCCTCCTCCTCTTCCCAACTTCTAGCCATTGAAGGCTCAGTTCCTGTTCTCATCTCTCCCTGTGCTTACTCCCTTGGTGACTTCGTCTAGTGTCATGGCTTTAAGTATCATCTCTACGCTGACCACTTCCATATTTTATCAGTTGTCAATTTTATCCAACTGACTATTTGACACCTCCATTTAGGTATCTAAGGGGACCCCAAAGTTAACACGTCCAAACTCAAATTCCTAATCTTCCATTCCAAACCAGCTCCTCCTGCAATTTCCTGATTTCAATAAATGGCAACTCCATCTTTTTATTGCAAAGACCCCAAAATCTTCGATTCTTCCTCAACTCCTTTTCTCATCCTCCACATCCCATCATCCAGGTTCAGATTCCAACCACTTTCCCATCTTTTCCACTTGCCTGGCCTGGGCCATGCCCATTTCATGGCCAGACACTGCACAAGCTTCCCAGCTTTCCTGTCTTCCTCCCATGTCAATTTTCAACACAGTAGCCTGAGTGACCTTTAAAAATATGTAACTCAGATGACATTATTTCTCTGCCCAGTAGCTTCCAATGGGCCCATCTCACTCAGGGAACAGCCGAAGCCTTCGTGATGGTTTTCAAAGCCCAGCATGACTCAGCCCCAGCACCTCTCACTGCTCTCCCAGCTCCCTCTGCTCCAGCCACCAGGGCCTCTTGCTGTTCCTTGGAGGTGCCAAGCACTTTCCCACCTCCGGGATTTTGCTCTTGCTGTTCCCTCCACCTGGAGTGTTCTTCCCCCAAAGCAGTACACAGTTGTTTACTGCATGAAGGCACCTATTTGGGGGGTTAGTGGGGGCTCGAATGCAGATTTCATTCTGCTTACCGCATGGTGCTTCCACAGGGGTTTGTCCACTCTCAAAAGGCTTCTTTTTGTAATTTGCACAGGGGCTTGCTATGGGCCACTGCTTGTCATGTGGACCCCTAAACTCTGTGGGCCTCAGAGACATCTAGGGGTGCCCTGGAGAGTGAGTTAAGGCAGGAGGTGGGTCTGGGAAGGTGGCCTTGACGGTGAGGAAGGTGTCAGGGTCTTGCCTTAAACTGCCTCTAGAGGTTTTCCTAGTGTCCTTCTGAAGCTCTTACTGACTACAAGAGGGTGTTGAATGAATAGGGGCTTAGCACAGCTTCCTGGGTCAGGCAAGCAGCTTTCATAGAGCTTCAGAGCTGTTTCCACATTCCTGAGACTCTAAGAGGTCTCTTGGCAGGACTTATATGGGGCCTGGCAGGAGATAAGTTCTTGATCTCTGTTCTCCCTGGATCCTACCTCTGTCCAAACCTCTGGGTCTCAGGATACCCTTGTGTGCCAGGCACAGGGGTGACACTATGAGGTTAAGGGCGTGGACTCTCAAGCCAGATTGCTGGGTTCAAATCCCAGCTCCTCGAGCTACTAGTTGTGCGGCCTGACCTTTCCGTACCTTATTTTCCTATCTATAAAATGTCAATAATAATAGTACACATTAAATGAGTTAATATGTATGTGAGATTAAAAGAAACTGGGGCCAGAAGATCTAGCAGCCGAATTCACCTCCTAGGGAATCACAAAAGTATATAGTGGGGGACCCTGCAGCTTGCTGGCATGGTTGGGCACAAGATGAAGGTAGGAAAAACTCATTGAGACGACAGGGACTCCTCTATATGGAGACCCTATTCCTGTAGCCCTGAGGTGCCTGGGTGATGGGTAAAGTCCTGTTGGGGAGGAGGCCTGCAGGGTTTGAGGCTGCAGCCTGCACATGAACTGGGCGGCAGTGAGCACCGATTTGGGGCAGTGGTGGTCCCAGGAAGGGAGCAGCTGTCACAGTGGTCCTCTCTTTGGCTGATTTTGCATTTGAATCACAAGCAGGATAAAGCTGGAGGCAGAAGGAAGCTTCCGAGGTAAACTTGCAGGCAGTGGGAGGCTTGGGCAGAGGCAAAGAGGAAGCTAGTCCTAAGCGTGTGTTGTATCTGCTGGGCTGGCGCTTGCCTCATTTGGAGCTGAGAGCCTTTTTAAGAGAGGACAGGCTTGGTTTTGAGATGGAACGCCATATTTCATATACTTACCAGTAGCCTTTTAAAAACAATTTGAAGCTTCCCTGGGTCAGAGACTGATGTGATTTTCAATGGGCTGACATCAAAGCAGCTCCCCTGAGCATAACGGGATGTCAGGTCCCCACAATTATCTTAGGAAGGGTTGGTTGCCAGCCTGGAGCCCCTAGCCTCCAAGTTCTGGTTCATCTGCTGTATTGTGAAAAAGTAATTTGAGGGAAGGGGAGAAGAAGGAGGAACCTGCCTGGGGCCTTTGCATGGGTCTTGCAAAGGCGAGGGGGACAGGTGGGGGTTACTATAGGTCTTTACATGGCACTGACCAGTAAAAAAATCAAACAAACCGTGACTAACAGGAGGGAGCTGATACCTTTTGTCAAGCAAGAATGTTAGAAAAGAAACAACCTGCTCCCCACCTTAAAAGAACAGAAAGAACAGTAGCAGCAACAACAGCAAAACCCACTGTTACTACTATTACCAATTCGTGAAAGAAGGGATATTTTAACATGAAAAAGGACTATTCCTAGGAGTGGAATATTCTTGGAATAAAGGACAATTTTCCCAAGAAAGGAAGGTTGGCTACCTTGCACGCACGCGCGCGCGCGCACACACACACACACACACACAAACACACACACACACACCTGAATTATCCTTGTTTTTATTTTTCATCTTGTGTGGGTCTGATGAAAACTGTCTCATAAATAGGCCTGCTAGATAAGTTGGCTTAGGGGACAAATGACTCTGGGGCTCACCAAGTGTGGGGTGTGAAGAGAGGACAGTGGAGGGCTTAGATGGAAGAAATGGCTGAGAGATGGTCTGCCCTACTCCAGAGGCTGGTAGAGTGGGGGAATCTTCTAAAAGCAGGCCAGGCCGATTCTTTTAATGCAACACATTTTAGATTCAGGAAAGAACGGGAGCAAGGGGGAATAATAACAGACTCTCTGAAGGTCAATTACTCTGCTTTCCAGTGGACTTTTCTTCCATTTCCCCCTCTTCCTTCATATAGCCCTCACTGTTTGCTGAGCCAATGACCACTGCCCCCTCCATAAAGGTGGACTGAATTTTCCCTTCACAAAGAAGCTCTGTCCAACTCAAAGGCCTAGACATAACTTCATCAGGCTCAAGCAGAGTTCAGCTGGGAAGCCCAAGTCTAGAACTCCCAGGATCCAGTGAAAGTGAAGCACTTTCTGTAAGTTGACAGAAACTTACTTTCTGTAAGTTTACTTCGGCTGGTGGATCACTCCCTGGGGACCCACGTGATAGGTTATTAACAGCTTCTCCAGGAGACACAGTTTTTAGCAGCATCACCTTCAGAGACCTTTCTCAGGCTCAGCTTTTTTATTTGTTGTTTGAAGCTGCTGACTTACATCGTATTTGTCTGCTCTTACTGTGAGTTCTGGCCATCTCCCAAGTGGGAAAATGCCTGGCAAAACATCAATTTCCTCTGAACGGAGATTCTGAATCGTCCATGAAATAAAAGCTTGTTCCCCAAAAGAAGTTTAATAGAGCCACAACACCAAGGTCACATCTGAGCCACTTGGACTTTTGGTGGTACCAGTGACAGAACACCTCAATGTTGGGATACACTGCATTAGTCTGTGCCAGGACACATGTATGGCTATGCCTGTGTGTGTTTACACACACATTCACATGCACACACATTTGCTGAGCCAGGGGTGGGGAGGCAGACTTCTGGGAGAAAGGAAAGGGAGTTTTAAAAGGACAGCTACTCTGTTCTTCACTCTTCTGTGGAATGAACTCTGGGCTAGAGTGAGGAAAGTCGAATCTGGTCCCAGGTCTGCCTTCTAAGTTGCTGTGGGACCTTCATTTCTTTGAACTTCATCTGCCAAATGGTTACAGAGACACTGTATCAGTCAAGATTTAAAACAGGAAAACAGAAATATCTCAAGGTGTTTTGAACAGAATGGAATTTTATACAGAGAATGAAATCTTTACAAAATTCACTGGGAGAGCCAGCAGAAGGAAGTTGAAGGCCACAAAGTCAGAAAACTGCTGCCATGGTGGTAGCCTCCACTGTCATCATCACACCCTTGAAGCTGGTGACAAGACCATGGGCCCCGGAATCCAGCCACCACCAACATTGATTGTCCGACTGCACCTCTGCAGAGAGATGATGGCGTCCTTTGGGTCCCAGTCCCCAAATCTGGCACAAATGCAGCTAATGAGCAGAACCTAAGTTGAGCTATGAGAAGCTCTGGGAAGTGTCATTTTTAGCTTTGCCAGCTCTGGAGACGGAAGGGTGAAATTGAAATTGAGAATCAACCTCGGCATTTGACGTAGTTTTTTTGCTCTGGAGTTCCATGATTTTGCTGGAGAGAGTAGACTTGGGGAGTTTCAGCAGAAATATCAGCTTTTTCAGGTTTTCATTGGTCTTGCCACACTTCACCCAGCCTCCTGTGTGTGGTTCACAGCCCAAGGGGTGAGGTTGCCTGCATGCTGGAGCAGTGGGGTTTTGAGGCTCCTTGAGGTCTACTTTAGACATCCACTCTGTGTGGGGGTGGGAGAGCCATGAAGGAATCTGCCAATTGCCTTCTCTTTGGAAAGTTCCTCCCACCTCAACTCTCAACTTTGTATAAACTTGAAAAATAGAATTGGAAGGACAGAGAAAAATGAAGTTTAGGAGGAAACCAAAAGTTCTTCTCTGGAATCACATGGCCAAGGTCTTGGCTTCATAATCTAAGTACAGGTACCCTTCCTCACCAGGGAGGAACTCAAGAAGAGGGTGGCAGGCTGTGGGTTCAGCAGGGTTTCTATCAGGGAGCTGGAATAGAGGGTGCCAGCTCCATCACCCCTGCTCTGCCCTTCCTTCCCAACAAGGGCAACTTGAGCTAATGAGCAGAATGGAAGCTGGGAGACTGGGTGCTGGTGTGGGGTATGAGGAGTGGGGGACAGGAAGGAAGAATACAATTTTAACCATTATTCAGTAAGACACATTCCCCATGCTGGCATCACTCCTCCAAATTGGCAGTAATTGGTGCCCTCCCACCATTCCTGCCAATTGAGCAGCAGGGAGGAAAGATGGCATGGGGAGAGGAGCTGCCTCTCCTCTAGAGCGTGGATTCTAGATCCAAACTGGGCAAGCATGGGAGGGCAGTGAGGATGGCGCGTGGCGAGGAGGCTCTGGTGGGGACCTGAGGACACCCAAAGGGGTCCAGTCTCTTTCCCCTAAGGAGTCCCTAAGGTGCCTCCTTAGGACTTTGTCTTATGGAGACTTTCTGAGAAAGGCCAGGAAACAGTCTTGTTTGTCTGAGAGGCAGCATCATTCAGAGGTAAGCAGGTAGTTAAAAACTTGAGCCCCTGGTTGATATTGCATCTGGCTGGGACCCTGGACCTAGTCTTCTTGGAGCAGGGTTGCTACTTGGAGGTAGCATGGCTGATTATCAATATGGGATGCTGCCATTGAGAAGGGGAAGGCATGGAGAGACCAACCCTCTTGCCAGAGGAGGAACTGTGTGGGTTAAGAGAAGAGTCCACAGATCCTTCCGGGTGCAAATGCCAGAAGCATGAAGGGGGCCACCTCAGTAGAAGACGCTCTGGTCGAGTAGGCGAAGGAACTGGTTGTGTCTGGGCTCCATCATTTCACCTCTTTGTGCAAGTAGATTCCTCACCCGTGATGGGGTGGTGAGGCCACTCTGCGGAGGGCCCTCTTGGCCTTGATGGTCTATGATTGCAGGTCTGCAGAGCACCTATCTCCTCCTGTTTCCCACAGGACGTGGGTTCCTGCTCCCCCTGGCCTGTTCGTATTTCTCAGGAAGGTGGAGGATGGTCTCTGAGTGCCAAAAAGACGCCCTTTAGCTGTTTGAGAGGGCTCGGATGTGCACGGAAAACACTCTCCCATGTTGTTATTCAGCGGGAAGAAAGAAGAGGAAGAAAAGCAAAGGGAGAAGGTATTGTTTGGGTACAATCTGTGTTTGCAATTTTCCACATCGGTTCTTTTTATGAACGCTCCAAAAACAAGACAACAGCAGCGGCTGATTCAATATGCGCCATGCAGGAAAACAATAAGGAAAAAAATAAGGGTTTTTAATAAGCACTTGGAAAGGCTGTAATTAAATCTCCGGCTCTGTTTGGAAAACAAGAATCTCATTTAGTGCCTTTGCCCCGGCGCTCCCTAATATCTGCACCCGTGTTTTCTGCTGGGCAATTACTGTGTCCTCCGCGGCTTGATTAACAAATACAGGTGCGGGATGCGCTCAGGAGGGATATCCCAGGACGGAAGGAGGAGCACCTGCGGGGGAGGGGCGGGGGCTGCAGAAGACTTGGCTCTCACCCCAACAGCTGTCGCGGGGACCTGTGGGAGGTGGGGAAGGAAGAGTCGCAGGGTGGGGGAAGGAGGAGTGAGGGCAGACGCAGGCCCCCTGCCTCTCCTGCCTGCATTTCCTCAAGTCTCATTCCACGAAGGAGCCAAGGGGTTATGAGAACACAGAGGGCCCCTCTGGCCTAGGAGTCAGGGACTTTAGAAGAGATGACCAGATGGCCGGGCACGGTGGCTCATGCCTGTAATCCCAGCACTTTGGGAGGCCGAGGTGGGTGTATCACTTCAGGTCAGGAGTTCGAGATCAGCCTGACCAACATGGTGAAACGCCGTCTCTACGGAAAAAAATACAAAAATTAGCCAGGCGTAGTGGTGGGCACCCGTATTCTCAGCTACTTGGGAGGCTGCGGCTTGAACCCGGGAGGGGGAGGTTGCCGTGAGCTGAGATTGCACCACTTCACTACAACTTGGGCAACAGGGTGAGACCATGTCTCAAAAGAAAAACCAAACAAACAAACAACAAAAATTAAAAAAAAAAAAAGAGAGAGAGAGAGGGATGACCAGAGGAAGAAGGGACATGTCAGCAAGAGAATGGGAGCCCCGAATCAGTGGGTGTTGTGTGTCCACAGCAATTTTAAAAAACATTTTAAATTTTATTTATTTTTATTTTTAGAGACAGGGTCTTGCTATGTTGCCCAGGTTGGAGTGCAGTGGCCCAATCATGGCTCACTGTAGCCTTGACCTCCTGGGTTCAAGTGATCCTCCCACCTCAGCCTCTGGAGTAGCAGGGACTACAGGCATGCACCACCACTCCTGGCTAATTTTTAAATTTTTTGTAGAGACAGGGTCTTACCATGTTGCTCAGGCTGGTCTCCAACTCCCAAAGTGCTGGGATTACAGGTGTGAGCTACTGTGCCCAGCCTGAAAAACATTTTTCCAGCCTGGGGAATGTGGTGAGATGTCATCTTTACAAAAAATGAGAAAAATTAACTAGGTATAGTGGCATGCACCTGTGTTCCCAGCTACTTGGGAGACTGAGGTGGGAGGATTGCTTGAGTCCCAGAAGGTCGAGGCTGCAGTGAGTTGTGATTGCGCCCCTGTACTCCAGCCTGAGTGACAGAAAGAGACCTTATCTCACTCCTTGGTTGATCAGAGAGATCAACCAATGAGTGGATAAGGAAAATGTGGTATATATACACCATAGAGTACTACTCAACCATAAAATGAAATGAAATAATGACCTTTGCACCAACTTGGCTGGAGTTGGAGGCCATTATTCTAAGTGAAGTAACTCAGGAATGGAAAAGTAAGTGTCATATATTCTCACTTATAAGTGGGAGCTAAGCTATGAGGATGCAGAGGCATAAGAATAATATAATGGACTTTACTGACTCGCAGGGAAGGATGGGAGGAAGGCGAGGGATAAAAGACTACATATTGGGTACAGTGTACACTGCTCGGGTGATGGGTACACCAAAATCTCAGAAATCACCACCAAAGAACTTATCTATGTAACCAAAAACCACCTGTACCCCAAAAAGTATTGAAGTAAAAATTGACACATAGTCATTGCATATATTTATGGGGTGCATAGTAATATTTGGATACATATAATGTGTAATGATCAAATCAGGGTAATTAGCATATCCATCATCTTAAACATTGATAATTTCTCTGTGTTGGGTACACTCAAAAGCCTCACCTCTATTTGAAACTATCCAATAAATTATTGTTAACTATGGTCCCTCTACAGTGGTATGGAACACTAGAACTTATTCCTCCCATCTAGCAGTCATTTTGTAACCTATAACCAACCTCTTCCTATCCACACCTCCTCCTCACCCTTCTCAGTGTCTGGTAAACTCTCTTCTACTCTCTGCTATGAGATCAACTTTTTCTTTTAGCTTTCACATGAGTGAGAACATGGAGTATTTATCTTTCTGTGCCTGGTTTATTTCACCAACAATGTACTCCAGGCTCATCCATGTTGCTGCAAATGACAAGATTTCATTGTTTTTTGATAGCTGAATAATATTCTATTTGTGGATATATACCATATTTTCTTTATCCATTAATCTGCTGATGGACACTTAGGCTGATTCCATATCTTTGCTATTGTGACTAGAGTGGCAGTAAACATGGGGCTGTAGATATCTCTTTGGTCTACTGATTTTCTTTCCTTTGGATATATATTGGTAGTGGGATTGCTGGATCTTATGGTAGTTCTGTTTTAGCTTTTTGAGGAACCTCCATACTGTTTTCCATAATGGTTGTACAAATTTACGTACCAATACTGTGTAAGAATTCCTTTTCTCTGCAAACAGGGATATTTCTTTGCAGGAAATTAGCCAATTTGTATAGTATGTGCTTGTCCTTGCCAAGTTGTATTGAGTGGGTTTGAACTTCTACAGTTCAAAGCAGCTGCCTTGACCACAGTCCTCCACCTGTCCCATAGAAATACCATGCCTTCCCCCATGGTATTAGTCACTTTTTTTTACAGAATAGTCACTAGGGGTCAGGCACCATACTAAGGACTCTTTCTACTCTGTCACTGAATCCCCTCAACACAGTCAGAGGATAGGTGCTGCTGTTACTAGCTCTGTTTTCTGGATGGGGAAGTTGAGGAACAGAGGTTAAGTCTTGTGTCCAAGAATCACTAGCTAGCAGGAGATGGGGCCAGCTCTTGAACCCAGGCTGTCTGGTTCCAGGGGGTTTGCTGTTCACCCTGCCTGCTATGCTTGCTTATCAGAGACACTTTCACTGCTCTCTTTCTGCCTCTTGCTCTGGGTGCCAGAGTCTCAGGCATTTTAACAGAGTGCCTGCTGGGAGAGGGGAGACGGGGAACCTTGGCCAGGTTTGGGCTGGAGGAGGGGCCGAGCTTCTTCTCCTGGGGCCCTGTGTTCCAGGGATATGGTGGTGGGACTTGCACTGAGAGGCGATGCATCAGTGGGGAGCAGGGTCTGCAGTCTTGCATAAAGCTACTAAGACTTAAAGCATTTTCCAGAGGCTTTTCCAAATCTTAATGCAGTATCCAAATATTATATACTATAATGTTATAATATACTGTAACATTGATTGAGTGCTTTGTCCAGAAGTACAGCTCAGGTAGGCAGTGCCTAGAGAGCTGAAGAAATCTGTTGACTTTGATATCTTGTCCTTATTTATGGGCTCTTTTTTCAACTCTCTGAAGCAGAGCCTGAGTCCTTTGGAAACATTTGGCCTTTACTTTCCATCTTTCTGCGACCTTCAGTAAAGCATCCTCCCTCCCTGAGTCTCAAGGACAGATGGATTTCCTTGCTAGAGATTGCGTCCAATTCCATGGTGCTGCCTTATGGCTTTCCAATCCCCTACTCCTGTCACGGCTGCATCTCAGTTCTAGCCAGAAGCTGGCTCTGCCCCATCCTTCCTCAGCTCCTCCCAACAGTGCTGAGGGTACGACTCCCTGTGCCAGCTGGAAGTCACCCTATTTGGTGTGTGTGCTCATGGTAACTCTGTGCCCAGTGCCAGGCTCCTGGAGAAGAGCTGAGATTCTAGAGCAGCCAGTTCCCTCCACATTCCTTGGCATAGCTCCTCTCACCTCCTGAAATGAAGGGAAGGAAAGCTCTTGATGCTGCTCACTGCTGCCTCTTCTGAGGCTCTTGAGGCTGCTGTTGCCTGTTGCTGCTGTGGCTTTGAGGAAACAGCTTTTGAGGAGTTGTTGCCTGTGTCAGCTCAACAAAGAGAGAGAAACAGAAAGAACAAGAGTGAGAGGGAGTGGGGTGAGCAAGTGAGCATCACTGAATAGGGAAGCCAATTAATATTCTTGGAACAAACTCTCTGAGCACTATCTGCTGTCATCAGCAAGCCAATGCAAATGCTGAAAATCCAGATAAAGATGGGAGCAGCAGCTCATTCCTTTAATGCCAGGACATTCTGCTTGGTGTTGTCTTGAGAAGGTGACACAGTTAACTATTACCCTTTAGTAGTAATCACAAACTGTAGAAAGCACCTGAGTATGTCACTAATAACACCACCTGGCATGCATATTGCACTCTCTTCTGGGAGCTCTGATGGTAGAGAATGCATGGTTTCATGTACTGTTGCCGACAAACTTGGAGCTGCCATACCCGCCCTATTTTCCAGATTCACATACAGAGGCTGGGGAGATCATAGTATGTCAATGGCTAAAGCAGGTTTCTTAATCCCAAGCCATTGCTTCTTCATTGAAATTTCTTAACTATACAGGATCTTGAATTTAGGCCTCTTGGGTTCATGACAGTGGCTAGAGGTGATGAGCTAAAATCAGAAATGACTTCACTTGTAGTGTTAGTACCTTTTGGGAAGCAAAGTTTAAAAGCATGCTTAAAGGACATCAAAATAATCCAAAGAAACACAGTATGTCCCTAGGACACTCTGGGGGAAGCTGTACTTCCACACAGTCCTTTTAGTCCTTCCTGGGGAAGTGGGGGAGCTCTATCAGCCATTTAGGTGCCAGACCTTGGATAGATTCAGGTCCTCACTGTGGATTTTACTGCCTCTAGAATATGGCTCAACACCTTTTTGCTGCTAAGTAATGCAAACAAGTGTGTATCTTATTTGGATGACCTGGGTAGACCTCACACTAGCAGGAAAGAAAAGGACAACAGAGACAAACATCAGGACTATATTGGATGAGGCCTGAGCTGGCTGACCTCTAAGTTCCTTTCACACAGAAGTTTCTGTGCATCTGTGATTCTCTACATAGCTGAGTAGGAAGGAAGAAAGAGATAAATTTGAAAGCGATGTACATGTTGAGATGTGGGACGAGGTTGGTACCAATCTCCCAGAGTGACCTGGCCTCTCCCTCCCACCCACCTGTCACCCACGCTGAGGGTACCCTAGTTCTCTGAGGATGAGATCCAAGTCTGACCTAAGGGCCAAGGCCAGATAATTTGCCAATTTCTAACTCTGCAGGCCTCTCTGCTACACCACGCAGCATCTCCTCTCTTCTTTTGCCCCAATCCATGAAGCTTTTCAGCTGCTCTTCCCAACCTTCCCAAAGTTTTTTGTTGTTGTTTGACCATTGTATGGATAAGAGGATACCCAAGTCACCCCCTCTTCCCAACCAAACTGCCAGGAAGTCCAGCCACTATCAGAGAGTCCAAAACATGGAAGGTCTCACAAAGGTTTGCTGGAGTGATTTGAATTGCTGTGCCTCGACAGGGCAATGCATTTATGCTTCCAAAACTCAGCATGGGCTGGGTGTGGTGGCTCAATCCTGTAATCCCAGCACTTTGGGAGGCTGAAGTGAACAGATCACTTGAGGTCAGGAGTTTGAGATCAGCCTGGCCAACATGGTGAAACCCCATCTCTACCAAAAATATAAAACATTAGCCATGTGTGGTAGCAGGTGCCTGTAATCCCAGCTACTCAGGAGGCTGAGGCAGAAGAATGGCTTGAACTTGAGAGGCAGAGGTTGTGGTGAGGTGAGATCATGCCATTGCACTCCAGCCTGGGTGACAGAGTGAGACTCTGTCTCAAACAACAACAACAACAACAACAACAAACAAAACTCATCCTGCACAAAACTTGTTTGGGCAGGATGTTAAAATGCCCATTCCCAGGCCCAGCCCCAGAGATCCTGATTCAGCAGGTCTGGGGTGGAGCTCAGGGATTCTGCATTTTTAACAAGCTCTCCGGTTGGTGCTGCACAAATTGCAGTGTGCCATTCTTTTGTGTGATGTGGAGCCTGTGACTTTTGGGTCATGGAGGTTCTCCTTTGACTTCCTCATTAGCGCATAGTGACCTGGTTTGTGACTCTGTCTTCATGTTTCTCACAGGACTCACTTTTATGGAATTGAGCTTGGTTTTAAAGGCCTTCTTGTAGCAGAACCAGAGTTTTCTATCTCTCATTTATTCCTTAACCTGTATTGTCCCGAGTGTTCTTATTTCACCCGCAAGCCTCAGTGTTGGGAAAAAAATAGCTGTTCAGGTGGGCTTTGCCAGCACAAATCTGGAATTTTCTGTGCCCCAGTGGGGCCCTTCTTCATTGGCACAGTCGTGGTGCAGGAGGTTTTCATGTGACTTCATCCTGGGATCGGGCTAATCTCCTCCCTCAATCCTGACTCTAAGGCAAGGACTTCATCGGCAGATTCCACTGGGGACTTTGGCCACTTTGGAAGCAAAGTCTTTTTGCAGGAGATTCAGAATGATCCCTGCCCTGTGCCCTTCACCTTGCTAACCTCCTGGCTGAGGGAAGAGCATGAGTCTGAGCATGAGACTCTGTTGGGAGGAGAAGAAGCTGAGATGAACTCTGATGTATTAGAACACTGGTGGCATGGCCTTCTCAGTGCTGAGTGTGCCTAGCTTTCACCAAGACCCATGTCAAAGGCCTGAAGCCAGGTAGACCCATGGGAGTAGGATCCTTCTGGGATGTACATTGGACCAGGGAAGATTTAGAGCTTTGCCAACCTTCAGCAGTCTCCACAGGGTCCCAGGCTGGGCTCTGAGGAGGGGTGGAGGAGATTGAAAATGGTTATCCAAGGGCTCTCTTCAAGGTATGGGGAACTTCTCTCAAGCTGCATTTTGAACACTTCATTAGCTTATGGGCTGCTCTGGTGGAGTAGATTGAAAGGTTGGCTCTCAATTCATTATTTTCTGCTCTTCTACTTGCTTGCATTTTATAGGTGGGCCACATTTTTTAAATGTCTCAGTTTGCTCCTGTATAAAATAGAGAAAATCATCCCAGAATAATCATTTTGATAATAATAATAACACTGCATTCACCTGGTGTTTTTGAATACCTGCTACATGCCAGGTACTGTTTAATGGCACCAGGGATACAAGTGAGCACAACATAATTCATGCCTTCATGGAGCTTACATTCTAAAAGAGGATAGAGAAAACACAAACATAAAAATAATATTTAGTATATCAGAAAGTAATACATTTTAGGAAAAAAAAATAAAGCAGGAATGGGAGGTAGGGAGTGGTGGAGAGAGAGGTACTATAGGGTATAATCAGGGAAAGTCTTACTGATAATTAGAAGAAAGTGAGGGAGCAAGCCACATGGCTATTTTGGAGAAAGCTTCTAAGCATAGGAAATAGCAAATGCAAAGACTTTGAGGCAGCAGTATGTTCAAGCAACAGCAAGGTGACCAGTGTGGCCAGATGACAGCACCGATCATGACAATAATAACAGCAAAGCCGATGAGATAGGTACTATTTTTATCTTCATTTTGCAGGTGACTTGCCTAAGGTTATACAGCTACCATGCGGTCGAGCTTAGAGAAGACAGCTTGACTACAGGTCTTGCTCTCTTAGTCATTAAAAGGCAGGAGGTGGGAAGGAGTTTCCAGTATTTGTCAAATGCAGCCAGCTTCTTAGAGAGGGAGGGATCTATGCACATATGTAGTGGAGGGGAGGGGTGCTTTCCCTTCTCTTCTCCTACCAGTTAATCAGAGAATATGTTAGTACAACACAGTCAATTTTTATGGATACCCAGATGCAGTAGCCCTGCGTGGACCCAGAGGGAAAAAGCTTCAGAAACAAGAGAAAGAAATAGGAGCCCTGTGGCTGACTACTGAGAGAATGATTATATTTTCTGCTGCCCCTTCTGGGTTTCGCTCCCTTCTGCTGCCGTAGGCACTGGCCGTGGTGCTGAATGCTGATGTGCTGAATGCAGGGTGAACTCGTCTGTGCAAGGTGATCCTCGCTAGTGCAGCAGTCAGTATGGCGGGTGTCTGTATGTCTGATGCAGGATATTGGTATGGACAGGCGATGAGAGCTGAGAGGAAGAAGGTGTGGCAGAAGTGAGATTGGCTTGCCCATTTCTCGTTCTAAGGTTGGTTCACTGTGCACTAAGCATAATGGTTTCAGTGGTTCAGTCCTGGCGTGATGCTGGAGAGGTCGCTGTGCCGGGGCAGCAGCTGGAAGTGCCCAGGAGTGGAGTAGTGTCCATTGCTCATAGCAGCAAAGCTGCCTTTTCTGTGATCCCAGGCCATTCACATTTCCACATTTGTGCTTTGATTGTTTTATTTCTCTACGCAGGAATGTTTAAAATCTGCCTTAAATCACCTTTGATTTCATGGAGCTACATTAGCTATCTTTTTTAAAATGCATGTGTTATATGTGTAGCTTATTTCACACAATCTAAGAGTTAATCCTATTTTCTTGTCTAATCAACGTTTTCTTGAGATCACAGAAATTATTCTCCAATCTCTTTTGTAATTCTCACTGCTGCACAGTTGTGGGTACGGGACCGATTTGCAAATATCTCAGATCATTTTGGGCCTTGGCGCTTTTCAAAAGCTTCTTGTATCCTCTTCTGGATCTCTTTTTCATCGGAGTCATGACAGTATTTTCAGGGCTAAAATCTCATTTATTAAGCCGGTTGATTTTTTGAGACATCAAATAGCCATCTATATGTTGAGCATTATAGAGGAGGGGTGGGGATATGTGGCTGAATGATGAGGAGGCAAGGGTGAATAAAATCAAAGGGACAATATTTATGGCCCTTAGCAGGAAGGGCAACTATGTTACATTTTGTGGGTTAATTATAAAAATTATACATTGCTTTGGCTTGTCCCCAACTGCTGCCCCAGACAGCAGCCTGTTGGGTTATTGGTCTTCTGTGGATGCATAGTTTGAGTGCTTGAGTTATTGACATTTAGCCATATCTTTTTTTGAAGGAGATATTACCTCATTGTTCTAGTTCTTTGGCCTGGATATTTGGATAGAGTCAGTAAACATGATCCTGCCTTGGGGGAATCCAGGTTCCTCCTCTCCTGGAATCAGACAGAAAGGAACAGAATGAAAGAAGAGCTTTTGATCAAGAATGACCCTTCTTCATCAACTCTGTCCATGTGGTGACCCAGGTAAATGCTGCCAATACCTTTCTCCATGATCTTTCTTAGAGACTTGGCAGGTGCTTTTGTAATTTGGACAACAACAATGTATTAAGTAACAGAACTTTTTCTCAGCTCTGGGAGAAACTTGCAGATGTTTCATGACTGTGGGGATATCACAGAAAAAGCATTAAACTTTCCAGCATGCCTGGGCCCAATATTAATCACCTGTCAGCCAGGAATCTTGGTGAGCAGGAAGGAGAAAATGAGGTGTGTGTGTGTGTGTGTGTGTGTGTGTGTGTGTGTGTGTGTATGGAGGGGTGGGGGATGGAGGGTGGTGAGAGGCTGAAAGATAGCACTCCAGGAGCTAGGCCAAATGAAGAGTACAGGAGGTGAAGGAAGGAATGCTGAGAAGATAGTCAAGTGGAAAGAAAAGCAGATGAATTGGGGAGGAAAGTGAGAGACATTAAAGAAGGTATATGGAAAAATGAAGTGGGGGCAGAAGATGCAAGATGGATGTGAGAATTATTTGAAAATAAAATGGTATTGAAAAGTGCAATGTCATTACAGGTAGGCACACAGAGGTATTGGAGAGGAGATGGCATAAAAGAGGGAGAAGAAAAACAAAGATGAGCAAGAAGGATATTGAGATAGATTGAGAACAGACAGGCAGAGAAAGACACACACAAAGAGGAAATGAATATTCTAGGGTCATAAGAAACCAGGGACTAGAGATCTTGTGACATCAACAGAAGGCAGAGACTGCAAGACAAAAGGCAACTTAAGCCATTTCCTGGTCTGTTAAGTCACCCACGGCAGCACAATGTGCTGAGAACTGATGTCTGCCTGTGATCATTGTTTACTTAGAAAGCCAGCTGACATGAGATGAAATTAACACAATAGGATGGAAAATTGCTAATAAAACAAAAATCCCTGCCGTTAGATTTTCATAGCCTAATTATTCAGCACGTTACTCACTAATGGCATGAGACATTACCATGCTAATGTGTAGTCTGCATATGTCAGAGGAGGAAGGATGGGAAGGACTCTTATTCTCTGCAAATGGAGAAATTACCTACTCCCAGATGGAGGACTGTTGGGATTAGTGGGATACTGGTGGCCAGGAAAGAGGGGTAGACTTTTCTAGGCCTGGGCAGGAATCAGAACCCTAGGGTTTGTTCCTCTGTACTAATAAAGCACCATGGGCTCTTCCAATCCAAGCTGCTCTCTGCATTCACCATGTGTCCCTCCCATTTGAGAATCACATTACTGACACGAATAAGATTTGAGCACAAATAATAAGAAAGAAGAGCTGTCTCCAAGTGCACTTGATAACTGTGGAAGCCTGACTTTGTTTACACTTTTACTTGGCATCCTCTGATCATTATCTGATTCAAATCTTATGGAGTTAATTTATTCTTGTGGCTTTTATTTAAATCTGTTCTGTTATGTTAAGAGGTATTCTAATTGTCCTTGACAGAGTAAAAAGATCCCAGAGTCAGGGACTGTATATTCTACTTTCTTAGAAGCTCTTTATTCTGTCCATTTATGCATCCAGAGATACAGACATTCATTCAATACTGGCTGAAAGACTATCCCTGGACCATGTGATAGAATGCAAAGAAAAACAGAAACCATTATTTTCCTCAAGATAACCACAGGCTCTTGTGGGGTGCGAGGTTGGTATGCAAATTACTAAGGGAGGTGTTCAACCAGGGAGACACTGGAAGAGCGAGCACAGGCAAGTCCCATCTTCGTGGAGGAAGGCAGCAGGGCTATAGCTCTGGAGGAGCGGTTCTATCGTCTTCAGCCTTAGACAATCCTGGAACCATAACCCGTTTCTAAGATGGGCAGTCTGATGATGGAAGGGCTGCCTGAATGCGAGTATGTACGTGCTTGCACATGATTGTGTGCTTACTTGATTCTGTCCCCTTACTGTTGTTGGCTCTGGTAGTTGTAGCTCTCCTCTCCTCCTTTTCTCTGGAAACAGAAACATCTTTTTCCAACAAGAAGTCTATTCCATATTGATGCTATAGGACCAAGCTACAGTGACCATGCAATCAGTTCAAGGAGGCCTATGTGACCTGGGGTTGATCAACTAGAATCCTCAGCATTCTTCCAGGACTTTGCTGGGACCAGTGGCAGAGGTATTCTTTTTCTCTCTGTGCTTCTGTCTCTGTCTCTCTCTTCCTGAAAGAGCTAACTTTCTGAAAGTTTGGGATAGATTTAACTCCCTGTATTAGTCCATTTTCATATTGTTCTCAAGAAATACCTGAGACTGGATAATTTATAAAGAAAAAGAGGTTTAGTGGACTTGCAGTTTCACATGACTGGGAAGGCCTCCCAATCATGGTGGAAGGTGAAGGAAGAACAGAAACACGTTTTACATGGCAGCAGGCAAGAGAGCATGTGCAGGGGAACTGCTCTTTATAACACCATCAGATCCCATGAGACATATTCACTATCATGAAATCAGCATGGGAAAAACCTGCCTGCATGATTCAATTACCTCCCACCAGGTACCTCCCATGACCCATGGGGATTATGGGAGCTACAATTCAAGATGAGATTTGGGTGGGGACACAGCCAAACCATATCACACCCTAAGCGAATTTTTTAGCATGCGGGAGAAAATTGCCTGAGAATAAAATCAACTCAGAAAAGCGAGAGAGAGAGAGAGAGAGAGAGAGAGAGAGAGAGATAGAGATAGAGATCTAATGATATTTTTCAAATTAATTCCTTAATTCTGAATCTGGACAGGAATTCTTGGCATTCTCTTTGTGCTTAAGCTGGTTTGAGTTAAATTTGTCACATGCAAATCAAGTAGTCCTTGTCACACTTTTTCTTCCACACATCTCAGGTTTTGAATGCTCAAGGCATTCTTGGCCACTGTGAACAGAATGAGACTTTATAATTCTTTACAATGAATGTGTCCTTTGTAGCCTGCCATCTGCCTTTGTGGTGGCAGGTGAAGAGACAGGTCAAGCCCCTTGCTGAGCAACACTCAATGGAGTGAAAGCTGGTACAGAGGTCCTTGATCTGCTTACCTACAAAGGCTTTTTGAGGCATACTTTTCCCAATGTTTCTTCTGTTTCTCTTTGGACTTTTTCCCTCTTGTAAATTGATACTGAGGGTATGAAGCCAAGGAAGAACTTCATAAAAGCGCTAGGTTTTTCAGGAGGGATTTCAGAGTGAAGAAGCAATTAAGCAGGTGGAGCTTGCTCGAGATATATCAATGACACTAGCAAGGATCAGTGGGCTTGGAGAGCCTTTGCCTCTGAGCAGCCAGAATGTGTTTCTATGTGCTGGCGCAAAAGTGTCCTGTGCACAAGTGTCCTCGTGATGATGTTGGACCAGGAGAAGGAACTAGGAAACAAGGGGTGGTAGTCATTAGGACTAATGACTAGAATTTGGATTTTTCTTTTTCTGGGCACATGATAAAATTGCATTCCTACCACTTTTAAAGCTAGGTGTGGCTGGATGACTTACTCATAATGAAATGTGAGCAGAAGCAATGTGCCTTCTCTGGTGCATCATATTTAAGAATGATTGAACGATTTCTCCACTCTTTCATGAAGACTGGTGATATTCAAGACGAGATTTTCATCAACCAGGCTGCCCCTGAATAAGTCTGTACCAGTTTCCTGAATAAGGAAAAAGCAGCCAATTTTGGCATGAACATAAAGTGTGATCAAGAAATAAACCATTGTTATTTTAAACCATTAAGTTTTTTTTTTTAAATTAATGAACTTTATTTTTTAGCACAGTTTTAGATTTACAGAATGGCCAGGCACAGCGGCTCATGCCTATAATTCCAGTGCTTTGGGAGGCTGAGGTAGGAGGATCCCTTGAGGCCAGGGGTTTAAGACCAGCCTGGGCAAAATAGTGAGACCCATCTGTACAAAAAATAGAAAGAAAATTAGCTGGATGTGGTGGCATGTGCCTGTAGTCCTAGCTATTCAGGAGGGTGAGGCAGGAAGATTGCTTGAGATCAGGAGTTTGAGTTATAGTGAGTTATGATCATGCTGCTTCATTTGCACTCTAACACGAATAACAGTGTGATTTTGTCTTAAAAAAAAGATTTACAGAAGAATTGAGCAGACAGTTCAGTGTTTCCATGTATCTCCCCTACTGACATATTCCCTATTATTAACTTCATACATTAGTGTAGTATATTTGTCACAATTAATGAACCAATACTGATATATTATTATTAACTAGAGTTCATAGTTTACATAGAGGTTCACTCTTTGCATTGTACAATTCTGTGAGTCTCAACAAATGCATGTCATATACCCATAATTATAGTATACAGAATCCTATTGCTGCTTTAAAAATCTTCTGTGCTTCACTAGCTAATCCCTCCCCTACCCAGAACCCCTGGCAACCACTGACTTTTTAATGTCTATATAGTATTCCATTTTCCAGAGCGTCATATAGTTGGAATCATACAGTATGTGTCCCCTTCAGACTGGCTTCACTTAGCAATACACATTTAAATTTCTTTTATATATTTTCATGGGTTGATAGGACTTTCTTCCTGTCACTGAATAATATTCATTGTATAGAATATGGTTTGCTTATCCATTCACCTATTGAGTTACACCTTGGTTGCTTCCAGTTTTTGCAGTTATGAATAAACTTCTATAAACATTTGTTTTTAGGTTTTATGTGGGCAAAGTTTTCAAGTCAGTTGGGTAAATACCTAGGAGTGTGATTGTTGGATTGTATGGCAACACTATGTTTAAGCCTTGTAAGAAACCACCAGATTATCTTTCAAAGTGGCCACACCATTTTGCATTGCCACTGAATAATATTCCTGCCAATATTTGGTATTGTCAGGTTTGTTTTTCCATTAGAATAGGTTTTTAGTGGTATCTCGTTGTTTTAACTTGCACTTCTCTAATGGCATATGATGTTGAGCATCTATTCATATACTTGTTTGCCATCTGTGTATCTTTTTTGGTGGGGTATCTGTTCGGGTCTTTTGCCAGTTTTTAAAATGAGTTGTTTATTTTCTTATTATTGAGTTTTAAGGATTTTTTTCCCCTTTTGGCTACAAGGCCTTTATCAGATATGTGTTTTGTGAATATATTTTTCCAGTCTGTGGCTTGTCTTTTCATTCTCTTAAAAGTTTCTTTTGCAGAGCAGAAGTTTTGAATTTTAATAAAATCTAAGTTGCCAATATTTTTTCTTTTCTGTATTCCTCTTTTTTTTTTTTAATCTGAAAACTAATCTCCAAACCCAAGGTCACCTAGATTTTCTTCTACATTATCTTCTAGAAGTTTTATAGTTTTACATTCAGGTCTATGATCCACTTTGAGTTAATTTTTTGTGAAAAGTAGAAGGAAGGTCTGTGTCTAGATTATTCTTTTTCTAAGGATATCCAATGTTTTAGTACCATTTATTTAAAAATCTACGATATCTTTTTTTTTTTTTCTTTTTTTTTTGAGACAGATTCTCAGTCTGTCGCCCAGGCTGGAGTGCAGTGGTGTGGTGTCGGCTCACTGCAGCCTCTGCCTCCCAGGCTCAAGTGATTCTCTCAAATCAGCCTCCTGAGTAGCTGGGACTACAGGTGTGTACTACCATGCCTGGCTAATTAAAAAACCTTGTAGATACACGGTCTCACTATATTGCCCAGGCTGGTCTCAAACTCCTGGGCTCAAGCCATCTTCCTACCTCAGCCTCCCAAAGTGCTGGGATTACAGGTGTGAGCCACCACGCTTGGCCTAAAAATCTACTATTTCCTCATTGAATCTCCTTTGCTCCTTTGTCAAAGATAGGTGGTCTGTATTATGTGGGTCTGTTTTGGACTCTTTTATGTTCCACTGATTTATTCTTCTATTGTTCCTCCAATATCATGTTGTCTTGATTACTGTACCTTTATTAGCAGTGTTAAAGTCAGGTAATATCAGCCTTTTGACTTTGTGCTTCTTCAGTATTGTGTTGATTATTTTGTCTTTTGCCTTTCCATATAAACTTTAAATCTTTTTTTGATCTTCACAAAATAACTTGTTAGGATTTTGATTAAGACTGCATTCAATCTATAGATCAGTTGGAAAAAATTGACATCTTAACAATATTGGGTCTTCCTATCTATGAACATGGAACACATTTCCATTTATTTAGATATTTGATTTTTTATCAGACTTGTATTGTTTTCCCCAAATAGATTCTATATTTATTTTGTTAGATTAGAACCTAAGTATTTCAATTTTTTGGTGCTGACATAAGTGATGAATTTTTAATTTTATAATCCATTTTTTCCTTGTGGGTATATAGGAAAGCAATTAAATTTTGTATATTAGCCTTGTATCGACAATCTTGCTGTAACTGCTTTTTGATTTCAAGACTTTTTTTTTGTTTTTTGGTCAGTTCTTTGGAATTTTCAACATTGACAATCATCACATTTGCAAACAAAGACAGTTTTATTTCTTCCTTCTTTATCTGTTTAATTTTTTTGTTCTTTTCTTATCTTACTGTCTTAGCTAGGACTTCTAGTATGATGCTGAATAGGGTGGTGAGAGGAAACCTCCTTTCCTTGTTTCTGATTTTCAGGGGAAACCATCTAGTTTCATCATTAAATATAATATTAGCTGTAGGGGTTGGCAAGCTTTCTTTTTTTTTTTTTTTCCATTTCACTGATTTTTTATTAGAGCAAGTGTATGTTCTGTAACGTATTTCACTAGCAAGCATGAAAGAGGAGGTCTCTCTCTCTCTCTCTCTCTCTCCACGGGCTGCTCCCAGGGTCTGGTCACAATATGCCACCACAGTGGGGGCAAATCACCTTCCTTTCCGGCAGGTGGCGTTTCCTCCTGCAGCTGCTTAACCTCTCTTTTCCAGCTTTCCCTCCGCAGTTTCTTCCACTGTTTTCTCTTGGCAAAGTAATCAGGATACATTGCCTTCTCAGAAGGATGCCAGTCATCTAAGCACCATTCTGGGACCTTGTAGCACTCGTGTGTCACATAGGAGGTACCCCTAGGAGAGT
Source organism: Homo sapiens (assembly GCF_000001405.40). Classification (NCBI taxonomy): domain Eukaryota; kingdom Metazoa; phylum Chordata; class Mammalia; order Primates; family Hominidae; genus Homo; species Homo sapiens. The sequence goes on from NC_000007.14 coordinate 131,754,003, forward strand.
CAGGGAAGATGCATGGCTGTGGATGCTGATGGTACCAGAATTCTTCCTCAGCCTCCTTCAGCAGCCGGATGGCCTTCATCATATCCTTTTCGTTCGTATGTTCTTCAGACTGGGCTCTCATCAAACAAGCAAAGTATCGGTATTTGTCCCTGTGGATGCAACACAACTCGAGGTGGCACAGCACCCACTTTTAAAGCCTCAACACCTTCTGCTGATGGGTCAGGCAGGCAGCCGGCGTGGAGAACGCCACGACTGCGCTGACCTTCAGCGGCCTCGAGGGTAGCCAGGCGACTTTCTTTATTAAGGTAAGGAAGTTTCTTTCTATTCCTAGTCCACTGATTTTTTTCCTTAAATCATGAATGGGTGTTTGATTTTGTCAAATGTTTTTTCTGCATCTATTGATATGATTATATATTTTTCTTCTTTAGCCTGTTGAGGTGATGGATTGCATGAAGTGATTTTTGTTTATTTATTTATTTTTTGAGACTGAGTCTCACTCTGTCGCCCAAGCTGGAGTGCAGCAGTGCAATCTCGGCTCACTGCAACCTCTGCACCGCAGGTTCAAGCGATTCTCTTGCCTCAGCCTCCCGAATAGCTGGAATTAAAGGCACACACCACCACGCCCGGCTAATTTTTGTATTTTAGTAGAGACGGAGTTTCACCACGTTGGCCAGGCTGATTTTGAACTCCTGACCTCAAGCAATCCGCCCGCCTCAGCCTCCCAAAGTGCTGGGATTACAGGCGTGAGCTACCATGCCCGGCCTGAAGTAATTTTTGAATGTTGAGCCAGCCTTGCATACCTGGAATAAATCTCATTTGTCGTGGTGTATAATTCTTTTTCTACATTGTTGGATTTGATTTACCAATATTTGGCTGAGAATTTTTACATCTGGGTTCATGAAAAATATTGGCCTGTAGTTTTTCTTTCTTTCTTTCTTTTCTTTTTTTTTTTTTTTTGAGACAGAGTCTTGCTCTATTGCCCAGGCTGGAGTGCAGTGGCACGATCTCTGCTCACTGCAAACTCCGCCTCCCGGGTTCACGCCATTCTCCTGCCTCAGCCTCCGGAGTAGCTGGGAGTACAGGCGCCCGCCACCGCGCCCGGCTAATTTTTTGTATTTTTAGTAGAGTCGGGGTTTCACTGTGTTAGCCAGGATGGTCTTGATCTCCTGACCTCGTGATCCGCCCGCCTTAGCCTACCAAAGTCCTGGGATTACAGGCGTGAGCCACTGCGCCCGGCAGTTTTTCTTTCTTATAATGACTTTCACTGGTTTGTTTTGATATTAGGACAATGCTGACCTCATAGAATGAGTTAGAAAATGTTCTGTTTGCTTCTATTTTCTGAAAGAGATAATAGAGAATTGGTATGATTTCTCCCTTAAATGTTTGGTAGAATTCACTAGTAAAACCATCTGGACCTGGTATTTTCTTTTTTTGGAAGGTTATTAATTATTGAGTCAGTTTCTTTAATAGATATAGGTTTATTCATATTCTATGTCTCCTCGTGTGAGTTTTGGTAATTTATTCCCATCAAGGGATTGGCCTATTTCATATATTTTATCAAATTTGTAGGCATAGAGTTGTTTATATTCCTTTATTATACCTTTAATGTTTATGGGATCAGTAGAAATAGCTCTTCTTTAATTTCTAATATTAGTAATTTGCAGTTTAACTAGAGGTTTATCAATTTTACTCATCTTTTGAAAAAAATTAGCTTTTGATTATACTTTTTTTTTTTTTTAACTAAAAAGTAAACTTTAATGTCGAAAGTGCAAACCTGGGGAGGACAGAAAAGATCACACACAAGGTTGTCACTTCACACTTGGAAGGTTGCACAGCGGCCGGGCAGAGGCGCTCCTCACTTCCCAGACGGGGCGGCGGCCGGGCAGAGGCGCTCCTGACTTCCCAGATGGGGTGGCCGGTAAGAGGCGCTCCTCACTTCCCAGGCGGGACGGCGGCTGGACAGAGGTGCTCCTGAGTTCCCAGATGGGGCGGCGGCCGGGCAGAGGCACTCCTCATTTCCCAGATGGGGCGGCGGCCGGGCAGAGGCGCTCCTGACTTCCCAGATGGGGTGGCCGGTAAGAGGCGCTCCTCACTTCCCAGATGGGGCGGCGGCCGGGCAGAGACGCTCCTCACTTCCTATACGGTGGGCAGCTGGGCAGAGACGCTCCTCACTTCCCAGACAGGGCAGAAGCTGGGCAGAGGTGCTCCTCACTTCCCAGACAGTGGGCAGCTGGGCAGAGGCGCTTATGATTATACTTTTAAACTAGCCTTTATTATGCTTTTAATGATCATGAGATCAGTAGAAGTAGCTCCTCTTTTATTTCCAATATTAGTAATTTGTAACTTGACTAGAGGTTTATCAATTTTACTGATCTTGTGAAAAAACTAGCTTTTGATTTTGTTGATTTTTCTCTATTGACTTCTTGTTTCAACTTCCATTGATTTCTGCTCTAATATTATTATTTTGTATTATGCTTCTTTGGGTTTATGTTTCTATTTTTTCCTTAATTTCCTAAGGTAGAAGCTTAAATGATTGATTTTAGATCTTTTTTCTTTTTTAATGTGTGATTCAATGTTAGAAAATTTCTTCAAAACCCCACTTTTGCTGCATCCCATAAATTTTGATCAGTTGTATTTTCATTTTCATTTAGTTCAAAATATTTAAACATTTATTTGGAAAAATCCAGTCAACCTGGGATGCAATAGAACTATGAGCAGGAGAGAAGCCATATTGTTTTAAGCCACTAGGGATTTTTTTTTTTTTAAACTGTAGAAAACTTAGCCTATCCTGCTGGTAAATGAGGACAAAGGATTTTGTAAGTATAGCAGTCACAGTGTGTATTTCAGGCAACATAAACCAAATCTGGTTGATTTAAGAACGCACAAAAAAGAATTTATTAAAATGAGTATTGGTAGTTCAGAATATCTTCAGGAGGCCTAGAGTACCTGCATTGTGGGCTACACACCTGGAAGCAATGTTCCTAATCATGCAACAAAACTAAGGCAGTGAAGACACCATTGTTGCTGCAGTCCAGCACTGATGCTGTGATTGCCCTGCAGACACCTCCGACACTGGATGCTGCCCTGGGAACCTGGGAGTAGCTGCTGCTACACATCAACAGAGTGAATTCTCTCAGGTCCTGCCTCTTCACAATTCTTGCTTCCAATATAATGTCTGGGAAGGTGCCTATAGGTTAGTTCAACAGAAGGAAAACATCTGCTATAGTAAGCAACAAAATGATATAATTGAAAGAGCTCTAGACTGCAAGATGACCTGGGATGCAGTCCAGATGCTCAGTATGGTGAGCCTGAGCAAACCCCTTTGCCTTTCAGAGCTTGTAGGGTGGCATGAGGATGAAAGGAGATCAGTGGTTTGAGGGCAGTAAAACTTTCTATCAATGTACGTTATTATGTGTTTGCGTGACCAGGTGTGGTCAGCACAGTACCCAGCAACTAACCCACCACTAGGCACAGACTGGGCACTCAGTATTTAGAGCAAATAAAAAGTCTAAGCTTGTTCAGGTTAAAGATCTTGACCTCTCAATTTCTATCTTCCCTGCTAGAATGTAAGGACTTTTCTAGGGGTTTTTGTCTGCTTTCTTCAATGCCGTAGCTCCAGCTATAAAAGCATGGCCTAGAAGAGTGGGCCCTCAATAAATATTTGTTGAATGAGTGAATGAGTGAGGGAAATGAATGAATATCTCAATTCTGTCATCTGAGACCAGAATGTTTCTAGCCCAGACGCTTATTTCTAAGTTCACCTAGGAATGTTCTTCCTGACTTAGTTCTGCCCTTCTTCAGCTGCTGTAAAGGAGCTTCAAAAAAGTGTCCAACTGTCCAAGAAGCAAACTTCTGTCATTGTTTCTCTGTCACTGTCTTATGATAAGATCCTGCTGGGTGCTTTGAAAGGAAATTGGCCCCAGTCTCTACAATATTCTTTATAGCCCAATGACGTCTTTGCTTTTTTAGCTGTACTTTTCTCTTTCCAGTCTGGGTTATGATTTTCCCTTGCTCAGCTGGCCCCTAGCATAACTAGTCTAACTGCATCACGATCTACCTCTTACTGACAGTGATCAGCCCATAAAAGGACTGCCATTTGACTTATCCTAGTATCATACCCAAAAGTCACATCCTGACCACAGCGAACACAAGATAAAGGCTATTGGGCCTAGAAAAGACTTTGGAAGTCATCCAAGCTTGCTTCTTTTGAGGGAGACTCTGCATTTGCTGTTTCCTCTGCCAGCACAGCATCGTAGCATCTCCCCTTGAGATTTCGATGGCTAGCTCCTTCTTGTCATTGGAGATCTCAGTATAAAATTCACCCCCTCACACAGGTCTTCCCTGAGTGCTCCATCTGAAATAGCTACCCAGGACCTCTCCATCATAAGACTACATTTTAATTATCTGTCTATTGCTTACCATGATTTCACATACATGTTTATTCATTTATTCATCATGCAAGCAGATTAACAGCTCCTGGCACATACTGGGAGCTCAATAACATTTTTTGAATGAATAAATTCAGTTCAAGCCCCTGGGAAACTCAAGCCCAGAGAAGAAAAGTGACCTTAACAAGGTCACACAGCTCCTTAGTGGAACAGCATGGACTAGAACCCATGACCCTTGACTCTTGTCCAGTGCTTTTCCCACCATGCCAGTTTTCATAGATAAAGATAAAAAGAAGGAACATCTCTTGGGCCCCCAGTAGGTGTCAGTTTCTGTGGTAGTTGCTCTATACATGTCAGTCAAATTATCCTTATGATGACCCTATAATGTAGGTAGAGTTCAGATTTTTATAAATAAGGATAGAGAGTCTTTGCGATGCTAAGTAATTTGCCAGGTATCCCACTGCTATGGAGTGAGAGCTGGGATCTGACCCTAGCTTGGTCCGACTTTCAAGTTTTTTGTACTGCTTCAGCTGCGTGACATCTCCAGGTAACATTTGTGCTTTATTAGTATTTCTGTACAGTAAATCTAAGCAGTGAATAATAGGGAAATTTTAGGCACAATGGAAGGCTGACAGAAGGCATGGGGTAGGGAGGCTACACAGATTTCCTGTTGCCCTTCAAATCACACTGTAGAAGTGACATCTGTCTCTTTGTCTCACAAGTGAGGCTTACTGCTCTAGAGTCCTGGGATGCAACTGTCACACTGTGTGGGTAGCCTCCAAAGGTGTGTGATGCGAATGGCAGCTCTGCCTGGCTCCATTCAGTTTTCTCCTTGGGAGGACAAAGAAAATTGCGATGTGTGTAATTGATGCCCAAATGGCTAGAAAATAAAACATCTCATCAATGATTTATATATTTCCAAATATAAAATAAAACTTGTAGACCAAATGCTAACAGAGCCCATGCAGCCCTTGGTTTCTTCCACCTCTGTTTACAGCCTGAATCCCACATTTTTTTCTGGTTCTACCCATTCCTTTTTCCTCTTGAGCTCATGTTGCATCTACTTGGCTGACTCCTAACCTTGGGAAACTTATTTGTCCCTTTCCCCTGCTCTTTCTCCAGGTTGCAGAGTATTTTTGGAGTAATCACATAGCTCTCATCAATCTATGTTCTCTTGCTTCACCTGGGCCTTTGATGCAACTTAATGGAGTTTTTGCTCTGCTCTGGTTGCTGGTCTCTTCCCGTCCTCACTGTTGTAGTTAAAGCCATTCGTGATGCATTTAAAGATTTGAAGATGCTGGTCCAAGTGCACACACCTGGTTTGACAGTGTAGAGGGAGCTGCAGGACTCAGGGAAAGGTGTTCTCAGCACCTATAACAGTTTCTCAGGTAGTGGCAAAGAAAAGAATGGTAAGAAGATTCTGGCAGTTCCCTGGGCTTTTATTATAAAAATCCAAAAATGGCCTCATGGGCTCAAACTCTAGTAAAGGATTTAAGGGTCATTGTATTAGAGACTGCGGTCTTCCTTCCCTTGCTTGCTATCTCACTTTCCTTCTTTCTTTCCACAAAAGTTATGCACCTACTATGTGCCAAGCACCATTCTAGTTTCTGGAAAAGAAAAGCTAAAATCTCTGATATCCTGGAACTTTCATGTGGTAGTTGACTATCGTCATGTACTTTCTAAGGTGAAGCACCCTGAGTTCCTTGCATCCCAGGCACCCATTTGTTGGCTTCTCCTCCACTCATTAAGCTTAGTTACATTCTTGGGCTGTAACAACCTCTTGGGGCTCAAGTCTAGTTCACTAGATTTCTTTTTTTCAGAGACAGTGAAGAAGAAAGGCAAAAGCAATAAGCATGCAAAGAGAAGATACACCTGTTCAAGACAGAAACCCTCAAAGCAGCTCTTGTAGCAAACCAAACATTAAAAGTAATTTTGGTTGAGCTGAGATCTCCCTGAACTCAAAAGCACAGGTGTAGGGAGATGAGAGGGAAGAATTATCTCGGAGATACAGTAATAAGCTAATACAGTGTACATGACAACTTAGGGACTGAGAATTCATAAATATATTCATGTTTTCTTCCCAGTCAAATTGATTAAATATCCAAGCACAAAGACTGAAAGAGAGATTGAAACAGCAAGAGAGAGAAAGGAAAAGTGAGCTACAGAAGTTCTGGTAAAACATATCAACTCTGGACAAAGACTACTTCATCAAACGCATAAACAGCCACTGCCTGATACATTAGAATCTGGAAGTATCATAAATTAACTGCCAAGAAACTTTGCGAAAGGTCATATTTAACATTAATCAAGCTCTGGTAGTGGATATTTCCATGGCTAGAGGAGAGAGGAAAAGAGAGACTGCTTTCTCTGCATTGCATTTTCAAAATCACTTTCTAATTTTTCAGCAAGAGAAGAAAAAACCGATTTCTAGCTGACTTAGGGACAGAGATTTAATTCTCTCATCACCTGGGCATCCCTCAAATGTGAGTATTGAGGCATATGAAGGGAGGGGGCATGGCTGTTTATTTTCTGATTAAGTCCTTTTGAGTGCTTTCAGCCACAAGGTAGTCTTATTTTGAAAAGTGCCCACACATAGGTAAAGGGATGCCTGTGGAAGCCACCGAGTAAATGAGCAGCTTAGGAGCGGGGACACAGTCAACAGAAAGTTGAAGGAGAAAGAAAATGAACAATTGTCCTGTTGGCAGCCAGTTTGGGACAGAAGCCCACTTTCTTTTAGGCTATGGGATCTTGAGCCAGGATCTAAGACGCTGGGTCATTTAGTAGGACCATAGGAGATACTGGACTGACCATTCCTGGGTCTTAGCATCCCCTTCCTCTGAATGGGTGTGATAACATTTACCTAGAGAGTGGATAGCTAATGTGTTTACTCATCTTGGTGGGAAAGCAGTACCATAAATCCAGATCATTAATTTTCTGTGTCTTCTCTAAGATGACCATTTTCTTGATCTGACTTTATATAGATGATCTGTTTTTATTGCTGGTTACTTCAGATGCTTATCTATTCCTTTCTTGTCAATTGCCTTTTTTGATTGGAGATTCTAATTTGTCCCAAGACTGAGCTACGTTTATATGTGCTAAACTTATTCAACAGATAGTTAAGAATTTGCTTCATGTGTCAGGCTCTTATTTACATGCTGAGGGTGCAGCTGTGAACCAAACAGACAGAACTTTCTTCCCTCATAATACATAAATAAATAGGCTAAGAAACCCATTACATGGCAATATGACAAACATAAATAAATGAAGCGCATGGAAAGTTAGGAGGTGAAGAGTGCTACGGGAAGTGAGAGGAGGGTTTGGGAGTGCCTAGGGAGATATGGTTTTAAAGACTGGTCAGTGCAGCCTCATTGAGAAGGTGACATTTGGCCACGTGCGGTGGCTCTCGCCTGTAATCCCAGCACTTTGGGAGGGCAAGGCAGGTGGATCACCTGATGTCAGGAGTTCATGACCAGCCTGGCCAACATGGTGCAACCCCGTCTCTACAAAAATACAAAAATTAGCTGGGCATGATGGCAGGTGCCTGTAATCCCAGCTACTTGGGAGGCTGAGGTGGGAGAATTGCTTGAACCTGGGAGGTGGAGGTTGCAGTGAGCTGAGATCACACCAAGCCTGGGCTACAGAGCAAGACTCCACCTCAAAAAAAAAAAAAAAAAAGAAGATGACATTTAAACAAAGCCTTACAGGAGGTGAAGGAGGAACCGTTTGGGTGCTGAGGGACAGAGCATTCCAGGCAAGAGAATAGCAAGTCCTAAGGCCCTGGGAGCCTGGAGTGTACCTGCCGTGTTTGAGAAACAGCAAGGAGGCTGTGGTGGCAGGAGCACAGTAAAGGGGAGAAGCTAAAGAGGTGCCCAGGGGAGATTTTCTAGGGCCTGGCAGGTCAGAACAAGAATTCTGGCTCTTACTATGAAAGAAACAGAGTATCTTTGGAGAGTTTGGGGCAGAAGAGGCAAAATTTTCCTTACAAAATGACTCACAAAGATGTTTGCTTTGCGTTATTCAGATTGGCTCTAATCACAGAGAATAAAAAAGAACTCAACCTCTAAACTCATAGACACCAAGGAAAGCTGTGGGCAAGGTAGGGCTCTCCCCCAGCAGCCCCTCCTTTGTGCACTTTTGCCTTTGCACAAAGTCCTTGTCAGTGAGTGGCAACAAAGCATCGGCCAGGTGTTGTGGGGCAGTAAGACACTGATCCTGGACCAGGCTGGGACACTGGGCAGCCAGAGGCATAAATGGGGAACACTCAGAGACTCCTCCAGAGGTCCTGGGTGGGAGGCAGATGTGAAGGGTGACACCCCATTATCTCGGAGAGTGTGGCTGAAAGGCTAAGATTGTTCATTGCTGTTACAGTATTCACTCTCCCCTTCTTTGTCAACAAAACTCTGGCTTTATAAGGCATTGTCCAGCTTTCCTTGCATCCAGGGCTTCCAATTAGGAGCAAAAGCCACAGAATGGAGCTTCTAGGGGATCTTTTTAAAGGGGGCTAACTATACTCGAAGGTATGCCCCATTGCCCCTTTCCACTCCATTTCCTCCTGATGGCTGGAGCCACAGCAACTATCTTGCGACCTTGAGGATAAAAACAAACAGCTCAGGATGGCAGAAAAATAGAGAAGTCTGGATTCATGGTGCTTCCTTACCAATCATCTACTACTTACCTTTGGTTTTACTTTATGTGGGGGTGTGAAAGTTCTTAAGATGAAAATGGAGTCATTAATTAATATCAAGAAAAATCTAACATATAGAGCCAGAGAAGGCTATGTAGAGAGGTTTCTCATGCGTATATGCCTGATAACAAAAGCTATCACAGAAGACTGTAAAAACCACAACCTTGTGCAAAGGGCATTGTAACTTTACACACAAAAAAATCCTTCCGCAAGGACATCTGCCCAGCAACTGCCTGTTTAACCTCGGACTGGCATCATCCTTGTCGTTGGTCTTTGTAGCCAAGGATAATTATTTCAAAACAGTTATGCAATTCTCCTCATTTTCTCCTTTAAAAACCTTTGTCTTCCCATACCTCCCTGAATACATACATAGTTTACTATGGCATATGTATTTCCATTGCAATGCCTATTCCCAAATAAACACCTTTTCTTTTAGAGAACTTCTCTTTGTTATTTAGGTTGACAAAAGAATACAACCCTAATTTCTCTAAGCCACTGGTATTAGTAGATGAATGAAATTCCTAAATGATAAAGAAAGTGACTCACTTTGAAGGTCCTTTTGATCATTAGAAAGTGAACACTGCTCTAGGAGTTGAAAGAACTGAATTTGAGTTCTGCGTCGGATATGAATTCTCTGGATGACTTCGGCCAAATTATGTAATTATAGTGATAATGTTTACCACAAATTGTTTAATTCCTATGTTAAGTGCTTTATTTACTTCCTTATCGCATGTGAACCTTACAAACCATATGAGGGACATTTTCTCGTATACATTTTACAAATGAGAAAATAGAGACTTGTGGAGATCAAATTCAAGGTTATAGAGCAAGCAAGTTGTAGAGCTGGGGTTACAACCAAGTTCAGACTGGCTCCAAAGCCCTCGGTCTTAACTACTATGGAATATACTCTTATTTTCTCTGAAGCTCAGTTTTCTCCTCTGTACAATGGGCAAGAGGACTGGATAATGTTTGAACTCCCCTTGCAGCTCTGAAAACTCTGGAATATCTAGCCTTTTTTATGCAGTCTTGCCCGTCCGATCTTGATCTTGATCCCTCCTACTTCTGCCTGTTCCCCAAATTTCCAAATGGTGCCCTTTTCAAAGATGCTGTAATCAGAGCCCACATCTCTCCCTTGATCTTGAGAAGAGCTGCCAGAGGAGGCAGCCCCAGCCAGGGAGCACAGTGGGTGTTCAGAAATGTTCTGTGGGTGCCATGGCCCCAGCCTGCTCCTGCTTCTGTCAGCCCTGGAGCCGCCTTGCCTCGCCTCGCCAGGGGAGGCCGTGTCTCTGCACAATCTGTCTGTTCTGATGATCAAGGAGGGCCTTGGTGGAGCAGCGGCGCATGCCCTCCCAGGTGATAAAACTTCCCCGGGCACTCGGGAGAGGTGGGCTGCTGGTGAAATGTGAAGAACAAGCACTGTACTGTGTAAATACATTTACAGGATGGAACTGTTTCTTGGCCCTCTGGGGCCCATTTCCTGAGCTGCGTGGCAGGAACTGTCTTCCTCGGAATGATTGACAGGGCCGGTGGGGAAAGCTAAATAGATCTTGATTTCTTTCCTTGTGTTGGCACATTTACCTAATGAGCAGAAGGAACAGGCCTGGAGAGGCTCTGAGACCGGGGACCACAGGTGGCTTCACAGTGAAAAACTCTTGCTCTTGCCGTGTGGAAATATCCAGCACTCTCTGCTCCACATTCCAGTTCTCTGTGGTCCAGGACAAGCAGTGCCCTCATTTCCCTTCATGGGGCAGACAGGAAACTCCCTTTGGGACTTGCCTGGGTTGGGGTGATGTTGTTTGGCTGTTGCATGGGAAAGACCTCTCCCATCTCAGCATCCTGTCACCCCAGCTTGATGGGGGCTGAGGGTGTGGTGAAGTTGATGGTTATGCGATGGTGGTGCTGATGGAGGCACCCATGGTGGCACCTCCACGTGATTAGTGCACCACCTGCCCTTTTGATGAAAATAGTGGCATTCAGGAGTTTTTTATGTGTGCAGCTCGGCCACGCAGGCCACAAAGGGAGAACGTGGCTCCTCAGCAGTCGAGGGGCACTGTCTTAGTTCATTCAGGCTGCTGTAATAGAACATCATGAACTGGGTTACTTATGAAGAACAGACATTTGTAACATTTTTCATAGTTCTGGAGACTGGAAGTCTGAGATCAGGGAGTCAGCAGGGCAGGGTTCTGGTGAGGGCCCTCTTCTGGGCAGATTGCCAGCTTCTTTTATTGTATCCTCCCCAGGAGAGAGTGGGGAGCTGAGGCAAGCTCTCTTGTGACTCCAAGGGCACCAAACTCATGACCTCTTCCAATCCTAATCACCTCCCAAAGGCTCCTGCTCCTAAAAGCATCACATCAAGGGGGTGGGTAGGGTTTCCACATATGAACTTTGCAGGGGCACAAACATTCAGTCCATAGCAGGCACTCAGCCAGGCCAGAATATTGAAATATTTTAGATTCAGTCACTGTGTCTGGGAGATGGAAAACAGCTCTTTAGTTTAGCCTAGAGAAGGAAGAGGAGTCAGGGTCTGGTGCTCCTAATAGCCAATGATGGCTGAGTGTAAGAGTCTCTGTGTTTCATTCCTTCCTCCATCGGGACCAAGATGGTGTCTGGTTTCACTGTTGCTCAGTGATTGGTCTGGAGTCCTTTCTCATGGGTAGGTCTGTGACTTCCAATTCTTTGGTATCTCTCTTTTCAGGGTAGGCTCTTGGTTAAGGGCTTGCTGATATGGGAGAATGTAGCTCTCAGCAAATCTACATGAACAGCTGGGAGGAAACCGCTGCTTGGCAGGAGGGGCCATGGTTTTGTTCTTCTCTTTTGAGAAGAGCAGCCCTGCCATCCTTCTGTTTGGTAAAATGGGGAGGAAGAATTCCTGGCATGAAGACACATCAGTCAGCAGACCCCTGACTTCCAAGAAGTAGCAGACACTCCAGCTTCTGAGTGGATTGGAGAGATCCCTGGAGATGAATTGGAGATGCACTCGTCTCTGCCGGCCTCCCTGGGCAGGAGGTGTCTGATTCCCTGGTTAGTCTCCACCTTGAATTTCTACAGTTCTTCACTTTGGTCTCTAGGGGAAAGAAGCCAGACAGCTGGACTTTCCTGAGCTGGAATGGCTGTTGCTGAGGCTTTGGCATCTTCATTCACAACTTTTCAAGGGCTTGCCCTTTTGACCACTCAGCTTCCCATTCCTCTCTCAGCCCCAAGAACAGCAGGTGTACAAAGCTGCACGGTTGTCATTCCCGGGGAGATTCTTTTCTATTAGCTGGTGCTGAAGGAACTTGGAAATGGATGAGTTTTCCCCCAAACTCCAGGTCCAGCTTGGATTTCTTCTAGCTTAGAGATTCAAATACGTGAGGGCTTATAACTGGGAACTTTGTGTCTGTGGAGGACAACTGTGAGAATGTGGAGGCTGTCCAGGGAACAAGTCAGCGTGAACCCAGGACAGAGGGAACAAGCTTCTAACACTGACAACAAATGAGATGAGTCCTTCTGCCTAGCCAACTTTAAGGCAGCCACAGCAGCACCTTGCAAGCCTCTACTAAGGCTGGATCTGAGGCCCTGCCCAGTGCATGCTTCAGAACTAAAGCACGGAGATAAGACAGCACTAGAACTGGATTCCCACCTAGGGTTTTCACTGAATAAGAGCAAGAAGGGATCTCAATGATTATCTGTTTTCAACAGCCTTATTTTACAGAAAAGAAAACAGAGTCCCGGGGAAATAAGAAAAACATTAGCAAATACCTTTGTATTGCTTACTTTGTGCCCATTTCTGTTCTAAGCATTTCCTCATTTCATCCTCACAAAAGCCTACAAGGTAGATATTGTTATTATCTCTGTTTTACAGATGAAGAAACTGAGACAACAGGGTCTAGTAACTGGCATAAGATGGAAATGAAATAGTGTCCAACCTCTCAAGCCCTTTGCTAAGTCGCCCTGGCAGTTGATCGGAGTCTAGATCCGCAATCCATAGTCCAAGCTTTCTGAGCTATCCTATCCTTCTAGATTTGCACTATCCAATGTGAAAGCCACTAGTCACCTGCAGCTATTGAGCGCTTGAAACGTGGCTTGTCCAAATGGTGATGTGTTTCAAGGACCTAGATAAAAAAAATAAGAATGTAAAGTATATCGTTAATATTTTTCATATTGATGACATGTTGAAGTGGCAATCTAATGGCTCTATTGGTTTCAATAAAATGTATTATTATAATTAATGTCACCTGTTTCTTTTTACTCATTTTTATGTAAGTACCTCATGTTTTAAGATCATATGTGGCTTGCATCTGTGGCTCCCATGAAATTTAACACTGCGTATGTGTGTTAGTCCGTTCTTGCATTGCTATAAAGAAATACCTGAGACTGGGTAACTTATAAAGAAAAGAGGTTTAATTGCCTCATTGTTCTGCAGGCTGTACAGGAAATATAGCAGCATCTGCTTCTGGGGAGGCCTCAGAAAGCTTACAATCATGGCGGAAGGTGAAGAGTGAGCAGGCACGTCACATGGAGAAAACAGGAGCAAGAGAGGAGGGGAGGTGCCACATACTTTTCAACAACCAGATCTTATGAGAACTCACTATCACAAAAACAGCACCAAGGGAGTAGTACGAAACCATTCATGAGAAATCCGCCCCCATGATTCAATCCCCTCCCGCCAGGCCCCACCTCCAACACTGAGGATTACATTTCAACATGAGATTTGGGTGGGGCTAATTTCCAAACTATATCCATATGTGACTTGTGTTTGTGGACAGCACTGGCTGGCAAGCAAACCCTGAGAATCACAGCACCGCAGAGGCTGCGTCCCTGCTCCAGCCCCAGTAACTGCAGTGCTCCACAGAGAGGGCACCTCACCCACCCTTGGCCTTCTCTGCATCTATAACTCATACTGCTGTTCTGAGGCTGTGCTAGAAGCCTCCTCTGACACCACTGGGATGGCATCATCAGGAGAAGGATACACCATCAAACTCTTTGGAGGTTAGTGAGGCTTAATGGAAAGGGCGTGACTTCCACAGATCCACGTTCGGATCCTGGCTTTAGTATGTGCTATTTACACTCTGAGCATCACTTTTCTTATCTGGAGAATGGGGACAATAATACATCTCAGAATTTTTCTTTTCCATCCTGCATTTTCAGAGGATGGCTTTCTCTACTGCTTGCAATAGCACATTCTAACGGTTAAAATCAAAATTACAGAAAACATTGGGGAAAATAGTCCCTGATGCTTTTTCGCTTTCTGATTTCTTTGGTAACTTTGAACATGTGTGAGCCTCAGTTTTCCACTCTGAAGAATGGGAGCCCCCAGGAGACAGACCCTGCACTTACTGCCCAGCGATGGTTGAAATTCAGATGCCAACTAGTAGTGGTCAGTGCAAGTGGGAGAAGAGTGCCCTGGAGTAGCTTCCAGGTTATTGTTTTTTCTTTCCATCTCCTGTTTATGAAGCTCAGCTGGCATTGCCACTAGCTTGGGCCTGGGTCAGATGCAAGGTGTGAATCTGGGACCAGGAAGGCCCAAACTATCCTGGCAATCAGAGTGGCTGAGGTGGGGCCATATCCCATGTATTTGTCTGGGGAGAAAGGAATAATCTCTGCATTTACCCTGGGCTGTCATTCAGAACATGTGTGCGAGGTAGGCACCCAGGCTAGCCCCAGCTTTCTTATACATCTCTAGGCTATGCCTGACTGTAGGACCCCTGTGGAGTGTGGAAGTGAAGTTCTATTGGTAAAACATGGTAGAAGTGCACATCTATTCAAATCAGCAAAAATGCACTCAAATCCCAAGTCTAAACTTGTTTGTTATGTGACTATGGACAAGTCATCTAATCTCTTTAAGCCTGTCTCTTAATTTTGCAAGGAAATATCTAGCTCATATAGTAGTTGTAAGATAAATGACATAATATAAAGTGCACATTAAAAATGTGCATTGTGGAAAAGACAAATGAAAACAAAAAATACATGCATTGTGGGCAGTCATTAACTGGCAAGTATTAACATGGAGCCATGTCTCTTATTTCCAGTGCAACAATGATAGGAACATTTTCTCCACTTGGTTGTAAAGAGTGCTGTGTTTGTCCATAAGGATGCAGCAGCATTTGCCTACCGAAGGAAAAGTGAAATGACAAATGCTTGCTAACCTCTTCGCTTCCCCAGTTTATACTCTTCCCTTAACACTACCTGTTTGATGGTCTCAATCACAAACAAGCTTGAGAAACAGAATCATTTCCTTTTCAGGAGTCTACAGGTAAAAATCAGCAGGTATAAGGACAATTTGGGACTAATTTCAGCCCCTACCTGATTTTGAGCAAATAAATGACTCACGACATGCCCTTGGCCAAACCATGGAGCCTCTTGGGGCTTCAGCTTCCTCTTTAATAAAATGGGATGAGTAATCCTTGCCTCGCCTTCATTTTACAAGCATGTAACAAGGATGAATCAAGTAATGGCTGTAGAATCCTTTGAGGTCCTTGGAGAAATACTTGCTATATAAATGCAAAGTATGATGTCCATTTCTATTACATTGTGTTTTGCAAATAAATATATAAGCCTATGGCACATCCATGTCAGTGCCTGTCTGGCCAGCCATTTGCCATGTACATCTTTTAATCATCTCCATACATTTATTCATTGAAAGCATATTCCAAATCTGTAATGCATGGGTTATTATTATTATTTTTTCTTTTTGGAAGCCCAGGGCACATGTCTGTTCTGCCTCATTTCAGCTGCTGGGAATTCTGACAGATCCATTGTTGGTGATATGTGCACGGGGGGAGGTTTTCAATATCATCAGAGACCTAGATCCAGACCAAAGAAGGTTTCATGTTCATCGTCCTTCCCATTCCCTTTTCCTGACCCTCTTAATTGAGCTGTTCAGAAAAGAGGCCCTGTCATTCTTTTGAAAAATAGCCTGCTTGTCCCTTCCTAAAAACTTTAACCAGGTTGCTCCCTGATTCAGAAGATAAAAGAACAGATTGTGGAATGTACTTTGAATCATGTAACACTTTAGAGGCTATTAGTTGTTGTCGATTATCTCCGGGAATAACCAGCATCCTTTCCCCTGTCTTTTACTATCATATGTCTTTTGTCTAATCCAGATCTCTTTTCTTAACTCTGGATCCTGTTGTACAACTACCCCCTGTGTGTCCTACAGGCACCTTAGACTCTAAATATCTAAAATCAGACTTTCCATCTTCCCTTCGCATCAGCTCTACTCTCTACATTCTGTCAAGACCCCAGTAATCAAGGCTAAAGATAGGTGAGGTGGTGATTTCCTAGTCGTGGTTCTGAAGCTTCAGGGTTTATACTTAGGTGAATCGCAACTCTGAAGGCTGAGTTTTCTTCCTTTTTAATAAAAATACATAGAAATTTGGCCCATGGGGTAAAAGTGAGTAGTATTGGGAAAACACTTTCATGTTTAAGAAGTCTCCTGTGTCTTGTACTCAAAGGTAGACAGCTGGAGTCCTCTGGGCTTCTGCCTCTTGAGATCACCTGTATTCATTGCATATTGATCCTTCTCCAAAAAGCTTCATGAGACCTGATTCATGTTCACAAAATCTTCAGGACCTGAAATTTGGAACTTCTGAATCTTTTGGCTTTATAGAAACCAAAGAGGAACTTCTAGTTCAGTGTTCTCTTGAAAGGCTTAGACCTCAAGCGTTCTGTTACCCAACTGTCTGATTGTTTTGACTAAATGTTGGCATACCTAGGGTAAACCTCTGGCCATTCAAAATTCAAAGTCTCTCTTATTGAGGTCTCTTCCCTGCTGTCCTTTTTAAAAATGCAAGTGGCTGGGCATGGTGGTTCACGCCTGTAATTGCAGCACTTTGGGAGGCCGAGGCGGGTGGATCACTTGAGGACAGGGATTCAAGACCCGCCTGACCAACATGGCAAAACCCTGTCTCTACTAAAAATACAAAAATTAGCTGGGTAGGGTGGCATGCGCCTGTAATCTCAGCTTCTCAGGAGGCTGAGGCAGGAGAATTGCTTGAACCTGGGAGGTGGAGGTTGCAGTGAGCCAAGATCACGCCATTGCACTCCAGCCTGGGCAACAAGAGTGAAACTCTGTCCCTCCAAAAAAAAAAAAAAAAAAAAAAAAAAAAAAAAAAAAAAGTAGATTCTTTCCTAAGCTTTCCTGCCTTCTCACTCAAGGCAGTGTCCCCAAGTGAGCTCATCCTCTCCCATATCTTTTACTGTCATATCTCTTTTTAAACCCAAACCTCTTTCCTTGCCTCTGGATCCACACATCTAATTGCCTGTTGTACATCTTCCCCTGTGTGTCCTACAGGCACCTTAGACACTAAACGTCCAAAGTCAGATTCGCCATCTTTCCTTTCCATTAGCTCTACTTCCTATATTCTTTGCCTTGGCTTTTGTCAACTAGTACACAAAGTAAGCCAGACACTAATGATATTGAGCACATTTTCATCTCTGCATGTTACCCACATGAACCTTTGTGTGTGTGTGTGAAGTGCATGCTCAATTGCATGTTCTTTTGCCCACCTTTTTCCTAATTATTTTTAGGAATTCTTGATATAAATCCTTACTTCAAGCTGGGCATGCCTGTAATCCCAGCACTTTGGGAGGCCGAGGTGGGTGGGTCACCTGAGGTCAGGAGTTTGAAACCAGCCTGGCCAACATGGCAAAACCCTGTCTCTACTAAAAATACAAGATTTAGCCAGGCGTGGTGGCATGTGCCTGTAGTCTCAGCTACTCGGGAGGCTGAGGCAGGAGAATCACTTGAACCCTGGAGGCAGAGGTTGTAGTGAGCCAAGACCGTGCCACTGCACTCCAGCCTGGGCAACAAGAGCGAAACTCTTTCTCAAAAACAAAGAAACAAAAATCCTTAGTTCGATATATGTTTTATAAAATAAGTTCTTCCAGTCTGTGGTTTACCTTTTCTCTTAATAATGTCTTTGAGTAGGCCGGGCATGGTGGCTCACGCCTATAATCCCAGCACTTTGGGAGGCTAAGGTGGGTGGATTACCTGAGGTCAGGAGTTTGAGACCAGCCTGGCCAATATGGTGAAACCCCATCTCTACTAAAAATACAAAAATTAGCCAGGCCTGGTGGCAGGCACCTGTAATCCCAGCTACTCGGGAGGCTGAGGCAGGAGAATTGCATGAACCCGGGAGACGGGGGTTGCAGTGAGCTGAGATGGCGCCATTGCACTCCAGCCTGGTCAACAAGAGTGAAACTCTGTCTCAAAAACAAACAAACAAACAAAAGTCTTTGAGTAAACATGAGCTTTTACGTCCAATTATCAATTGTTTATTTTATGGTTAGTGCTTTTTATGTCCTGTCAAAAAATATTTGGCTACCATATGTTACTATTCTCATTTTGGAAATTTAAAAGACAGTATTTATTTGTTTATTTATTATTTAGTTTTTATAGAGACAGGGTCTCACTATGTTGCCCAGGCTGGTCTTGAACTCCTGGGTTCAGGTGATCCTTCCGCATTCTATTGAATGATACATCACATTTTATTTGGTCATTTCCTGTGGATATTTAGGTTGTTTTCAAATTCCAAAGCTTTGTCAATAAGCAATGGTGCAAAACATCCTTGGATGTGTCTTTTTGTGATACATATTTCTTTAGGGTACATATCAAGGATAATATTGTTGAGTCAGAGATTATGTACATTTGAAAATTTGAATAGACACTGCTATATTGCTCCCAAAGTAATTGTGCTGATTTATGTTCTCAGAGCCTTTAAGTTTTAATTCAAATTTCTAAGACTTGAGATTTTGATAAACCTAGCATGACTGTTGAACAGATTTTTTTCTCCAGGCTACCATATAGACTACTGTGCAGCCCAGGGATTGGCTGTCATTGGATCAGGTGCCCACCGGGATCTAATTATCAGTGGCAGGAGAGGGGGAGTCAGGTGGTATGAAACTCATTGACTAAGGCTGCCACAAGCAGGTCTGAGCCAATTTTCCTTAGAAGTGGCTCAACAAGGCCAGGAGTTCGAGATCAGTCTGGGCAACATGGAGAGACCCTATATCTACTAAAAATAAAAACAAAAATTAGCTGAGTATGGTGGTGCATGCCTATAGTCCTAGCTACTGGGGAGACTGAGGTGGAAGGATCACTTGAGCCCAGGAGCTGGAGGTTATAGTGAGCTATGATTACATGACTGCACTCCAGCCTGAGTGACAGAGTAAGATCCTGTCTCAAGAAAAAAAAAGTGACTCACCAAGTCTCCTATAATTCCAAAGTACTTTTGCATCTACAGTTTCAATATCATATATTTGCTGGAAAGTTAAAATGAGATCATAATATGACAATATTTTAGAAAACAAAATACATGATGGCCTTATTATTATTATTTAAAAATATTTTAAAAACTACTCTGCTAGGTATGTGGGAAAATACCTGTATCAGCATGTCACAGATAAGAGCTAATGGTTATTGAGTGCTTCCTTTATGACGGGCAGTAACCTAAGTGCTTTGCATGTACTGACTTATTTATCTTCATGATAATCCTATCAGGTAACATTACTTTATCTCCATTTCACAGATGAGGTGACCAGACAACAGAGAGGTTAAGTGACTTTCCTAAGTTCACACAGCTTTCAGATGGCAAAGGTGCGGTTTGTGCTCAGGTTATCTGATCCCTGATGTCATTATCCCACAACTCCACTCTGAACAGATGGGAAAGAGCAAGTGAGCAAATGGCTTGTTCCATTCTGCCATGAGGACTAAACTCAGATTTTTTTCTATCTTGCTCTAATTCCTATCTAAGGGGTCTGGGGAGTAGTGCCCTACAAATCATAAATTCTCATCAGATGGGTTTTATTTAACCCTATATATCATGACTTTCCAACCTGACTCTGGCATAACGTTACGAGACAAGAAAGAAAATAAAAATATTTTGTGGAAACATGTTTCTTTGCCGTGTTTAAAAATGGCCCTGCAAAGCTGTCCTTTGTAGGGGAAAATGTGCATCTGTAAAGAATCTCTATTACCATAGCTAGATCTCTTTTTTTTTTCCAGACCCTCCCAACCCTGAAGAGATTAGCTAAGATCTGAATAGGAAATATTTGTCATCTATTGTCTCTAAGGGCAGCCACTATAAGACTTTGAAAGAACTTTGGTCTCCACAATCTTTTAGCTTAACCAGAACATTCCCTTTCTATCAATCCCAGGTCTTTAGACAAACTCAACCAATTGTCAACCAGAAAATGTTTAAACTCACCTGTAGCCTGGAAGTCCCTGCTTTAAGTTGTCCCACCTTTCTGGACCAAACCAATGCATTTCTTAAAGTGTATTTGATTGATGTCTCATGCCTCTCTAAAATGTATAAAACAAAGCTCACCTGGACCACTTTGGGCACATGTTCTCAGGACCTCCTGAGGGCTATGTCATGGGCCATGGTCACTCATATTTGGCTCAGAATAAATCTCTTCAAATATTTTACAGAGTTTGACTCTTTTCGTCGACAGCCGTCACCCGTAGGGGACCCTGACCTGTGCTCTGCCCACTCTCGACACCATCTTCAACCCTTTCCTGGGCTGCCCTTGTTTGGCATTAGGGCCCTGATAGCCGAAAGTCCCGCCCACTCCTCCCAGCTCCCTCCTGCCTCCTTCTGGGAGCCTGTGGCCGATGACTCTTCTTCTTGGCCCTTTTATCTCTAAATAAGTAAAAGGAATACTTTCCTCCACTACCCACATCTCAGGCTGATCCTTGCCTTTTTATTTATTGAGCAATGAATGTAAGTGACTGAAATCAACCAATGCTTATCAAAACCCTTGCATCAGCTAATCCTTGGGGGAAAACAGAGTTAGGAAGAGAGTTTGCTCAGGGCCACAAGCAATGCGTTTGATGATGGCAGGGTCAGCACCAACCCTTCAGGGCAGGGAGGACTAGCCCAGGCTTGCCTCCTGTCATTCTTGGAAGTGGGAGAGGGAGCTACAGTTTCCACAGTCTCTCTTTGCTGAGGAAATGCAGGAGCTCTATGACTTGGTGTTGCAATTTCTTTTTATCAATTCATCCTTCTACTGTCTCTTATCTGGAGATTTCCTGTCTCCTTGATTATGATGATCCTTGGAATGAAAGGCTTAAAAAAGAACTTGGATTTCACCTTATATACACATTTCTATCTGGTAATAAAAGATGAGGGGAACGAAACTAGCCACCATTCACCCAGAGAGTGAACAACATTTAAAACTCAGAGGCTGACATGCCACTTAGGTTTGGCTCATTGAAGACATTGGGTTAATGACTTCTCTGAAAGGAAAAGTTTTACTCGTATCCCCTATTTATTCAATGGTTTTCTAATTGGGCACCTACTATGTTCCGGGTATCAACACTTAATTGGAGGGGCATAATTAGTAACCAAAAAGGCACGCTGCTCAGATTTTAATTGAATCACTCAGGGGTTTTGTTAGAGTGCAGATTTTGATTCAGCAGGTCTTGGGTGTGGGGTCTGAGAGTTTGTGTTTCTAAGTGGCCCCTCGGTGATGCAGAGGGGGCTGTGACAGAACAGGGACTAGGGTAGCATTGTTTAACTCACATGGTATGTCTGGCCAGGCCCTTTCTCCCATAGGTCACTTCTCCCTACACCTGGGTTACTTGGAGCCAGCGTCATCTCCAGCTCTGACACTATGCTGTCTATAGTTAAGAGCCAGGAAGAACAGAGCGCTTCTAACAGATGAGCTTCTGCCTTGCCTGGGAACCTGATCCTCACTTCGTATCCTGGTTCTGGCTTGTTCTTTGGGTCTCAGTGTTTTTACGTAGTCCAAGGAAACTCTGGCCCACCAGACAGAAGTCCTGCCTGGCTCTTGTTCACTCCCATTCATGTGACTGGGATGGGGCCCTCGCTGGGAGATTTCTCTGATGATGCTGGTCTGATAGGCTGCGTGGATCTTTGGGTAGTTCCTGAGTGCCCCCACCGCCAGGGGCCCTGCTCTGCCCACCTTTTGCCCACCATATGCTGCCTGAGACTTCCAGGTCCTGTCTGACCTGAAAGTCCAGGTCCAGACCTTCCTCATGATGCCCTGTCCTACTGGAGGACACTACCCAAGTGATGGGGGCCTTGGCTAACCAGGTGTGATGCTCTGATGATCTCATGGAAGTCTCAGGTAAGCAAGGCCTTTTTAGCTTCCCAGGGGTTACTCTGGCCTCATCACCCCCAAACTTCAGTGAGCCGAGTCCAGCTCAGACTTATCTTAGGCCTGGCAGCCTGCAGCTCTAACCTGAGCCCTAAGCCACATCTCGGTCCCACCATTGCAGTAGGAGGAGGGCAGTCAGTCACACCAAGAATGGATCTGCCACTTACCAGTGTGTGACTTGTGAAGTAACCTAACCTTTGTAGGTCTTCCGACATCATCTTCTGCTACTCTCCTATTGGTTGAGTTTCTTTCATTTTAGGGCCTGTACTACTCAGCTAGGGCCACTGTGACAAAATACCAGAGAATGCATGGCTTAAAGAAGACATTTGTTTCTCACAGTTCTGAGGGCTGAGAAGTCCAAGATCAACATGCTGGCCAATTTAGTTTCTAGTGAGGGTTGTCTTCCTGGCTTGCAGACAGCTGCCTTCTCACTGTGCCCTTACATGGTGGAGTGGGGGTGCTGGGGTGGGGGGAGGAAGAGAGAGAGAGAGAGAGAGAGAGAGAGAGAGAGAGAGAGAGAGAGAGAGCGAGCGCACTCAACTCTTTGGCATCTTCTCATATAAGGACAGTAACCTTATCAAATTAGGACTCCGCCCTATGACCTCATTTAAGCTTAATTAAGCATGAATACCGAATTACTTCCTTACTCCAAATATAGTGAGGGCACTCGACTCTTTGGCATCTTCTCATATAGGGACAGTAACCTTATCAAATTAGGACTCTGCCCTATGACCTCATTTAAGCTTAATTAAACATGATTACCAAATTACTTCCTTACTCCAAATATAGTAACACTAGGGGTTGGACTTCAACATATGAATTTTGGGGGGATACAATTCTGTCCATAGCAGGGCCTTTGCTCTAGCTGTTCTCTGTACCTGGAAAGCTCTTCCCCAGGTTTTCTTAATGGGTGGGTAACTCTGTCATTCACACCTTTGTTAGGATGTCACCTGCTCTGAGAGGCCTTCTGTAACCATCCACTCTAAAGTAGCCATACAGTCACCCTCTATCAGGTTACCTTGTTTGTAAATACTATTCTATGGAGTACTTATCGCTTTTATGCTTTTAAAAATTCAATTTATTTTAGGAAGCCTCCTATCTCCCCATCCTCCACTAAACAGAAGCTCCAGAGAAATAAGGACTTTGCTGGCCTCTGTCTTGAGACCTTAGAACAGTGCATGACACAGAGCAGGTCCTCATTAAACATTTGTTGAAAAGTAAGCAAGCAAATTAACACAGTTATTACTACCAGGGAGGTGGCAGGCTGGGAGTGGGGGCAACGTGTAAAGAGGCCCAAAGTCACTTGCCCTAATATAAGAAGGTACGTGGGTTATGAGACAGAGAGAAGGGAAGCCTGATTCTGCTGGATCTGTGCGAGGAGGATTGGGGAAGACTTCACAAAGATGGACCCTCTATGCTGCATGTCAGAGTGACACAGAAGAGACGAGAAGAAAGGTATTCATGTCCTATGGAGAGGGAGGAGCATATGGGAAGTCATGGAGGGAAGGGAGTATCATGGTCAGGTGCCTGGGAGTGGTTTAGGGTGGCCTAAGATAGCATGTCTGCAGGGGAGGGGCAGCCAACTTGGGGCCATGGAGTACCGCGGGTTCCATGCTCAAGAATCTCATCCTACAAGAGACAGGGAAGCCTCTATGGAGATTGAGGCTCCCAACTACAGAGGTACACGCTCTGCCCTGGGCTGCCCACAGTCTGTATTCTGTCTCCCTAGTGCTGACCTCGATCCATTGGACATCATGAAATTTGTCTATTTCTCATAGTTCACTTACAGACTAGGAGCTCCTTGAGGGCAGACACCCTACTGTATTCCTTTTTGTTTTGTTGTTGTGCTCACTCTATACCTGGTTATTGAGGCTAGCATCTAGTGTCATCAAGTTGGTGACTTTATTTAGTAGGAGTCAGAAAGCCACTTCTAACCCAGGCATCCGGGGTAGCAGTTGTCCCACTTTGAGAGTATGGAGTGCGTCGTTGGGCTGAACTGTGTCACATGGCCTACTGCCACCTTGACTGGCTCCCAAGAGAGGGTGGGTTTCTCGGAGAAGCAGCTCTGGCGGTGTCAACAGGCAGGTAACTTATAATGCTGGCAAGAGCAAGGAGAAAAAGGATTTTTACTGAGTTTCATGGCTGTGCTCTGAGAAAGTCTCTACTTGATCAGCACCAGCAGAACAGGGTCTTCCTCCTTGGAGAGGCCGATGACCATTGACAAATGAATATTCAAGACCTAATACAATCATTTCTATTCACTTCAGAGATGGCAAAGGGACGCATGGAAAAGTGACTCCCGGGACTTTAGCTGTGAGATTCCCACTTGATTTCTGACTGTTGACCCAAATATGACCCTCTAACAGCTGGTCTTTCCTGGTGGGCACTTATCCTTTGTTTGCTACCAGGTTACAGGGGTGAGAGCCACTGTGTACCAAACTTGGGAGCCCCCTCCTAACCCCTAGGCCCTCTGGCCATCCTGTGTATTTAGAACCATATCTGGGCCCCAGTGCCAATGCTGGCATGCTGGTCCCCAGCCGCATGCTAGAGGGATTCTTGCCTGGGTGCCTTGTTGAACCAGACAAGGGGTCTTTCAAGGCACTCTCTGTCCTGGATCCTGGTGTCAGGAGTGCAGACATGCTAGTGTGATGACCACCATGCCACAGCATGACCTGGTTCTGTGGAGAGTGTCATGTAAATCGGTAGTAAACCAAAGGGATCCTCAGGTACTGTGGACTGTGATGTGGTAGATGGTAGTCTGTGACTTCCAGTATTGGCTTGTGCTCACACCAAGAGAGCCAGCAGCCCTTTGTTGGTGTCCCAGGACATCAGGCCACTTAATTTGCTGCTTAGCCCCTAGAGTAGTGGTTCTCAACTTTGGCCACATATTGAGATCTTTGGGGGAATTTAAAAAAATTCTGATGCCCAGGATACATCTCAGACCAATTAAATAGTATCTGTGGGGCTGGAACACACATCAGTATTTTTTAATTGAATTCATTGAGGTGTAATTTGCATACAATGTAATGAACACTTTTAAGTGTATGATCTGATGAGTTTTGACAAATGTATACACTTGTGTAACCATCACCAGGGCAATCAAGACATAACATTTTCATCACCCCAGAACATTCCCTCATGCCTCTTTGCAGCCAATTCCCTTCTCCCTCTCCCAGGAAACCACTGATCTGCCTTCCATCACTTAGATGGGTTTTTCTTTTACTAGAATTCCATGTAAATGTAATCTTACTTTGACATCTTTTGTGCAGCAAAATGTTTTTGAGAATCATTTGTGGTGTTGTGTGATCAGTATACACTCCTTCTTGTGGCTGAGTAGTGTTCATTATATGGAATAAATACAACAATGTGTTTGCTAGTTACCTGTGGTTGACATTTGGGTTATTTCCAGTTTTTAGCCATTATGAATATGCTGCTATTAATATAAATATTCATGTGGACTTTGTGGGAATATAGATCTTCAGTTCTCTTGGGTAAACATGTAGGAATGAAACTGATGGGTCATATGGTAAAGTGTGTGTTTACCTTCATAAGAAATTGCCTAATTATTTTCCAAAGTGGTTAATCCATTTTATAGTCTTACCGGCAGTGTCTGGGAGTACCAGTTGTACCTTGCCAATAGTTGATATTTTCTTGCCAATAGTTAATATTTTCAGGCTTTTTAATTTTAGCCATTCTTGTGGGTGTGTGGTGCTATTTAATTTTAATTTGCATTTCTTTGATGACTAATGATATCGAGCATCTTTAAATTTGTTTATTGCCTATCCATATATTTTCTTTTGTAGCATATCTTTTTTTTGCTTTGAATTGTCTTATTCTTATTAATAAGATTCTTGATTCTTAATAAGTTCCTCTGGGGTATATTTAAATTTAAATTTGTATTTATACATATGATACACACACACACACACACACACACACACACACACACACACACATATAGCAAATGTTTCTCCCAGTCTGTGGCTTGCCTTTTTATTTTCTTAATAATGTCTTTCAAAGTTTAAAATTTGTCATTTTTTTCTTTTGATATTCATACTTTTTGCATCCTAAGAAATACTTGCCTATCCCAAGTTGCAAAGATTTTATCCTATATTTTCTTCTAAAATTTTTATAGTTCAGGTTTTATGTTTAGGTCTATGATCAATTTCAAGTCAATGTTTTTGTATGATGTAAGAGATAGGTCAACATTCATTTTTTTTCCGTATATGTATTCAATTGTCCCAGACCATTTATAAAAAGATTATCCTTTCTCTACTGAATTATGTTGTCACATTGTAAAAAATCAATTAGCCATATATATGGGTCTGTTCCTGGACTTGCTCTTTTGGTCCATGGTCTATATGTCCAACCTTACTAATATACACTGCCTTGATTATTGTAGCCTTGACATCGGTCAGTGTAAATTCCCTAAGTTTATTCTTGTTTTTCTAAATTGTTTTGACTGTTTTAGACCCTTTGAATTGCCATATGAATTTTAGAATCAGTTTGTCAATTTCCACAAAAGAAGCCTGCTGGAATTTTAATTGGCATTGCACTGATGCTGTAGACTAGTTTGGGGGAAAATTGATATCTTGACACGATTGAGTGTTCCAAACCAAATGTGAGATATCTCTATTTATTTAGGTCTTATTTAATTTATTTCAACAATGTTTTGTAGTTTTCAGTGTGGGGGTCTGAAATGACTTTTATTAGATTTATTCCTAGTATTTTATGTTTTTATGTATTTATGGCACTACTGTAAATAGAATTATTTTCAAATGTCATTTTCTGATTGTTGCTGCTAATATAGAAGAATACAATTGATTTTTGTATATTAACTTTGTATTTTATGACCTTGCTAAATTCATGTATTAGTTCTAGTACTTGACATAAGACATCTCTACATTTCTCACAGCAGTATTTGTTATTTACGATATACAGATCTTGCCCATATTTTGTTAAATGTATCCTTAAACTGGAGGTGGTGGGACCACTACTTTTATTTGCTTTGCTCCCTTTGTCTTGATGCTTGTGAATGGCTCAGATCACTAAAGCAACGGAGAGTTCCATCAACAAGCAGAATCATTTGCACCTGTAGCAAAGAGCAAACCCTTGCGATTTTTCTTAATGGGAAACGCTACTGGGTTTTCCCACTTAAGATGATGGGCTCCTGCAAGTGGCTTAATGGATCTTGGAGTAGGTTACTGACCTACTGTGGACCTGACCGTGCTGATAGGGCTGAACCTCAGGGCTGGCCATGTGCTGGGCACTGGTGATTGCTGAAGTTCAGTGGGCTACCTATTTTCTGAGGTTACGTGTGTTGTTGTTGGTGGGGATGGGTTGAGGAGAACACATGAGAGTTGTTTCTGTAGGCTTTTTGTTAATTATGAGAAAAGAGATGGAACCTCGGGTGTGAGTTTGCAACCCATTCTTCATTCTCCCCGGGGCTCTGGGTAATGATATTTAACGGAAAGACAAATCCATTCGTCTTCCCGGCATCCTGGCACGGGGAAGCTGTGCAGGCTGCTGTCAGAAGAGATATTAGGGGCTATAAAAAGCCATTCGATTCCTTCCCCTCCTCACTCTCACTTTGTAACCCCCTTCCCAGGGAGATTGGTGCGGAGGCTGCTGACACTCCATCACCTGGAAGTTTTTGGCCTCGTGGGCATTTTGTAGAGATTCAGATTGTCTTTACCTTTTCATTCTTCTTCTTTTAACCTCCATCATTTCTCTGCCAGGGGAGGCAACACCATGGAAAGATTTGTCTTTTTGCTTCATTTCTGGTGTTTAAAAGAGCCAGTTGCTATGCCCCTGGGTGTAGGAAGCAAACCATTCCATCAGGACAGGTAGCAGGTTCCCTGCCAAAGTGCCCTCTGCTTCTGAGCCAGGCTCAGGGAAACAGGAGCTTCCTGCCTGTCTTCCATGCTCTTGGTCTTAGCCTTGGATCTGCCCCTTGTCTCATCTCCATACCCAGGAGCACCCTTGACAGGGATAAGTTGGTCAGCATTTATCCCTCTTGATTTAAAAATTATCATGGGGCCGAACGCAGTGGCTCACGCTTGTAATCCCAGCACTTTGGGAGGCCGAGGCGGGCGGATCACGTGAGGTCGGGAGTTTGGGACCAGCCTGGCCAATATGTGAAACCCCGTCTCTACTAAAAATGCAAAAATTAGCCAGGTGTGGTGGCATGCACCTGTAGTCTCAGCTACTCAGGAGGCTGATGCAGAAGAATCGCTTGGACCCAGAAAGGTGGAGGTTGCAGTGAGCCAAGATTGTGCCACTGCACTCCAGCCTGGGTGACAAAGGGAGACTCTGTCTCAAAAAAAAAAAAAATTGTCATGGACGAGAGTTCCATTTCCTAAGGATTTTGTTCCTCTGCTCCTTGTTCTTTCATTCTCTTAGGTTGCTGTGCCCTCTCCTTCACTTCCCGCGTTCCCCCCACTTTCTCCACCCCATCCATTCCCACTTCCCCTGCCCCTCACCCCACCCTGCAGGCCTCTGGCCACATCCCTCCTTTTCCATTTTCATTTTTTTTTTTCATGGTAGGTTTAGAAAATGTAAATTCCTCATGCAGCTATTGTGCACTGATTCTATGGTAGGGATGATGGTGGAAAGGAGGGATAGAGTAGAAAAGAGGATCTAGTTTTAGTTCCCAGATAAACATATTCAGGTGCAAATCATTGTCCCTCAAGGTCAGGTACGACACACCCACACCAGAAGAATAAACAAAATACTTCTGATGATGAATTCTAATGAGAACAAGCTTCCTGCACACACTGGCATTTTATCTGGGCCTCCAAAAAGGGATGAGAGCTCCAACGGCCACAGAGGAGGTGATGGCAGGAAGGGTGGGGTGTGACATTTAAGCTAAGGGAACAACATTAGCAAAGGCCAAGAGGTGTGAACCTGTCTGTGGGGAGCACGTGTGTTGTCTAGTGCAATTGGAGGGGGCAGGGCATGGGGCTTGGGAGAAGCAGGAAGGAGAGCATCAGAGCAGAAACTAGAAAGGGAAGTTGGGCCATTGTGGAGGGACTTGACCGCCACACTAAGGAGCCTGCACTCATACTCCAGTAGTCAATGGGGAGCCGGCAAAGGCCCATAAATGGTACAATGGCCTGGTCTGAAGTGGGTTTTAGGAAGCCCCCTTTCACAGAACTGTGAAGGATGAATTAGAGAATTAGGAGACTGCAGGGAGAGAGAGATCAAACAGGAGTCCGTTTCAATGGCTTTTAGTGCAACTTTTTTCTTTTTTTCCGAGACGGAGTCTTGCTCTGTTGCCCAGGCTGGAGTGCAATGGCACGATCTCAGCTCACTCCAACCTCTGCCTCCCAGGTTCAAGCAATTCTCCTGCCTCAGCCTCCTGAGTAGCTGGGATTACATGCGTGCGCACCACGCCCAACTAATTTTTGTATTTTTAGTAGAGATGGGGTTTCACCATGTTGGCCAGGCTGGTCTCGAACTCCTGACCTTGTGATCCGCCTGCCTTGGCCTCCCAAAGTGCTGGGATTACAGGTGTGAGCTGGACAAACCATAATCTTATACATTTATGGGGTAGAATGGGCTGTTTTGATATATGTGTGTAATGTGGCATAATTAAATCAAGCTAATTAACATATCCACATCTTGCTTGCCCATCATTTTCTTATGGTGAGGCATTTGAAATTTATGCTCTTAGTTATTTTGACATATATAATACATAATTACTGACTGTAGTCACCCTGGTGTGCAATAAATCATGAAACCTATTTCTCCTGTCCATCTGAAACTTTATATCCTTTGATGAACAACATCCTATTTCTGGTAACCACTGTTTTACTCTTTACTTCTACGAGTTCTGCTTTGTTAGATTCCACATGTAAGTGAGATCGTGTAGTACACTTATGTGATCACGTGGTGACACTTAGGCTGTTTCCTATCTTGGCTGCTGTGAATAAGGCTGCAGTGAGCATGAAAGTGCAGACATTCCCGTCAACATACTGATTTCGGTTCCTTTGACTATATATCCAGGAGTGTGATTACTGGGTTGTATGGTGATTCTAGTTTTAGTGTTTTTGAGGAACCTCCAAACCATTTTCCATAATGGCTGTAACTAATTTACATTCCCACAATGTATAAGAATTGCCATTTTCCCATATCCCCCCTAACAGTTACCTTTCATCTTTTTGGTACTAGCCATTCTAACAGGTGAAATGTGTTAAGTCATTGTGGTTTTATTTTGTGTTTCCCTAATGATTAGTGATACTGAGCATTTTTTCATGTATCTATTGGCCATTTGTATGTCTTCTTTTGAGAAATGTCTATTTAGGTTCTTTGCTCATTTTTAATTGGGTTATTTGTTTTCTTGCCATTGAATTGTTTGAGTTCCTTCTATATTTTGATAACACCTTGTTACATGTACAGTTTGCAAACATTTCTTCCCATTCTATGGGTTTTCTCTTCACTTTGTTAATTGTTTCCTTTGCTGTGCAGAAGCTTTTCAGTTTGATGCCATCCCATTTGTCTATTTTTGCCTTTGTTGGGGTTATAGCCAAAAAATCCTTGCCCAGATCAGTGTTGTGTAGCTTTTCCCTTATGTTTTCTTCTACCACTTTTACAGTTTAAGGTCTTATATTTAAGCCGTTAGTCCAGTTTGGGTTGATTTTTGAATATGGTGTAAGATAAAAAGTCTAATTTTGTTCTTCTGCATGTGAATATCTAGTTTTCCCAACATCATTTATTGAAGAGACTGTCCTTTCCCCATTGTGTGTTCTTTAAATTCACAGGACAGGAAGTCTAGTGCAGCTTGGTGGAGGTGTCTCTTCCTGGTTCAGTCACCTCTGGCCTGGAGTTAGACTGATGGTGTACAGGCTTGCTTTGTGGTAGCCCACACCCACATACTAGGGCTGATCCTGGAAAAGGGGAAATTGTTGTGAGCTGGGGAGCCATACTGATTGGTACCCGCTCTGGGTGAGGGTGAGGAGGTAGAAGAGGATGAGTTTTGTTTTGGACACGTTGTGGTGTCAGTGAGTTGCAGGAGGTGGCAAATCCAGATGAGACGTTCTTTGATGGGTTTGGGGCTGGAGACATGCAGATGTGTGCGCTCTCCAAGCACCGTGTTAGCTAAAGCTTTTAGAATGGGAGAGCTTGGGGAAAAGGGAAACAGAGAAAAAGAGGGAAAGAGGATAGAATGTGAAGAGATTGTAAAAGGTTGGAAAAACTCTGGTTATCATCTAGTCCAATATTTTCATTTTATTTAATTTTCATTTATTTTTATTGAGGCATAGCATATACATAGGAAAGTGCACACATCTTAAGGAGACAGACCAATGAAGTTTTACATGTATACACACCTTTGTCATAACCATCAAGAGCAGGATGCAGAACAATTCCATGTCCCTAGAAGGTTCCATTGTGCCTCTTCTTGGTCAATACCTCTGTCATCCATACCAGAAGTAATTGTTATTCTGACTTCTACTATCACCAAGAACAGATAGATGCTTGTTCTTGAACTTTATATAAACATTGTCATTCAATCTGTATTATTTTGAATCTGAGCTCTTTTGTTCAACATTATGTCTGAGAAATTTATCCATGTTATTGCATAAATCAGAAGTTAGTTTTTTCTTATTGAGTAGCATTCCATTATATAGATATGCCACCAAGTATCTATTATTATGTTAATGAACATTTGGGTTTTTCAACTGTTGGGCTATTATAAATAAAACTGCTATGAAATTTCTTGCATGTGCCTTGGTGCACCTGTGCACTAATTTATAACTCTAGGGCATATATCCAGGAGTGAAATTACTGAGTCCAGGTGATACAGATGAAACCCCAAATTGGGGCTTAGCCTGGGAGGGTTCTTGGCTTTACTCAGGAAAGAATTCAATAGTGAGCAGACAGTGAAAGAAAGTAAGATTCTCAGGGCAACAGTGTACAGCAGAGTGGCTGCTCCACAGACAGAGGAGGGCAGAGTGGCCCAGAGTATCAGCGTACAGCAAAGTGGCTGTTCCATCCGCAGGGCAGAGCTATCTCATAGGCAGACAGCCCCTAGGAGGAAGAGCAGCAGCAGCAGTGAACAGCAACAGTAGCAGTGCAGAGCAGCAGCCCCTGTGGATTGCTGGCTAAGTATATTTATACCTATTTTAATTATATGTTAATTAAGGGACAGATTGTTCAGAATTCTTTAGAAAAGGGGCAGGGGAAGTTACTGGAACTACATAAAGTAACTTCCGGGTCATTGCCATGGTATTTGTAAACTGTGATGGTGTTGGTGGGAGTTTTTTAATGCTAATAAGCAGTGAGGGCAACTAGAGGTCACTTCCCTTGCCATCTGCTGGTTTCATTTCGTTTCTTTACTGCAACCCATTTTTTATCAGGAGGGTCCTGATTGATGCTTGGAAAACAAATCCTGTGAATCTTCTACCTCACAAGGGTATATATGTTTAATCTTAGCAGGTACTTCCAGTTTTCCAAAGCGATTATACTATTTCACACTCCTGTCAACAATGAAAGAGAGTTCTAATTACTCTGTCTCCACACTAAACATTGGCGTTGTCAATCTTTTAAATGTTAGCCATTCTGCTGGACATATAGTGATACCTCAAGTGGTTTTAATCTGCATTTCCATATAACTAATGATATTGAGCACATTTTCGTCTGCATGTTACCCACATGAATCTTTGTGTGTGTGCATGAAGTGCACGTTTAATTGCATGTTCTTTTGCCCACCTTTTTCCTAATTATTTTTAGGGGCTCTTGATATAAATCCTGAGTTCAATATATGTTTTATAAAATAACTTCTTCCAGTCTGTGGTTTGCCGTTTTTCTTGATAATGTCTTTGAATAAATACAAGCTTTTATGTTCAATTATCAATTGTTTATTTTATGGTTAGTGCTTTTTTATGTCCTGTCAAACAATATTTGGTTACCATAAGTTAGTATTCTCATTTTGGAGATTAAAAAGACAGTATTTATTTATTACTTATTTTTTATAGAGACTGGATCTCACTATGTTGCCCTGGCTGGTCTTGAACTCCTGTGTTCAAGCGATCCTCCTGCTTTGGCTTCCCAAAGTGCTTGTGTTACAGGCATGAGCCACCATGACAGGCCAAAAAAGACAGTATTTAAAGAGGAGGAAATGACTCAAAATTACAAAGCAACTGATAGTGCTAGAACAAGAACCCACAGCCTCTGTAGCCCCATGCTTCTTTCATGGGAATCCACATAAAGTGCTTCCCTTCTAGCAGAGGAGCTGGAGAAACAGCAACAAGCCTCTTTCTCTTCCTACCTACACAGATAAAAGCAATCAGCTTTGAGAAAATATTGTTCCACATGTATTGAGAGCCTTGAAAATATTTTTGCTCTTTGACACAATTGTCCCCTTTTCATGAATCTGAAACTTAGACAAAGTTTTATATAGGCAGATATTGATTACAATGCTTTTTAAGTGCAAAAGAAAAAAAAGAATATCACTAAGTATTCAGCAACAATGGCTAATCAAGTTGTGGCACATCTATAACATTAAATAGAATAGCTGTGTAATATTCAATTTAGGGTGTTTTTGAAAAATATTTAATGACCTGTGAAAATGAACACAATGTAATATATATTTTGCACATTTTAAAAACTCAAATTTATTGAGATACAATTTATACACCAAAAATGCACCTATAAATTTACAGTTTGGTGAGTTTTTTATTTTTAGAAATATACTTTATTGAGGTATAATTTACATATAATAAAATTTAAGAATTTTAGGTATACAATTTGATGAGTTTAGAAAAATGCACACAACCATATAACCACCACCACAATCATGACACAAAATTTTATCACCATTCTACAAAATTCCCTCATGCTCCTTTGTACTCAATTGCTTTTTCCCATTCTCAGACCCAGGCAACCACTGATCCATTTTCTGTCGTGATAGATTAGAGTTCCCTCTTCTAGAGTTTCATATCAATGGAACAATCTGGTATTTTGTCTGTTCTGCAGAGCTTCTTTTACTCAACATAATGGTTTTGAGATTCATCTATGTTGTTGCCTGCAATGGTAATTCCTTTTTAATGCTACATAGTATTCTGCTGAATAAATATATCACATTTTAATTTAATATATGATATACAGATATGTTGTAAAGGCTGAATAAACAGGAAAAAATAAAAAGAGGCAAAGCTTGAGGAAGTTTCTGTCTGTCCATTCTCCTATTGATGGACATTTTTGTTGTTACTGGTTTGGGGTTAACGTGACTAAAGCTACAATGAATATTTGCACAAGGGATAGGTTTTTGTGTGGACATATGCATGCATTTCTCTCGGGTAAATTCCTAGGAGTAGGATTGTCAGGTAGTATGGTAAGTGCATGTTTAACTTTGTAAGAAACTGCCAAACTGTTTTCCAAAGTGGCTGCACCATTTTATATTTTTATCAGCGTTCCAGTTACTTTATATCCTAACTAGTATTTGGAATTAAAGTTTTGAAAATCAATTGTTTTTGTTTTTAATACTGGTCACACACCTATCAGCCATTCTAATACCAGCCATTCTAATAGGTATGTAGTAGTATTCTAATATTCTAATATTGGCCATATAGTAATATTAGCCATGTAGTAATATTCTAATATTAGCCATCCTGATAGGCATGTGGCAGTATCTCACTAAGGTTTTTTTTAAACAACTTTTCTTGACATATAATGTGGCAGTATCTCACTAAGGTTTTTTTTTAAACAATTTATTGACATGTAATTTACATACCATAAAGTTCACCTGTTCAAAGTGTATAGTTCAGTGTTTTTAGTGTATTTTCAGCGTTGTGCAATCAGCAACATAATCTAATTTTAATATATTTTTATCTCACCAAAGAGAAATTGGGTACCCATTAGCAGTCTTTCCCCATGTCTGCCATGCAAATAATAAGTGAAAAAAGCAAAACAAAACATATTATTTCAATTTTGTAAAAGACACAAATATATATATTTGTGTGTATACATATATGTATATGGATATACATACTTATATATAATATATACACATATATACATATTTTATAGGTACATATATAATATGATATGGAAAAAAGACTATAAGGAAATACACCAAACACAAACCTCAGTTGTCTCTTTGTGATAGTATTTATACATAACTTTATTTTCCCCTCTGTATTTTTTGAAATTTCAGAATTCCCCATAATAAGCACATATTACCTTTATAATTTAAAAAATCATTTATATATTAAGAAAAGACATTTCTTCAGGCTACATCTATCAAAGGGGGCAGCATTATCCCAGCTATGATCACTCTGTATTTGCAGTCTGACTTCCTGTGGAAAGAAAGCTTGTAAAATCTTATTCTTCTGGGTATCTGCAGTGAGTTGGCAGTATAAACTTGCAGTTTGCAATATTTACGTGAACTGCCTGGGGGAGTCCTGTAAACTACTCTAGAGTTGGTTTCTCTATTGACAGACTGTTGAATACTTAGAAAATGTGCTCTGAAAGCAAATCCATGTGGGAGTTGACTCAAGGGGTGCATATTGTCTTGTGATACATCAATACGAGTGAAGAGAGGTTGCTCTTTGCTGGGACTTCATTTTCCTAGTTTGTGAAGTGTGTCTGTTGCCATGTAGGTATGTGCATGTGTGTATGCACATTTGTATGAATTTGTAACATATATTTTCACATTGTAAGTTACTGTGGGTTTAGAAGGTAATAAGGTTTGGCTGTGTCCCCACCCAAATCTCATCTTGAATTGCAGTTCCCACAATCCCTACATGTCATAGGAGGGGCCCAGTGGGAGGTAATTGAATCATGGGGGTGGTTACCTCCATGCTGTTCTCATGATAGTGGGTAAGTTCTCACAAGATCTGATGGTTTTATAAGAGGCTTTTCCCCCTTTTGCTTTGTACTTCTCTCTTGCTGCCGCCGTGTGAAGAAGGACATGTTTGCTTCCTCTGTTGCCATGATTGTAAGTTTCCTGAGGCCACCGTAGCCCTGCAGAACTGTGAGTCAATTAAACTTCTTTCCTTTATAAATTACCCAGTCTCAGGTATGTCTTTATTATCAGTGTGAGAAGGGACTAATACAGAAGGCTAAGTATATCGGCCCTCAAGCTCTAGTTTAATGACTATCATGCAGTTTGATTTAGGATAAGTCAAATTCTCATTGCTTTAATTACATTTCCACCTTGATTCACAGAGAGAACAATAACCTCCATCTCAATAAAGACCTATGGAAATGAATTGCATTGCATCTGTGCTTTGAACAAAAATATGCTTTTCTTGGAATCTGCACATTATTTTACATCTCAAAGGTCATTTTCTGGAGTGAAATTGAACTGATATTAATCATTTTCAAGGAGAAGAAACAGACTGGGGAAAACTTGCCTTAGTCAGGATTGAAGGTAAAGAAACAAAACCCAATGTAGTCTAGTTCAGATACAGGGGAGAAGGTATGTGGTCAAGACTGAATAAACAGAAAAAAATAAAAAGAGGCAAGCCTTGAGGCAGTTTCTCTGTGTTTCTGTGTCTTTGTCTCAGATATCATAAGGGTCCTGGTATCTCTCTGTCTTTGCTCTTTCAGATTCTTCTTTGCTGATTGGCTACCTCTGCTTATGCCTGGTCTCTGCTCTCCTAACTTCAGCTTGAGCATGGCTTTGCTCAAGACACTGTGTTGGCTCTGGTCTCACTTCTAGGTGACCATCCAGTTTAACTTTGCGTACCTCAACTACTCATTCCTGGGAGAGGACTCTGGCTCTGCTTTGACCAGAGTTCCTAGCAGATATGGTGTGAAGGGAGGTCCTATACCAAAATATGACCATGTGTGCTTACCTTTCACACAGGCCTAATGGTGATGGCTGACTACTGCAAGGATAGAAGGAATCTGGTCAGCGTGGTTGCTGTCTTCCTTCTCTTCTTGCCAATCCGCATGATACAGACATGTAAATGAGAAGGTAATATGTAAAGGTAATATGAGAAGATAATATGTAGTGTGTGGTAGGCAGTCTCCAAAATGGCCTCACAATGATCCACATCTCCTGGGATTCATGTCCTTGT
Source organism: Homo sapiens (assembly GCF_000001405.40). Classification (NCBI taxonomy): domain Eukaryota; kingdom Metazoa; phylum Chordata; class Mammalia; order Primates; family Hominidae; genus Homo; species Homo sapiens. The sequence goes on from NC_000007.14 coordinate 131,791,202, forward strand.
GTAATCTCCTCTCCCAGAGTGTGGGCTGGACCTAGTGGTTGACTTCTACTAAGCAGACTGTGAGAAAAGTAATAAGATGTCACTTCTGAGTTAGGCTCCCAAAAGACTATGGCTTCCATCTTCTGTGCTCTCTCTTACTCTCTTGCTTGCTTGGATGGAACAAATGCCATGTTGTGAGCTGCCCTGTGGAGAGGCCCATGTGACAGGAACTAGGGGAGGCCTCTGGCCAACAGCCAGCATGGAACAGAAGCCTTGGTCCAACATCTGCAGGAAAATCAATTCTGCCTGTAACCACGAGTCAACTTAGGAGGCAGATGTTCCCCAGTTGAGCCTTGAGATGACTGCAGCTTATCTCAGGTGAGATACCCAGCCAAGCTGTGCCCAAATTCCTGACCCACAGATAATGTGAGATACTAAATGTTGGTTTTTTTATGCCACCAAGTTTTGGAGGTAATTTATTACATGGCAATAGATAACAAATACATGGTCTCCCCAGATAATACTGTATTATTATTATTTATTATTATTATTTTTGAAACAGGATCTCACTCTGTCACCTAGGCTGGAGTGCAGTGGCATGATCACAGCACACTGCAGCCTTGACCTCATGGGTTCACCGAGTAACTGGGACTATATAACGCTGTTTTGTGAAGCCCAGGTTCCCTTCAAAACAACTTGTAAGAGGTTATGTGACCCAAGAAGCTATTCTGAATAACTTGTTTAGGTCAAAGTAACAGTCTCTTCTAGCATAGTCGGCGAGCTCAAGTGCAGCCACCATGCCTCCTGTATGGCCAGTTGGACAGGAGGAGTTAGGTTCTAACAGTGACAGCGTAGCTGTATTAAATGCAAACAGAAACGGCTTCATCCTGGAGAATCCCAGAGGACAGTGAAATGTTTCAACCTGTGGTGTCATATCTGAGACGTGGAGAGGGTTATACCTGGTGATTCTAGTGTCCGTTTAAACTCCAAATGACAATGAACCTAAATATGTGCTGATGAGATGCCAAGCCCCTATGCCAGTGTTCCAGAGAGCTGATGTGGACCACAGGGGAAGCCTCTGCCTTCTGGAACATCCCTGGGATGAAAGTTTAGGCATGGGATGCTGTTACATCTCAGTCTCGCTGAAAACATTATTAGGGCTCAGAAGTCTAGAGAGCATTGCAGTGGTCCAGCCACTTCTACAAACTCCATTTCATAGGGAAAGCATTTCAGGAGCTCTCCAGAAACCAAGACTCCTCAAAGTCCTGTGTCCTACAGCAGGTTCCACAGATGGATTAGGAAGTTCTTTTGTTGGGGAATTAGCCCACAGTCAGAGAGCATAGTTTCCTGCTGCTTCTGTCCCCAGGGCAGGGTTTTCCCTAAGCATCCTTGAATACCAAGAAAATGCTTGTTTCTCAATTCCCACTCCTGGTTTTTGGCCTCCATTTTTACAAAGCGAATGTATCTAACGCCTTCCTCTTTTGCACCCTTATCTGCCTCATGTCATAGGTTTACCTTTTCTTCATCTGTGTCCTTCCTTAGATCTTTGGGTTGCATTCCAGTGACCATACACATGCGAAATACTTGAATACAGTTTTATTGACACAAACATCCTGTTGCCACAGAAAGAATTGTGAAGAAATTATATGTACTGTATCAGGAGGGACTTTTTCTTTGATCTTTCAAAAGCAGAACTCCTCAGGGTGCTGTACATAACCTTTAGCCTGGAAGCCTCTTCCTTATGAGCCATGAAAGACATCTCCCTTTCCTGGCCACACATCCTCCCACCCAGAATTCAGTGGCATCACAGCCCAAGCATGATGGATGCTGAGCTGATGAGACAGGGCAGGGTCTGGCCCAGCCACAGCCATGGTTGTTCAGTATGCAGAGGACAAGGTGGTAGTCTCAGTACATGAAAAAGACTGTGAATGGAAAAGTGTGCTTTTGGAGGGATGGTGAGTAAGGGAAGAAAGAGAATTGAGAAAAGGGACAGCTATTGTGTCTGATTTTCAAGGTTACCTGTTGAGATTGGGCTGCAGCTCCCTTATGGCCTGGAAAAGCAATTCCTTTCCAATAGCTTTATAATAAAGAAGAAAGACCCTTTTGTTAACAATACCTTGTATTTATCTCATGTCTTTCTCCAGAGAAGCTGCAAGTGCTTCAGAGATTTTATCTTTATAAAAAGCTGATAAGTAGGTGTGTAGACCTCCTGGTGAACCCAGCCCCGCTGCCCCTGATCCAATCAGTTTGTTTGCAGTCCTCTCACTTCTGGTGATGATGATTAACTTAGGTGGGTCTGAGATCACTCTTGCAGTGAGTGCCATATGCCATGGTACAGAAGAGCCCATTTCCACCCAGGATCCTTCAGTGTCTCTTGTTCACCAGTGCCCCCAGCCAGAATCCTGGCCCAGCTGTCTTAAATTAAGGGGACTTTATTCAAAGGAACTGAGAGTATTTCACGAGAGTCATGGCCCATGAAAATAGCTGAGCCTTATGAAGGTCTAGACCTGTGCCTGAAAGCCATCATTCTCCCTCCTTCTGCTTTGGGGTCACATGGTTTCTTGGATCTGCCCTTCTCTGTGTGCTTCCTTCCTTCCCCTGCTTCTCTTTAGAGACCCCTTCTCTGCTCTCCTCTGACTACGTGGTCTCTAAATGGCAGGCTTGTCACTTGAGTTTTAAGTTTCAGGGCAGGTGACTCATTTAGTCTGGTCATCCTATAAGAGGAAACCAATTGGTTTAGTGTGGATCTGGTGTCTACCATGGTCCAGTCTGTTCTAGCTGGGAGGGACAGGACTGGTAGTAGGAAGGGCTTTCTTCTCCAGGATTGTGGCTATGCTTAGACTGTCCCCTTTGCTTGGAATGGCCCTAGCCTCGCCTCCCAGATGATCCTTAGCGCATGTATATTTTTTCTGAGAGGCATCCCTGTCACTTTCCTTCCCCTGTCTGCTCTGCACAACTTGTGAATCCCTCTACTCCTCCACCATTTTATAACTAGTTGCCTATTTGTGCACTGTATTCCCTTTCATGCTAGCCGGAGAGTGACTTGAGGACAGGCCTTTTGGTCTCTCTCTCTTTTTTTGTATCTTGAATGCTATCAGAATGCTCAGTAAATATTTGTTGAGTGAATGAATGCATGAAAAACAATATATCTCTTCAAAGACTTCACACTTCTTTGTCTTTATGCTAATATTTTGTTAGTAGCAGAAGAAATTTATTCCTTTTTATTTTTATTATTTATTTTCTTTCTTTTCTTTTCTTTCTTTCTTTTTTTTTTTTTTTTACGAGATAGAGTCTCATTCTGTAGCCGAGGCTGGAGTGCAGTGGTGCAATCATAACTCACTGCAGCTTTGAACTCCTGGGCTTAAGTGATCCTCCCACCTCAGCCTCCTGAGTAGCTGGGACTGTGGGCCTCTTTTTGAATAAGGACTTATTACAACTGAGTACAGAGACTTGTACTAAAGTGTGCTTGCCACTAGGTCCCTTCACTCTGGGGAATGAAGGAGGTGCACCAAGGCTGTAGCCACTGCGTTCCCATGCCTGTGGTTCAGGGATTCTCATCCCTTTCTTGCAATGAGTTTAACAGCCATGGAAGTGCTGGTGTTGGATAATCAGCGTTGTACCCTGTGCAACCTTTCATTTTGTTTTTATGATAATGTCTACTTAGGTTAGCGATTATATTAGCTATGGCAATGTTGATTTACAACCATGTGCCTCACAAATTTATGTTGTTTAGTATCATTTGACATTACAATTTGAAGCAATAACATTAAATGTGGCAAAAATCACTCCATAATAGTAGGTGGGGTGGGGAAGGGGGATGTGGGGTGGCAAACGAAATCACCCGAGGAGTTTTCCCACCATCCAATCCCACCCTCCCCTACACCCATGCCTTCGCATTCCCCAGGTGAATCTGATCCCTCCCTCTGCCCCAAGAGCCCATTGCTGCTGATATCTCTTTGCTCCTTGCTTCCATCTCGTGGAAATGGTGTGAAAGAGGGGAAGGATAAGGGGAAGAGCTGGGTGAGCGTGCGCTCTTTCATGTTTTTTCAACGCTTCCAAATATCTCATTACTCCACCCTGGGAGAACCTCTTCGTGTAAATTTCTCCGTCTCCCATGATCGTCCTTAGCAACGAGCTAATATCTTTGCTGGAGTGTGGCAGCTGGGGGCCTACATGAGGTGTTTGGACATAAACACCTTCTAATCCACTATTAAGTCTTTCAGTTTGTGTTCTCATAGCGTTAACCATAATGAACTCTTCACATACCGATGTCAGTTTAATATGCTGCTTCCCGAGGAAGGGCCTGGTGATTTAGCGTTAATTAATGATGACTTATTGCAGATTATGTTACTGACTTACTGATGCTCCTGGGTGATATGCACATCTTTCAGATGAAAGCATAACATTATGACTTAGCATTCGCACGGTGCTTCACACATCCAGAACACTTGGTAATTGGGTTAGCTGCATCGCCACTATCCCTCACACTGATGCCGTCATCCGGGTGAGTTGAAGTGTTCCTCATTACCGGTAAACCTGACACACTGAATTTCAAACCTGCCAAATTGATAAAGTTGAGGGATTGGATTTTACCTGTTTGAGAGTCTAGAATGTAAGGTGTTTGGAGACTGGGGTTCATCAGGTGTTCAATGGAGATAGCCACGGATGATGCACAATACTATGAATTAGCTCCATCGGACCTTTTATTTTTATTTTTATTATTAATTTTTGATACAAGGTCTCACTCTGTCACCCAGGTTGGAGGACAGTGGTGCAATCACGGCTCCTGCAGCCTCGACCTCCCCGGGCTCAGGTGATACTCTCACCTCAGCGTCTCAAGTAGCTGGGATTACAGATGTGCACCACCATGCTTGGCTAGTTTTTACATTTTTTGTAGAGACAGAATTTTGCCATGTTTCCCAGGCTGGTCTCAAACTCCTGGTCTCAAGCGATCCTCCCACCTTGGCCTCCCAAAGTGCTGGGAATACAGGTGTGTACCACTGCACCCAGCTTCCATCAGGCATTTTAAATATAAAGAAAACGAGAGGTAGTGATAGTCTAGGAAGTGATGTGTCACCAGATCTTTAGATATGAGAGGAGTTGAGAGAAGGTGGCTGCCAATGACTAAGATATAAAAAAGGCCACAAAGGAGAAATAAGCTATTAATTTGGACCACAGTGCTAATAGATATGACCTAAGTCGTAAGTTTCTTTTCTTGCCAGAATTTTCAGCCTCATATAGAGTGGTGTTTTTGGTGGGAATACATCTTAGTTTCTCTATGACCAAAATCATTTGGAGAGGGGAATTTGCTTTAGACAGTGGCTGTTGCAATCAATGTTGTTGAAATACCTCTATACCATAGGGTAGGGGAGGGAAATCTTCAAGTTATTTTCCCCATTTTCAGAGTGGAGGAAGTTCAAGAATGAACAATGGCCAATAAGCCAAGTCTCCCAGAACAAGGAAGGATAGATCGGAGAGAAATCTTTGGTCGTGTGGTTCAGGGTCACTTTTCATCTCCTCTCTAACTTCTGTAGCCTGCCTACTGATGCTGCCCTTTTGTGCTGGACACATTATGTAGTCTGAAATATTAAACACTTCTATTTGAAACAATATTTTGATTTCTAATAAATGATAAGGAGAGGGGAAATGAGATTCCCCCCCTGGCCAGAAAAAGGGCAATCTTTACTTTCCATGGGAGACAGATGAGCCCAGCTGATTTGTGGAGATGGTGTTAAAATTAAATTATTTTTCCAGAAACTTATGTATATAAAAAAAAAAACCCAACTTGTCTTTCTTGGAAGAAGTGTGATTACCCTCCTTCCTTTGTTGCCATCTCCATGACCTTAATTAATCCCTGCTCTTGATTTTATTGGTTCCTTTCTGTCTTGTCCTTGTCTTGCTTGCCAACCCCATTTTAAAATACAGAAATTGGCTCCCACAACCAACAACTAAGAATTCATTTCAAGCTCAAATATGAGTAGAGCTCATATCAGAAACTTTTATTATTCCTTGACTCCTGTATCCAAAACTTTTGATGGGACCTAAGCAAACCAGTGACACATTTAAATCAGATTAGCAATTTGCACCTTCATGGAGGGCTTAGCAGAGCAGCTTTGTTCTGATGCCTTTACACAAATCCATTTGTATCTGTAGGAAAATGTAACTTTATTTGCATCTGTGGCTATATCCCTGGGTTGGTAATGAGGATGAACCAACTCATGTCTCAAGCAGGATTGAGGGTGCTCAAAGATCAGGTTCACATTAGAGTGGAGGATATCCTCTTGGGGTGACCTCTGCCTCCCTAAACCCTCTATGTTGCAGAAGATACCAGGTGGAGGAGAGGCAGTCCCACTGGGAAAGGGAGGCAATGTGGCACACCGGTCAATGGAGACAGCGCAAGAGCATGGCTGTCTGAAATTCAAATTCTGACTTTCCACCTCTAGATGTGTTAGCTTGGGCAAGTCACTTGACCTCTGTGAGCCTCAGTTTACTCACCAGGAAAATGAGCATCATTATATCTACCATATAGAGTTGTTGCAAAGACTAAATTAAATGAGATGATGTACTTAAGGCACTTGGGAGATAGCAGCAGATATTTGTGAACTACAGACATAGAGAAAGAATTGCCTGCTGACAATTTGAGGCCCCATAAAGTATATAAAGTAAGTTGCCACGCTATCTCCATCCACTAGGTTTATGGACAGGTGAATGAAGTCCTTCTCCAGGCAGACAGTGAGTAGGGTGTGTGGGTACTGGAAACCTTCCAGAGCTAATAGGAAAATGAGCACCAACTGCAACCTGGATTTGAATGACCCATTTGAAATGGGTCATGTATTGGGAGGAATGCAACACGGTATAACAAACTCCAACACGATTGGAATGAAAGTTAGGGGCTGCTGTGTAATTGGTGGTGCAACTTTTGATGAGTCACCCAACTTCTCAGGTTCCTCATCTGTGAAAGAGGCTCTTCCCATGGAATAATGTAGACTACGAGGTGAAAAGACATCTTTGATGCCATCCAGGTATGTGGAGGCTTCAGGGTGGGCAGGATACAATGTTTTTTCATGCTCTGATTTCTTGGTTTATTGCCAGATGTTGGTGTCTATCTTTGCCATTGGTCTGAGCTCTTATGTTTCTAAGCATCTCTGTAGGTTGTATCTGTGCCTTCTGAATGGGTCCTAGGGCTTCTTTGCTTCTCAGTACCTGCCAGGACCATGACTGGGCTTGAGGCTTTGGATAAATGATCTAATCCAAATGTCAGGACTGAGCTGGCCCTGGGGTGGTTGGTTGTCATGTTGGAGAAGCAGGCTTTGGCCTGCTGCTATAGTCCAAATGTCCTCTCCAAAACTCGTGATAAAATTTAATTGCCATTGTGACAGTATTAGGAGGTGAGACTCTTAGGTGATTGGGTTATGAGAGTTCTACTCTCACGAATGGGTTAATGTCGTTGTGGGAGCAAGTTTACTAGAAAGTGAGTTCAGCCCTGTCTCGCTCTTTTGCCTCCTGCCATGGAAGACACAACAAGAAGGCTCTTGACAGATACAGGCAATCTGACCTTGGACTTCCCAGCCTCCAGAAATGTAAAAAAAACATTTCTTTTCTTTGTAAATTACTCAGTCTGTATTCTTCTGTTATAGCAACACAAAATGGATGAACACACCTGCCTTTCCATTGCCCTCCCCTCTTCTCAGCCACCTGCCCATCCTGCTGCCTCAAGTGGGCCTTGTACTTCATGCAAATCCTGGCCATACCTTTAGCCCTGTATTGTAATGGGTTGCACCGAGGTTGTAGTTGAAGAACCATAAGACAGTGGCTTTGGTGTCTTTGGCCATGGAGCCATGGTCCTTCTGGTCTGGTTCTGCATGTCAGCCTTAGAAAGGGTCAGAATGCCTGGACTTGTCTGTGCTACTGGCATTGGCTTCTTCCATGGCTGCCATCAGGGGACATTGGCTACAGCCATCCTAGGGGAGACAGAGTCTGGGGTATGACCTGTGTCTTTCAGTAGCAACATCAGGATCACTGGTTCAGATGACCCTCATGCCAGATATCAGAGGGGGCTACAGTGATAGAACTCTTTTCTGTCCCTTGGGGGTCAGCAAAAATGGCACTTTCTCAGAGAGACTTTCCTGACTGCCTACATAAACAGATTCATTTTTTTTTCTCCCCAGATTCTGGCCTCTTGTTTCCTTCATAGAAACTTTCACATTTTAAAATTTAATTAAAAAACATTTTTTTCCTATCTCCCCCACCTGAGTTTAAGCTCTTCACTTAATTTAAGGTCCTGAATAAGGCCTGTCTTTTCACCTTTGTATCCCTAGCACCTGAAAGTGTTTGAGACACAGTAGGCACAACTCAGTAAATGTATGCTGAAGAGAGGGAATTTGGGGGTCAGGTGCTGAGATATGGGGGCTCCCCTATGAAGACAGTGTCACGGGAGGATAAAGTTACATGAATCGAACACCTATTATATGCTCGATACTTTACTTTCATTATATCATGAATTTCCATATGAATCCTGAAAGGTAAGAATTATCATCCATATTTTACTGGAAGGAATTGAAGCTCAAGGAGGTTAAGTAATTTTTCTCAGGCCACCAGCTGGCATTTGTCTCCAGGTTGTCTGACTCCAGAACAATGGTTTTCAGTCTTATCTACACAATAAGATCACCTCGGGAACTGCTAAATCCAGATGTCCAGGCTGGGCCTGGAAACCAATGAAATCAGAGCCTCTGGGATGTAGGACTCAGGCAGCAGTGGTTTTTAAAGTTCCCCAGGTGATGACACGATGAAGCAGGGCTGGAAAAAAAATCTGCTATACTAGAGCAGTAGTTCTCGAAGCGTGGTCTCAGAACCAGCAGCATCAGTGTACCCTGGGAACTTGTTAGAGATATAAATGCATCTGCCCCACACCAGACCTTCTGAAGCAGAAGCTTTGGGGGTGGGGCCCAGCAATCTGTGATTTTAACAGGGCCTCCAGGTGATTTGGATTCAGGCTGGTTTGAGAACCTACTGCAGAGCTGTGCTTCTCAAATTGCAATGAGCATAGGGATCAGTCACCTGGGGCTCTTGCTAAACTGTTGGTAGGGATTCAGTAGATCGGGGTGAGGCCTGAGCTTTTGAGTTAATGATGCAGGTATTGCTTGTGCACATACTGTACTTGGAAGAGCAAAGGAACTCGGCTTCGTTCTCAAAATACGGTCCTGCATCACAACTACCTGGGATGTCTGTTAAGATGCAAATTCCTGGGTGCTGCTCCAGACATGCTGAATCCAAATCACTGAGGATGGAGCTGGGCCGTGCACATTTAAACAAACCCCAGGAGTGATTTTGTAATGTCCTGGTAAGTTTAAGAACCTGTGTTCTCAAGGGATTTGATCATGATGGCACCTGGTCTTATCCCAGCAAAGACCTCTCAATCCACAGGACCAGCTAACCAGCTGGCCAGGCAGACAGATTCTGGGCAGCAGACCTTTGATGCTGTCGCTTCAAACAAATAAATCAGTAGCAGAAACCCTTGGGCTGCTGTCAGCTGACCCTGCTGCTGTGCCCACAGGCTGCAGAGAGCAGGGCTCTATTAATCACCCTGTCCCTGACATGGCCCTGTCCATACATCTTGAACCCTGAGACTAGAAGTATAACTCTTCCATGCTTTGGATTTGTGGCAACTGCCAGTCCTCCACAGCCACCACACTGCCTAGCTCAGGGTGCTTAGGGCTGACCCAGCAGGTCAGGCACAGGCATGCTCCTCTGGGAGTGTGCAGTATGCTGCCTGCCGCAGATGGGAATCCAATGGAGCACAGAACAATAGACACCTAAGGAGTTGAGTTTCAGTGCAACTGGAGGAAGAATTAGGCTCCCATGGGTCTTGTGCAGAGCTAGAAGCAGGCTCTTCATAGGTAGTCAGCCCTTAGTCTGGGTCAATGTAGGCTGTGTCCACCACAAGGCACAACGTGTCCCTAAATCTGTGTCCTCAAACCTGTAAATACTGCCATCATATACCCCAGGGGTGGGCAAGATGGGCAGAGCCAGCTCCTGCCAACGCATCATCCATGAGGGGCTCAGGGATAGTCTCATCCAGGCATTCTCATCCATCCCTCCTCAGATACATCAGCCTTGCCACCAGGCAAGAAGTTTGGGACGCCATTTCTTTATGTCTCATGACCTTCCTATTCATATGATACCTTTAAGATGAGGTGAGGTCTTAATGCGGGTGGGGAGTAAGTAGTTGATATATGAAAAGCAAAGCATTCAAGAAAGCAAGGCACAAAGTAAATGCTGTTATTATTAAATACCAGGAAAGGTAGGAAGCTAGTATCTTTTCTCGGGGAGGGTTGATATGATTTGGCTTCATGTCCGCATCCAAATCTCATGTCAAATTGTAATTCCCATTATTGGGGGAGGGACCTGGTGGGAGGTGATTGGATCATGGGGGCAGATTTCCCCTTTGCTGTTCTTGTGACAGTGAGTACATTCTCAGGAGATCTGATGATTTAAAAGTGTATGGCACTTCCTCCTCGCTCTCTCCTGCTCTGACATGTGAAGAAGTACTTGCTTCCCTTTCGCCTTCTGCCATGATTGTAAGTGTCCCGAGGACTCCCAGCCATGCTTCTTGTACAGCCTGTGGACCTGTGAGTCAATTAAACCTCTTCATAAATTACCCAGTCTCAGGTAGTTCTTTATAGCAGTGTAAGAATGAACTAATACCGGGGTATTCCTGTTTTTCTTTTAGGTCCCTGCCAAATATGCCATCAAGTACATAGCTGAGGCCTACAGTTCTCCAACCATTCTAATCATAGAGGAGTGAGGGTAGTTCAATAACGCAGGATATCCTCCTTCGTTGGGGTGGGGATGAGGGGTCCTGATACTTCTTAGTTTGCAAAAAAGGGTCTGATACTGTAATTGAGCTTGTTTAGGAACCTTATTTGACAGGTGAACAGAATGACCAACTGATTGACCTGAATGACAATGATCCCTTGGTTGACCAGCCTCCAACATGGGTTGCAGGCATCCTGCTATGGCTTGAGGTGGCTTTTTATGTGGCAACACAAGACCTCTGCTCCCCCACCAGCCCCCCAGGGCTGCTGGTTGGAATAATAGCCATGAAAAAGCCATTTTTGTGGGTTCAGTTGAGGTCTTCTTCATAAAGTGCAATGAAACAGAAAGGACGAGTTATAGCTGCCACGTGGCCTGCCATGGGGCGGAGCTTCCTACACTGTCCCTACCTGAAACATGAAGGACTGCAGATGGGGTTTCAGAGGCCTCCCGGCCTCCTGGGTCTCCCCAGCTAGGCTTCTGCTCGCCCTTGTCAGAGCCACCTGTCTTGGTGCCCTGGCTTCAAAGCTGCCCAGGCTTCAAAGCTGCCCACTCAAGCCTCTTCTAACCCGCTTGAAAGGTGGCATATATTACTGTCAGCTGAGCATGACAGGAAGTGAAGGGGACAGGCACTGAATGCAGGCAGGAAGAGGAGAGCTGGGATCCAGCAGCGGTGCACAGGCACACGCATCACACCTCCCAGGCATTCATTATAAACGCTGAATGTGCTCATGCATTTGCAGAAATGATTTGTGTTTGGCTCCTTCTAACCTATTTCCCCTCTACCCTCTGTCTAATCCTTACCCACACAAACAGGGCTCTGGAAGATGTTAATTACATATCCTCAAGAGGTGGTAGATGGTGGGATGGAGGTGAAATGTGGCTCACAAGCAAGAGATAGGTTCCTCACTTGGCCTTTCCAACAGCTTTTGCAGAGACCTGTGATCTCATGTGACCCTGGGAGGTAGGAGAGGTATTCCCCTCCTCTTCCATCCCTTTCTCTAATTTCACATATGGGGAAACTGAGGATCAGAGAGGTTAAGTGACTTGCCTAAGGTTACCAGTTGGATCCTAGCTGATATGACTCATTGATAATATGTTTAACAGAACAATATATATTTCCTGTGCCTCAGTCTTGTCTACCCAAGCTAAGTGTGAGGCCTTGTGGGTGGGTTTGGTAGGGATTGCAAAGATATTTGCTTGTTGATTGAAATATTCCAGCTTTACTATTCTCTTAACTCTTTCTAATTTTGTATGTTTAGCTGTTGAGTGAGAGACAAGAAGACATCTTTTGGGATGTGAAGGCAGTGGGTTTAGCTGCAAATGGAAAAGCTTTCCCTCTTCTCATCTCAGGAAGGCTCTGGAGAAGATCTGGAGGAATGCAGGACAGCTTGAACCCCATTCCTCTGTCATTCTGTGGGGACATCCATCTCCTTGCCCCTCTCCAGCCCAACCACGTGGTTTCCTCCCAGGGTCCAGGAGATCAGGGGAGCAGATCAAAAATAGGGATAAGAGTAAGGGAAAGAGGGGAGGAAAGACCCCAGGAGAAGGAGGAGGGCCAGAGGGTTATGGTGTTTGTTTAGAGAAAACTAAGATATTAAAGGAAAGACCATTAATGAAAAAAAAAAAAAAGAATTTCCTGCATGCTACCACCTGTCTTTAAATAGTAGAGGAAGGATGGAGGGTGATGACATGAGCAGAGACCCCGAGGCATGACTGGGCTGCCTTCTCGTGTCAGCAACAGTGGCCTCATGTTTTTTTCTCAGAATTGTTGGCCTCAGAAGAATCCAGGTTTCAAAGCTACACACACTCCCGTCCTTTCTAGTATGATCTGCTGGCCCAAACCCACCACTTCCCTTCGCCTTCCACTCTCTTCCCTCTGCTTTCTCAGAGAGGGGCTCTGCCCCAGATTGTTCCCATCAGAGTTGTCACTATCCTTGGCGTGGATGTGTTTCCTGAAGACAGACTCTCTTCTGTGGCCGTGGTCCTTGCTCAGATACCTCCAGCTGTGAGGCCCGAGGACAGCAAGCCACATGCAAGCCAAGGATGTGGAGCCTGAATGGTGTTATGTTGCCCATGGCAACCGATTCTGAGGCCGGTTCTGCCTCTGGCTTGTTTGTCTGTGTTTGAGAACTACTATATTTTTTGTTCTTTTGTTTTCTGCTTTATTGAAGTATCATTGACAGACAAAGATTGTATATACTTAAGGCATACGTTGTGATGTTTTAATACCCATATATATTCTTAAATAATCACCACAATCAAGATAATTACTGTATCTATCACTTCACATCATTACCACTTTTGTGTGTGTGTGGTGAGAACACTTAAAATCTACCCTCATAGTGAATTTTAAGTATACAATAGAATATTGTTAACTACAGCCACCATGCTGTACACTAGATCTCAAGAACTTATTCATCCTGTGTAACTGAACCTTTGTACCCTTTGACTATTTCCCCATTTCTCCAATCACCTGGCCCCTGGCAACCACTGCTCTACCCTTTGCTTCTAGGAGTTTGACTGTTTAAGATTCTACACACATGTATGTGAGATCATGCAGTGATCTTCCTGTGCCTGGCTTATTTCACTTGGTATAATGTCTTTTGGGTTCATCCATGTTGCCATAAATGGCAGGATTTCCTTCTTTTTTTTTTTTTTCTTTTTTTTTGAGATCTGCCTGTCTTCCAGGCTGGAGTACAATGGCATGATCTCGGCTCATTGAAAACTCCGCCTCTCAGGTTCAAGCAATTCTCCTGCCTCAGCCTCCTGAGTAGCTGGGATTACAGGTGTGTAATCCCAGCACACCCCGCTAATTTTTATTTTTAGTAGAGATGGAGTTTCACCATGTTGGCCAGGCTGGTCTTGAACTCCTGACCTCAAGTGATCCACCCACCTCGGCCTCCCAAAGTGCTGGGATTACAGGCGGGAGCCACTGTGCCCGGCCTTCTTCTGTTTTAAGGCTGAATAATAATATTCCATTGTGACTATCACCCCATTTTCTTTATCCACACATCCATTGATGGACACTTAGGTTGTTTTCACATCTTGGCCATTGTGAGTGATGCTGAAAAATGAACATGGGAGTGCAGATTTATCTTTGAAATTATTTTATTTCTTTTGGGTATATGACTAGAGGTGGGATTGCTGGCTCATATGGTAATTCCATTTTTAGTTTTTTGAGGAACCTCTGTGCCGTTTTCCATAATGGCTGTATCAATTCACATTCCCACCAACAAGGTATGAGGAAAAACTACTGCACTTTCTTTGAGACTTGAGAGTTTGTGGGCTTTTCCTCCCTACACATAAAGTGGTAATTTTTTTTTCTGGCAATATTCACACACACACACACACACACACACACACACACATTTCTTTTTGAACCTTGGTCATGTATGAATCTGTATTCTCAGCTGTTGATGTTGGAGGGGCTTTTGAAACACTTCCTCTGAGTCTAACCCCAAATAATTCAATTCCAGATCTCCAGGTTAATAAAACAACTGGGAATGGTGCTCATCTGGAGTTGGAGAGCTGTGTTTCCCCAGTTTTGCTTCCAATTAGCTGAGGGCAAGTCACATAAATGTTGCCAAGCCTCAGTTTCCTTATCTATTAATTGGGCTATAATACTTCTCTATCAAGGTTACTGTAAGGAATACATTACATTAAATAAGATAATGGGGTGGAAATGCCTATAATGACTGATAAAAACGTTTTGATGAAGACAGGGTGCATTTTTATGCATGGTGCAAGGCTTTACTAGAGAATCTACAAAGGAGAGAGAAGACATGGACTTTCTTTTTAAAAATTATGGTGAAACACACGTAACAAAATTTAGTTTTATGTGTATAATTCTGTAGTGCTGAGTATATTCACATTGTTGTGTAACCAATCTCCAGAACTTTTTCATCTTGCAAAACTGAAACTCTATACCCATCCAACAGCTCCCCACTTCCCTCTCCCCCATCCCCTGGCAACCACCATTTCACTCTCTGTTTCCATGAATTTGATGCTCTGGAATGTATTCATCCTGTGTAACTGAACCTTTGTACCCTTTGACTATTTCCCTATTTCCCCAACATAATGTCCTTAAAGTTCATCCAGATTGTAGCATATGCTGGAATTTCCTTCCCATTTAAGGCTAAATAATATCCCAAGGATATAGTCCAAGGACATGGACTTTAAAAAATGTCTGGAAAACATAAAAAATAGCACATGATAAATTACAAAGTGGCCTGTGACACAATGCACCCAATGCAAATCACTATAGTAGAAGAGAGAAGAAGATCTTCCTGCTGTGCTGGTTTCCAGGAGGTCCCCTGCTCACCCTGGGGCTTGCTTTGCTATCTTAGGACTCAACATTCATTCCTAAGCAATGGCTTCTGGGTCAGGCTAAATAGTTCTGTTCATCAGAACCCTGTGGTTTAGGACAGCAATTCCCAAACAAATTGCACCAGAATGGTGGACAATTTGAATTTGTTCTTGGGTCTCCAGGAGGGAGGGGCAGTAGGAGTTGGGGAGAGAGGGACAAGGGAGCAGGCACCGCAGTGGTTGAGGAGGGCCCAGGAGCTGGAGAGCAGAGGCTGTGGTACAGTTTCCTGGACCATCCTGCATTTGAGAAACAATGGTTTATTTCTGCTTTGCAAGTGAAAGCAATGCCTGTAAAACACTTAACTTAGCGCTTCATGGGCTTAGCCAACCAGCTGTATGGATAAGGTTGACCTACCCAGCTTTACCTGGTCTGGGTGGAGAGGAGGGCATATTTGTACATTCCCATTACCTTTCAGTTAGGTCACCCAGCCTCCAGGGAGCATGGCTCGACAGTGATCCCAGGCTCTGACCCAGCAGATTAGCACCCTCTTCTGTGGGTGGAGACAGAAGGCCTCTCTCATTTGGGGCAATGGAGAAATCCAAAGAGAGGGGCACAGTGGCCCCACATTCCAAGTGTTTAGTCAACACCTTCTGTGTTTCCCTACAGCATGAATTGGGCTGATTCTTTGGGTTGTATGACCAGTGATGGAAATTTGTCCCATGTTCTTGCTCATTCCTCAAGTTTACAGCACACCTTTGAGATAGACATTCAGAATTCATCTGTAGCTGGGGTAGATCTAAGTGTTTATTGCTTTGTTTGTTATAGTTAAAATCAGGTGACCCATTGCATGGCCCCAGTTGATTGTATCTATTTGGTATTCATCATGCAATGTCCCTAATCCATTGTAATTTGTTATCAGATGTAAGTATTGCTTTCACTCCCTCCTTCTCTGGATCTTCAGGACTATGAAATCAACAGGGAAGCTAAGTGTTAAGATGGAAGGTGAAAGGAGAAATTAAGAGGAGAACTTGTCTGGCGGGAGCTGAGATCAGGCGACAACTGCTTTGCAGGACTCTGTGTTGCTTAGTGGCCAACTCTGGTCTGTGAATAGGGACAGGGAGCAGAAGGGATATCATGCTTCTTGGCCATAAAATAATATATATATTTTTGCATTCACATTGTAAGTTTACATGTTCAGATAGTGAATGCTCAAGAAACATTTACTTTAAGAAAAACATGTGATAAAAGCGGTGTTCGAAGTCTGAACCAGGTGTTTAAATGCTTGGTTGTAGAAGTTAGAAAACAAACCCATGTATTGAAGGCTACCTAGAACCAGGATGAGTGAATGAGTTTGCAGCTTGGTTGCCAGTAGTAACCTCTGTCTGATGGGCAATAAAGGAATGCAGAGTGATCCCCAAGCAAGAACAGAGAGAAGTTCTAAGATAATTGAAACAAGCTAATAATTCTTGGCTTTGACTCCTTTCGCCCTTCCTTCCATAAGCCCAGCTGACCTGAAATCTTAGTGCAGCTAGTGCTGACTGCAGCCTTAGGTTGGAATTCTGGTGATCAAGTTGAACAGGGAAGGCTAGCATGACTCAAGGTTAATCCTCATACTAAATAGAACCAGAGGTAGAATAAATGATTGCTTTTCTCAAGGTTGTCATTAATGCCTATGACTTGTACCTTGGTGTCCTAGTTCTTTAAACTTTGCTCCTAATTTGTTAGATAACTATTCATTGTTAATTATGAAACAAGTAATGTAATGTTTTATTTAAACAACTAGATAGGTGAAAACTGACCCAATTATAAACTCATCTAATTAACTCCCACACCAAAAACAAAAGCACTGCCTATGGAAGTTTCTGGAATTGCAAGTTTCATGCCAAAGATGAAAACAAGCAACCAACCACCAGAAGACTGACTTGGTGAAATCATGCCTTATAAGTGACAGCAGATACTAGATTGCAGGTGACCTGTGCTCAGTGGGGAATAAGAAGAGAATCAGAGTGGAGCTAGTAAGAAAATGAAGTCACAGGTAGAAGAACCTGGGCCGGGCGCGGTGGCGCACGCCTGTAATCCAGCACTTTGGGAGGCCGAGACAGGTGGATCGCTTGAGGTCAGGAGTTGAGATCAGCCTGACCAATATGGTGAAACCCTGTCTCTACTAAAAAAATACAAAAACTAGCCAGGCATGATGGTGTGCACCTGTAGTCCCAGCTACTCGGGAAGCTGAGACAGGAGAATTGCTTGAATCTGGGAGACAGAGGTTGCAGTGAGCTGAGATCATGCCATTGCACTCAGCCTGAGCGACAGAGCAAGACTCCATCTCAAAAAAAAAAAAAAAAAAAAAAGAAGATATTTACCTGTATATAATCAATGAAGGATAAATGTCCAGAACATATGAATAATTCCACAAATCCATAAGTATATGAAAAATGTTCAATCTTTCTAGCATCCAGAAATGCCAAAAACTCTCAAATCACAATGAAATGCCACTTCATGCCAATCAGTTTATAAAAAATTTGAAAGTTTGATATATCAGCTAGAATGTGAGATAATAGAAACTGTCTTATAGTACTTGCGGGTACAACCAATTAGGCAGTATCTAGTAACATTTCAGACCTGTGACTCTGACTCAGCAATTTCACTTCTAGGTATATATACTCTGAGACAGTCATGTATAAACAAGGAGATGTGTACAAAGATGATTGTCGTAGCCTTATTTATAATGGTCTTCTAAGAAAACAAGTTGCAGAATATTATAAATAGCATAAAACCATTCCTATCAATTTTAAAAACACTTAAAACAATACTATATACTTTTATGGAAATGTGTAGTAAGGCTCAAATACACAGGTGAGAAGGATATATACCAACTTCAGGAGAATTGTCTGTCATGGGAAATGAGTTAGAATACGCAGTGTAAATTTAACCATACCTGTGATGTTTTATTTCTTTTACAAAATCTTAAACAAATATGGCACAATATAGCAATGATTAAATCTTGTTGGTGGAGACATAGATATTTGTTTTGTTTTTCTCTGTGCTTTTTGTATATTTACAATATTTCACAAATGCATTTTTTTTTAAATAAGAAAGGTGACAAAATCCTTCCTAATCTGGCCTAATCTGGACAAAATCATTCCTTATTTTGTATTCACTCTGTGTTCTTGCCTTTGCCTACCTGTGTATTATTTCTTCTTTATGATTGAAGAAGTTTGTGCTGGACCAGGCAGAAAAAAATGTATGATCTTAAAGCCACAGTCACTTACCAAGGAGTCTAGCCAAAGCAGGCATCCTATCCATACCACACATTTGCGACATGTTCTCTTAGCCCCTGCTAGAATGGTTCTAACAGCAGAAATTCTCTAACTACTATGCACCTGACCATTCCATTGTTGGAGACATCTTCAACATAAGTTAGAGAGTATTCCCTTATACAGGCTGGACAGTGGTTTACTTTGTTGCTTTGCCATGAAAGCAATAACAGCATGGATGCCTCTTTATCCAGACCTTGGATGGGAAGCTTTTCACAATCTCTCACCGTGTTGTCTACCCTTCTTTAGATGCTCTGAGATAAGTTGGTGTGGCATCCAAAGATGAAGGATGTGCTGCGGATATGATCAGATTACACCAGAGTACAGGGAGCCTGTAATTCACATAAACTGAATATTGACTTTAATAAGTTTGCCTTAGCTCTTTAAATGGCCACATCATATTATTGCCTCATATTAGGTTTGTGATCAATGACTACCTACCTGCCTCCCTTGTGCCACAAAATCCTTTTCACATAAATTGCTCCCAAATCAGTACTCCCTCTGCAACCATTTGGCATTTGTGCAAGTGAATTTCAGAAATTGCTGCTGGGCTTTGCATTTATACTTGTTAAATGTTATTTTCTGGGCTTCACCCAAGCAGCCTAGACTATTGAGATCATTGTGATTTTGATTATGTCGTCTGTGGCACGTGCTCTCCCTATCAGGTTGCTGTCGTCTGACTAATTGATTGACAGGTATTTTCAAAAGGACAAGGTCAAGGACAGAATCCTGTAGCCAGGCAGTGGGAACTTTTCTCTGAATTGACACAGAACCATTAATCTTTGATTACAGCAGTTCAACTGGCCATAAATTTGTCTCAAATTATTGTCATCTGATGCTGTGGAAGTGCAAGAGACAGAGTGATTAGGAAGAGTCAGTATTGCGAAGGTATCATTATCTCCAGACGAATCTCTAAACTGAATGCAATGCCAGGCAAAATCCTAACAACTTTTTTTCATAGAACCTGGTGGGCTGATTCTAAAACTTTTTACGGAGAGCAAAGAAAGGAACAGGAGTATCCAAGTCAATTTTGAAGAAAAATAAAAAAAAAACCAAAGGAATTGATCTATCAGAAATCAAGGCTTATTATAAAGCTATCATGATTAGGACAGTGTGGTATTGGCACAGAAAATGAAAAAGAGATCAAAAGAACAGAAAAGCAGTGTCAGATATAAAACCATGAATATATGGGTATTTGATATGTGACAAGGTGCATTGCAAATCTTTAGGAATGCATGGGCTATTTAACAAACATCACTGGAAAACTTGGTAATCTATAATGGAAAAAATTCTATTTCAAACTTATACCAAGATCGATTTCAGGACATTAAACGACAAAAATGTGCAAAAGAAAACTTCAAAGTATTGGAGGAAAGTGTAAGAGAATCTCTTCATAACCTTGGAAATAGGAAAGGTTTCTTAAGATGTCAGAAGCAGTAACTAAAATGAGAAATTGGATAGGTTTGACTATATTAAAATTAAAATGTTCATCAATTGAAGTATGAATTAAAAATCAAGGCCGGCGCGGTGGCTCGCGCCGGTAATCCCAGGGCTTTGGGAGGCCGAGGCGGGCGGATCACGAGGTCAGGAGATTGAGACCATCCTGCCAGCACGGTGAAACTCCGTCTCTACTAAAAATACAAAAAATTAGCCGGGCGAGGTGGCAGGCGCCTGTAGTCCCAGCTACTTGGGAGGCTGAGGCAGCAGAATGGCGTGAACCCCGGCGGGGCGGAGCCTGCAGTGCGCCGAGATTGCGCCACTGCACTCCAACCTGGGCGACAGCGAGACTCCGTCTCATAAAAAAAAAAAAAAAAAAAAAATCAAGTTGCAGAGTTGATAAAGATATTTGTAAAGCTTACAAAAGATAAATAATTAGTATCTAGAATACAAGAAAATCACTTATAAATCGATATGAAAACTACAAATAATCTAAAAGATATTACCAGTGAGGTTTTTTTTTTCCTTTTTCTTTCTTTCTTTTTTTTTTTTTTGAGATGGATTTCGCTCTTGTTGCCCCGGCTGGAGTGCAATGGCGCAATCTCGGCTTACTGCAACCTCTGCCTCCCGGGTTCAAGTGATTCTCCTGCCTCAGCCTCCTGAGTAGCTGGGATCAGGCATGTGCCACCACCCCCGGCTAATTTTGTATTTTTAGTAGAGGTGGAGTTTCCCCATGTTGGTCAGGCTCGTCTTGAACTCCCGACCTCAGGTGATCCGCCCGCCTTGGCCTCTCAAAGTACTAGGATTACAGGTGGGAGCCACCATGCCTGGGCTGCCAGTGAATTTTATAAAGAGGAATCTAAATGACCAGTGAATACATGAGAAAGTGCTCAACCTCCTTAGTAAACAGGCAATGCAAGTTAAAATCACAGTGAGATACTTTTCTGACTGATCAGATTGACAAAATTTAGGAAGTCTGAAAATAGCAAGTATGGGTAACAACGTGGAGCCAGGGGAACCATCATATACTGATGGAGGGTTTAATTGGTATCGTCGTGGAGAGAAAGTTTGGAAACTGCTAGTAAGCTGGAAATGCACATACTGTGTGAATACAGTAATTTCACTCCCAGGAGTGAATTCTACAGAAAGTCACGCAGGCCTTGGGAGGCATTCCCATGAGTGTGGGCTAACATTGTTTGTGAAAATGAATAATTAGAAACAACCTGAAAGACCACCAACCTAATTATTTCGACCTAAAAGACCATTGACAGGAGAAAGAATGAATAAAAAGTGAAGCATTTATTCAAATGCTATAGTTTCTGGTAACAGAAATGATTGAATAAAATCGACATGTATAACATGGATAGATCTCAAGAACATGATACTGATTAAGGTGATCTGTCAAGTACACCACAATTTGATCTTTACAAATTATATGAATGTATCAAATTATCATATGTACCCTGAAACTATGTACATCTATTATGCATAAATAAAAAAAGCAAAAACAACAAAAGAAACCAAACCAACCCACAATGCTGAAAGAAGAAAGCAAGTAGCAGAAGGATACATATAATGTGATGACAGGATTGACATAAAGTTTAAAAAGATGTCCTGGCCGGGCGTGGTGGCTCATGCCTGTAATGCCAGCACTTTGGGAGGCTGAGGTGGGTGGATCACAAGGTCAAGAGATCAAGACCATCCTGGCCAACATGGTGAAACCTCGTCTCTACTAAAAATACAAAAATTAGCTGGGCATGGTGGCGCACAACTGTAGTCCCAGCTACTCAGGAGGCTGAGGCAGGAGAATCACTTGAACTTGGGAGGCGGAGGTTGCAGTGAGCCGAGATCGTGCCATTGCACTCCACCCTGGCAATAGAGTGAGACTCCATCTCAAAAAACAACAACAACAAAAAAAACACAAAAAAACCCCATATCCTCTGTATGAGGGGTGGCAAACTGGGCCAAATCCAACCCAACAAATGTCTCTTTTTGTACGTACAGTTTTAATACAGCCAAACTCATTTGTTTACATATCGTCTATGGCCGCCTTTGTGCTACAGGACAGAGGTGAATAGCTGCAACAGAAATAGCATGGCCTGAAGAGCCTAAAATATTTCCTACAGAAAACATTTGCTGGCCCCTGGAACATATGTGTAGTGGCTAGGCTAATATACAACATTAATGGCGTACAGAAAGAGAAGCTTATTTTTGCCATTTGAAATGCTAGGTAAGGAGTCCAGGGCTTCTGTGGTAGTTCAACTATCAGCAGAGACCCAAGATCCTTCCCTGTGTGTCCTGTGTCATCCTTACAATGCCCTCACTTTCCATCTCATGATCTGAGGTGGTGCTTCAGCTCTCATAATCACATTTTATTTCCAGCCAGTGAGGGCTGGAAGAAAGAAGACTGGCTACATAGGTGCCCTCAAGTAAGGCAAGACCTGCCTGCAAGAAAGCTGGGAAATATAAGCTGGGTGCGGTGGCTCACGCCTGTAATCCCAGCATCTTGGGAGGCCAAAGTAGGCAGATTGCTTGAGCTCAAGAGTTTGAGAGCAGCCTGGGCAACATGGCAAAACCCCGTCTACAAAAAATACAAAAAATTAGCTGGGCATGGCGGCACACGCCTTTAGGGAGGCTGAGGCAGGAGGATCAATTGAGCCTGGAGGTTGAGGCTGCAGTGAGCTGTGACTGTGTTGCTGCACTCCAGCTTGGGTGACAGAGACCCTGTCTCAAAAAAAGCTGGAAAATATGGGTTTCACTTGGGCTACCATGGGCTCCTATTGCTGTGTAAAACAGGAAGAATCGGCCCAGTGCAGTGGCTCATGCCTGTAATCCCAGCACTTTGGGAGGCCGAGGAGAGCCGATCACCTGAGGTCTGGAGTTTGAGACCAGCCTGACCAACATGGAGAAACCCTATCCTTACTAAAAAATGCAAAATTAGCCAGGTGTGGTAGTGCATGCCTGTAATCCCAGCTACTGAGGAGGCTGAGGCAAGAGAATCGCTTGAACCCAGGAGGTGGAGGTTGCGGTGAGCCGAGATCGTGCCATTGCACTACAGTCTGGGCAACAACAGTGAAACTTTGTCTCAAAACAAAAACAAAAACAACCCAGAAAAGTGGCTGTGGGGACCATACAGAAGCCTCTGCCATGAGTCCATTTGTAATGATGGATTAAAGACGTGAAAAGGGAAGAAGAACAGTGACTGGCTCTTTACCTTTAGGCAGGATGGTGGTCACTTTAGGCAGGAGGGAATGCAACTGGGGAGTGGTAAAACAAAAAGAGACAAACTAAACAGCTGTGTGCCCCGGGCTATAGATTCAAGATGTAGTTGTATGCCTTTATGCCTTCTGGCAGCAGAGGTGGAGTCAAATCTATATCTATCACAGTTATGCGTATACACATATACACATATTTAATTAGAAGAGAGTGGAAAAATCCAAGGAAAAAAAATCAAAGGTGGAATAAGAGTGATATGAGAAGATAACTCAGAAGAAAGACAACAAAATATGGAAGCGAAACACCCGTGTAAATCACAGTGTGTTGGTACAGAATCTTATTAGCTGAACACAGCTATGGTTAATGCGGTATAGATTCTTGAGCAGTCACTTTATTATGGGTGTCTATTGATGGTGGCAATTGGAGCCAGCAGGTCAAAGGACTTGGGAAACACTAGAAACATATTGCCTGAAAATATGCCCTGGTTATTTTGTCCTTTGAAATCCTGATAATAAATAGAGAACATTTAGGTGGGAGCTAGAAGAATTGCACAAACATGCATTGGGTCTCAAAATATTTTTGTGGTCACCTGGGGAAGAAGTTGAGCACTGCCCTCATTTGGAGTTTCTGTTTGAATGGTATTAGGTGCCCTGGCACAGATAGAGATAAATGGAAAAAAGCAGAGCCCCAGAACTTACATAGGGAATCCTTAGACGTAGGAATCACCTTGCCCTGCTGGTGGGTATGTAGACTGTGCAACCATTCTGGAATCATCTCACATGATTTAGTTGTTGAGAATACATTTTCCATATAGCCCCCAAATTCCACTTTAGGGCACATATCTCTCCCCAGTTCTTTCACAGATCCATAGTGGCATGCATGAGGGTGCTCATAACCCCATGTTTCATGAGGCTGGTGGGGAAGGTGCAGTTGGGGGCAATCTGGGTTCCATCACCAGGAGACAGCATAGTACAGCATGGTGGATGCTTGCTATGGACTATTGTGCAGTGATTAGAAACAGAGGACCGGATATGCACATAGTAACATGGAAGGATCTTAAATACAGACAGCTTCTTGAAAAGAGTTAAGAAAAGGGGAACCAGATCTATAGCACAATAATATTTATATAAATGAAAATGTATGCTCACAAAACCACAGTACACATTTTTCAGGAATGTATACAAATGAAAGGATGCACATTAGAATCACATGTAAATGCTCGCTTATGAGGGGATGGGAGGGACTACCATTGTGGAACCCCCCACTGGTGACTCCATGGGGGTTTACTTGGATTGCCCCCTCCGTCACTCTCAGTACCCTGCATTCCTGCTGGCTCCTGCCAGCTTGGGCTTGGATGTGCCCACTTTGACTCTCACACCCTCCCTGGATTTGGCATCTCTTGTTTTGCTCTCGGTCTAACCACAGCCATGTCCTGAACTCCACTCTACCACATAGACATGGCTTTGACATCTTGCTATTGCTTTCTGGGTTTCTGACCATCCTGCTCACCTTCTGGCCTTGCCTTCATTACTCCCGGCTCATTGCTGACAGCTTGTAGTGGTCTTGCTCCATTACCCGGCCATACATGTCAAGTGGTGTGTGGAAAGTGGACCTGCTTGAAATTGTGTGATGGATCAGTGATGGCCAAATAAAATCATGCTTGCCTCAATCTGCTGTCTCTCCAGACCATTTGTCTACCCTCTGCCCTCTATTCCCCAGGTGAGGAGCTCTTGCTCTGGAGGGCATGGACCCTGTCTGTCTTTTCCTTTAACACAGAAAGCCTTTGACTTTTATTTAATACTTTCACATGCTAATATATTTTAATATAAACTTCCTTTTATTTCAGAAACAGAGTTAGATAATTTTAAATATACCAAAATATTGAGTTATTGAATAGAGGGAGGGAGTCTACCCCACATATCCCATGACCCTTATGTCATGAGCAGCCTACTTCATCCAGCAGAGTGAGATACATTTTAGTAAGCTGGTGACATCACTTAAAGGCTCAATGGCCAAGAGGTTACCTGGAGGGAAGAGATGGATAATTAGAAGATGCAAATCTCTGCCTTCCACTTGCCTTCAGTTGAGAATCAGTTACTTGGAACTGCTAGTCTTTGTGGCTCTTGGCCAAAGTTATTTTCCATGTTTCTTGGACATGATGCAGAGGAGGGCTGTGTAAACACATGTGTATGGGATGGGTGGGTGGGTGGGGGTGTGTGCGGTCTATAAACTACAGAACCAACAGAATGCCTGACCACATGTGTTCCTGGCACCAATTAGGCCTCCAGTCTGTCTGACCCAGCCTGGTTGATGCAGGGCTCAGTGCCAGGCACAGCAGCATGACATGAGGAGTGGTGAGGACTTGCTTCAGTGCTTGATGACAATCTGCTGTCTGTTCTCTAGGGGGGAAAATCGGGCTGCTGGGAAATCGTAGTAATGCCACCAGAAGTCCATAATGAATAAGAATTGACTCAGTGATGATGGTTGCAGTCAGTAGGAAGATGGAGGCTAATTAAACACCAGAGCTGTGACTGGGAGAGGCTCTGCCTCAGCTGTGGCGATGACACCACGTGGCACCATCACTTGGCTAAAGTGTAAATTAGCCTCAGCCATGAGCAAGTGCATTAAAACTACCTCATCATGATAGGAAGGAGTTCACAGGCTACCATGACGATATTTTCAGAGCCCAAGACATTTTGAAAAAGGAAGTCTGACAAAGGAATCTGGGCTCCTTGTTGATGCAAGAGGCAAAGGGTAGGGGGCTACTTTGCATATGAATATAATATAATTTCTCAAGTGTTTTGTGGCTTATATAAAAAATAGGTCACAGTATTGAAATCTGGATTACTCTGGAAAGTCCAGGCCATGTGGTCACTGTGATATAGTAAAATGGTTGATACAAGATGTTTTGAAATATAGTGACAATAACAAATCAATAAAATGCCAGTAATAGACCAATGGTCTGCTGTTTGATGAGTCCAATTAAGCAATGGATCCTGGCCAGGTATGGTGGCATGCCTGTAATCCCAGAACTTTGTGAGGTTGAGGGGGGAGGATCACTTGAGACTAGGAGTTCAAGACCTGGGTAATATACTGAGACCCCGTCCCTACAAAAAATAAAATAAAATTAGCTGGGTGTGGTGGGTACCTATAGTCCTGGCTACTTGGGAGGCTGAGGCAGGAAGATTGCTTGGGCCCAGGAGTTTGGGGCTGCAGTGAGCTATGGTCACAGCACTCCAGCCTAGGCAACAGAGTGAGACCCTGTCTCTAAAAACAGAGAAATAAACAAAACAATGGATTCTTTTGATGCTGCTGATTCTCTCAGCAGAAACAGCTCAGAAAGACATGCTGGGAAGTTATGTATTGATTCTGGTGGGAGGGATAAATTCAATGTCATGAAATGTCCTTGTAATAAGGAGGTGGCAGAGTATAATGATTATGAGTTTAGGCTACCTGGGTTCATATCTTGACCTCAGCACCTAATTGTGTGAGCTTGGGCAAATAGCTCAACTTCTCAAAGTCCTAGTTTTCTTTTCCATGTATTTTGAAAAGAAATGAAGTAATCTATGTAGGGTGTTTAGTGCACAGTGGCTGAAACATAGAAAGTGCTAAATAAAATTAGCTATTTTAATCATTATTAGTCTTCCACTCTGCCATTAAATATCTTAAAAAACTAAGTATTTGTTTTTTATCCAGTTGGACTCCTAGATGCATAAAATCCCAACCTCAACAAGGACAGTAACAGTCTATAATAATTGACTGAACATTATATGGTAATGAAATCATACGACCAAATCTGTGAGCTGCCCTTGAAAATCAATTTTTTTTTTAACTGTAGACTTAAAAGGAGCAGAAGGCTCAGTCCAGGCGGTAGGTGTCTGTGAGTGGAGACTGAGGCTTTGGCCTGAAGCAGTCCCTCTTGCTGGTGACCAACCCAATTTTTCCCTAGTCACAATCCCTGATTTGCTTGGTGGTCTAAAGTCACCTTGAAAAAGAATCAGGTTTCAGAAAGGGACAATGGAATGCTGGTATGGGAGTGGGGTGATCATGTGGAAGGAAAGAATCTGGTGGTGGGATAGACCAAGCCAAAGAAAGACAAGGTACCCTGGGAATAATAAGAGGCTCTGCTTGAACTCACTTGCCTCAAACCTGCCTCTGGAAAGGAGAGGGCAGTCTGGTCAAATACAAAGAAAACATTTCCCTCGGGATCCGTGAAACCACGTTAAAGGTCTCAGTGGTGGGACTGAGAAAAGCAAGACATTTTCTTTCTAGTTGGAGACAAAGATGGATATGAGGTCATCCTAGCAGTGGTCCAGTATGGATGGTATCAAAGCAAAAGGGATCCAAAGAGAGGTGAGGATGAAGTGAAGGGCACAGCCATGTAGAGCCTGGCTCAGCAGCTGTGAGGACAGAGCTTTGGGCTCACCATGAAGGTCGTGGGAGGTACTCATTCCTCCTCATCATCACCGAGATTCCAGGAGAGGCTAAGAAATGGGATAGGCTAGACTTCTACCTTTTGGTAGGTTATTGGGGGCTCCCCATCCACTGGGCTCAGGGACAAGTCGCAGGGACCTAAGGGATAATGGGGGTATATGGCAAACACAGGTAGAAAAATGTCAACTTCAGTGAATAGTTGTTCAATGTCCACATTGTTCTATGTAGAATATGGACCATTAAAAGTTCAATCACTGGTATTTCCTAGTTATCTTGAGGCTTCACAGAGCAAAAGTCTTATGGGGCAGGGGAAAGAGAAAGGAACATCTGTGTTTGCTAATTGTCCCATATGGAAGTTAGGCTCCTACCCTTCGCAGAGACAGGGAGATAGGGAGACAGGGGCCCTATCCTTCTTGATGATTACATTTCAAAGGGACAGCTCCCAGGTTCTTGAAGAAGACATTCCTGGGTTATAAAACTGGCAAGAGGCTGGGAGAAGATTTACCTCTCAAAGGGGCAGAGAAAGAATTTGTAATTGCAAGCTTGCTAAATAAGTGCTCTAAGAAACAAGAGGTCAGAGCCTAGAGTCAGGAGATTTGTCTAAAGAAAGTTCAGTTGGGCTGGGCATGGTGGCTCACACCTGTAATCCCAGCACTTTGAGAAGCTGAAGCAGGTGGATCACGAGGTCAGGAGTTCGAGACAAGCCTGGCCAACATGGTGAAACCCTGTCTCTGCTAAAAATACAAAAATTAGCTGGGCATGGTGGTGTGTGCTTGTAGTCCCAGCTACTCGGGAGGCTGATGCAGGAGGATCACTTGAACTTGGGAGGCAGAGGTTACAGTGAGCCAAGATTGTGCCACTGCACTCCAGCCTGGGTGACAGAGTGAGTCTCCGTCTAAAAAAAAAAAGGTTCAGTTACACAGTTATGCCGAGGGGCATGTGAGGGGCATGTGAAGGCTGTCTCCTTTCTGTCACTTGCTGTTGGAAATGAGGACTGTATGGGGCACTGTTAACAGCATTTTCTTTCGGGAAGCAGCTTTTTTCTCCCTACTTTATAGAAGCAGACGCTGCCCTAAGAGAGGGTGACAGGTTCGGCATCCCCAGCATCTGAGTAGAGGAGCTGGTGTCTTAATTCCTCCCCAGGTCCTCCATGGGCACTGACATCATTCCTATGTCTAACTTGGGCCCCTCTCCCAACCCTATGCCTTTCCACCTACCCCCTGCCCTCTCCTCACCGCCCTCTCTGGGGCCATTTCTGGATCCTGAGACCCCAGCTCCTCCTCACTGCCCTCCGGAGAGGTTTGGCTTCAGTGAGCTTTCTTAAGTATTTATTGCAGGGATAAGAGCCTGCTGCCCCTGATGGGTGCTTGGCTGCCAGGAGCTGGTGTAGGAGGAGGTAGTTTGTATGCTAATCCGCTGATTGCCTTTGATTCTTCCGGGAATTCTACTTCAGCCTTTTTATCTGCCCCTGGGGAGAGACCCCCTAAGCTCTTACCATCTGCCCTCTGCCTGCCCCTCCCACTCTGGTCCCAGACCCACACTCAGTCTTCCCAGAGAGACCCATAAAATTTTATTCAACTCATTATATCCCAGGCAAAAGCCCTATCCTTCATTTTGAGAAGAATGTCCAGATTCAAAAGTGTTGTAAGAGTCAGGGAGGTGGATAAAGAAGGCTGGCGTGAGCTGTCTGGAGGCAGCGCTTGAGGGCTGCTCACAAGGGTTGTGGAGGGAGAGCCCAGACCTTCCACCAACCATTCTTTTCTCTGCTGGGAGGGAGGAAAAGCCTTGGTTTTGAGCCCAGTGTTCATTCCCAGAGTTTCCTTCTGAGAACTGGGAGGTGATGCTATTGTCTGTCCGAGATGCATGGCCATGGTGATCCAGAATGTCGCAGGATCAGGTGCTTAATTTTTCAGGAGTCTGTTAGATGCAGCCTTGTTGGTTACCCTCACCCAGTGGTCATGACCTTGACATGTGTTATCATCACTTGGGGAGCTGTAAAAAATACTGATGCTTGGGTCACTCTCCTTGAGATTTGGATTTAATTGGTCCAGAGTGTGCCCTGAGCATTGGGATTTTTAAAAGATGAATCTAACATGCATCTAAGGCCATTAACCACTACCCCAACTCAGGTCATAATGTTACCAGATGGTCTTTGTTCTTAGAGCTCCCAAGATGGTGGTGGCCGCTCCTAAGATGGCAGAAGGCCTTTTGTTGTCCGACCTGGGGTTCTTGGCCTCATGGATTCCAAGGAATGGAACCTTGGGCCATGGGGTGAGTGTTATAGCTCTATTAGAAGCTGTGGGTCATAGAAGAGAACCATGGAACCCAGCAACTAGTGTTCAGCTCAATTAGGATGAACCTGGGCACTTAGCTGCGCAGGAACAATGGTGAGCTTCTGGCTTGATCAGGAGCAGCAATGGGCGCCTCTCTGGATCAGAAGCACAGTGGACACCCTGCCGGATCCAGAGGGGTGGGAGTCAACGGCCAGTCTGCGATGGCGGCATTCAGCAGTGGTGGAGGGCGAGCGAAAGCTCAGCTTGAGCCAGAACAAACACGGACCAGAAGAGTGTGCCCTTGCAAGATTTAATAGAGTGAAAACAGAGCTCCCATACAATGGGAGGGGACCCAAAGGGGGTTGCCCACTCCTGGCTCGAATGCCTGGGGTTTATATCCCAATCATTGTCCCTCCCCCTGTGCTCTCAGATGATAGATGATTTGACTATTTCTTTACCTCCTGCTTTTAGTCTAATTGGTATTTTAGCGAGCCCTCTTTACTACCTGATTGGTTGGGTGTGAGCTGAGTTACAAGCCCCATGTTTAAAGGTGGGTGCAGTCACCTTCCCCAACTAGGCTTAGGAATTCTTAGTCAGCCTAAGAAATCCAGCTAGTCCTTTCTCTCAGTCCCCCGTCTCAACAGGAAAACCCAAGTGCTGTTGGGGAGGTTGGTTGACGATCACTCTTAACTGCTTCCTGCTGAATTGGGGCGTAGTAGGGGTTGTGCAGTTGAGATTTCCTTGGGAGGGGTGACTTCGATGTCATTAACATTGGAGCATGGACTAGCAGGCCAGTTCAGGGGTACACAGTAGATCTTAGTCATGGACTGCATCTGGGACTCCATTTGAAGAATGATTTGTAGTTTTGCAGTTTCAATGGTGGAAGAGGCAAACTTAACAAGGAGGTTAAAGATCAAGGGAGTGAAACATATGGCCTGCAGTGCAGGTGATTATTTCTTTGGCACACTTCACAGGCCCTGAGTATCTACTTGATAGTTTTGAAAAGGCCTAGTCCAGTAAATAATGATTTGGCCATCTGATGGGGGCTATCAATGCCTAAATGAAAGGTTTGGTCAAAGGTTTTAAGTACTTTCCATTGGTTAGCTGCAGGCAAAAGTATTTTTCTTTCTTCAGTGGCTAGCCATCCTGAGGGGAGGAAACTATGTCCTTGTGAGGTTCTCCATTCTATTTCTTCTGCTGAGTACTGGGGCTTGGTTTCCCGGAGGGGATTACCCCATACTAGGGGTCCTTCTATAAGCATTTCCAATGGAGGGTCCCACCTTGCGGCTCTTTTGGCTTCAATATCCGCTTGGCGGTTCCCTTCTATTTCCCTTTTCTTTCCTTTTCTGATGACCCTGGCAGTGTAAGACTGCCACCTCTTTAGGTTTCTGTACAGCTAATAATAATCTCCTAATGGCTTCCTGATATTTAATAGGTGTTCCCTTGGAAGTTAGGAATTCCTTTTCTCTCCATATTACTGCGTGGGCATGGAGGACTAGGTAAGCATACTTAGAGTCTGTATGTATATTTACCCTTTTTCCTTTTCCTAATTCTAGTGTATAATGGCCCCTGCTTTTGCTAGGATGTCTCTCCCTAACAAAGGAGTGGGGCTTTCAGGCATAATTAGAAAGGCATGTGAAAAGAGTAAACTTCCCCAGTCACAACTTAGTGGCTGGGAGAAGTATCTAGTGACTGCCTGTCCTAGGACCCCTCGGATACTGACAGATCTGGAGGACAGTTATCCAGGACAGGAGAGTAAGACTGAGAAGGCTGCACCAGTGTCCAGGAGACAGTTAACCTGGCCCTCAATGGTCAAGCATACCTGTGGCTCTGTGAGGGTGATGGCATAGGCTGGTGCTTGCGCCGGGCACCCTCAATCCTGCTGCTGGATCATCTGGTTAGTGGCTTCTGACTCAGAGGACCTTCATCCCCTGGGGCAGTGGGCCTTCCAGTGATTCCCTTGACATAGGGGTACGGACAAGGGGGCAGCTTATTGCTATTTGGACGATCTTTTTAAAGTGTCCTTGTGTACTGCACTGGAAGCAAGCCCTATCAGGCATTCAATTTGCCCAGGCTTTCCCTGTTCCAGAGCCTCCAAAGTCTGCTTGCCTGAAGGCCCTGACTAAAGTGGTGGCCTTTTTTTTTTTTTTAATCCTGTGTTGTCCTGTTCTGCCTGCTCCTCTTGATCTCTATTATAAAAAAACTGAGGTTGCCAAGTTCAATAGGGTTTCTAAGTTTTGCTCCAGGCCTAAGGCGGACTTTTGAAGTTTGTTTCTAATGTCTGCAGCTGACTGAGTGATAAGCTTATCCTTTAAGATTAGTTGGCCTTCAATAGAGTCAGGTGACAGAGAGGTATGCTTCCTCAATGCCTACCTTAGTCTCTCCAGAAAGGCAGTAGGATTTTCTTCCTTTCCTTGTGTTATAGTGGACATCATTGAATAACTTACAGGCTTCTTCCTAGTTTTCCTAAGTCCTTCTAGCATGCAAGTTAGCAAATGTCTGTGGCACCAATCTCCATGTTCTGATTCTGTGTCCCAGTGAGGGTCTACACTGGGAACTGCCTGCTGGCCTGTGGGGAATTGTTCTCTTTCCTCTGTCGTCATCCTATCATTGACCTGACCGAGATACCAGAGATCGTCAAACTCTCGGGCTGCAGTTATGGCGGCACTTCTCTCATTTGGGGTTAGTGTCTGATCTAGTAGTAACATTATATCTCTCCATGTCAGATCAAAGGATTTTCCTAACCCTTGTAAAATATCAATATAGCCATCAGGGTTATCTGAGAATTTACCTAGGTCTATTTTAATTCGCTTCAAGTCTGAGAGGGAAAAAGGTACATACACTCTGACTAGGCCAAATTCTCCAGAATACATCTTAGGGGTGTTTTTGCCTTGGGGGGAACGTTTCCCATCTGAAAAAAGAACATAGGGATGCCAGCAACCCTAGTCATTTTCTGATGAGCATTAGTCCTAGAGCGTCCTCTATGGTCCTAATGCTTATTCCTTTCCAGGGTGCATAACCACCCATGGACCTCTGCTTATCTGATTAGTTACGCTCACCAATGTAGCAGTCCTGCACCTGTTTTCCCGCCTTTCTTGACCACAGAGAAAGGGGTCCGGGCTGCTGGATTCTAGTGGTCCTTTACCAGCGTGCCCAACATTGCCTTTGTGCTCGGGCGTGAGTTCCTTTCCAGGATGTGTAACCACCCATGGACCTCTGCTTATTGGATTAGTTACGCTCACTGATGTAGCAGTCCTGCACCTGTTTTCCCATCTTTCTTGACCACAAGGAAAGGGGTCCAGGTTGCTGGATTCTAGTGGTCCTTTACCAGCTGCCCAATATTGCCTTTGCACTCAGGCGTGAGTTCTAGAGAACTCTGGGCTGGGTTCCTGAGAATTTCATAACAACCCAGCTGCCCCACCAAGATGCATTCCCATAAACAACAGTTCCTATGCAAATTTGTTTCAGAGACGGTGTAGGTAACTTTTTGAGTGAGGATTGAGATAGAGTTCTTTGATTCTGTAAGTACTTTAAGGCTTGGCTGAGTGCAAACAGCTCGCAAGTTTGAGCAGACCAATTATTAGGCAATTTTCCTAACTCTGCTTCTACAAGAGTTTCCCTGTCAATTACTGAATACCCATTGTGGTTTTTTCCCTCAATCACCTGGGAGGAGCCATCTATCATCCTGTCCTGAAGGGAGTTCCTTCTAGGTCTGGTTGGACCTTTGTATGGTAATTAAGATTTAAATCCCTCATTAGGAAACCTGCTGGGTTAAGGGAATTTTCAGTGGTTAATGTTAAGTCACCTTTTTCTAACAGAATAGCCCCATACTTCAAGATTTTTGAGTTAGTAAGCTACCTTTTTGCTTTTTTTACTTAGGATAGTTCTGAACTGGTGAGGTGTGCTCACAAAGAGGTTTCCTCTAAAAGTTCTTTTTCTTTTTTTTAGCATAAAAATTATTATATTATTATTATTTTTAATTTTATTAATATTATACTTTAAGTTTTAGGGTACATGTGCACAACGTGCAGGTTTGTTACATATGTATACCTGTGCCGTGTTGGTGTGCTGTACCCATTAACTCGTCATTTGGCATTAGGTATATCTCCTAATGCTATCCCTCCCCCCTCCCCCCACCCCACAACAGTACTGGTGTGTGATGTTCCCTTTCCTGTGTCCATGTGTTCTCATTGTTCAATTCCTACCTATGAGCGAGAACATGCGGTGTTTGGATTTTTGTCCTTGTGATAGTTTGCTGAGAATGATGGTTTCCAGCTTCATCCATGTCCCTACAAAGACCGTGAACTCATCATTTTTTATGGCTGCATAGTATTCCATAGTGCATATGTGCCACATTTTCTTAATCCAGTCTGTCCTTGTTGGACATTTGGGTTGGTTCCAAGTCTTTGCTATTGTGAATAGTGCCGCAATAAACACACGTGTGCATGTGTCTTTATGGCAGCATGATTTATAATCCTTTGGGTATATACCCAGTAATGGGATGGCTGGGTCAAATGGTATTTCTAGTTCTAGATCCCTGAGGAATCGCCACACTGACTTCCACAATGGTTGAACTAGTTTACAGTCCCACCAACAGTGTAAAAGTGTTCCCATTTCTCCACATCCTCTCCAGCACCTGTTGTTTCCTGACTTTGTAATGATCGCCATTCTAACTGGTGTGAGATGGTATCTCATTGTGGTTTTTATTTGCATTTCTCTGATGGCCAGTGATGATGAGCATTTTTTCATGTGTTTTTTGGCTGCATACATGTCTTCTTTTGAGAAGTGTCTGTTCATATCCTTCACCCACTTTTTGATGGGGTTGTTTGTCTTTTTCTTGTAAATTTGTTTGAGTTCATTGTAGATTCTGGATATTAGCTCTCTGTCAGATGAGTAGGTTGCAAAAATTTTCTCCCATTCTGTAGGTTGCCTGTTCACTCTGATGGTAGTTTCTTTTGCTGTACAGAAGCTCTTTAGTTTAGTTAGATCCCATTTGTCAATTTTGGCTTTTGTTGCCATTGCTTTTGGTGTTTTAGACATGAAATCCTTGCCCATGCCTATGTCCTGAATGGTAACACCTAGGTTTTCTTCTAGGGTTTTTATGGTTTTAGGTCTAACCTCCTTAAGCTGATAAGCAACTTCAGCAAAGTCTCAGGATACAAAATCAATGTGCAAAAATCACAAGCATTCTTATACACCAATAACAGACAAACAGAGAGCCAAATCATAAGTGAACTCCCATTCACAATTGCTTCAAAGAGAATAAAATACCTAGGAATCCAACTTACAAGGGATGTGAAGGACCTCTTCAAGGAGAACTACAAACCATTGCTCAATGAAATAAAAGAGGACACAAACAAATGGAAGAACATTCCATGCTCATGGGTAGGAATAATCAATATCGTGAAAGTGGCCATACTGCCCAAGGTAATTTATAGATTCAATGCCATCCCCATCAAGCTACCAATGACTTTCTTCACAGAATTGGAAAAAACTACTTTAAAGTTCATATGGAACCAAAAAAGAGCTCACATTTCCAAGTCAATCCTAAGCCAAAAGAACAAATCTGGAGGCATCACACTACCTGATTTCAAACTATACTACAAGGCTACAGTAACCAAAACAGCATGGTACTGGTACCAAAACAGAGATATAGACCAATGGAACAGAACAGAGCCCTATAATGAGTCTCCAAGAGGTCAAAACACCTGCCTAAGACAAACTGCTGCTCTTAGTAGAGCCCGGATTCAAATCCAGGTCTTTGGGCTCCAAATCTAGTTCCTCTGCATGGCACTGCATTGTCTCGGCTTTCTAGCTACTGATACTAAACATTAGATGACCCTTAATGAGTGCTTTCTGGATGCCCTAGCTCCTTATTCCATTCACCTGGGGCAGTCTCTGTGGCTCTCAAACCCCTGTTAGCAGGGAACCCCTCTTCTCTTTGCGGCTCAAGGAGAAGAGACCCAGCAGGGAAAGCACAGAGGAAGATTGCCGTTCACACCACCCAACACTGGGGGCCCTGGCTTGGCCATCAGTGGGGAAGGTGTGATTGGAATCTGGCAAACCTCGCTCCAAGTCAGCGTGGCTTCCCGTCTGCCTCCCATAGCTTTTCGGGGAATTCCAGGAACTCCAAGTAACAAATGATGGCAAATGAGGAGCTGAAGTAACATAGCAACTGCAAATGTTATTAGTCAGGTGATCTGCAGAAGCCGGCTGCCATTCCAGGGCAGATTATGTTTATCCGAGTAAATACCAAGTCCTCATGACGATGGTTTGTGCAGCAGAGAATGAAGAAGCTCTATTGTTCCTGCCCAAGAGGACTTGGAGCAGTGGAAACTGGGGAATTTTTACTCCTTTTTAAAAATTCAAGATGCTTTTGAGTGTGCTCTGTGTGTGTGTGTGGTGTGTTTGTTTATTGAGACACATTTAATGAGCAGTTCTGATTTTTTGGCCCATATCCTTTGTTATTTGGCGAAGAAGCTGGTGTAGCCAAATTAGCGCAGAAATGAGAGAAGGGCCCTGGGTTTTATTTCTGGTTCTACAATGAGCAAGCTGCGTAGCTTTGGACAAAGAATGTGTTTTCTCTGGGCTTTATAGTGAGGTGATTGTGGGAAGACTCAGGGATGGTTAATGACTCATTCACACTGCAGCCTTCACATCTCCTTTCTGAGGAGTGGCAATGCTCTCTTTGGCTCACTCCTGAGAAAACTGAAACAGGAGACAAGGATGTCATGCTTTCTTAATGCCTTTCTTTGCCTGGGCTCTGGGGGACTCGCAGCCAGGGGCCACCCCTTACTTTCCTTGCCTGGCGATTGCCCTCCTGGGTAGCTGTAGGTCAGCAGATGCTCCTCCTTACCCAAGGGTCTGTCTTAGTTTCCTAAATTCTGCAATAGGGAGGGAAACGCACTATGTAGGGACACTTTAAAAATCCATTGTTTAATGTCATTTCTGACTGAGGAGATGCCTGGGTCAAATTTGACTCTAATACTACCTTATCGTTTTTGATGAGTCTATTCTTTCTTTTTTATGCCTTTCTTTGCCCCCAAGCTGCTCTGCTCTCTTTATAGGGCACCTCATTAAGGCAGGGCAGAATCCCTTACTTTTGATCTATCTCTTTATGGCTCAGACCAGAGGTTGGCAAACTGCAGCCCTCAGGCCAAATTCTGCCTGGTGCCTTTTCTGGTAAATAAAGTTTTATTGGAGCACGGCCATGCTCATTCATTTTCATAGCTGCCACAGAGACAGTACAGCCTGCAAAGCCTAAAATACTTACTGTTTGGCTCTTTACAGGAAAAGTTTGCTAACCCTGAGCTAGATCACTGCAGCATCCGCTCAAGCAATCTCTCTACCCTCCAGTACCTCTTTTGCACCATTAGCAATGTGATGGCTCAAAAACACACAACAAGTTATGTCACTCGGGAGCTTTAAAAACCTGCAGAGGCCCCTCATGTCCATTCTCATTAGATCCCATGCTCAACTATCTTGGGTGGCTTTCAAGACCTTTCCCAGAAAGAACAAACCTTCCCTTCCAACCTCCTTCTTTCTCAGTTGTTTCAACTTGTCTTGGCCATCCTGAGGATCCTTGATCTGTCCCCAAATAGTCCAAGCATATCTAGGCCCCAGGACCTGCTTCATTCAACAGATTTGCTCTGCCTGGTCCACCTTCTCCTGTCTTGCCTGGCAACATCTTTCTTTCTCTTTCTTTCTTTTCTTTTCTTTTCTTTCTTTCTTTCTTTCTCTTTCTTTCTTTCTTTCTTTCTTTCTTTCTTTCTTTCTTTCTTTCTTTCTTCCTTCCTTCCTTCCTTCCTTCCTTTCTTTCTCTTTCTTTCTTCCTTTCTTTCCTTCCTTCCTTCCTTTTTCTTTTTCTTTTCCTTCTTTCC
Organism: Homo sapiens; assembly: GCF_000001405.40. Taxonomy (NCBI): domain Eukaryota; kingdom Metazoa; phylum Chordata; class Mammalia; order Primates; family Hominidae; genus Homo; species Homo sapiens. The sequence goes on from NC_000007.14 coordinate 131,828,859, forward strand.
TTCCTTCCTTTCTGTCTTTTCTCCTTCGTTCCTTCCTTGCTCTCTCTTCCTTCCTTCCTTCCTTCCTTCCTTCCTTTCTTTCTTTCTTTCTTTCTCTTTCTTTCTTTCTTTCTTTCTTTCTTTCTTTCTTTCTTTCTTTCTTTCTTTCTTTCCTTCTTTCTTTCCTTCTTTCTTTCTTTCTCCTTTCTCTCTCTTTCTCTATTTCTCTTTCTTTCAGTCTCACTCTGTTGCCCAGGCTGGAGTGTAGTGGTGCAATCTCAGCTCACTGCAACCTCCACCTCCTGGGTTCAAGAGATTCTCCTGCCTCAGCCTCCTGAGTAGCTGGGACTACCTGCGTCCACCACCATGTCTGGCTAATTGTTTTTTGTAGTTTTAGCAGAGACAGGGTTTCACCACATTGGCCAGGCTGCTCTCGAACTCCTGACCTTGTGATCTGCCCGCCTTGGTCCCCCAAAGTGCTGGGATTACAGGGGTGAGCCATTGCACCCAGCCCATAGTCATACTTTCAAAACCCATGGTTGAAACGTGACCTCCTTAAAATACCTCTGGGTTATTTTCTACTCTAATATCCAGATGAACTGACCAAGACAGAGGCAAACAGGTGAGAAGCAGGTGAAACTTCCGGGCACTCGGGTGCATAAAGTCCTCCGGGAGAGAAGAAGGAAGAGGTGGCCAAGTTTGAAAAGGGTGGTTGTGGCTTAACAATGGAAGTGCCCTTGGGGGGCAAATAGGGAAGACCACTGAGGCCATCGATGGGACCTCATTCATCAGTCCACTGCCTTCCTGAGAGTGAGTCTGTCCACACCTGTCCTGCCTCCTTCCTGAGTTTAGAGGACTAAGCCCTTCTTCCATACCAAGGCTAGTTCTGTACCTGTGCCCCCTTAACCCTTCCTTGCGTGTGTGGTCTTAGTGTGTGCCCAGCACCGAAGAAGTGCTTGCTCTATGCTCCCTGTAGCAGCAGTGACAACAATCAACATGTGACAATACCTTTCTTATTCCAATGCTCAGCGGGTGTCTAGAGAAATCTCTTTCCTGATAAATCTGGCAAATCTGGCTTACCCTACAGATTTCATTCTGTTCCTGTAAAGCCCCAGCCCACCCGGAAGCCCCCACTTTGGCGCTCCTGGGCTTGGATCCCGCTGTGAGGCCGGGGGCAGGTGATCATGGCAGGCGGTAGGACTCCTCTCACTCTCTGCCCCAGACCCCGCCTGGGAGCCTCTGCCGCCCTCTCCTGCTCCAGCAGGCAAGGCCAGGAAGCCGGGAGTGCTTGCTGTCAATATCACATGTGGAGCTGCTTGTGGCCGGCCAGGACTCTCAAAGCCCAGCCTCCCAGGTCAGGCGTGGGCTCCTCCTACTCCTCGTCACTTTCTAGCTGGAAATTTTGTCTCAGCCTCCCCTCGTCTGGGGGCTGGTTGTGGGCCAGGAACCCCCTCTTTCATGGACAGGTTTTAAAGCTGAAATTCGACCGGAAAGGGCTGAGATCAGGAATCTCCCGCAGCCTCAGGCAGGGCTAAGGCAGGAAGATCTCATTAACACCTTTCCACAAAGGGGAAAAATAATATTTCAGCTTGTTCCCTTTGTGTCTTCAAGCGGTGATAAGGTGCCACCAAAGTGCCAGTCTGAGCTGCGTTCAAATGAAGGATGATTCTGATAAGATGGAGAGGAGAGATGTTCGGGGAGGGGGCTGCTCAGGGAGGGGGGTGCGCGCTGGCTTAAGGTTATTAAACAGGAAATGCCTGGCCGTGGCGGATCAAGGGGAAATTACACATTCTGTCACATTTGCTTATTGAATCCTAGTTCTATTGAAGCTTGGAAGGGGGAAAAATAACGCCATCCCCATCAACCTCCTTGTAGCTCTTATTAGATTTCACAACCTTTCAATATTAAAATGCTAGTGCCGGTGGCAAAATTCCTTGTCAGTTTTTAATATCAGTAAGGGATTGTGGTATTAGGTTTAAGGGGGATGGAGGTGAGAGTGGGGAGGGTAGGCAGACAGTCTGCAGGATCCCCGGCGCCCGAGGCCTCAGCTGTCTTTGCTTCTCAGGGCCCGTTGCAGGCTCGGGTCCTCCTGCTTAGTGCGGAAAACTGCTGCGAAGTGGGTGACAATCTCAGGGGGACTGCACGCCCCTCCCACCTTCACAGTGCATGTCACTGTACCCCATACTCAGGTTTAGCCTGCACCTAAACACTGTCGTCAGGTTCTATACAAGTTTCCCAGGGCCGCTATAGCAAAGTTCCACAAACTAGGTGGCTGAAAGCAACAGACATTTATTCTCTTGCAGTGCTGGAGGCCAGAAGTCTGGAATCAAGGTGCTCCCTCTGAAACCAGTAGGGGAGGATCCTTCTTTGCCTCTTCCCCAGCTTCTGGGGTTTGCTGGCAATCCTCTGTGTTTCTTGGCTTGTAGACATCACCCCAATCCCCAGGGAGGCAGAGATTGCATCTCCCCAATCTCTGCCTTTCTCATCCAATGCCGTTTTCTGTGTGTCTCTTCTTTTCTTATAAGGACACCAGTTGTGTTGGAGTAAGAGTCTATCCTACTCCAGTATGACCTCATCTTAACCCATTACATCTGCAATGGCCCTATTTTCTTTTATTTGTTTGTTTGTTTATTTATTTATTTATTTATTTATTTATTTATTTATTTATTTTTCGAGACAGAGTCTTGCTCTGTCACCCAGGCTGGAGTGCAGTGGCGTGATCTCGGTTCACTGCAACCTCTGCCTCCTGGGTTCAAGCTTGTAATGTCTCAGCCTCCCGAGTAGCTGGGACTACAGGCGTGCACCACCATGCCTAGCTAATTTTTGCATATTTAGTAGAGACGAGATTTCACCGTATTGGTCAGGCTGGTCTTGAACTTCTGACCTCAGGTGATCCGCCTGCCTCGGTCTCCCAAAGTGCTGGGATTTCAGGCATAAGCCACCACGCCCAGCCCCTATTTTCAAATAAGGTCACATTCCGAGGTCCTGGGGGTGAAGATGTCAACATCTGCATCTTTTTAGGGGACACAATTCAATTCATAACAGGTGTCTTAGTTTAAATCCTCCCCACCTCAAACCAACCCTGAGACAAGGATTTCGGTGCAAGGAGTTTGGGCGGTGATTCCAGGATGAGGAAGTAGGGGAAGTGAGACCAGCAAGGGAGAAGGGACAATGAAGAGTAGAGTCAGTCCCTCTCCTGGGGCTTTGTTTATCTGGAACCCTCTGAGGGGCTGTGGGAGCAACACTAGGAATTGTATTCCCGAGGGCAAGGCGGTGGGTGTTTTTCCCTCAGTTGAGGGTTGCCCAGAGCATGAACTCCATGGTGCTCCATCTTTCTCAAAAGGAGCCCAGCTAGCTTCTGCAGCCAGAGAATGATCTCAGCAGAGCGAGGTAGGAGACCACTGGCTGTACACAAATGGTCTTTAGGGGCCCCGGGGTAGGAGAAAAGTCTGTGGACAGGGAAGACGTTGGCAGCATCTGCTACACTCGGAGATCAAAAGAGCCTGGGCCAGAGTTTCCAGATGTAAGCATGCCAGCCTTCTGTCCTGCTGGCAGGAGTGGGCCCTTCTCCGGGTCACTGTGACGAGGCCCCTGATCCACAATTTCTCAGACTTGCCCCTCTGTGGCTGAGTTGCTTCCTGGTCTCCTGTCAGATAACCGGTTCTTTCAGGCTGGGGGTTCTGTCTCGACTCCCACTTTCTCCTTCCTGAGCACAGCAGTCCTGTTTCCAACCCCTGACCTTAGAGTGTTGGTCACGCTACCTTGGTCCAGCCCAGTCGCGGAGGGCCTTATCTTGACCCAGAATAGGATGGGCTCTCGGCAGCTTGCCATCACACAGCTTATCTCCTGCCCTTTCTGCCTTGCAGTGACCCCCATCTCTTCTCCTCACCCACTTGGTGAGCTCAGCCATTTAGGGATTTGGGAGAGTAGGATGCTAAAATCACAGGGGAGACTTTAAGCTGCATGTTTTTAGAAATCAGCCCAGGAGAGGGGAGAGACCTTTCTGGGCAGATGGCTTCCCAGCTAGCAGACCAGGACACCAGGAGGCAGGGCCTGCCCTGGACCCCTGACTACTTACTGTTCCCTAAAATGGCGCTGCTCCAGGCCCCTCCCCACTGCCCTGCTACCCACAGGCCTGAGGATGTTTGAGAGCCTCAGGCAATGTGCACCCCCTCCGAAATGATTCTCGAGACCTTAACTGTCCTGCCCTCTGGAGCTGAGCTTTTTCTCGGAGTCACATTTCTCTGCTAGTTTCTGTCCTAGTCCATTCATATGCAGAATACCCCACAGCCATCATGAAGTCCATGTGCAAAGCATGAACAAAGCCAAAAGGTCTTCATAAACAGTGGGGCACTGGCATGGGTCATGTGGGTCCCACCTTCCGCCATCTTTGGGGTTCTTCAAGGGGGATGATGGAGGCAAAGGGATCCAAGATGAGCCCAAGAAGAGGGTGGAGGGGCATGGCCAGCCACGGGAAGCACCAAGGGCTAGAGTCTAGAGCCCTAGGTTCTAGTCCTTCCTCTGCAGCGTTGTTTCATTTCATTTTATAATTTGTTTATTAACCTCCTTGTTGTGCCTCAGTTTTCTCTTTGGCCAGACGAGGTCCACCATGTCCCAGGTTTGCTGTGACAATAAAACAAGATAATGCCCCTCCTCAGGAAAGTGGTCCTTCTTGACATGCTCATGTGAAACAGTTATTGTGAAGTTGATAATGGGATGGGAAATGGACCTTTTGGAAGAAAGCTGTGGCAGGTGAGTGATCTGGGCGCCTGGTGTGGCTGTATCAAGCCTCTGAGGATCTAGGAGGTTTTGTGACAGGTAGAGGGAGGTCCGGGTGTGGTGGGGCTCAAAGCTGGGTTAGGGGGAGGCTCTGCCTCCTGATGGCAGGTGGCCTGTCTGTTCACCCTGCTGATTGCCTGCCTTTGCTGAACTCTCTACTCTTCCTGCCGCTTCTGCCACTGGGGAGGGCTCCAGGCACCTCCCTCTCCACTCCCAGGGAAATAGACACACGGCACATCAATCATCCCTTTCTTTCCATCTCAGGTGAAGACACAGCCTCCCACATTCAGAACAATCTCTGTGTGCTCAAATTAATGAATTTTAGGCTGGAGCAGAAGCCGACTGTGGAAGGATCCTCTGGGAACATAGCATTGTGAGATGGGGTAGGGACGCAGGGATGGCCCAGCGCTGATTTTTTAATTTCCTTTCTGAGAAATGGGGAGAAGCCTATGGCGGCACGTCTGCTTTGACCTCAGCATCTCATGCAGGTCTTCTATATTTCAGTGCCAGTGGAGACTCATCCATCTAAATTCGCTCAAATTGATGGAACTGATTTACACTGGGTCTCTTTTTGATACACAATTTTAGCTTCAGTGTCAACTTGAAAAACTGTGCTTTGGAGACAGATGTGAGACATCACCCTTAGTCTCCTGCTGAACAAATTGCTCAGAGCTGAGTGGGGCTAAGTGCAGGGGTGAGTGAAGCTTGCTTGCTTGGGGCCATCTTGAGGAGCCCCTGCGTGGGACTTGAACTACAGCCTTCTCCTCATGGGACTGTCTGACCTGCCAGGGGCATGTACAAGTCAGCTGTAACTTGTATGATAACTATTTGCCTGCATGTCTGACTCCCCACTGGCGGTGAGCTCCTCCGGGGTTGGACCTCAGCCTTCTTTGTGTCCTGGGAACCCTGCACACGTCCAGCCTGTAGTCAGCTCTACACATATGTGAAGTCAAACCCTGCCTGTCGGCCCTGGAAACTGGAGGCCCCGTGGAGAACCTGGGGGGAAGCCAGGTTGACAGCTGAGCAGCTCTCCCAGGAGCAGCCTTATAAATCTGTTCTCATTAGCAGGAGCCCCAGGGGGAGGGGAGGAGAACAAGTGTGTGTGTGTGTGTGTGTGTGTGTGTGTGTGTGTGTGTGTGTCGAGAGGGCTGGGGAGGGTGCTGCCATTAACTTGTCAGGAACCCCCTTCAATCTATGACACTTTACTTCTGCGTCTGGGAAGGCTGTGTTTGCTGGTGGTAGCTTTTCAGGATCCTGGAAAAATCCTGATTCTGAACCCCAATGCCGTGCAAAGCTGCACAGCACCCAGTCCAGAAAGTCATGCTTCTCCATCTCAGTCACATTTTCAGGTGCACTAATTGGCTTATGCTTTTTTGCATAAAGGTTGGTGAAAGAGCTGAAAAGTTCTTTTCCGCTTCGGTGGTGGGTTCTCTTTGTTCTGAGTGCTCTATTCGGGTCACATCTGGTAGCCTCAGCTGCAATTGACTTTTGGCTCTTGGTCTTTAGGCCAAAGGACTTTCCTGCCACACAAATGAGAAGTTTTTAAAAAGAGCTTTACCATCCTACCCATAAGTTACAACAATTGTCGCTGACCCAGCATTCAGAACTTTGCAGGAGTGAGGCCTCCAACAGCGAGGCTTCTCCTTGGAGCCAGCTACATGTGTGGATGCCTCCCTTTCTATCTGTGCAGCCAGCTCTCAGGCATGCCTCTTCCCAGCATGAGGCAGTCACATTCACAGGCAGGTTAGCATCTGCTGTCCCTCTCCGGAGGCTCAGAGCCCACACCAATGCCCATTTACAGCACCTACACCAGCTGTCAAGGTGCAACATGCTTGCTCCCTCTCTGTTTCTCACTTTTCTATTTAAATTTGTTTAGCATTAGGATAATGAAACATATTCTGTTTGTTAAGGCCAGAGAAACCTGGTTTTGGCATAGAGACCCTAAGGGGGCACAATAATGAGCAAGATTAAGATAAAAACAAATGAAAGGACAGGGAGTCTCAGGTGGGCACATACGTAAGGCTCTGCTTGAGTCTGAGCTTTTAGACTGGCACAATTAGCATCATTACTGTTATAGTCTCAGCCTCAACATGGAATAAACCTTCACTGATGATTTTTGTTAACTGAAAAGGCAGGTCTCAGCTGTTTTCCATGGGATCCAGATCTACTCCAGATCTACATGAGTTTTCTCATTGGCTCAAGCTGCAGCTGGCAGACAGGTGAGGTCAATGGGGATACAGGTGTTTGAACCCCACTGGGGCTCCATCAACGAGATCCAGGGCTATGGAAGGACTGGGCTTCTTGCTAAGTGCCCTTGACTTTGCATAATCTCTGCCCAGGCTCCACTTGTGGCCCCATCAGGCCCTCTGAACAACAGAATGAGCTATTCACAAAACACTTTGTAAATATTTTTATTTTGAAAACAGCTTTGATCGCCATCACTTTGAGAGGAGCATTTTTAATACCAAGAATATATATGCAGATTTCTCCTACAGTGACCTAAAAGACACCAAGAGTTAAGGGGAAGGGTCCCCACGAAGGGCCTGAGCTCAGACCTTGCTCTACTGCAGTGCTGGCATCACAGTCATGAGAGAGCCAGTTTTGAATCCAGCCCCACCCCGCTTATTATCGGCATAAAATAGAAATGTAGCATTTGGCCAAACCTTTTAAGTTTTCCTTCAAAAACATAACCCTTTGTCAATATAACTACGGTTCTTAATTATGAGATGAAACAAGGGAAATGATATAGAACAATATTAAGAGAAATAAAAATGTCTGTCTTCAAATTAAGTACCTTTTTATCTCATCCCCCTGGGTCATTAATTACCACTGTAGCCTCATCTTGGTCTCCCTACTCAACTCAAGGAGAATACTTAACTTTCTTTTGGTGGTTCAAGTGTCAAAAATGTCCTTAGGCTGGTGTATAGTTTTTCAGAAAATCACTTCTAACTCCTTTCCTGCTGATCCTTCTAATAACCCTGCTTATGGTTTATCGGAGGCAAAGTGTTAAGTGTTTCATCGTTTCTCTAATTAGTTCTAGAGGATAACAGCTCCTTCACAAAAACAAACCATTTTTCAAAAATTTTCTCCAAGTTTTGCTTCTAGAATACCTTTCCCATCCCTCTTTCTCTCTAGCTAACCATCTGATTGAGAGTGGTTCTAGAATATAACACAATAATAACAGCTGCAAATGCTTTTTGAGCACTTTCTTATTGCCAGCCAGTGAGGATGCTGTGACTTAGAAGCAGCACAAGATCACATGGCTGAGGAGTGGTGGCACAGCCTGCGCCTCACTCTGCCCCCTGAAGGTCAAGTGAGGTGGGAGTTGCTTGGAGTTGAACCTGGGTTCTCCCAACCTCCAACCAGGTGCTATTGTCCCTGGACTCTATTCCCGCCTTCCTTTGGTTGCTCCCACTCTTATTACAAACAGAGAGAAAAATCCCTTAAAGAGTGAGTCTTTGAGCCTATAACAAACCTTTCTGTATCCAATCTTTTTCTCTATTTCTACCAACATATATTTTACATTAATAAAAATTACAGAACATCATGGTTCTCTACTAATTGTAAAAAGGTTTTTAATTTTAAAAAAGTTCGTTGCAGAGATTTATGAAAGGAACCAAGTGTTTTTCTTCAGGATATTTTACATATGAGTATAATACAGAACAGTTTGAAAATAGTTATTCCATGCATATTAATTAAGATATTCTTCCTCTGCCCCTGCAACAGCAGAAATCAATTCTGGTTGGCTTAAACAAAAGGGACATTTTTAAAGGAACACTGGAGAATTTCATGGGCTCAAAGAAGCACATGAAACCACCAAGACACAGAGAGGGGAAAAACTGGGGAAAAACTGGGGCATGCCCGGAGACCCCACAGTAAGAGAACCTAGACCTTATCAATTTGTCCTGCCATGGTGCAACCCCATTCTCACGTTTCTTGAGATCTCACCATCCCACAAGATAAATCTTCTGTAGGAAGAAAATGTGATTAAACCAGATTTACTTAGGGGTGTACAAATGGATCAGTCAGCCATGGTGAAGGCTGAGGGGTCAGTGGCCACATTTCAGGACTTCTCCCAGAGAAGGGCCATTGTGGTGAGTGGGCTTTGCATTGTGATTTCTTTACATGGCCTTGGAGCCCTAGAGAGCTCTTTTATGTTCCCTTTCTTCCTTATTCTATCCCCCATCATGGGGCAAGACTGACAGTCCAAAAATGCAAATGTGGGGAACAAGAAGTATTGGCCACTGATGGTTTGTCCCCAAGATCTCTTCAGGTAGCTTGGTAACAAGCTAGCAGGGCTCAGGGCTCCCTTGCCCCCTCCGGCAGGAGGTGCTGCACACCTTCAACTTCCTCAGCCTCCTACATCCAGATGCAGGGCGGCTAGCCTTCCCCGTGACTCCTGTAAATAGCGGTGCCCAAGCTCAGGACATTTTGCAGCTAATCTCAGACAGTTTTTGCCTCACTTTCATGGCTCCTCTCATGCTTGTCCCTTGAAAGGAGAAGTGGAGGGAGTGGGGTCCCTCTGCTGACACACCCTCCGTCCGTCTCACCCCCTGTGATCCTGCAACCCAGTCCAAGCATGGCTTTGTGTAGGATGCTAGAGAACCAAGGCAAATTCAGCCCCTTCTGCCCACGAGTGCCAGCCCACACCAAGCAGCATTTGCTGGTGGCCACCCCAATGCTTTTGCTTAACAGTTAGCCTAAGGCAGTATGACAAACTTAGTTCAGACCTGAAGTTGGGGAGGTTATTAAGGGAAAGAGGTATAAATAATTCTAGGTGATAGCAACTCCCAGCACCAGGTGGAGTCTAAGCCCTCAATCAAAGAAGGCCTTAGGAGATGATGCAAAGAATTAGTTGCAGGTTCCAGGAGCCAATCTGGGGCTTCCATAGCTGGGGGGACATGGGGACTGCCATTCTTGCCCCAGCTCTGTCCGTCACATATTGCTTGATCTTGGGCAAATCACATCACCTTTTTGTTTCTTAATTTCTTCATTATTACACAGAAGTGTCATAATGTCCATCCCATCTGGGAGAGTTGCTGTGAGACTGAAATCAAAAGTTAAAAGCACTGTACATTTTGAACTATTGTTGATCTGGGGAAACTGAGCCACAGAGCCATTCCCCAGACCAGAATGCAGAGGAATGAACACAGCCTTTGGAATGTGCCAGAGTGGATGGGGGTAATTAGCTGCCCTGGAGTCCTCTCACTGCACTTTGTAGTTAAAGGTGACTGTGACTTTTGCTAACTTTTCTCAGGATCACAGATTTCTCTGAGCAGAACTGTAGCCATAATAACTTAGCAGGCTCCACTGGATTGATAACTCTGAAATCTAAGGGCCATTCAGTTGCTAAAGGCTTTTTATTTAGCCTTTCTGTTTGGTATTAATGTTATCCCCATGGCATCTAAATGGCAGAGCTATTTATGGATTGGAAGTCATTCTGACAGTGTGGCTCCTGGCCATCCATCATGGGCAGGAGAGAAAAATCCAGGTGCGCAAAACTCCTAGGGTAGGCAGGACAGATGGGGATATTTAATGCTTGCTGATGCCGTGAATTCTACTTAATTTCTTTGTAAGCAACAGTAGCAAAGGGCAATAGAAAAAGAGCATCTTTCTTTGAAAAGGTAAGAGATCAAGTCCTAAACTTTGCACTGAAGGCATGACTTCTCTGGGGTTGAAGTCACTGTAGAGACAACATTGTGGTATGTATTGGTACTTCTCAACCTTTTTTGAATATGAAGATTCTTTTAATTGGAAAAAAGGAATCTCAACATGGGAGTAACTGCACCTGAATGTTGACTGATTGAGAAGATACATAATTACTGTAGGGTACACTGTATTCAGTAACAATTTTCAATAAGTTTATATTTAACTCATGAAAATGACACACTTGAAAAATAGTGCATATATGATTGAGACATGTTTTTTTTTTAGTTTAAAGACTGAACATAGACCTTGCTGCTAATGATAACAGTACACCTAACACTTGTTGAGAGTTTATCATGTTCCAGGTACTGTTCTAAGCAATTTTTTTGAGACAAAGTCTTGCTCTGTTGCCCAGGCTGGAGTGCAGTGTCATGGTCACGGCTCACTGCAGCCTTGACCTCCCAGGCTCAAGTAATCCTTCTGTCTCATCCTCCCGAATAGCTGAGACTACAGGCACATGCCACCACACCCGGCTAATTTTTAAATTTTTTTTTTGTAGTGATAGAGTCTCCCTATGTTGCCCAGGCTGGTCTCAAACTCCTGGGCTCATGTGATTCTCCCATCTTGGCCTCCCAAACTGCTGGGATTACAGGTATGAACCACTGTGCCCGCCGTTTTAAGGCATTATCTCATTTAATTTTCATGACAACTCTGTGAGATTGGTAACAATCACTATTCCCATTTTACAGATGTGGAAATTGAGGATCATAGATGTTAAGTAACTTTCCCTGGGTCACTCACCTGGCAAGTGATGGAAAAAATGTTCATCCCTGAGTCATCCATTATTGTCATCAACATCATCATCCACAGTCTGCAAGACTCGCCCAGTGCAGACTTTGCATGGAGCTGACATGCAGGCGGGTGGGGAGAAACTCCAGCACTCTGTTCAACATCTTTTGAAGTCGGCCTCCCAGCTGTGAGCATGTGCCAACCTCTCTTGACTGCACATCCTGCTTTATTCTCTTCTCCCCTCTCTTCCTCCTTTATCTCTTCCATTTGGCCTTTACAAGTGTGGGTTCAAGAGGAACTTTTAGAGAGGGGGCAGGGCACAGAGAGTTGAGAGACTGCCAGATATTTGAATAAAATGTTGTCTCTGAATCCTATTTTCCACTGTTTATCTCCTTCAAGGCTCCTGACTGAGGAAGGATTTTCACAGGGAACAAGAGTCAAATGGGAAAACCTATGACTTCATTAGTAGCTAGGCAAACTCCTGACACTCCAAAGGCCAGCCTTCTCTGCAAAAATCTGGTTTGGAGATTATGAGGCCCAAATTAACTTCCTATTTCCTATTCTTTACATCTAGAATGTAAACATTCTGTAGAAATTTCTTTTTTATTTTTTCTTTTGTTGAGACAGATTCTCGCTCTGTCGTCCAGGCTGGAGTGCAGTGGTGCAATCTTGGCTAACTACAACTTCCGTCTCCTGGGTTCAAGCGATTCTCCTGCCTCAGCCTCCCGAGTAGATGGTATTACAGGCACGTACCACCACATGTGGCTAATTTTGGTATTTTTAGTAGAGACAGGGTTTTGCAATGTTGGTTCAGGCTGGTCTCGAACTCCTGACCTCAGGCGATCTGCCCGCCTCAGCCTCCCAAAGTGTTGGGATTACAGGCATGAGCCACTGCACCTGGTCTTCTTAGAAATTTCTGAGTCCACCTTTTAAAACTAGTCTCATGAAGGAAGAACAGCTAGCCTGTCTTTCTATGTGGACATCCGATATATTTGTCCCTATCTTTTCTCTGGCAATGACACTGCCATTTCTTTTGGGAAACTGGCTCTCTTCCATTCCTTGTCATTCTGGTAGAGGCCACCAGTTACAGTATCTGTGTTCCTCCCTTGCCATGGCCCCATTGACTTATCCAGGAACATGGATGTGACTCAAGCAAGGCTGATCCATGGACCTGGAAAAGAGGAGGTCTTCCTCCTTCTTGGGTGTTACAAACTGAAGTGCTACAAATGTAGAGCCACCTGAGGCCTCTGTCCATGCCATGGAGGAGGGCCATACATGGTAAGAAAGAAGTTGAAGCTAACATCCAGAGGAAAGCAGAGTTGAGAGATGGAAGAGTTGCAAAAAGAGTTTGAGAGATGGAGCGATAGGTTAGTAGATAGATAGATACCTGATGACATTCTTCATCTAGATAGGCTTGCATTAGGTTCCACTCTTGGTATTTGTGGCTACAATAATTCACCTTTGTTCTTATCTTAAATTGCTTTGTTGTAGACTTGTAGCCAAAAAAGTCTTGACTAATCCACTCACCCATTCAGCACAGAAAAGTACTCCTGATGTGCGTCACTTTACAACAAAGCCATCCTGCATGCTGGTGCCATGTGGCTCAATGAATGTGAGGCTTTGACCAATTTGGGAGGAGTTACTGTGGGGTGGAGATGTGCTTCAAAGTGTGGGCAGAAGGGTTCACTCTATTCTAATTGAAGAAGGATGTTTTATCCTAGGAGTAAGGTAGGTGAACCCCTCTTTTAGACTTTGGGAATCAATGAATGCAACGAGAAAGGAATTTGCTGCTATTTCTTGTGAGCTCCCTGTGACTGAGTTGTTCTGGAAGGGTGAGGCTTAAATATCCAGGCCCAATCTGGTGGATCATGTAAGTGTTATTCTGAGTATATTTTTGAAACTGGTGAAAGCTGGTCACCACTTCTGAGAGGTAGTAGAGAGTTCCTTTTTTCTCTCAGCAGACAAAGATCAATAAGGAGGGGAGAGTTTGAGGGGCTTTACCTATGAGTAAGAGGGAATCCTGAGGAAGTACAATTCTGCTCCTTTGGGACTGGTTTAGGAAGAAGTTGGTGGGAGAGACATTAATGTAGGAAGAAAAAATGCTGCTTTTGGGTGTATCACTCTGATGTCATCATAAAATATTATGGCTTTATTGCTTCACCATTTTAATAAAAACTCAGTTTAAGGATGTATAATTTTCGACAAACATGTAATCTGGATGGCCATTAGAGACAAATATTGCAGATTCTAATGCCTGAATATAGACCACTGCACATATCGGAAACATGTAAGATGACAGAGTAGATCCTTTTAGACCCATCCAGTATCTTTTATTTTTATTTTTCTTAGCATTTTCCATTCTCCTTTTCTTTACTTTCTTCCTTGATCAAATACTCCTATAACTGAAGACTGTGACCTTCACTCTTGAACTCATATTAGTATCTTTGGGGAGTTTTGGAGTGTCTCCAAGATGGTAATCACTGGGGTGGTTTTCCGGAGAAAAATGTGAGTGCTGGCTGGGACTTAGGAAATCCGAGTGACCCTCTGGAAGGCATTTAAAATTCTCTCAAAGCCTCTATTTCTCCAAGTGGAGAGTGAGAGAGTAAGATTCCATAACCATTAGCTTTCCTCTGACTGTTCCCTGCAGAAGCTGGGCACTGTAGTGGTTGCTTCTCTTGCTGGAGTCTTTGGTCTCAAGCAGAACTTGCCTTGTGCTTCTCGGACTGTTGGACAGTTCTAACCTTCCAGCCCCTGCCTCTACACCCTGCCCCCCAGCCCCCCAGCCTCCCACCCCTTCCCCACTTGCCAACTGCTTAGATGACTGAGAACTTGCTTATTTTTGAAACAAGAGAATGAAAAGGAGGGTTTCTTTGCAAACCTTTTTCAGTGTCAGAGCAAACACTGGGCTAGAGGCATTGTGGGCTCGGGAGTGTCCGGTAGCCTCCATATCACACTGTTCTCTGTGGCCCACTTTGCCCACCTTGCCCTTATGTCACCCAGGGCCCTTCTAGGCTGCCTTTGAAGAGTTACTAATTATGGTCCACATTCTGAAGTTCATGTTATTGCAGACAGCCTGGAGCAGGGCCCCCAGGCTTTGATGGCCATGGCTCCGAAAATGCCTTATAGTTTAGATGTTCAGATGTTCAGGCAGGGAGCTCAGGTGTTCCATTCCTTTGGCCTTATATCTCTTCCTATGATTAGGCAGCAAGCAATATTTCCCAGGAAGGACCTTGACCTTTTGCAGAACTCACAGAGGAATAAAGGGGATTTTTGGCCAAGGCGATAACAAATGAATTCAGAGGGTCTACTTTGGTGGTGACCTTCTACGGCGATTTGGTGACTGCCTATGGCTGTGTGGTGGGAAGAACACATTGAGTTCACATGGGTGGCGAGCTAGTTCTAGGAGTAGACCCGTCACTCCCTCCCGAGTGACCTTGGGCTGACCATTCACTTAACCTCTGTGACTGTCAGCCTTCTCACTTGTAAATTGGGACAAGAATTCCCATTTCATGGGAGATTGTTGTGACAATTAAGTGAGATAATGGGTGTCATGCCATGTTGCCAGCACTTTTAGCTTTCCTACGGATACTGCGAGGATTAAATGAGCCAGCTGACAGGAAGGCCATTTGCTAATTGGGAAGGCTGGGGCAGAATGGGACTGACTGAGCCAGGCCAGTGGGTGTGATTGAGCAGAACTGATGACCTTGGCCACTTAAGATAGGAACTGGCTGCCCCATTAGCCCCCTCAAGCTCTGGAGGTGAGGTGTTGAACTTGCTCAAGTTCAGTTGCTTGGATTTTGGCAGAGATGCGCAGACCCAGGGGGCGAAGTGCTCTTCTTGTCATTGCCTCCATCTCTCCCCGTGTCCCAGGCAGGGAATAGCTGCAGCCTCGGTACCTCCTTGCTCATTGCTCAAAGTCAAGCAGTGTTTTACAACTAAGGCGGATGAGCATGTCTAAATATTTAACTGGCAGATCAATCTGTGGCGACAAGGAGCAGCATTAAAAAAAAAAAGACGAGACATTCCAGTGACGTCTTCATGATTGGCAGCATGCCATGGGGAGGAGACTGGGCTCTGTCTGGGATATAGCTCAGAAGGGGAGAGAGTGATAAGTCAAAGAACACTGGACTAGAAGTCCTATTGCTGGCTCTTAACCAGAGCCTGTGTGCTTGGAGCAATAGAGAGTGGACAGACAAGAGATTGATTGCACGTAGCTCCAGCCAGCCTCCCGGCATGCTGAGCTCCTGGGTGGTCTCCAGCTTCGATCATCGTCTGTCCCCTGATTGAGTGTGCATAGACAGGTGACATCAGATGGGAGGAAGGAGGACATGGCAGAAAGGGAATACAAATGAGTAACTGTATTTTACATGCTTGACAGAGGACAGTGCTGGGCTTGCAGGCATGATGATGGTGGCTGTCCCTGCCCTGCTAAGGCACCCCTAGGATAGGATAGGGTGGCTCCTACTGTAAAGGAGGCAGGTGGCATCTCCAGGCTGGATCAGGCAGCCGTGTTATGATGAAGCTGCAGGCTTAATGTTAGTAGAGCTGCAAGTGCAGATGTAGCCTTCAGAAATGCAGTACCAGATGGTGCAGAGTGGAGGAGCCTGGCTTGTCATCACATTCAGACGGTCATAAAGCAAAGACAGCAATTATAGCTAACGCTTTCTGGATGCCTACTATGTGCTAGACCCTTTGGTAGGGAATTTACATACTTATTTATTCCTTCAAGAAACCCCTGAGATAAACAGAATATGGAAGTGGATATATAAACATACACACACACATACACACATGTATAAATATACCACATATATAAATAAAAGACACCCATATATATCCATATTTGTAGGTGTGTGTATATATGTGTATATGTATGCAAATATATATAATAACTTTGCTATAAGCTTTGTTTAAATCACTTATCCTCTATTTCTCTTGCCTTTAATATGGAAACACATGCCTATATCTGTTTATTTATATACTTAAGACAATGTTTATACTCTCTAAACCTTCATTCCTTTCTAGTGACCAAAATGTATTGGATACTCAGCTATGGGAGATCCCACTGAGCGAGAGTGGCTAAAGGTAGACCTTGACCTGGGAATAGCTGCCTTTTGAAGCAGGAACAGCTCCAGAGGCAGCTGCATCAAGCAGTCCTGCCTGGTGAACATCAGAGTAATGAACGTCACTGCTGTGCTGCCTGACACCCTCATGTTCTCCAAGCTATGTAAGCATTGACCATTGTTCACGTGTGCACATATGCATTAGAGTTCCTTGTTCACCATGTATCCTGAGTGCTTCCATCAGTGCCTGGCACCTAGTAGACACTCAATAAGTCTTTGTTGAATGAATGAGTTCTAGGTGAGGGAGGAGAGCTCAGTTTCCATGAGTTCCACAAAGTCACAGAGTAAGAGCGTGGCAAACTTACATTCCTTCCCCATGTAAGCACTTTTAGCTTCCAGGCCTGAATCTAAAGAGCAGACAGTTTAATCTCAGTGTGGTTTAATGCCCTCAGTATTTCAGCCATTGTTTTCTGCAATTCTCTTTGTGAAATTCTTAGAAATAGTCTCTGAGATTTAAGGATTTCCTTCATGTGGTTTTCATCTCTCCTTCTAAGCAAAGGCAAAGTTAACTTTAAACAGTATTAGGGGACAGGTAAATGGCAGTGTCCCATGGCCCCGTGTGCATGCGTGTGCATATGTGTGTGTGCATATGTGTGTGTGCATGTGTGTGCACGCATGTGTGTGCATGTGTGTGTGTGCATGTGTGTGTGCAAACACACACTTGTGATGCTGAGAACACTGGTCTTATTTTCTCCCAAACATGTTAGCTCCACAATTTCATAATTAGGGGGGATGCTAATGTTCTATGATTGGAAAATGTCACCCTGCGTGACTAATTTGCCAGCAGGGCCTAATTGAAGTTCAGCATCATCTGCGGCTCCTGTAAAGTCTTTCTTCTGAAGTGTGGAGGCAGAGGCAGTGGCGGTGGCAGGGAGCCAGGCTGGGCCAGTGGACGGAGATTTATTGCCCCTCATTTCTCAACAGTTCTGAAGGGTCAGATGGGATATCAGCTGTGGTTGAAATGGGGTTGGCCATAAAGGAAAAATCTGGGGCTGGACTAACCCATGTGGCAGGTGGCACTCAATAAATAGCTGGGCTTTCTCCAGGGAGGGCTTGTTTTTTTTTTTTTTTTTTTGAGTGAGAGGGGTCTTTTGTGTGAATGCAAACATCACAGAGCAGCAGGGCCCGAGGCAGCCTAAGGCAGAGGGTAAATCCTAGGGAGTTTATTCCCATGGTACATCCACTAGGCTGCAGGATCCTTGAGGTCCAGGGATGCGTGTTGATTTATTCCCAGGTTCTCAGTGCCTATTGTCATGCGTGGCACCAAGTAGGCATCCAGTTATACTTTCCTGCTTGCATGGAAGGAATGGCGACCTCTGTTTCTTCAGGTCAGAGATGACTTTGTATTGGATTCTTGACCTGGATTTTAGGGAGTGAGTAGGAACAGCAGGAAGATGGGACATGAGGGTATTTGATATTTGAGACCTTCATTCATTCAACAAATATTTTCTTGAGCATTTTCTATGCACAGATTATGAGACGAGATACTGGGTATAAACTGATGAACAAACTCTCATGGTTTCTGGTTTGTGGAGGTCACATTCCAATAAGAGGGTCAGACGATAAATAGACAAGAAAGAAGCCAACCCTCAAGTTACAAATTTGATCCAGTGCTGTAATTTAAAATTACGTATGTGTGGTGAGGGAGGATGCTATTTTCATATGGTTGTCAAGGAAGGCGTCTCTGAGGAGGTGACATCCAGTTGACACAGGAGTAATGAGAAGGAACTGGCCATGTAAGGATGGAGGGAAGCGCATTCCAGGCAGAGGGAACAGCATGAGAGAAGAGTGTGCCGCAGGAAAGAAGGTGAACTGAAATAAGGGCTGAAATTGGGGTGTGGGTGGGGAGGCGTGTTGGAGATGTTGGAGAGGCAGGTACAGGCCACATCATGCAGGACCTCTTTGGGTTTAGGGAGGAATTTGGGTTTTAGTCCAAGCGCAATGGAGATTCATTAATGAGGTGTAAATAGGGGTAATACTTTGTGTTTTTTGTTTGTTTTGTTTTGTTTTGAGACACAGTCTCACTCTGTCACCACGCTGGAGTGCATTGGTGTGTTCTTGGCTCACTGCAACCTTTGCCTCCTGGGTTCAAGCGATTCTCCTGTCTCAGCCTCCCAAGTAGCTGGGATTACAGGCGCGCACCACCGCATCTGGCTATTTTTTGTATTTTTAGTGGGGATTTCACCATGTTGGACTGGATGGTCTCGATCTCTTGATCTTGTGATCTGCCTGCCTCGGCCTCCCAAAATGCTGGGATTACAGGCATGAGCCACTGCACCTGGCCAATACTTTGTTTTTGTTTTTATTTTTATTTTTTTTAGAGACAGGGCCTCACTCCATCAACCCGGCTGGAGTACAGTGGTGAGATCAAAGCTCATTGCAGCCTTGAGTTCCCTGGCTCAAGCAATCTTCCCACTTCAGCCTCCCAAGTAGCTAGGACTACAAGTGCATTCCTCCATGCCTGGCTAACTTTTAATTTTTTTTTTTTTTTTGTAGAAATGGAGTCTTGCTGTGTTGCCCAGGCTGGTCTTAAACTCCTGGGCTCAAGTGATTCTCTTACCTCAGCCTCTCAAAATGCTGGGCCTTAGGGATACAATTTGAGAAGATGATAAATCCTGCTGTAGAGAATGGATTATGGAGTGGCTGGGTAATAATGGATCCAGGACCCTGGTTAGGCTATTGGAGTAGTCAGAGGAAAGAGGGGGCTCTGGAAGATGCTAGGAAGCGGGAGTATTTTTCTTGTAGGCAGTGGGAGCTGCTGAAGCATTTTGCCCAGCAGTGGGTAACTGGGTGGGGTGTGTATTTTGTAATAATTGCTCTGGTGGCAGTGTAGAGAATGGATTGGAGGAAAGAAAGATGAAGGGAGGAAAATCAGTTTCTGGTTATGTTATAGGGACCGTATTTTAAAGGGGAAATAGGCAAACTGTAGCTGACCAGGATGGCACAGATTTGGAAAACGCTGTATGAGGAAGAGTCAAGGATCCAGCCTGACTGAACACAGAGAAACACACTGGGCAAGAGAGCCCCCATGTTCTGCGGGAGTAGCCGCCAACCAGAAGGGAGCAGACCTCCAGGGGTGAAAGCGATGAGGTCACTGGGAAGCTCAGTGTGCGAAAGGGATGGGTTTCTGACAGAATTGCTTGGCTATGGGACAAGTTTTACACATATAAATACAATTACTTCTGTTTTTTTTTTTCCTCTACATCATGTGAAAACAGGTAGATGAATTTTCACCGAATTGGGGGACATGGTTGGGATGGTCTGCCTTAAAATAGCAATGATGTGGTATATTCAAACCTCACTTTGAGGATCTCAAGGAGATCCTACTCCCAAACTAAGGAACCGAGAGACACCCATGGGACTGGTTGGGAGGGACACGCCCTGTGTAAACTAAAACTGTGGGAAGAGACCATTCTTTTGCATACCCCATTTTCTGGATAAAAAGAAAAAGACATTCCTGTTTTTGATCTTTTAATTCAAGAAATGGGGCAAAAACAACCTAATCTGATCCTGGACTTTCTCTTGAGTTGCACACAGAGGATTCCTTTTATTCATCCTTCCTCCTGCTATTTCCCTTTAACTCTTAATCACTCACCAACGTCCCTCCCTATCCAGAAAAGCCCCAACTCAAGAACTAAACTAAAAGAAAGTAGAATAAAAAATAAATGCTCAAGGAAAACCCACTGCTATCAGCAGCCCCTACCCCCTCCCCATGTACTGTCCCCAGAATTAATTCAGGAGGGAAAGCTATAATCTGATTTCAGACTAATAATGTACTCAGCAGCCCACCCAGCTGTCATTCTCTCTCGTGCGCGCTCTCCCTCTCTCTCTCTCTCTAGCTTCATCAATTCCTGAATTGCTTTCAGGCCAGTCTTTTCACATGTGATTTCTCCACTTTCTAATATTTAATTTTAATTCCAGCCCCGCTTCCCTTGTAAATCCTCTGACTACACAGACCAACCTGGTTTTCCCCTCTGATCCCCTTCTGCTTCCTTCATTATCAGCAAGACAGACCAGCATCTGCCGGGAGAGCTGCACTGACTCGATTTTGCCTTAGATTCAAGACCTAAGGCAGATTATTGCCCCTGTTATCAATATAAAGGACATTTTAATTTTCTGGGGTCCAAGAACAGGCAACTTACTAGGAGTCCAAATGGAAGACGGCCCCAGTGCTCCTGGCCTGCCCCCTGTCTTCCACTGTGTTCTGGAACAGAGTAGATCCTCTCACACCTTATAGGAAGGAAAGCTCTCTCTGGGTCTTCGGGAGCCACTGGTTCTGGCCTGGCCTGGCAGGCTCCATGCTGTAGCTCCGAGTGGGAGTCGATAGTTCTGCAGAGCTCAGAGGCTGGGCGGAAGTGCAGAGCTGGGGTGTTCAGGCTCAAGGAGGGGCACTCAGCCAGCTCAGGGACAAGGGGAAAGGTGGAGATTGCCCTCACTGCTCCCCAAGTCCCTCCACACCCTTCTTCACTTGCTCAGGGTCAAGTGCCAGAGGGACTGTGTCAGACAAAGGCCAGCTCTGGGACAAGTGTTCAGGTTCCTCAAGCACGGGTGTATGGCAGGACAGGCCACAGGCCTTTGAACACACCCGGTTTCCAGTGCTCGGGCAACTGCTGGCTCTCAGGAATGTCCAAGAGGTGGCTACCAGGAACAGAGCCTGCATCCCTGGAGAGTCCGCTTCCCCTCAAAGCTGGGTCTCAGGGGGATCCCCATTCAGCAAGTACGGGGTTGCCCTGTTTACTCTGGATAGAGCTTCAGTTTGAGGAATCATGTGATTTTGGGCAGTGGCAGCCTGGCCCCTTCTTGGAACACCTGCAGCCATCTCTTAGGATGGCCTTCCTTGTTTTAGTCTTACAGAAATATCTTGAAGGCAGGGACTGTGTCTTGCACTGCTTCGTATCCCAGCAACACCAGGCCCAAGCTCTTGGCCATGCGAGATGTTCATTAGGTACCTTTCTCCAGGGGATCAAGGCAGCGTGGAGGAGAGGAGAGAGCTTGGGCCCTCCGTCTGCACGCCTGCACTGTAGTATCCGTGTCAGTGCCTGTAGTTGTGCCAGCCTGAGAAGGCCTACTGGTTTCTTGTGGCTGCCTTCATAATGTACCACAACCTGGGTGCTTAAAACAGCAGAAATTTATTCTGTTGTAGTTCTGGAGGGCAGACATCCAGCATCAAGGTTTCAGAAAGTTCGGTTCCTGCAGGATGCCCTGGGGCAGAATCTATTCCTTGTCCCCCTTCTGGCTTCTGGTGGCTGCTGGCTTCTGGTGGCTGCTGGCACTCCTTGGTGTCCTTTGGCTTGTAGCTGTGTCAGTCCAATCTCTGCCTCCCTTGTCACATGGTATTCTTCTTCCACGTCTCTGTGTCCCTGTATCTTCATGGGGCCTTTTTTTTTTTTGAGACGAAGTTTCATTCTTGTTGTCCAGGCTGGAGTACAATGGCAAGATCTCAGCTCACTGCAACTTCTATCTCACGGATTCAAGCGATTCTCCTGCCTCAGCCTCCTGAGTAGCTGGGATTACAGGTGCCCGTCAGCATGCCTGGCTAATTTTTGTATTTTTAGTAGAGACGGGGTCTCACCATGCTGGCTAGGCTGGTCTTGAACTCCTAACCTCAGGTGATCCACCCGCCTTGCCCTCCCAAAGTGCAGGAATTACAGGCATAAGCCACCATGCCCGGCCCACGGGGCCTTCTTATAAAGACACCAGTCATTGGATGTAAGGGCCCACACCACTCCAGTATGACCTCATCTTAGGGCCCACCCTACTCTAGTATGACCTGACTTGATTACATCTGCTAAAATCGTATTTCTAAATAAGGCCACCTTCACAGGTATGGAGGTGGTAGTGGCTAGGATGTTGGCATATCTCTTTGGGGGACTTAATTCACCCCACATCAGAAGGTTACTCCACCAATCTAAGGGCATCACACCCTACGAGAAGCTTGAGACAGTGTAAAGTGAACTGAACTTGGAGAGAGGAGATCGTCCCCAAGACCTAAGTGCTAGAAACTGTGGTGTTACCCTGGCAAAGTCTCTTTACGTTCTTTCTTTTTTTTTTTTTGAGACAGAGTTTTGCTCTGTCACCCAGGCTGGAGTTCAGTAGTCTGATCTCGGCTCACTGAAATCTCTACCTCCTGGGTTCAAGTAATTCTCTTGCTTCAGCCTCCTGAGTAGCTGGGATTACAGGAGCCCACCATCACATCTGGCTAATTTTTATATTTTTAATACAGGTGGGGCTTCATCATGTTGGCCAGGCTGGTCTCGAACTCCTGACCTCAAGTTGACCTGCCAACCTGGCTTCCCAAAATGCTGGGATTACAGGCATGAGCCACTGTGCCCAGCCTGTCTCTTTACTTTCATGGGCCTCGGTTTGTCTGCAAAATGAGGACATCCATCTAGATATCTGAGATAACTTCCAGTCCTAACATTTTATGGTTTGAAATTTACTTTTTCTGCCTCAAAGAGAAAGACAAAGAATGAATAATAAGAAAACCAAGAAAGCAGAGAAATAGAAAGAAATAAAGGAAAAGAAAATAATGAGGGGAGAAATACAGAGAGCAGGAACATCAGACAAGCAGAAAAGTGGAAGCATGTGTGATAGCCCAAACAAAACGAAAGGAGGGCATCTGAGGGAGCAGAAAATGGAAGCTTATTTATCTGCGTGTGTGTGTGTGTGCGTGTGCATTTGCATTTAACCTTGTTTGCTCATAATCTGGTTGCAAAAAATATATAGCTATATAATAAGGAGCCGAACATTTCCCCTGGTTGCATACAAACTCCTGTTTTATAAACCATTATCTCCTGATGCTATTAATTTAGGACATATTGTTCGAGGGACTGCTGAGGCACGACCTGTGGAAGGTGCTCTGTGTGTGTGTGTGTGTGTGTGTGTGTGTGTGTGTGTGTAATGAGAGCGAGCCTTCTTTTTTTCTCCCTCCTTTACATAAAGCAAAGCAGTTTGTTGACAAAAGTGAGGTCAGGGAGAGAACCATTTTCCAGGTCTGCGGCACCAGCCTGTCTTCAGCTGCCTGCTCACATTCCACCTGGAAAGATTGCAGTGGAAACAGCCTTCCCTTACTGGAGTTGTGCATGTCCTCTCTGGCTCCTGGCCCAGTGATCCTGGCACACACCCAGAACCCCAGGCCCCATGCAGACTGCAGTCAGAGCCACCTCCGTATCTCCGGATAGCTCTGTTGCTTTCTCCTGGGTGGGAATCCTTGGACTGAGATTCCCCCAAATAAACCCCCTCATTGGTAAGAAGCTGCAGCCCCTGCTCCTTTAACTATTGCTCTCAGTTTGCAGGGTACCAAGTTATGTGCCACCTCAATTCTCATTCACACCCTCCCCCACCTTTGTGGCTGCTGACCTTCTCATAATAGCTAGTCTACAATAATTGTGCAGCAAGTGGGGTTGCCAATTAAATTGTGCAGTGATAATTACGCAGCAATTAGGGGTGTGTATAATTGTGCAGCAAGTAGGGTTGCAAATAAAAATCCAGCATACCCGCTAGTTTAGAATTTCAAATTAGCAATGTATTTTTTAGGATAAGCATGTCCCAAATATTGCATAGGACATAATTATACTAAAAAATTATTCTTTTTTTTTTTTGGGGGGGAAGTTCAAATTGAACTGGGCAACTTGTATACTTTCTGGCAACCCTAGAAGAAGGGGAAACTGACACTGCAAAGTTCCCTTGCTCTTCCTGTTTTCATTCTTCTTGGGTCTGAGACAGCCAAGTCACTGTACTATTGGCAACCTCTCCTTCCTTACCCCCGCTGACATTTTTCATGTGATACTTTTAGTTCTTTTTGTTCTTGGTCAGTCCCTTTTAGATAGAGGGAGTCAGGTAAGTGCTGTAAATAAATAAATAGCATTGCCCATCACCCAGATTAACCCTTGGGAATTGTGTCTCTATTCCATTGTGATTTGTTTGCCAGCGCTCAGGTAATGCTCCTTTTTTTTTTTTCACATGCCTTCCTTCATAAATATTTATCTTTTGCCATCAGGACACCAGGGAGGATGGAACTCTGAGATGGAAAATCCATCAAAATGGCAAACATTCTAGCAATCACACTTCTAAGAATCTGTCCCAAAGAAATCATCAGAGATGTGCAGAGATTTATGTACAAGGATGTGCATCCCAGTGCTATTTATAACAGTGAAATATTGGAGACTCTCCAAGTGTCCATCAGTGGGAGGATGGTAAATGATGGGACATTCCTCAAGTGGAATATTATGTGACAGCTAAAAATCATGTTTTTAGAAAAATATTTTATGACATAGTAATGTTAATAATATAGAGAGTGAAAAAAGTGATACATGGCAGTGTGATCTGAATACACATAGGAAAAAGTCTAGGACGTTCACCAATATGTTAGTTGTTTGGAAAAGCATAGAGCCCTGCCTGCAGCACTGCATGCAATTCATTTCAGAGTTTCTCCTGTTCTGATGGTCAGGACGCCATGGTTGAAAATCAGCATGAAATTGTGGTTTGGTTCCACTTTATCTATGGGGCATCATTGTTTGTTTGTTGTTTTTCAGCACTGGGGTGGGTGTGAAGAGACAAAGGGGACAAAACTAGTGCCTCTGTTCATAAAATCATGTCTCTTACATGTGCAGAGGTGACGACACATCTTGGAGAACCCAGAAGTGACATGGCCTCCTCATGGATCCCTCTATCTCATCTTTCCTGTCTGCAAGGCTGCTGTTTAACTTCCCAGACCCCAATCCCATCCTAGTAAGCTTCTACCCAACATTCTTCTATGGCTCCTTATTACCTTTAGCAGTGGCTCCCAATCTGTAGAGGACTCCCCAGAACTGGGGCTCAGGAACCCATGTCTCACATACAGTCTCACACACATGATCAGCAAATTATGCACGTTGTTTTTCAATGTAGGTAAATGCTGTTGTCATCAATAGAATACAAAATAATGGTTTAAAAAGCTTTTTTTTGTGGTAGGGGGAGGAAGGGAAGAATGAATAGAAATAACACAGAGGATCTTTAGGGCAGTAAAACAATTATTCTGCATGATACTGTAATGGTAGATGCATTCAATGTACATTTCAAAACCCATAGACTATACAACACAAAGAGTGAACCCTAATGTAAACCACAGACTTTGGTTTATAATAATTTATCAGTATTGGCTCATCTATTGTATAAATGTACCGCACTAATGCAAGATGTTAAAAATAGGGAACCCAAGGAAGGCAGGTGGGAGGGATCTATGGAAACTCTCTGTACTTTCCACTTATTTTTTTTCTGTAAACCTAAAACTGCTTCCCTCAGAAATAGCCTATTAATTTTTTAGAAAGCCTTTTGTATATAGTATTGACACAGGATTTTCTTGGTCACTTTGCAAGCCAAGGACCTCCAGCCAGCGACGCCCCATCCAGGTCTTGCTCAACCAGGCTACCTGTTGCAGGAGATAGCCCGTCCACTACGGCCGAGTCTGGCTTGTGCATTGGTTCCCAAGTTCTTGTCCCACACTCAAGAAGAATGAGGATGCACTGACAGTCAAACAGTGAGCAATGTGCAAAGTTTTGTTGAGTGATGAAACAGCTTTTAGCAGAGAGGGGACACAGGGGTGGTCCCCCTACCTGAAGGTGGGAAAGTCCCCCCCGTGTGACTGAGACTGGGGATTTTATGGGCTCAGAATAGGGGAGGGGCAGGCAAATGGAACAGAAGTTCTCACTCTGAGTCTTGGGTTTCATCTGGGACCAGCAGTCCAGTCTTTCAGACTTCATGCTGTTTTTTTGGCTTGAAGGTGGGGTTTCACCTAGGCCCCTATCTACTTAGGAGTTTGGCTGCCTCCTGCTGTTCTCAGTATACTTATACTTTTTACATATGCTTTCTAATCAATCAAATTAAAATATACTTATGATCAAATGATGGCCACTGAAACATAGAGAAATTATTTCCTTTTAAAATTGTGGCTGCTGACCTTTGTTTCATGTTTCTGGGGTAAAAGTATGGGCTTTATATTTTTTTGACTTCAAAGGTTTATTCATTCTGTGTGAATGAGTATTTGATTTTCATACAACTTATTTATAAAGAGCCTTTAAAAGGGGGAGAGATTATTCCCACTTGAACAGTTGGGGAACCATTGGCCTATTGATTGAAATTTAGCTTCTCAGTGTTACCTGGTCCCCACACTCCCCACCACCAGCTCTTTCCTCAACATGCCATCAGCCTTCAAGCTGTTTCTTCTTTGAACATCTTTTTCCACTTCTCCACTCTCCCATTTTACTTCCTTCTTTAAGGCTTGATTCAAACATCACATCTTCCCTGAAGACTTCCTGGTTGTCTGGATTAGAGGTGGCCTCTTGCTTTGTGCTCTAAAACATCTTGTTTACACCATGATATGGTTTGGCTCTGTGTCCCTACCCAAATCTCATGTCGAATTGTAATCCCCACATACTGAAGGAGGGACCTGGTGGGAGGTTATTGGATCATGGGGTCGGGTTCCCCCATGCTGTTCTGGTAATAGTGAGGGAGTTCTCATGAGATCTGATGGTTTTAAAAGTGGCAGTTTTTCCTGTGCCCTCTCTTGCCTGCTGCCATGTAAGATGTGCCTTGCTTCCCCTTCATCTTCTGCCACAACTGTAAGTTTCCTGAGACCTCCCCAGCCATGTGGAACTGTGAGTCAATTAAATCTCCTTTCTTTACAAATTACCCAGGCTCAGGTGGTATTTTTTAATAGCAGTCTGAAAATGGACTTATACAGAGAATTGGTACAGGAACAGTGGGGTAGTGCTATAAGGATAACCTGAAAATGTGGAAGTGACTTTGGAACTGGGTAATGGGCAGAGGTTGGAACACTTTGGAGGGCTCAGAAGAAGACAGGAAGATGTGGAAAAGTTTGGAACTTTCTAGAGACTTGTTGAATGGTTTTGACCAAAATGCTGACAGTGATAGGATAATGAAGTCCAGGTTGAGGTGGTCTCAGATGGAGATGAGGTACTTATTGGAAACTGGAGCAAAGGTCACTATTGCTATGCTTTAGCAAACCGGCTGGCATCATTTTGCCCCTACCCTGGAAGTCTGTTGGACTTTGAACCTGAGAGAGATGATTTAGGGTATCTGGCAGAAGAAATTTCTAAGCAGCAAGGCATTCAAGAGGTGACCTGGTTGATTCTGAAGGCATTCAATTATAGTGCTCACCAAGAAATGGTTTGAGATTGGAACTTATATTTAAAGGGGAAGCAGAGCATAAAAGTTTGGAAAATTTGCAGCCTGATGGTGGTTTCCCCCATACTGTGCTTGTGATAGTGATGGAGTTCTCATGAGATCTGATGGTTTAAAAGTGGCAGTTTTTCCTGCACTCTCTCTTGTCTGCCACCATGTAAGATGTGCCTTGCTTTCCCTGCACTTTCTGCCATGATTGTAAGTTTCCTGAGGCTTCCCCAGTCATGTGGAACTGTGAGTCAATTAAACCCTTCTTTGTAAATTACCCCAGTCTTAGGTTGCATTCTTTACAGCAGTGTGAAAACGGACTAATACATACCATATTGAGGCACTTGCAATGGTTTCGTTCATACCTCTGTTTCCCCTCATGGATTTGTGGGCAATTTGGGGGAAAGGTACATGTTTTAAGACTTTAAAAAATTATCTCTACTTCTTGAACACTGACTAGAAATATGTTTGTTAATTGAGACAGTCACCTTGTCCCCAGCCCAAATGGAGGTCCCAGCTCAAGGATTCTCATGCATTAGTTCATCCAACCATTCATTCAACAACTATTTATTGAACACATATTATGGGTCAGATACTATTGGAGGCACTGAGGATATGGTGGGTACATGATAGAGGAGGACTCTGCTCTCAGGGAACTGTCATTCTTATGGGAGACTTAGGTAATATGCAAGTTAACAGTAAACAGATAAAGAAGAGAATCTTAGATCAAAACAGGGCAATGTCGTTGATTTAGTCATTCGGCAAATATTTATTCAGTACCTATGTCTTATTAGATATTACTATAGTTTCTGGGCATGTGGAAGAGAACAAAACAAAGGTCCTATCTTCAAAGATGCTCTTCGGGTAGAAAAAGACTTGGCGGATGAGGTGTAGTATTAGATAGGATGGTCAAGGCAGACATTTCAAAGGCACTGCATGGGACCTAAGTAATTAAGAGGATGGCACTTGAACAAACACTTCTATAAATAATGAAGAGGAACCAGTTATGGAAATATCAGGAAGAGAATTGCTTCAGGAAGATGAGAAAATAAGTGCAAAGGCCCCAAGGCAGGAATGAGCTTGTCATGAGGAACACAAGCAGGCCAGTGTGTCTGCAGTGGTAAGAGCTGAGGGTAGGAGCTCCCATGGGGCCCTGCAGGTGGTGCTCAGGTGTTTAGATTTTGTTTTATTTAATTTTAAATGCATAAGGAGCTATTAGTTCAGGATGGATAAATGTGGATCTATTTCCTGGAGCTCACATCTGAAGATTTGATTCAGTGAGTGTGGTGTAAAGCCTTGGAATCTGCAAAACATTCCCACGGTGGTTTCAAAGCAAGAAGTCTGTGAATAATTCTTGATGGTAGATTTTAGAGAGACCGCTTGGACTTTTACTAAATGCCTGCTATTTAGATTTGAAATCAGCATGGGAGGAGGCTTTGGGTCAAATACATCACAGAGCTGCAAGGAAGGATAACTGGTTCCCTGCAGCATCCCAGACCCCAATTCTTTGGCCTAGCACTGAGACTCCTTTATGCGTTGAGAAACCCTTGGAGAGCTTGTGGAGCTTCAGCTTCTTACGTGGGCCCCAGTATCTGGAGAAAGCAATGCAAAGGTTGCATTGGCTTAAGGAGTAGAGTTCTGAAGTTCATGCCATTTAACGTCTCTGAGTTCTGGCCTTCTAAAGTGGTTCCAAAATCTAGCAAAGAAACTGGATGAGATTCACTCAAGGATTCCCTCTCTACAAATAAAATGAAGTAAAATAAAATTTGGATTATATTATTTTATGAAAATCATGATAATCTTCTGAAGCAGGTAGGTCAGGATCATTATCCATGGCAGAGTTGAGTTGAGAATACAGCGTCTCCTGATGCATAGCCCCAGGCTCTTCCAAAACATCCAGCATCAGCTCCTTAGCCCATGTTCGGTGCACACCGAAACCCCTGATTCCTAAAACCTTGTTTCTTATTCTGTTCCTCTGTTTACAGACAGGACTGCACCCAGGCTGGTAGAGGGCTATTTTGTTTAAAGGTGTCTGGGGAAGAAATACTCACAACCTCACTCCGAGCCCTTTCTGGGATCATTGCCTCTTGGCATTTCTTGTGCAAGGAAAGGAGGCAGGGTTGAGCTTGGGGCTGAGCAATGAAGACCAGATGGCGTCTGCCACATATTAGCTGGGTGACTTTAGGCAAATCCTGTCCCTCTCTGGGCCTGGGTTTGCTCCTCTGGAAAGTGAACTGGTGAGATGAAATGTAACTTCTGACATTTATTCCATGGTTTTTCTGTCGTTTGCTTTATAGAGCTGGGGAAATAGAGGCTCAGTGTCAGGACGTGTTGGAGAAAATTGCCTTTTGAATAGAGAGTGGAATTACAATTGCTCTCTGCTTCCCTGTTCAGTGAGCTGGCCACTGCCAGACCATACTCCCTCCCTGGCAAGCTTTTGTTCAAAGCAGCATGCAGAGAGGCTGGAACAAGCCCACTGGCCTCTTGGTCCTGCTCCTCATTTTCCACTCCAGCCTCATTTAGAAGGAGGCTTTTATTATCCCTTTTTCTCTTGGTTTCCTTTCTTTCCTATTGGGATGCAGCTGCAAACACAATTAGAGAGGACAAATGCTAATTTCATCTAGAACTGGAAACTGAATTTCTTTTTAAAAAGGAGATGGGACCTCAGAGGGAACATTCTTTATTTTCAAAGCATCAGTGAACCAGAGGAAGGAAGAGGGGCTGCTGTGATTTGGGAAGCTGTGCTCCCCGCTCTTAGTGTGAGAAAGTAGACTCCAGAGTCCCTGACTGAAGTGACATTACATTTGTTCAGGAAGCATGATCCATCAGCTGGAAAACACGGGGATGTGCCTGGGACTAGCTCACAATCTCAGAGAGGCTTTAACACAGGCACTGATGGTGGCCATGGACACCTGGAGAGAGGGTTGCCATAGCTTCATCACTTTGACTTAGAGTTGAGCAATTTGGACCTGACTGGACAGCAGAGGACATACCCAGTCCGTCCAGTAGAGGGTGCCAGCAGCCTCCACCCATAGAACAGCCTCAATGTGAACACCCTCACTTCTTTCTGAGGAAGCGTTTACAGGCAGAGCTGTGTCCGTTCACAGTGTTCAGCTGCTTGAGCATGGCTTCCATCCATTCGGGGAGAGCAAAGAACCCTGGACCTAGAGTCATGAGCCTTGGATGCCAGCCTTGACTCTGGGACCCCAGGGAAGCCATACATCTTGGCCTTATTTTTCTTATCTTCAAAATTTGCAAGAATTATCACAGAGGTGCCTTTCAGCTTTAATACTCCACAGTTCTGTGACTCATACGTATGACTGAAACTCTCAATGAAAGATGAGTTAACTTGAAATGTTCTGGAAAGTTGGGCTTGGAGTAACAGATATAAACAATACAAGTTTATATGGAGCTGATTTATGGAGAATTTTATTTAGAGGAATAAGGAAATGAAACAGTCTCCCCACTGTCTCTGTTCTCTTGGGTGAGAACCTTTTCAATTGCTTTTAGCCAGCGGTCACTTGAATCTTTTTAGGCAAGCTTGTTAAAAGGAAGCAAGATGGTTTGGGCTTGCATTAGGGCAAATCAAGCACCATAAAACCCTGAAAAATCAGAGGCTGAAACGCAATACAATTATATTTCTCACTTATATCATAGTCCAGTTTGAAACAGGTGGAATGGGCTCTGCTCCACAAGGTCATTCAGTAACTCAAGAGACCTTCCAATTCATGATTCCATCCTCTTCCAGTCCTCAAAGTTTTCTGCTCAGCCAGTGGATGGGGAAAGAGAGAGAGTGGAGAATTGCCTAGGAGTTCACAGGCCAAGCTGGGAGTGACATATTTTTAAAAATTATTATTATTATTTTTTGAGTTGGAGTCTCACTCTGTTGCCCAGGCTGGAGCACAGTGGTGTGATCTCAGCTCACTACAACCTCTGTCTCCCAGGCTCAAGTGATTCTCCTGCCTCAGCCTCCTGAGTAGCTGGGATTACAGGCGCCTACCACCACACTAATTTTTTGTAACTTTAGTGGAGATGGGGTTTCACCATGTTGGCCAGGCTGTTCTTGAACCCCTCACCTCAGGTGACCCACCCACCTTGCCTCCCAAAGTTCTAGGATTACAGACGTGAGCCACTGTGCGCAGCCTGGGAGTGACATATATAATGCTTGCCCTCTTTCCATTCAACAGGAGTGGTCACATGGTCCCACCTAGAAGCTCAGGGACTGGAAAATATGGCCCAGGGTTGTGGCCCAGAAAGAAAAAGAGAACAAAAGTCTTGATGATAATTAGCAGTTTCTGCCTCTCTAAGGGCTGTTTCTGAGAATGAAGAAGAATGCCCTCTCTATAGCGTAGGTACTATTTATGTGAAGGCAGTGTCCCCATCACTGTAAGACTGTGTCCTCCCTCAGGGGCACCTTTCTTGGGTTTACACTAAAGTGCTATATAAGCTAGCAGTGGCCCGACATATGCTCTGAAGTCAGGCATATCTTGTGTCTAATCTCAGCCCCACTAACTAATTATGAGAACTTGAATAGGAAACCTGTTTCCAGATTACAAATGAGGCAACTGAGGGTTGTAGGGAAGGATTCAACCAATCTCACAGGGTTTTTGTGAAAATTACATGAAATAAGATATTTAAGGAGAATGAGGCAGAGTAGGCACTCAATAAATAGTATTAGAGTTCTCCTCTCACCTCCCTTTTGGAATGGTTCTACCACCATGAGACCCCCTGTTAGGAATATTGGTCTATGGTTCAGTTCATTAATGAATTTGGGCCAGTTCCAGCTCCTTAAAACATTATAAGGTCCTTTCCATTCCTGCTGAAATGCACAGTTAATGTTAACTCTGAGCCTGATATCCTTTAAATGGCATGCATTCAATAAGGCAAAACAAAAGCTCAGAACCCTATAGAAGAATGAGCAGAGATAATAACACTAAAAATCTGAGCTCCGTTAGTGACTGCAATGGAATACTTGAGTGTTGAGGTGTCTGGCACCTAAGGCAAAAAAGGGGAATCAAATGGATTGCATAAATCTCATTATATGATTTAAGAAAGATGCCTCTTTGTGAGGGAATAGTAACTCTTTTTTCCTGGGGGGCTACAATGAAGAAGACATTTATCAGGTGGCACTTACAGGTGAAGGCATGGCCTTTCCCCTTCTGTCTATGTGATTGACTCTGAGAACTGCCTTTGGATTTTCAAAAGCGTAATCTGGGGCAGAATGAAGAGAGATACCTGCTCCCCAGGATTCAGGAGCAGGCCAGTGCCTCCCATGGGTAAATACCTTCCTCTTGGGTGGAGATTTGTGTCTCGAGAAGGGCATAGATGGATTCTACCAGCTACAGGCTGGATTCTAAGAGCTGGGAATTACCTCACACAGAGTCAGGGTCACAGGGCTATGAACTCAATGAACACCAAGCAACGGTGCAGCTTCCAGAGTCCCTTCCTGCTTCTAGTAGCCCTGCTGGATGGACGAGGTGCAGGGTGCAGCCAGCCTGCCTGGGGCCTGCCCAGCCCTGTTTGTCTTATGTGGCATAAAGTCCTCCTGAAATAATTTTGCATTTGCTTTAAAACAATTTGCCTGATTGTAATGATAAAACAACATTATATGCAGATGTCTTGCTATTTTAAAAAACCTAATTTACTTTGAATTAATGTTTGTTGACATGGTGTTTGGTGGGGCAGGGACAGAGATAGAGGGACCAGGAGATGGAGCTATTGAAATGAGAGAACCACTAAGTAAAATGGTTCTTCTCATTTTTTTTTTCTTCAAATCAAACTTTCAGGAGAGAGAACAGAGTTAAAATCTGCAGGAAATGCTTGCATCCAGGAATGTTTTAAAGCTCTTGCCAAGATCAACAATGAGAAGTATGTTTGGAAATTGCTTTGCAAACCTCCCAGTTTGCAGAGCGCAGCACCTCACCAATAATGGTGATGGTGGCTGGTGTTTATAGGACACCCATTGTGAAAGGGCTGTGAGCACTGGGCATTTATTTGTAAGCACCACTTGTTTACACAGTCAAGCTGGGACGTTGAGGTGATAGAAATAACTCTCCTTTTCAATAAACAAGGAAACTGAGTCACAGCAACCAGTTCGAGTGACTTCATTAAGGCTTAGATTCAGCCTCACAGTATTGGAGTAGGTTTCAGAGGTCACCTTGTGGCAAGTTTTTGGATTGACCTCTTGGAATTTCAGACCTGAAATGGTCCGTGAGGACCACGTGAGGACCACATCCGGTTAGAGGTGGAATTGGGCATATAAACAAAGCATCCAGGATGACTTCTGTTAACTTTCGTGTCTGCAGAATTCCTCTGAAGCAGTCCCAGGCCTCCACCAAGTCTCACACATCTGGCCCTGTTTTCCTTTGCTCTATCCTCAAACCTTCTTCAAAAAGCTTCAGATTCTAGGTAACTGCAGGGGGTTCAGCTTCAGGAGACAATGAGACTCCAAGATACAGGTGCAAGGCTTGGCATCAGCAGACTTAGGTCTGAATCTCAGCTCAGATGTTTTTAAATGGTTTGACTATAGGTAGATGACTTAATTTTTATGATGCCTCCTTTGAACACCTAACTCAGTGGCTCTCCAAGCGCAGTGTCTCAAGCAGCAATATCAGCATCATTCAGTAATTTGTTAGAAATACAAATTCTTGGGCTGTACCCCCGACCTACTGAATGGTCAACTCTTGAGTGAGGCTCAGCAATCTGGGTTTTCAAAGTCCTCCAGGTGATTCTGGTAGATGCTGAAGTTTGAGAAGTGCTGCTGAAACTAATAATACCATCAGCCTTACAAGGCTGATGTTAGGCTTAGAATTAAAACATGGAAAGTTCATAGCACACATGAGATGCTCAATAAACTATAGTAGTGACAGTGGCTTCTCATCATCATCATCATCCCCTTCCTTCCTTCCTTTCTTTTTTTCCTTCTTTTTTTCTTCCTTCTTTTTTCTTTCTTTCTTTCTTTCTTTCTTTCTTTCTTTCTTTCTTTCTTTCTTTCTTTCTTTCTTTCTTCTTTCTTTCTCTCTCTCTCTCTCTCTCTCTCTCTCTCTTTCTTTCTTTCTTTCCTTCCTTCCTTCCTTCCTTCCTTCCTTCCTTCCTTCTTTCTTTCTTTTTCTTTCTTTCTTTTCTTTTTTTTGAGACACAGTTTTACTCTGTTGCCAAGGCTGGAGTGCAGTGGCGCAATCTCGGCTCACTGCAACCTCTGCCCCCTGGGTTCAAGCGATTCTCCTGCCTCAGCCTCCCAAGTAGCTGGGATTACAGGCGAGTACCACCATGCTAGGTTAATTTGTGTATTTTTAGTAGAGATGGGTTTCACCATGTTGGCCAGTGTCGTCTTGAACTCCTGACCTGAGGTGAGGTGCCTGCCTCGGCCTCCCAAAGTGCTGGGATTACAGGGGTGAGCCACAATGCCTGGCCATCATTTCTTCTCTGAAACTACCTTTTAGCTTGAGAGATGTATCACTCACAATCCAGAAGCCTGTAGGATTTCAGTAGTACCTGAACTGTGCTCTCTTAGCTGACACTCATGAGCTGGAGAGACAGATTTGACTCTATTTTATACATTCTTATTTTCTTAGCTTTTTATTCAAGTTCTGGAACTATAAGCAGAGTGATAGGGAAAAGGGCCAAGTACTATAGGGGCCATTTGGGCAGGGAGTTTATACCTGCAATCTGTCACCTCTCCCATGATGAAGGTAACAGAGAGAGGAAGAGCTTTGTCAGGGATGTTTGGAAGACTCAGTGTCTCTGGATTCCAGAGGGGCTTTTTGTTGTTTGTTTTGGCTTGTGTTGTTTTGTTATTTTCCCTAGTCCTACTACTACTTTACTCTGGTTCTTTAATCTCCTCCAATAGGATAGTGATCCCAAGAAAGAGGCCTTGTTCTCATCCAAAATAATCTCACGGGAGTTAATACAAAATAAAAGAGTTCTTAAATTGAGTGCAACAAACAGACAAACCCCAAACTTTACAAACAACTTACATTTAAATATTTTCTACCCAAAGTGCCTTCATTTTGCTTTCCAAAACATCCCTTGGGCATCAGGCAGGAGGGAGATTGTTGTCTATATTTTACAGACGTGGAAACTGAAGCAGAGAGGAATTGGGTTGATTTGCCCCAGATGATGTGGTGGTCCTGGAGGCAGCCTCCTGGGCTCCCAGACTCTCCCTGCTTGCTGGATGGAAGTTTCTGAAGGCCCTGGGCTCCCGGAGGCTGCAGTGGACATGGAGAAACAAGGAAGAAATGTTTGTTTATTAAGCAAGGGAGCAGAACTAGGAGATTCATCAGCTTATATGGTAGAGCCCCCTCTGGTCCCTGGCATGCCTGGGAAATGGGGAGTGGAAGTGGGTCTCTTCCAAGCAGGGGATCCCGCAGGTTCTGGACTGGGAAGGTCATCATGGAAGAAGCTGCCAGGCATACTTTTCAGAAAAGGTCTGAAGTTCCATCCAAGGGTGCCCTGGAGGAGTGATGAGCAGAGCGCCCTGGGGAGCTGTTTGTATTTGAAGCCTGGAGCCAAATGTGGTAGATTAGCTTGGGTACCAAGGCACTCAAATGGCAGGTTCTGATCTCCTCTGGAGGTTTGGAATTGGTTCTCTGAATCATCTTCATACTTCACATCGTACTGCTTGAGCAGCTGGTGTGAAACCCAACTAGGGAAACTGAGGCATGGGGAGGTTGGTAGAAATGACAGTGAGATGGAGTCCAGGACTCCGCCAGCAAGCACAGCCTCTGGATTCTACCTTGCTGAGTGAGCAGTTCATCCCAGATTTTCTGCTACTCACGGGCCCGGGCCTCACACTCCCAGGCCTCATTGCAGCTGGGCCCATGCACCAGCCTATTTGGCCAAAGTGTCTGGATTGGAGAACACTGAGCAAGAGAATCACTTCAAGCAAGGGGTAGGATGTGGAGTAGAACTGCTTTCTCTCTCATCTTCCTGCCAGGAATCCAGATGTTCTCCATCTCTAGACAATTTGTGGTAGATTTAACAGCATCTTCCACTGGATACAGCAGCTGGTGCAGATGCTGCCACCAGAGAGGACTTAAATCATCCTGTTCTATGCAACTGAGGCATCAGGCACAAGAGGGGGGTGTGTGTGTGAGCACATGTGCCCATGAATGTATATGTGTGTGTACATGTGCGAGGTCCTCATCTCATAATCCTAGCTCCTCACTTCCTACGAAGGAAAACTGGGGCAGCCTCACACAGAAGGGAAGAATGTGAATCTGAGGAACATTGGCCAGCCAAGGGTAAGGTGATCAACTGCAAGAGGGCGTTGTTTTCTCTTCCAGGAAAGGGCAGACAGTGTAGGCCCTCCTGTAGTCATCCTTCCCCGCATGTGGTTCCAGCTCTGTTTAGAGACACGCAACAGAGCCAGAAGGGACCTCGTAGGGCATGGAGTCTAACCTGTTTCACAGAGGAGGGATTGGGAGGGGGCTCAGGGCAAGATAATGACTGAGGCAGCTCTTGGTAAGTGATGCTATAGGAGGCCTAGGTGCAGAAGCCAATTTTATAACATTTTGTGATGATGCTTAGTTCACTGACCATGTCCCTGGATTTCATTATAACCACAAACATGCCCAATTCTAGCTGATTAGCCCACCCATTTCCAGTATTTTAATAAAAATCTAATGGTGGTAACTTACTTTCATACAGCAGTTTCCATGCAAATTTTTTTCAATGGTTCTTTTGTTTAACATCTCAACCCTTCTCTGAGGTAGATAACATTGCTATACCCATTTTGTGGATGAGAAAACTGAGGCTTGCGTTAAGATGCTTGTCCTAGGTTGACAACTTTCATTACGATCTGGCTGTAGTTTGATGCATAAAATCTCTGAAGAGCTAGAATGAAGTCACTTTGCATAAGATGCTTTTGCATGGTTGAAACTCAAACTGTAAGTAGTAGAACTGGGATTTGAGCCCAAGATGTCCAACTCCAGACCATAGGTTTCTTTTTCTTTTCTTTTCTTTTAACTTTCTTTCTTTCTTTTTTTTTTTTTTTGAGACAGAGTTTTTCTCTTGTTGCCCAGGCTGGAGTGCAATGGCGTGATCTTGGCTCACCAAAATTTCCACTTCCCAGGTTCAATTGACTCTCCTTCCTCAGCCTCCCAAGTAGCTGGGATTATAGGCAGGCACCATCACGTCCGGCTAATTTTTTGTATTTTTTAGTAGAGGTGGGGTTTCTCCTTGTTGATCAGGCTGGTTTTGAACTCCCAACCTCAGGTGATCCGCCCGCCTCGGCCACCCAAAGTGCTGGGATTACAGGCGTGAGCCACCGCACCAGGTCCAGACCATAGATTTTAGCAACAAGGCTGTACTGCTCCACTGTGGCCTCACCACATATGGCTACATCTCCTTGGAGTTCATTACAATGGACTTTGACCTTCTTCTACACTGCACAAAGCCTTGTATAACTTTCTAGGTGGTACCTTTAAGAGTCTAGAATCTAGCAGCAGTCTGTTTTCAACAGCTGTGAATAAAGGTGAGCATCACTCTGTCACTTGATGAGTGTTGAATTAGTTAAAAAAAAAGGCAACAGGGAAAAAAGGAGATTCGACATGGGTCATTTTTTTGTTAACAGCAAATGATCTATTGAGTCAGTACTCTTGATGGTAAGGTGAAAAATACAAAAATTATGTATCCTTCTGAAGTACCTGCTCTCAGTAACTCACTTTCATGCCAAGAGCAATGAAACAATAAAAGAGCTGATGTCTTGTGTTATGAGAAGTGCTTTGTTGCTGTTTTCTCCAAATTTATGTAACTAGCTTTCATTAAGTTCTGGCTGTTATTTAACGCGTAAAATATGTGGAGAGCTAAAATGAAGCTGAGAGGCCTGTGATGCTTTTTCACTCTTGCAACGTAGCTCTAGCTGAGAGTCTGGAGTTCTTCGCTTTATGTCATTTCCTGTTAAAACCTCCATGTTTTCTTCCCTGGGAACTTTGCCTACTCCAAATCTAGCTCTCAGACGTTCTCTGTGCAGCCGAGGTCTTTGGATAGTGAGCCCTGGATCGGTGAGGAGCATGTGGAGTCAGTGTTATCTGCAGGGTCCTTCCTCCATGGGACTGGAGCCTGGGCTGGAGGGGATGTGGTGCGGCACGCTCCAGGTCCCCAGTGTCTCTTCCCTTGCTTATTCCTCCCCAGCTACACTGCCTCCTTGCTGTGTTTCTTTGAGTGGAAAAAGCACACTCCAAGGTCTTTTTTTTGCATTCTTTCACTCAACAACAATGAACAGAAGCCTTCTGTGACCAAGTGGATGGGGATTTCTTCCCACCAACAAGCAAGCAAGCAATCCTGCAGTGGCACCAGCGGGGTGTCCTCCAATCCAACACCATTCTGATGCTATCTACCTAGAGATAGCGTCAGATCCCATGCGTGAGAGCTCAGTCCCCAAGACTGCTCCCCCAACAACTTTCAGTGTGAATTGCACAGGTTGTTTTACCTGTGCTTCTGACCGACTGACTATAAATCAGGGATCCTCCACCTTGGGGGCTAATTTCTAGAGCAGCTCACAGAACTCAGGGAAACACTTACATTTACTGGTTTATTATAAAGGATATTGCAAAGGATACAGATGAAGAGATGCACAGGGAGAGGTGTGGGGGAAGGGGCATAGAGCTTCCACGCCCTGTCTGGGAGTGCCAGCCTCCAAGAACCTCCATGTGTTCAGCTATCAGGAAGCCTCCCCAACCCTGTTCTCTTAGGCCTTTTATATAGACTTCATTGGATAGGCATGATTCACAACCATGTAGAAATATGATTGTAGAAAAAGGGTGTGATCTAATACGAATAGACTGAGTGGGGAAACCCAGTGAGGCCTGTCCAGATTCCTCTTAGCTTCAGGATGTGGGGCAGGACCCCTTCTGAAATGAAGGTCTGCAATCAGACAAGGTAGGTCAGAGAATTTTTTATTGCCAGCTCCAAGACAGAAAGGTAGGGGAAAATTCCAGCCCTGGGGAGAAGAAGGAGCAGGTGAAAGGGGACAGGAGAAGGGGTGTGTGTGTGTGTGTGTGTGTGTGTGTGTGTGTGTGTGTGTGTATGTATTTGTGATTGTTTTCTAAAGCTGGCTTAAAGTGCCCAACATTACAACAAGGGCTATGAGAGTTGAGCCAGGAACCATGGATGAAAACTCATCTGTCTATCTATCTATCTATCTATCATCTATCTATCTGTCTGTCTGTCTATCTATCTATCTATCTATCTATCTATCTATCTATCCATCCGTCAATCCGCCCATCCATCTGTCTGTCTGTCTGCCTGTCTACCTATCCAAACATTGTTTATCTATCTATCTAATCATCTTTCTATCTAATCTATCTCTATTATCTATCTATCTATCTATCTATCTATCTATCTATCTATCTATCTATCATCTATCTATTTTCTTTCTTTCTTTCTTTCTTTCTTTCTTTCTTTCTTTCTCTTTCTTTCTTTCTTTCTTTCTTTCTTTCTTTCTTTCTTTCTTTCTTTCTTTCTTTCTTTCTTTCTTTCTTTCTCTATCTATCTATCTCATACCATCAGAGTTCCTCAAACTCCTCAACAGTCTCCCTACTCAGGGCATTGCATTTGCTGTTTCCTCTGCCAGGAATGCTCTTCCCCTAGGGAGCTGTGTGGCTCCTTTCTCTCTTTCTTTAGCTCT
Source organism: Homo sapiens (assembly GCF_000001405.40). Classification (NCBI taxonomy): domain Eukaryota; kingdom Metazoa; phylum Chordata; class Mammalia; order Primates; family Hominidae; genus Homo; species Homo sapiens. The sequence goes on from NC_000007.14 coordinate 131,868,972, forward strand.
TCGTGCAGACATCACCTCCATGAGGTCTTCTCCTATTAAGTTGAACCCCAACACCCTGTGTTTTCTTTCTTCTTTTTCCTTCTTATTTTTCTCCATAGCACTTTTCACCATTTAACATATTTTACAAATATCTATGTACTTGGTTTCTATCTCCCCTTACTTAAATGTTAGCTCCATTGTGGGGGGAGAGATTTTGTCTGTTTTATTCACTGCTGTATCTCCAGCTGCTAGAAAGAGCCCTGACACATAGTGTGTCTTCAACAAATATTTATTGAGTGAATGAATGAATGCAAATCCTCAGAGGTCAGAGGGACAGATAGTACCCAGTGGTGTGAACATGGAGGGAGTGGCTTCTGCCTCAAAAGGGTGGAGACAGATGAGCTCCTCCCTGACAGCCATGCTCCATGGAGGCAGCTGGTTCAGGAGAGTGCACAAGACCCAGAGTCTGGAGAACTGTGTGCAAGTGGAAGCTCCAATGTCAAATTAATACAGCCAAGTGACTGGACCCCCTTCACATTTCTCACCTGATAAACAGACACAACCACAGGGGGTCGGGTCTGCTCTGTCTGCTTCCCAGATCCATGGGCTCTGGACACCACTGAACTCCCCCCTCCCCTCCCTTCCCCTCCTCCACTGTCACCCACAGCAGCCTGTCATTGTCCTGAAAACATTCCAAGTTCATTTCTGCCCCAGAATCTTAATGCTTGCTGTTTCCCATCTGCGTAGTTTCCCAGAGATCAGAGTTGGCTCCTTTCATCATTTAGGGCTCTGCTCATGAATGTCGCCTGCTTAGACAGGTCTTGACCACCCTATCTATAGAGGCACCACCTGCCCCCCTCCAACAATAGAATCACACACACAAAAAATAAAATCACACACATAAAAAATAGAATCACAAAAAAACAATAGAATCACAAAATTTGCCTTTACCATAACTGGCTTCTTGGGCTCTCTTATCGTTACCTAAAAGTATCTTGTTCCTTTCCTTGTTTGTTGCCTGTCTCTCAGCCTAAGCCCTGTGAGAATGGGGTCTTCATCTATCATGTTCTCCACTGCATGCTCATTGCTTAGGGCAGCACTCAGCATGTCATATGCCCTCAATAAATATCTGCTAATTGAATGCACAAATTAAATGAGAGAGTGGATGTGAAATGTACTCTGTAAAGTACATAAACCTCCATGGACAAGAAGACCTATTATTTCTGGAGTGTAACTTGTGTCTCCTCCCCTGAGGAGTAACTGTGGCCCCTCATCTCAGAGCACAAAGAGTGGGCATGCTCCCTGGGAGGAGGTTAGAGGTCACCAGGAGGAGAGTCTCTCTTTACAGTCAGGCAGGGTGAGCAGAGGGGGCACAGTGAGGGGGCGGGACATGATGTCTGGTCCACACTGAGCCTCAGGGAGAAGTGAGTGAGTTCAATAAAGAATCCAAGCAAGGCGGCCTTGACTCTTGAAGGATCTGGAATCTCAGCTGAGCAGCCCCCAGCCTGGCTTCTGAGAAAGAAGGGCCTGGCAGAAAAAACCCTGCTGCCCAGGCTCCTAAGACACTAATGGAGGTGAGACCAGGTTCTCCCATCTTGTGGCTCCCGGGATACCACTGGACAGGTGGTCCCCTTGTCTCATATCATTTCACCACTGCAAGGCTGACGCATGGTTTGGGGCCATTCACCTCCCTTCGTTGGGTCCTTCCTTGACCTGGACTTCCTGAGTCTGTGGCTCCTAGATACAGCCCATGTTGGGCTCCTGCTTGCAGGAAGTACTGGTCCAAGACACAAGGCACCAGACAGTAATAAAGGCAGAGTGTGGCCGATGGTAGGAGGCCGCAGTGGCCTGTGTTCCTGTGTGGCAGGAAATGCCTGCACATCCCATTGTGATGCTCCTTCCCCTCTGCTCGGGGTCCTGGTTGGAACTGACAGTGGCAATGATATACCAGCTGGCAGCCTGTTTCTAGAGCGTGTTTGTACTCACTCACCTGGTTTATTCAGTAGACAGGCTGTTTGAGATTTGGGGGGAAAATTGGGGCTATGCAGTGCATTGATGCAATGGTACAGAGGGAACTCGAGGCTGGGATCTCCCCCACTGAGCCCTCAGAACAGAGACATTCTCCTCCTCCAAGGAGGGAAGTCTTTCTCCAAGACTTCCTACGGGCCTACCAGCTTTCTAATGGTTCTTGGAATATTTCCAGAGTCTTCTCCTGTATATTCACAATATCAATGAATGGAGAGAAATTGATGGAGATAATGATCTTCACTTTTCATGAGGGGAGACTGAGGCATCAAGTAAGAAAATGTCAAGACGTTCATCCAGCACAGTGTTTCCTGGGATCTCAACTAAACAATGCCTAGACTCCTCCATATGTGGCAAAGAAATAGACTGGTCACTATATTAGCCCGTTTTCATGCTGCTGATAAAGACATACCTGAGACTGGGCAATTGATAAAGAAAAAGAGGTTTAATGGACTCACAGTTCCACGTTGCTGGGGAGGCCTCACAATCATGGTAGAAGGCAAAAGGCATGTCTTACATGGTGGCAGGCAAGAGAGAATGAGAGCCAAGAGAAAGGGGAAACCTATAACTACCATGAGAACAGTATGGGGAAACCACCCCCCTAATTCAATTAACTCCTACTGAGTCCCTCCCACAACATGTGGGAATTATGGGGTGTACAATTCAAGATGAGATTTGGGTGGGGACACAGCCAAACCATGTCAGTGACACTACACAAAATGATCCCCAGGCCATAGAGTCTATGGGAGGGTGGCTTCTAACAAGACCCCTTGGCAAGACCCTTTGGCCTTTCTGGGAGTTCCCTTGAATGGCAGCTGTCTGTGGAGGAGGTGGTGGGAGAGGGAAGACACCAGAGGGAAGCAGGTTCCTGCTGTTTGTGTAGCTTGAGCTTTGCCTCCACCCATTCCTTCTGGATGAAGACAAATTGTTCCGGACATGTCTTGAACTTTTGGTTACATCTTCATCTAATCACCATCCTAGCCCTTCCTTATTGAGAGCCTGTATGTGCCAAGTGCTTTATATAACTTACCTCTAATCTTTGCAATGACTTAGAGAGGTTTACCAATGAAGAACGGTGGTAGAAAGGTCAGGACTTGTCTAGGCTTGTGGAACTAGGGTACTGCCTGGTTGTCTCTGATTGAAGACCTGAGCTCCATCTGCCACCCTCATCCCTCCCCCATCTCCCCTGCCTTGTACCCCACAGCTTCATGGTATGGGTAGACAGGCACCTTCAGCATTAGAGACATGAGAGTGGACAGCGAGGTGACTCTACAGGACATTTTATCCTAAGGTCAGGGGTTCCACCATTGCTTTGATGTGTCTCCCTGGAAGCCCTTGACTGGCAGAGAGGGGGTGGTGATGCAGAAGCTCTTGACTGGCAGAGAGGGGCTGGTGATGCAGAAGGGAGTGGTGGGCCACACTGCCTTCAGCCCTGCCTCAGTGACTGTTAGTGCTACCCCAGGTGAGTGGCTTCAGAGAAAATTGCCTCTAAGACTCTGCGGCGGACAATATGAGTTGGAGAGATGTGGGTGCAACTCTACTTATTGGCTGTGACCTAGGACAAGTTACTCAACTTTCATGAATTTGCTTATATGTAAAATGGGCAGGATTGTTGGGAAGGTGAAACGAGGCTATGGATGGCAAGCATTCAGCAGGGGGTCTGGAATACTGGAGGCATGTGACCATGGGAGGCATTCTTACTCTTATTACTGTACCTTCAAAACTGGGAATTATGCCTGGTGCGGGGGCTCACACCTGTAATCCCAGCACTTTGGGAGGCCAAGGCAGGCAGATGACTTGAGGCCAGAAGTTTGAGATCAGCCTGACCAACACAGTGGAACCCCGTCTCTACTAAAAAATACAAAAGTTAGCCGAGTGTGGTGGTGCACACCTGTAGTCTCAGCTACTGGGGAGGCTGAGGCACAAGCATCATTTGAACCTGGGAGGCAGAGACTGCAATGAGCTGAGATTTGCCACTGCACTCCAGCCTGGGTGACAGAGGAAGACTCTTGTCTCAAAAAAACAAAAAACAAACAAAAAAACCCCCCAAAACAAAAAACTGGAATTATGGGCTGGGCATGGTTGTTCATGTCTGTAAACCCAGCACTTTGGGAGGCCGAGGTGGATGGATGCCCCTGAGCCCAGGAATTCAAGACCAACCTGGCCAACATGGCAAAACCCCATCTCTACTAAGAATACAAAAACTTAGCCCGATGTGGTGGTGCATGCATCTGCACCAACTACTGGTCCCAACTACTGGAGAGGCTGAGGTGGGAGGATCACCTGAGCCTGGTAGGTTGAGGCTGCAGTGAGCTCTGATCATACCACTGCACTTCAGCCTGGGTGATGGGAGTGAGACCCCTGTCTCAAAAACAAACAAACAAACAAACAAACAAACTGGGAATTATGCTTCAGTTCTCCAGTATGCAGTTTCATAAAGTCACCTCAATTATAAACTTCCTTCCTTCCTCTCTGCTTGCCTCCATCCCTCCTCCTTTCTTTCCTTCCCAATTCCATAACTGTGCATTGAGAGGCTAGCTTGATTCCACAAGGAGCAGTTCTAGGCCATTGGACTATTAGGACCCCTGCCCTGCAGGAACCAACAGTCTTACCCATGGCTTCTGCTACCCTCACCCTCTCCCCTCATCACCCTAGTTTGCACACGGTCCTTTGAAGCTACTGTCACTGCTGTTTAGTGACAACATTCCTGTCTGCCTTTGTATCCCACATTCGAGCTGATGTGGGGTCTGGCTTCCCTGGAGAGGAATTAGACAGCACGGTCATAATGAGTTTGTGGCATTATTTCTCTCTCGGCCCCTCTTGCAGGGATCAGAATGAAGTTGTCATTGCTCTGTGGCCAGAACGGTCCCTGGAAAAAAACTGCAAATGACCTTCCCCCAAGCGGCAGCATTTGGGGCTTAATTGTGTTTTGTTAATCAGGAAAACAATTAATTTGGCTGTGCCTCTTTGGTGGGGTGTTTTTTTCTTTCTTTTTTAATACAGTAGATGCTGCTAAGATGATCCATGTGATGTTTCTAGATTCAATTTCTCTCTCTCCCCAAGGCAAAGAATGACTCTTCTCTGTATCCATGACATCCGGAGACAGCAGAGCGAGGCATGGAGTTTTCCAAAGAAGACTGGTTTCTAAAACTTAATATCTGTTTCACAGCAATAGGACGACTCCTCTGCCCAAGCTCTTGCACAGTTTCAGGAATAGGAATGAGACTGAGGCAGAGGAGTGACAAATCACAGACCTGTTTCAAAGTAGGAATGCAGAAATTTCTGCATTCTGTCCCCTCTTCTGATCTCCTCCCCACCTCATATGATAGAAAATGGTGAAATAGGCACTTTGCTGTGCAGGAGCTACACCGCAGAGCTCAGAGAATCACTAGATCTAGAAACTGAAAGGATGAGCATGGGGAGATACAGTGTGAACCTGGATCCTTTGGATAAATTCACTCCCACAGGTTAATGACTGATGATGGCTTAACTTGAGGCAATGCCATAGAATGCCATCCCCAAACCAAGAGAATTACTCCTAGGGTGGTAATCAGGCTTTGGAGGGTGGTTATCAAGTCCCCTCCAGTCACACCATATGACCTGAATAGTCCTTGGAATAGAACACATGTAAATCTGACCCTGTAGACAGTAACCAGTGGCCATGTTTAGAAAGGATGCCCTGCAAGGTGACCCATTTTTGTTTTGTTCACTGATGTATCCCATGGCTTAGAACATTCTGGCGTATGGTAGATCCTCAAATATAGGTTAAAAGAAGGATGTGGGGCCAAATTTAACACAGAGGATAATAAGCCCCTTGTTGTGTGTGTCAGTCAACCTGAGTTTGAGCAAGTGTAGATACCAGTTTGTCTTCCACTAAACCCCTGGATTGGGGGATGATTTCTGACATGAGAGAAGGATTTATCTCACTGTCCAGGAGTCAATGACAAGGTCTTCAACAAGAAGTGAGGAAGAGGGAAGAGAAGAAACTTTTACCAAGGAACTGCCAAGTGGCCAGCTCTGTGCCAGGTGTTGTATGATGAACACTACCTCATTTTATTTCCCTTAAAATAATTGTGTGAGGTGTGTTCACATTTTTACAGTTGAATAAACTAGGGCTTAATAAAGAAGTTAAGTAACTTATGCAGGGTCATACAGATGGAGGAATTAACTTGACTTCCAAACTCATGTTCTTTCCACTCGTCCACAGAACTTCTCATTTTTGGAATGCTTGATTAACATGAGTGGGTACATTCTGTATGTTCAGTTTAGTAGGAGTGGGGAGGGGCTGAAACTCAAATTAACATGACTCTGTTCTTCTCCTTCAGATGCCTGGACTCCTTGGCTTTGACTGCTTTTTAGCCACTCACTGGCTATGGACATATCCTTCCTCCTTATGCTTAACCTCTCTGTGCCTCAGTTTCCTCATCTACAACGGTGATAACAACAGTACCAATTTTATAGCATCGTTGTGAGAAGTAAGTGGGTGAAGCACTCATACTTGAGTCTGGTCCATGGCATGATTGATGTAAGTTAAGACTGTTATTAGGACAAGCTCTGTCTTTATACACCCTGTATCAATTGAGGGTCACTTGTGTACTATGTAGCTCTTAACCTATTAAGGAAAGCCTGGTCCCCAGGTACTGTCTCCAGAAAAGCATCAAACCTCTAACCAGGCTCTACTGAAATGCTGATTATTTAACGCCAGGAAAGTACACCTCTGTCTAGATGCCTTTTTATCACTCTAGTACAAGCATGGAAGGTATTATTACCTGGAGCTGAAAACATATGTTTACAAAGAATTTTTATTGGAGGTTTACCCTGTGTGCTGTTGTTAAGCTCTATGAAAGGGCTTTGGAGATGAAAGTGAGAATGCACAGACCACTTCAACATGCGCATACCACTTCAACATGCCCATACCACTTCAACATGCACAGACCACTTCATCATGCACTGACAACTTCAACATGTGCATTCCACTTCAACATGCATGGCCATTTCAACATGCACCTACCACGTCAACATGCACATACCACTTCAACATGCACCTATCACTTCAACATGCATGGACCATGTCAGCATGCACATACCACTTCAACATGCATGGATTATGTCAACATGGGCATATCACTTCAACATGCACAGAACACTTCAACATGCGTGGACCACTTCAACATGCACATAGCACTTCAACATGCTTATACCACTTCAACATGCATGGACCACTTCAACATGCACATTCCACTTCAACGTGCATGGACCACTTCAACATGCGCATTCCACTTCAACATGCATGGCCATTTGAACATGCACCTACCACATCAACATGCACATATCACTTCAACATGTATGGACCACTTCAACATGTGCATAGCACTTCAACATACATATGCCACTTCAACATGCACAGACTACTTCAACATGTGCATTCCACTTCAACATGCATGGACCATTTCAACATGCACGTATCACTTCAACATGCTCATACCACTTCAACATGCATGGACCACTTCAACATGTGCATTCCACTTCAAAATGCATGGCCATTTCAACATGCACCTACCATGTCAACATGCGCATATCACTTCAACATGCACCTACCACTTCAACATGCACAGGCCATGTCAACATGTGCATATCACTTCAACATGCATAGACCACTTCAACATGCACCTACCACTTCAACATGCACTGACCATGTCAACTTGTGCATACCACTTCAACATGCACAGACCACTTCAACATTCATGGACCACATCAACATGCATGGCCCACTTCAACATGCACAAACCACTTCAACGTTCATAGACCACTTCAACATGCATGGGCCACATCAACATGTGCATACCACTTCAACATGCACAGACTACTTCAACATGCATGGACCACTTTAACATGCGCATATCACTTCAACATGTGCATATCACTTCAACATGCACAGACCACTTTAACCTGCGTGGAACACTTCAACATGTGCATACCACTTCAACATGCGTGGCCCACTTCAACATGTGCATATCACTTCAACATGCACATACCACTTCAACATGTGCGACCATTTCAACTTGCACCTACCACTTCAACACGTGCATACCACTTCAACATGTGCATAGCACTTCAACATGCACAGACCACTTCAACACGGATGGACCACTTCAACATGCATGGACCACTTCAACATTTGCATATCACTTCAACATGCACGACCACTTCAACATGCACAGGCCACTTCAACATGCACATTCCACTTCAACATACACGGCCATTTCAACATGCACCTATCATGTCAACATGCACATACCACTTCAACGTGCACCTACCACTTCAACATGCATGGACCATGTCAACGTGTGCATACCACTCCAACATTCACAGAGCACTTCAACATGCATGGACCAAGTCAACATGCACGTACCACTTCAAATGCACATGCCACGTCAACATGCACAGACACTTCAACATGCATGGACCACTTCAACATGCTCATACCATTTCAACATGTGCATACCACTTCAACACGCATGGACCACTTCAACATGCTCATACCATTTCAACATGCACGTATCACTTCAGCATGCATGGACCACTTCAGCATGCTCATACTATTTCAACATGCTTATACCATTTCAACATGCGCATACCACTTTAACATGCATGGACCACCTCAACATGCACGGACCACTTCAACATGCACAGACCAATTAAACATGCACAGACCACTTCATCATGCACGGACCACTTCAACATGCACATTCCACTTCAACACGCACAGATCACTTCAACATGCGCATACCACTCTGGTCGTGGAGGATGCCCTAACCTCCAATGACTTGTTTATGAAGGGCTGTGTGGTTCTTTCTTGCTCTCCCCCTCTCCCTCTTTGCAGGGAAGAGTAGAGGGAAATTAGGGCCAGTAGAGATGACCCACAGAGTGGCAGAGAAAGTCAATGCCATAAGCTGATTCCAGAATGGTTGCTCAGGTGGGCATCTGCTTTGGTGGCAGAGTCGAGGAAGCAGCCTCTACGGGGTTAATTGTTGGATTAATCCCAGAAGCTTTAGCGGAACTGTGACTAATTCTCCCCACCTTTAGGTGCCTTTTACTAAGGAAGTTAGAACTCTTGCATTCTGCTTCAGAATCTATCTTTACAACACTGCTGCAAGACAGACTTTGTCCCTTTTTTTGCAGATGAAGGAATTGAGGCCTTAGGGAGTCGTGTGTACAGCCTCATCACACAAGGAGGGTCATAGCAGAACTGACCTGAGACCACCAGGGGTCTCTACACCTGAGCCCCCATCCTTTCCACTAGACCATCCTTTCTACTAGACTCCATCTGTTTTCCACAGGGGACGACTTTGCCCACCAGGCCATGTGGCAACATCTGAAAATATTTTTGGTTGTCACAACTGAATAGGCGGTGCTGCTGGCATCTGGTGAGAGAGGCCAGGGCTGCAGCTGCACACCCTCCAACGCACAGGACAGTACCCCATGACAAGGAATTCACCTGCCTAAATGTCAGTAGTGCTGAGATTGAGAAACCCTACTTTAGATGGATCTTCTTGCCACCCAGAAAGGACTCAAGGACAACTTTTAAGAAGAGAGTGCTGAGTTGGAGCCCTGCCATGCTTCAGCAACCACCTTCCCCTGTTGAGAACCACTGTCCTGGAGCAATTTCCCCCAAACTTCTGTGAGGACAGGAATCATCAAGTCACCCATTAGAGCTGTAGTTTTCTTCATCCCTTCTGCTGGAGATCCTGATCCAGTCTTTTAAAAAAAATTTCTAAAAATATTTTTAAGAAAAAAAATTTGCAGTTTGAGTGTCTCAGGTGGTTTTTATTACCAAGAAAGTCTGGAAACTACCTTAAACAGTTTCAACATGCACGTACCACTTGGATGGGGCTGGTCTTCAGTTGACATTGCTCATGGTTTAAGAGGGTTACCTCCTTTCTTTCCCTCACAATGATGTAAAGCTTGATGGCTGACATGACAAAACATGTTAAATTAATTAGCACGTGGATGACTCAGAGGTCCCACCCTCCTTGGAGGTATGTTTTTGAACAGAGGAGCTTCCTTCCAGCCTGCTGATGATGGACAGTAAGAGGAGATGAAGGAGCACTGACCAGTGCTCAGAAGACCTGGACTGGGGTCTTAGCTAATGATGTTTCCCTGGACAAGCATCTTCAGTGTCCTGAGCCTCAGTTTTCTCATCTGCAAATCAGGCCTACCAGGGGATGTCCTATCTTTCAGGGCAGCCATGAGGAGTAAGGAGATGATGCCACACCTTCTGGCTGTGCATCAGAATCATCTGTGGGCCTTTTTAAAACTACAAACACCCAGGTCACATCCAAGACTACTCATTCATTCTTAGCGATAAGGTCCATATTTAAAAAGTAGTGCTCCTTTATGAAGTGTCACAGGTAAGTCTTTAGAAAACTAGAAAGCTCCTCAGAAAGTACCTTGTAAACTAAAAAGTGCTGTTCAGATAAAAGGGATTCTTTCATTCTCACAGATTGCTGATCCCAGCCATAAATGGTACTATAACAGTTTCCTATTTGGCCTTGTCAGATCATCATACACATTTGACTACCTAAGCAGATGGTGCCATGTCTTGTGGATATTTTGAAAAAATAGGACAGGCTCCCATCTGCCCGCAATGACTCAGGGGCTGCCTGTCTTTCCCAGAGGCAGAGGCAGTGGCTGAATGTCCTCTGAGGATGCCTCTGGCACCAGGGGGCCTTGACAGTGTCTCCTCCCAAGGCAGGGGCCATCATGGATAGTGCTCACGCCAGCAAATTGTAAGGACGCAGCTGCACATCATCCACCAGTGCAAGTTGTGGAAACCGGGGCCAGGCTCTGTGCTGCCTATTTCCTTCTGCCAGAGGGGGTGATCCCCCAGATGAAGGATGGAGCAGGGGGTTCTTCCTGCCTTCCTAATGTCTCCACCCCGGGCCATGGATGGGGACAACAGAAAGGAAGGGACCTTGCTAAATATAAAGCTCTGTGCAGGTGGAAGAATCATCATGATTGCTTGTATATTGTCCTTACTATGACTATGGATTTCTCTCTTTCTCCCACTGCAGCAAGACTCAGGGCAAGTTTGGCACCACCTGGTTGATCCCTGAAGGGTGGCTGTGCCCTTGTCCCATCACTTCTCTGATCCTCAGCCTGGGAGCAGGAGGAGGGCTGCAGGCTGGTGTGATGCTGACCAGCAAGGTTCTTCCTTGCAGAAGGGGTAAGTGGTGGCCACTCCAGATTGTGCAGGCTGGAGCCTACGCAGTACTCCTCTTCTCCCAGGGACAGAATGGAGCTACCTGGAGGTGACTGTAGGAGATGGTGAACACAGCATCTCCCTGGGGGGCCTGTAGTTGCGAAGTGCTCCTCCTGGGCTCCACTCCAGCTTTGGAACCAAATGCCTCAGATCTTGCTGTCTGCCTAAAATGCTGGAAGCTCATGGACCCATCAGCTTCTAACTACCCCTTTGGTTGTCCCTCTGCAGGCTTCTCCAGACCAGGTCTGCTGCCCCCTCCTCATCTCAGGATGTCCAACTTTCCTGATTTTGCTAAGGTGTGCAATATTCTCCATTTACTTGGGCCTTTCCTTCCTATCTTCCTACACCTTAGCATCTTCTGTTTCTGGACAGAAAACCACCAACTGCTGTCTGCTTGCCTGCTCCATGGAAATGGTTCTATCCCAGCCAGTTCTGCTGGGAACTGGGCTGGGAACTCTTTGCCAGGGAGGGCTGTGTGTCTGGTCTTTGAGAATACACTAGGTCAGAGGGCTCTCCTTTCAGCTCCCTTGGAGGCCAGGATGTTCTTCTTGTACCTGGATGACTGGTCACTGTGCTCCACTTAGACCACTGCGTTGAAGAATTGAGGGAAAAGGAGAGGCTGAGACCTTGGGTTAGAAGGTGATGGGATACATTTTTATTAAACTTTGTGGAATGGAATTAAATCATCCTGAGGGAAAATCTAAGAATAAGAAAGAATATTATTATAAAAGGAGGAATAAAGTTCATTTGCAGCTACTGTACTTAAACTTCTAGACCAGGATAATGCAGTCCTTTCGAATTCAGAATAGAGAGGAAATGATCATGTTAGTTGAAGATGCTGGCTAGTCCTAAACAAGATTTAATCCTCTCTTTCTTTCACACACACCCATATACTCCAGCACATGCCTATGTGCTCACACACACATGCACACATTCAAACACATGCATACCTGGTCTGGGGCACCCTACCTGCACATCTATGCACCAATTTATCACCTGCGACCTTCATTAGTCCTCATTTGCATGCCCATGGAGCACAATTCCCTTATTATTTTCTTTGTTGCAAATGCAGAGCGTAGGAGGGGCCTGGGTTGGCTATATTTTCTCATTCCCAAATCCTGTGATGTAGGTTTCAGTCACTGCCCACAGTGAGGACCTCTCCTGCATATGAACCTCTCAAGGGCAGGGACTGTGCTTTATTCATCATTGGGTCTCTAGTGCCTTGTATGGTGCCTGGCACACAGTAGGTGCTCAATAATTGTTTATGACACTGAAATTTGGAGTCTGACTCAAGGTAATAAAATTTGGTGGAGACTGCTGCCTGTCCATCAAAACTCATGTCCTCTTCTTCCAGGGCATACAACTAGAATAATTTCCCTCCTCTGATGTTAGATCAGGCCATGGGTCTGAGATCTAATCATAGAACATGAACAGAAATGATAAATGCCCCCTCCACACCTGGCCTGTCAAAACCTCTCCCTGTCTTCTCTATGTCCTTTTTCCCTCTGGCTGGTTGAAATGCCCATTCCCAGGGAAGCCTTA